>NC_000013.11:102502979-103127979 GCF_000001405.40 Homo sapiens | reverse complement strand
TCCAAGCTTCAGTTTTCTCAACTGTAAAACAGTGCTAATATTCTCTTCATTGGATTATGGTGACGCTTAAATCAGATAATAGGAATAAATTGCCTAGTGTAGGGCTTGGCCCACGGTACCCCATTAAATGTGTGCCATTCCCTCCAGCACTCCATACTTTCCCTAGACTCTCACTTTGTGTTTTACAGGAGAGGGAGAGGGTGGATGCAAAAGGAAGTGAACAGACATCTTTCTCCAGCAGACTTCACATCACTTAGAGCAACTCATGGAGGCTTCATTCTCTAAAACATCTTCAGCCCACGTTAGGGCAGGACTGCGAATAAACAGAACTAACTCCAGTTCTGTGTACTAAAGCTTAGCAGAAGGTGTAATTCATAAAAGAATATAACAAAGAGAACAGGGAGGAATCAGAGCAAAATGAGCAGAGTGGTAAAAGGATTTTACCTTGACACAGTGATGATAGAACTCTTAACCAGAGAGCTAGGAATGTCATCAGAGAACAGCCATTTCCAGCATCCCACACCCTACTCTATTGGAATGACACCTCTTGGTTTAAGCAACAGCTTACACAAACTATTGCCATTTTTACTTTCATGTATTTATATCCCTTTGGAACATTATGTATATCAATTATGTGTCGAGTGCATTATCTTAGGTGCATGTTAGAATTATTATTTATAGAGTGTGACACTGAAAAGGAGGGACTAACAAGACCCAGCTAAAATCTGTGTTTCCAGGTTCCAGAAAGTAAACTAAGTGAATTAAGTCCATGTCCACATAAAAGCTAATCTCTGCTTGGCAAACAGAGGGTGAAATATAACCTAGAACTCTCCCAAATCCAAAGCATTGCCACTGCCTAACAAATCTGAACGATGAGAGCAACATTGTTAGGGAGAGCGTGAGTGCCTAGCACTGAGCTGACCATTTTCTACGCACAACCTTGATTAGTTCTCACGGCAACACAGTGAGGCAATTGCTATCACTATACCTCTTAAGATCAGGAAACCAACCCCTTGTAGGTTATTGGCCCATGCCAACACTAAAAACAGGAGCCTAGAAGCCAAAGATTTTCTAGTTCTTAAACATATACTCTTAATTTTAAGTGAACTGCCTTCATATCAACCTGTATCCTGCTGAATAGACATATAGTGGGTCTCACCTATTCCCACAGCAAGACCCATGCTTGGAAGATTCAGGCTTGGAACATAAATGGGTAAGGAACATAAGAGATGGGCTTGGAACATAAGAGATGAGATCAAGTCTGAAATAAATATCGAAAAGAATTCTAAGACAAGTTATTGGCCAAAAAATTCCTGTAACATAAGTTTACTGGACTCATAAATGAAAACAAAAACCAAAAGAAGGGAACTTGAGGGGCAGCTACAAAATAGGGGCTAATAACAAGGGTTTCAGAAAAAGGATTACAGTCACGAACCAAAACAGGACACCTAAAAGAGTGATGCAGGCAGTAGGATGAGCAGAAGACAAATTCGAAAGTTGGGAGAAGTTTCAAGCTAGACCACATCTGCAGTGCAGGCTCTGTTTAAAGTGAAGCATGAGGTGGTTGACAATTGAATTTCACGATCCCAAATATCCCCTGGTTCTTTCAGGGCACATAACTCAATAGCCAGGAGAAATTATTCCTGCCATTGGGGGAAAATCTGTGCCCAGCTGTTATTCCCGCCCAGGAAATTCAGATCCTCCATGTTCTCTGATTCTGTGCACAGTGAAGTCCGGGTTCAACACTCCTGGCTGAAAAGGAGATTGGAAAAGTGTGTTTCTGGTATTTTTGCTTCTAGGCTAGGAATTTGGCTCTCCTTCACAAAATCTCATCATGGCAGGGGAATCAGCTATGCACAGTCAGGGAAATAAAATGCTGGACACTTAAAAGGAATAATAAAGGTCCATTGCTGAATTATTTCCATTTCTTCCGTTAACTATGACCTCAAAACACTACACAGACAGTCCTATAAAGCCCTCCTTACCGCATCTCAAAACTTCAGAAAATTGCAAGATTTCAGGCTACAAGCTTAAGTAGAAAGGATAAATTGCTTCCCAAGCCTATCTTGCCCGTAAGCTTGTCTTTGTTGCATCGGATGAAATCTCAATTCCCAGACCTACCAGCTTCCTTCCCAGAGTGGTTGGAAATGTCTCAAACCATAAAGTGTTTTGGAATTAAACATTCCTAAAGAAATTGCTGAACTAAATATATTTCAAGGTTATACCACCTTCAAACCTGTGCCCCTGAATCACCCACTGGGCCACGTTGCTAACCTCAGTTACTTAAAGTGACGAGGATCAAGGACACTTTGCCCCACAGGACTACTGGAATCTTCTTGGACGTTCTCAATCCTGGGGAGCTCAGTGTATTGCGGTAGGTCATTTGTACCTAGCTAGCCTCATTCAACAGCATCTTTTAAATATGGGCATAGCTATGTTTTAGCACCATGAAAAACTGTGGTTTAAAAAACTGTGCTGTGATTTAAAAGCAAATCTTGATTAAGACTGCCTAGTGTTAAACTCTAGACCACCACTTACTAGAGGTATGAGCTTAGGCAAATTATTTTACCTCTCTGAACCTTAGTTTTCTTATCTGTAAATTAGGAATGTTAAAAGTCTCTGTCTTGTAAAGTTTTTAAGAGGATTAAAACAGTAATACATAATGATATACACAGAAGCACCTAAATGGTTTCTGACATGTTTAATTCCTTGGCAATCCTATTAGCAACATTTTTATGACAAAATTGAGGCCTAAGAAGATTACATAAACTGTCCAAGATTATACAGCTATTATGCGAAGAAGCGATTTCTCTAAATTCATTCCAAAGAGTTGGCTGAGGACTCTGATGAGTTATGAAAAAGAAAATGAAAACAAAGAGCAGAGTATATCATAGACAAGGGATCAAGAGATCTAAGCCCCAGTTTTCATGTTTCTAAAATGGCTGGGTTGGGTTTGATTTCCAGGTTAAGATGGCATTTGTGTAGCAATTCCTGATTTTCTCCAAATTTCCCCACTAAAATAGCAAAGAAGACATAAAAAAAATTAATTGTGTGATATTCCAGGAAATTAAGGATAATAGCAAACCATTGATAGAGTGTGGGAGGGATTTCCAGTACATAGAGAATAGATGGAGATAGACTTACCAACAAAACTGCTGCCCTGCATTTATGTTGCTCTCTGAGATAGAGCAGTACATCCTGCTCAGATGATGCCTTCTACCCACTGCCTCCCACCAGCTGGGAGTTAGAGGACCTGCATTTTTTTTTCTTTTTTTTTTTGTGATGGAGTCTTGTTCTGTCACCCAGGCTGGAGTGCAATGGCACGATCTTGGCTCACTGCAACCTCTGCCTCCTGGGTTCAAGTGACTCTCCTGCCTCAGCCTCCCGAGTAGCTGGGATTACAGGTGCCCTCCAACAAGCCCAGCTGATTTTTGTATTTTTAGTAGAGTCGGGGTTTCACCAGTTTGGCCAGGCTGGTCTCGAACTCCTGACCTCAGGTGATCCACCCACCTCGGCCTCCCAAAGTGCTGGGATTACAGGCATGAGCCATCGTGCCTGGCCAAGATGTGCAATTTTTTTAAGTGCATCCATTCCCAGCCACCTTGACTCACCTTACCATTCAGGTACTATTGTAGAGTTGTAAAAGTTAGCTCCTCCATGTGGCCACCACCACCATGCTATTCACCATCTGCATAGCCCTTTAACAGGCATTCTGAAATATCTAGAATTTCTAAAGCTTAATGACCAAGAAAACAGTATAATTTGTGGAAATAAGTGCAGGGCAACCAAGTGAGAACAAGCAAAGACTTCAGAACTTGCTATACCAAGGGAGGCAGCAAACATCACTTGCGTTTTGGCAGTGACTCAAAGGCAGGCAGAAGAGAGAGAAAGCTTGAGAGTAGGAAAAAGGTAGGAGCTCAGATGTGCCCTGATTGGAGGCTACTGGCCCAAGGAAGATGGAGAGGGGCGATCTAGAAGCAGGGCATCTTCCGTGATTGCTTTGGGGCACATGTGGTCTTCTCTAGGTGTTCATAAGGTGGAAGCAGGGACAAAAATTAGAGAAACTGCCAGTTATTAATCAAGTTCTGGCCATTTGGAGCTGATGATTACTTACAGGGGATTTTGTTTGGTTTCCTGAACTGGTTCCTGGAGGTAGTGATCTGACTTCCTTCAAGTCAGACTTATAGATAATAGGCTGGCTTCCTGAGCTGGTTACTGTAGACAGTGGGTTGACTTTCTGGGCTTGTTGCTCTAGATCTGTTTTTACATATAGTCTGGTGATTGCCCATTTCTAGTCTCTCAATTACATTTTGGGATATGCACGTGAAGGCAGAAACAAAGAAAACCGTGTTACCAGAATATGCCAGAAATACTCATTTTTAAATATAAATACTTAGGATTAAAAAAGAATCATGGATACCCACAAGTGATGTGGGGATAGAACTTATCAATCTCAGAGTCAGAGGCAAAGTTCTTAAGCCACGGGATAAAAGAAGAGTTTATCTAAGTCTGGAAGAACTTTACTGGATAAATCCTGCTTTCAAGATCCACACTCTGTTTTTGTCCTGACACAGGTTTTCAGTAAGCACCTAAGTGGAAAGTAAGAGCAGCCAAAGGAAGACTTTGTATTCTATCTGCTGGCAAATGCTAAAAAAAAAGACCAATGCTTCTGAGTCAAAGGATAAGAAACAATAATTCCTTAATTTCCTTATGAACGTTTATGCGACATCATAAAAAAGTAGAGTATCAACTATCCTAAAGATTTTAAGGAATCCTATCTCTGAAAATTACTTGCTACATGTAAAATAAGAATTTGTAGATAAATATTTGCTTTTTTCTCAAAGATATACAAGAAATCATAGATGCCATATTTTAAAAAAGTATGCTGCCCTAAAAACTGATCAATACAAGACAAAAAGATGAAAGTCTGAGATTTAATCTGAAATTGGAAAACGTTGTGACCTTCTCTTAAACTTCAAAAGTAGAATTAAAATCCCAAGGTAGCATCATTAAAAGAATCTACATCTGTTTAGGTCCTACTCAAGGAAAAATTAAAGAAGTTATCTCAAAATGCAAAGGAAAAATAAAAATACTAGGAGTAAATGATAAAATGAAGAGCAAAGTAACAAAGGAAGCAAAAGAAACTACAATATATGTATACTTAAATGAAATGAAAAAATTAATTTCATCGTTAGATAAAAAGGGTTTCAAAAACAGAATATAAAACTTGAAAATAGGACAAATTTCAAAAATCAAGAAAAAAAACTCTGTTTTTCAACAATAGAAGATACATCACATTGACCTTATATTTCTTCATCATCAGAATAGATTTCAGAAGAAAATAGAGCAATGTCCACATAGGTGAATAAGAAATCAAAGACTTCCCTACATCAAACTAGTTGTTAATTCACAAATGGGAAGGAAAGGGGTTCTTTTTCCAGATATACAAGAAAACTGAAAAAATAATTTTCATGTATATTGCCTGAAAAAAGACTTCAGAATATACTCGAGATGACCAAAAATGTAATGAACATTAAAGAGCCAAAAATATGAAGTACATAACCTAAAGAAAAAAGGCTGAACACAGAATAAAATTAAACAAGTACAGTAGTTACATATCTAAGTGATTTTTTGCAAATAAGATAAAATCACCATCATTTTTTTTGAGACAGGGTCTCACTCTGTTGCCCAGGCTGCAGTGCAGTGGCACAATCACAGCTCACTGCAAACTCCACCTCCCAGACTGAAGCAATTCTCCTGCCTCAGCCTCCTGAGTAGCTGGGACCACAGGTGTGCACCACCATGCCTGGCTAATTTCAATTTAAAATGTTTAAATTATCCTTTAAATAATAGAGTAAAATTTTTTTTCCAAAAAAGTCTGTAGTCTACTAACAATTTTATTTATCAATAAGATTCAGATTTATTTTTTAAATGATAAAAATGTAAAAGTTCACTAAAGTTTGCTAAAAATATGCTGAGATTAGTTTACATAGGGCAGCGTCAGAAGTTATGATGCTGTTGTTCATTGGTAATTAGAAAAATTTGGTTTGCACTGTGTTTTTTAAAAACTTCAAAGGTAATTGCCAGTGGAGTTAAAAACAGGATGCACACCTGTTTTCCAAATCACTACAGAACAAAAAAACAAGATTCAAGAATCTGCAAAGAATAAAAATAGCTAATATTTATTTAACTCTCATTTTATGCCAGGTACTATACATGTTTGCTTCTCTTTTTTTCATTTATTTCTTAAGACCATTTTATGAAGTAGATATTATTATTTGCCACATTTTTCAGAAATGACATTGAAGATAAAAAAAAATCAGTAAATTATTCAAAGACAAATAGTTTGTAAATGTTAGAACTGCAATTTTAACTCAGAAGACTAGCCTTCAGAGCCAGTGTTGAGCCACCGAAACATGTTGCTTCACCTAAATGTTTATTGAGAGCATAGGATATGCCAGAAACCCTGCTATTATTTCACTTCACCTTTCAACAACATGACAAGATAAGCAGGAGCATGAAAAGTTATTATACGTATCAATTATACTAGTGACTTCAACGCCTAATGTTAAAGCACAAAGATTTGTGGATTTGACTTTTTATTTACTTATTTTTAATTTGGGGGATAACATTTCAGTTTGGGCCTAAAACTAAATAATACTAAAGAAAGAAAGAAAAATAAATAAATAAAAAGATACATCAGAAATGAAGCAAACAGCAACAAAAAAGAGCCAAGGAGACAACATTAATATCAAAGAAATACTCAATATTAAATGTATTAAAACTAAAAAGGACACTCATTACATTGTATTAATTATACAAATTATACAAATAATAAGACAAATAGGCATTACACTATACTCCACATAAAATAATGTCATAGTTATCTTACCTATTATATATAACCTACATAATTATACATTTTAAAATTATATATCTCCCTTATAAATGCAAAGAACAATGAACAAAAAGCAAAAATACAGTGAACCCCTTGAATACACCAGCACCAATATGTGATAGATCAGATACATTCAAAGACATAAATAATTAAAACAACATAATTAGTAAATTAATCTTAGTCAAGCTAAACCAAGTTTTACATTCTACAGAAAACTCAATAGTAAATTGAGCCAAAAACAATCTCAATTCCATAATTGTAGAGACAGAAATTATAGAGGCAAGATTATCAGATAATAATATATTATCTGATAATATTATAAATTTGTTCATATGATACAAAGATCCTGAATGCTAAAACATTATTTGAAGACTTAATTGATAAAAAAACAGATAGAAAACATTGCAAAATAAAATCATGATGAGGCCACCAAAGGAATATTTAAAGCCTAAGAATACTATAATATTTTTAATTTTAAATTTCTATTTATTTATTTATTTATTTAAGAGACAGGGTCTCACTTTGTCACCCAGGCTGGAGTGCAGTGGTGTGATCACAGCTCACTTCTGCCTCCAAATTCTGGGCTCAAAGTATTCTCCCAGCTCAGCCTCCAGAGCAGTTGCGACTACAGGCATGAGCTGGTACACCTGGCAAAAAATAGAAAAAATACTAATATGTCATTTTAAAATAGAGTTTAAAATATTAAAAATAACTTGACCAGAAAATAATAAATGTGTGAATAAAAAAGAACAAAATAAAAAACAGATGCAGAAAAAAATTAAAATTAATATATATTAATTAAATAGTTGTTTCTTAGGGAACAATTTAAGTAACAGGAATACCAACTCAAGAAAAAAAATCAAATTTAGAAAAAAGTTAAATCAACAAATATAGAATATTTTGAATAATTTCATGTTAAGAATTTGATATATTACAAAGAAATGGAGGTTATACTGGAAAAACGTTAAATAACTACACTGAAAACCTGAATGTGTCTAAAAATAGAAGGCATGAAGTAAAGACTGTATTTTATTATGTGTCCAGGCACACAGGTGAATAATTTCAACCTCTGACTTGCTAGGTCATCCTGATCATTTATACATCTTTTTACACCTTGGAAAAAAGCTGAGGAATGTATCTTAAGAAACTATCTATGACAAACCCACAGCCAATATCATACTGAATGGACAAAAACTGGAAGCATTCCCCTTGAAAACTGGCACAAGACGGGGATGCCCTCTCTCACCACTCCTATTCAACATAGTGTTGGAAGTTCTGGCCAGGGCAATCAGGCAGGACAAGGGAATAAAGGGCATTCAATTAGGAAAAGAGGAAGTCAAATTGTCCCTGTTTGCAGATGACATTGTATATCTAGAAAATCCCATTGTCACAGCCCAAAATCTCCTTAAGGATAAGCAACTTCATCAAAGTCTCAGGATACAAAATCAACGTGCAAAAATCACAAGCATTCTTATACACCAATAACAGACAGAGAACCAAATCATGAGTGAACTCCCATTCACAACTGCTTCAAAGAGAATAAAATACCTAGGAATCCAACTTAAAGGGATGTGAAGGACCTCTTCAAGGAGAACTACAAACCACTGCTCAATGAAATAAAAGAGGATACAAACAAATGGAAGAACATTCCATGCTCATGGGTAGGAAGAATCAATATCGTGAAAATGGCCACACTGCCCAAGGTAATTTATAGATTCAGTGCCATCCCCATCAAGCTACCAATGACTTTCTTCACAGAATTGGAAAAAACTACTTTAAAGTTCATACAGAACCAAAAAAGAGCCCTCATCGCCAAGTCAATCCTAAGCCAAAAGAACAAAGCTGGAGGCATCACACTACCTGACTTCAAACTATACTACAAGGCTACAGTAACCAAAACAGCATGGTACTGGTACCAAAACAGAGGTATAGACCAATGGAACAGAACAGAGCCCTCAGAAATAATGCCGCATATCTACAACTGTCTGATCTTTGACAAACCTGACAAAAACAAGAAATGGGGAAACGATTCCCTATTTAATAAATGGTGCTGGGAAAACTGGCTAGCCATATGTAGAAAGCTGAAACTGGATCCCTTCCTTACACCTTATACAAAAATTAATTCAAGACGGATTAAAGACTTACATGTTAGACCTAAAACCATAAAAACCCTAGAAGAAAACCTAGGCAATACCATTCAGGACATAGGCATGGGCAAGGACTTCATGTCTAAAACTCCAAAAGCAATGTCAACAAAAGCCGAAATTGACAAATGGGATCTAATTAAACTAAAGAGCTTCTGCACAGCAAAAGAAACCACCATCAGAGTGAACAGGCAACCTACAGAATGGGAGAAAATTTTTGCAACCTACTTATCTGACAAAGGGCTAATATCCAGAATCTACAATGAACTCCAACAAATTTACAAGAAAAAAACAAACAACCCCATCAAAAAGTGGGCAAAGGATATGAACAGACACTTCTCAAAAGAAGACATTTATGCAGCCAAAAAACACATGAAAAAATGCTCATCATCACTGGCCATCAGAGGAATGCAAATCAAAACCACAATGAGATACCATCTCACACCAGTTAGAATGGCAATCATTAAAAAGTCAGGAAACAACAGGTGCTGGAGAGGATGTGGAGAAATAGGAACAATTTTACACTGTTGGTGGGGCTGTAAACTAGTTCAACCATTGTGAAAGTCGGTGTGGCGATTCCTCAGGGATCTAGAACTAGAAATACCATTTGACCCAGCCATCCCATTTCCGGGTATATACCCAAAGGATTATAAATCATGCTGCTATAAAAACACATGCACACATATATTTATTGTGGCACTATTCACAATAGCAAAGACTTGGAACCAACCCAAATGTCCAACAATGATACACTGGATTAAGAAAATGTGGCACATATACACCATGGAATACTATGCAGCCATAAAAAATGATGAGTTCATGTCCTTTGTAGGGACATAGATGAAGCTGGAAACCATCATTCTCAGCAAACTATTGCAAGGACAAAAAACCAAACACCGCATGTTCTCACTCATAGGTGGGAATTGAACAATGAGAACACATGGACACAGGAAGGGGAACATCACACAGCAGGGACAGTTGTGGGGTCGGGGGAGGGGGGAGGGATAGCATTAGAAGATATACCTAATGCTAAATGACGAGTTAATGGGTGCAGCACACCAACATGGCACACGTATACATATGTAACAAACCTGCACGTTGTGTACATGTACCCTAAAACTTAAAGTATAATAATAATTTAAAAAAAGAATCTACCATAACTCTAATAAACAAGTCTGATAATGAGCAAAACAGAAATTAGAGATCAATCTTATGTATTTCTGTATGCATATACAAAAGTCCTAACTGAAATACTAGCAAATTTATAACACTCTAATATCAAAAACAAATCCTTGAATGGTTTAATAAGGATTCTAGCATTATAATAATAGTGATTCTAGCGTTATAACAATAGAGTCTAGAATTATTAACTCAATCTGGAAAAATCTTGTAGTTGCCTTAATTGATGGTTAAAAAGAGATATTTAATAAAATTCAATCATTATTCTTGATTGTATAAGTTTTTTTAATCTTAAGAATAAAAACATGACATAGATGAACAATCTCATACCAAAAGCCATTGCCATTAGTAAGTCAATGAGTGTCAATCTTGTTAAAGGAAGGTTATAACCATCATTCTCCTTTACCATTGTTCTGGGTGCTACACTGAGACTGAAAACAGATTATAATAATTACGAAGAGACAATAGTATCATTATTAATGACAGACACTGCTATGTATCTAGAAAATCTATATAAATAAGCTGAAAAAAACCTCTTCAAATTAATAACAAAATTCAACACAGTAGATGTACACGAGACAAATACACAAATATCAAGAATTTTTCCAGTATACCAATAACAACCTTGTAGTAAAATGTTTAGATCTTACAAAAGCCTTGAAAACTGTTAGCATTTTTTTCTGGGCATATTATTGTGCAAATGTGTTTTTTTCTACCATGTGTAGAAAACATGTAAAAAGAAAGCCAATGTATAATAAAAGAAAACCTGAATACGTAATCAAAAGCATCCATGTTTCTGCTTGTGTAGACAGAGGAAAGACATTGATTCCTTGCAGCTCCATGTGTAGGTTAGACATCCCAATTGAAATCTCAAGTGTGGAACTTCACAAAATGATTTTCAAAAATACAAAGAATTTAAATAATATAAATGTGATAATTATTAAGAACTATTTTATTTAAAAAAAGAAAGAGGATGTGATCAGCAAAAAAAAAAAAAAATGCTACCAAAAATAGTTTCAATTTTAGCAAAACATGTGCAACATCTATGACAGTTACACATTTAATTAGAAAACGACTAAGATTCCAGTGGTGAACTGGAAAACAAATATAATCAGAAATTCATGAAAGAGAAAATTCAATTAACCAGAATGTATAAGGAGCTCAAACAAAATAGCAAAAAATAATCCCAAATAATCTAATTTACAAATGGGGAAAATATCTGAATAGACATTTCTCCAAAGAAGACATACAAATGGCAAATAGGTATATGAAAAGGTGTTCAATGTCACCAATCATCAGAGAAATGCAAATCAAAACCACAGTGAAATATCCTCTCACTGCAGTTAAAATGGCTTTTATCAAAAAGACAGGGAATAATGAATGCTGGTGAGGATGTGGAAAAAGGGGAACCTTTGTACGCTGTTGGAGGGAATGTAAACTTAGCACGGTCACTATGGAGAACAATTTGGAGGGTCCTCAAAAAACTAGAAATATAACTATCATATGATTCACAATCCCACTGCTATCTATATATCCAAAAGAAAGATAATTCATATATCAAAGTGATATCTGTGCTCCCGTGTTTATTGCAGCACTATTCACAATAGCCAAGACATGAAACCAACCTAAGTCTCCATCAACAGATAAATGGGTAAAGAAAATGTGGCATATATACACAATGAAATATTATTCAGCAATAAAAAAGAATAAAGTCAAGTCATTTGCAGCTTCATGGTTGGAACTGAAGGATTTTATGTTAAATGAAATAAGCTGGGCACAGAAAGACAAATTTTGCAAGTTCTCACTCAGATATGGGAGCTAAAAAAAATTGATCTCATGATGATAGAGAGTTGAATAATGGTTACCATTATTCGATGACAGTGGGGCGGTGAGGATGAAGTGGGATGGTTAATGGGTACAAAAATACAGTTCAATAAAAGCAATACGATCTAATGTTTGATAGCACAATAGACTCAATTTGCTTAATTATTTTGTTAAGACACAGGCAGTAAATCTTTCTACTCAGTAAAATAAAATCTAAGGTGCAATTGGTAGCTTTGGATTTTATCTTCAGCCCATTAGTCTCATCTCTTCCTTGATAGTTTAAAACTTTTAATTAATCTAAAAATAGAATTTGGGTTTGAACTAGACAATCTCTAGAGGGCTTTCAGTAATAAGTCATTTGATTGCTCTAATAGTGTCACCATTCAGTTTCCCACAACTATTGTGTAAATACGGGGAAGCCATATACATCTAAGCCATTCTTAAGACTGTTGATTGGCCAGGTGCAGTGGCTTATGCCTGTAATCACACCTTGGGAGGTCAAGACAGGAGAATTACTTGAGCCCAAGAGTTCGAGAAAAGCCTGGGCAATGTAGCAAGACCCCTTCTCTACAAAAAAATATTTTAATAAGATTAGTTGAGCATGCTGTTGTGCACCTATGGTTCTAGCTACATGGGAGGCTGAGGTGGGAGGATGATTTGAACCCGGGAGATTGAGGCTGCAGTGAGCCATGATCACACCCTTGCACTCCAGTCTCAGTGAAAGAAAGAAAGAAGAAAGAAAAAAAGAAAAAGGAAGGAAGGAAGGAAGGAAGAAAGGAAGGAAGGGAGAAAATTCAGTAAAGTGGATTATGAAATTCCATGCTTATTTCAAACTATATGAAGATTAAACAATGGAAATAATTACTTAGAATATATCTGAATGTTTCTACAAGTTATTTAGATTCTTTAATTAGAAAAGCAAGTCTTACAAGTTATATTTAACAAACAAACTTGAAATATCCATGAAATAAAGCTTTTTATATGTAGTTTGACTCTATGACCAATGTATAGTGATGAATTGACAAAGACATATCATTTGAGGTTTCTTTAAAAAAATTTGAGTGGTGTTTATAATTTTGCTTAGATTTGAGAAAGAACCGTATCACTTGGATTTTAAGGGGGGATACTAAGATGTTGTTTTCCATTCAGTTGTTCAGAGTAAATTAATCAGTTATTTATCAACTTACATCTATTTATAATTGTATAATGTGATCATTGATTTTGTCTCTTAAAAAAGCAAATCTGTTTATTGTCACTATACATAATCTTTAATTAAACAAAGAAATAAAATTTTTAAAGGAAAAGTAAGCAGATGATCTGCTAAATGACAGTCAAGCTAAATTGTGGCCTCAAAACAGACTTTCAAATAAATATGACTTAAATAATTGACTCAATTTGCTTAATTCCGTTGTTAAGACACAGGCAATAAATCTTTCTACTCACTTTAGTAAAATAAAATATACGGTGCAATTGATGGGTTTGGATTTTATCTTCAGCCCATTAGTCTCATCTCTTCCTTCTTTAATAGTTTCAAACTGAAATTTCTTCATTTTCATATGAGTTCACTATTCTTTGGGAATCCAAAGGGAATACCATCAAAATTTGCTTACCTAGTTCCAGTAAAGGTAAGATTGCTTTAGGGAGAATATTTCTTAGAATAGAAACTCCATTATTTCCATCTATTGTCAAGATAATCTTTTACTACAGAGACAAATTCCCAATCTAATTAATCATCACTCTGACTTTCAGTACCTAAAAATTAGAAGACTTCTGCAGTTTACTATGTATTAGCAAAACGTGAGCTAGACATATCTAGTTGCTTCTGTGAAATTGTTTCTGCTGCCTTCTAACTAGTCTCTATAATAAACTGTACTTGCCTTAGTCACAGGTTTGAGTCAAACAAAATATTGTAAGTCATTCATTGTCAAAATAATTTGATAATCACTTAAAATGTTAAAGTTCAATTCATAGTAAAATTAGTTTCCTACATTTTTCTTACACCATATGCAGTTTTCCAAATTACCTTTTTCCACATGAATCAAAATGGCTGTGATGCACCTTAATTCATACTATTGTTCAGTCCTCTCTAGGCCTTCATGTCAAAAGATGCTTTGAAACCATTATCATGTCTTAAACTCCCTTTCAAGCTGTGTGCCAAATGTTTACATTTTCTTTATATAACCCATTATTCTATACACATTTTTTGTTCTTCTTGAACACTTTCTGTTGTTCCCAATCTTTTTTTAATGTTGAGACAAACATTTTCTGTACTACATTAATTCATCTAGCATTTCTATATGAATTAAGCACAGGACATGTGTCAACTTCCATGGCGGCCAAGGGAGATAAGCAGGTGCATAACTACCTGAACGGTACCAAAGACTTCGATTTGGGTCTCTCTCCCTCTTTTAGTGCAGCCACCACCATTTCCCAGCCATTTTATCTCTGTGCAGCAATAGTAACTGATTCTGACCTCAAGATAGATGATGATTTGACTATTTTCCTGCCATCATTGTTTAGATAACTTCAATCTCTCTTTTTTTTTTTTTTTTTTTTTGAGTCGGAGTCTCGCTCTGTCGCCCAGGCTGGAGTGCAGTGGCGTGATCTCGGCTCACTACAAGCTCGGCTTCCCGGGTTCACGCCATTCTCCTGCTTCAACCTCCCGAATAGCTGGGACTTCAGGCGCCCGCCACCACGCCCGGCTAATTTTTTGTATTTTTAGTAGAGACGGGGTTTCACCGTGTTAGCCAGGATGGTCTCGATCTTCTGACCTCGTGATCCACCCACCTCGGCCTCCCAAAGTGCTGGGATTACAGGCGTGAGACACTGCGCCCAGCCTAGATAACTTCAAATCTTTTAACAGAGTTTGGTTTTGGTTCCATGTACCAAAACCAGAACCAAGTGTCTTGTTTGGTTTCAAGACACTGTTTCCTAATTTAGAAAAGCCACTGGGCAATCGCTGATGTCATGATCCAAAACCTCAATGGCTAACTTCAATTTAGCAATTCATAAGGTGGATCTCCTTTGAAAAATAGTTTTCATTAATCTTCAATCAATATCCATCCAATTAATAATTGCATTCTTCAAATACATTGTGCTCAGAACTTGTACTGTAGGTGTGGGCCTTGAAGAATTAGTATCTGAGGACCTTAGAGAAGTGATTTTACATACTTAAAGCAATACATTCTATCAGTTCTGTCTCTTGGTTTTGCCGTCTTGGATCATCACCCATCGAGATGGAAAGAGGACATATGAAGACAACCAGAAGAGTGAAAATAGATCAAAACGGACTGAAGGGTGGATGAAGAATAGGAACTTTGAAAAAGTGTCAAGAGTATAGAATGGGCTTTCTTAGAGCCATAAATGTTTTCAGAATGTTTCAGAATGTCTATGAACTAGCTAGACACTCTGTTCACTATGCCCCTCCCCTAACTAGCGTGGTCCCATCCAATTATAATACAGAACGGGTAAGGAATTCAGTTTGGCTTAATGAGATAGAAAACACAAAACAAGAGTGGCTGAAGCAAGAAGTGATTTATTTCTCTCTCAAATTGACTAAGTATAATGGCTCCACAGTCATTAGGAAACCAGGCCATTCTCAGCACTTGACAGCAGCTTTGTGGATCAAGATGGCAGCCTTGGCTCTAACAGCAGGTCCCATGGAGTCGGATAGAAGAAGGGACTGAAGTGTGTGCTCCCTGTCTTGAGGAGACTTCCTGGAAGATACTATACCACTTCTGCTCTTATCACTTTGGCTAGAATTTAATTATATGTCCATAATAGCTATGAAAGAGGTTAGGGAATTTAGTTTTTATTCTGGGAAATTATGTCTCCAGCTAGCATTTTGAAGTTCTATGATTAAAGGAGAAGGAAGAATGGATATTGAGGGAAAACTATCATTATCTACCAGAGAACCAATTATTTTGTTAAATAAAGATTTGAATAATTTAATGACACATGAAATCTGACCACTTCTTATGTTCAGTCCAGCTTTCCTTCAATGGAGTCTGATTGATTCATTTTGCCTTAATAACTAGTTGTAAAAAAAAAGATTGCAGAATAGATATCATTGAACACAAATCTACATTTGTCATATATACATATTTATAAAATTACATTAAATGACTTTTACAGAGCATTTTATATAGAAAAATGTAATGTATATTTCAGTTCATGAAAACTGATTACTTAAATGTAAGTAACATTTTGATAAACTCATGAAAATTTTCATCTCTACCTTGACTGCACTGAAGCATCACCTGGGGAGCTTGTCTTGTTGCTGTGGTTTCATTATTTTTTAACAATTTCAATGCCCAGCACATGGTGAGCACTGAGACCAATTCATCCAGAACCTGGAAGGGGTAGAAAAGGAGAGTATAACCCAGGTCTTTCTGTGTCTTGCAAAAGCAACTTCTAAAGTATAGGACCCCATTCAGCAACAGCTAAGGAAGGCTTAGAATATAAGCATTAAACCGGGCTGTACTGATGTTTTTCATTGCACTCAACAGTAAAGTGCAATTAAGAAAATCTGTGATGTGATTGATCTCTCTGTATGTGGGACACTTTTGCACTAAATAAAGTAAGTTGCTAAGGTAAATTAATGCATTTCTGACTCTCCTTTGAAATCAGACACCTTTTTTTTTCTTCCAGGTTAATTATATAAAGCAACTGCAATGATATAATGTGTAGTGACAAAATACTTTTTAAGTACAGAAGGAGGGGAGGCCAAGGCAGAACATGTAAGAAGATTTAGCTGAGACCCTTTAGTGTCTTCATAAAGGCTGTTTCAATCATATCTGTGGATACCAGGTGGCTGAGTATCTCGAGCCACCCACTGCTCTTACCGCTAGTCAGTCTTCTTGGTGATTCCAACCTTCCTAGGTGAAAGGGGCAGGTGTAGAAGGATAAAATCTTTCTCCAAAAAAAAATATGAGGGGAAAACCCTATAGCCAAGCATGTAAAACCTTGGCTCCTAAGTCTGGACCCACCCCTACTGACACATATGACTTCTAATAATTCCATCTCTCTGAAGCAAGGTGTCTTGCCCATGAAACACAGGCATTTGACCAATGTTGTCTAGATTTCTTTCTACCTCCAGAATCTTAAGTTTCTACCCAGCAGTCATCCTACTTGGAAAGAAAATTACTAATTTAGATTTCCTGTCCAAGTAATGGCATCAATCCTCCCCTCACCACAGGTCATACCAGAATAACAGCAATGTCTAGAGGGAAAATCCTCAATTTGAGCCTCTCCTGGGTCCCCCTGACAATTCAGATATATGAAGTGAAGGGAATGTGGTTAGAGTGCATTCAGGGTTTATGCACTTAACACAGAAAGCACCTGGCATGAGTACTGCCTTTTGTGACCTCCAGTGAGAACCACTGCTTAAAGCTTTGGAGACTTCTAACAGGCATTGGTCACAGGGTGTATAGCTTTTCCAGTGGTCCAGAAAACAAAACCGATTTCAGAATGGGTTGTAGATGTGCTGAGAGGTTCTAAGGGGGTAAAAACCCACAAAAATGCAGACACCAAGAATCAGTAAGGAAACAGACTATAAAACTAGGGGACTCATGGATATGAGGCAGGTCTGAAGGGAGTCTCGGTTGCCAGAATGAAGAACCATGGAAGTAGTCAGGGGGGTCTAACAGCCTCAAAGAGCAGTCAAGATACTTGAGGTTTCTGTACCTAGTTATGTGCAACGTGTCAAGGACCCTGAGTGAGCAATGGCAGAAGATTAATTGGGAAAACACTGAGAGCACAGGGAAGCGTTTAACAGAAACTACAACGCCGATACTGCCCGGAGGCAGGACCAGATGAAACAAAAAGTGATTATTAGACTCAGAAGAGAATTAAGATATGTATCTTGGGTGGACTGTACACCAAATACTCCCCCTATTTGTTACTAAAGAATCCCAGTGTTGCCCAGGGCATCAATAAGTTTTGCCAGAAATACTCAGATTCACTGCCTCCCTTGCAAGAATGAGGGTGGGGTGAGGGAGAGCAGGGTCCTGAGATACTTCTGGACCAGGTGAGGGGGAGAAAGCTGAAGCCTCCTTCTTGCAGCCATGAGGTGGTAAATGAGACGACAAAAGCCATAAGGTCAGGACGGGGGAACAGAACAGCAGGAGGAGACTGGGACTCAGGGATGTCACAGAACCACTAGACCATACCATACTTCATGCTTTAAGGGAAATGAACTGCTATTTGACTAAGCCACCTTACATGCAAACTATAATATTCAATAAGCCAAGTCACTCATTAATGACAGTATAATAACACCTCATGACTCCACGATGCTGAGGAATTGGAAAGCCTGGAAAACTCGTACAAGAGAACAGTTTCTGCTCATCCAAGGTCCGCTCACAGGAGCCAACCACAGATGTCCACCTGCTTAGAACCTCAGCACGTCTACGACCCATTCTGAAGTCGGTTTTGTTTTCTATGCCTCTTCGTAATAACATAATCTCCCTTGAGATTACACAAAATCAAACATCTTTAAGGAGCCAGATGAGCTCAGAACTTAAGACAAATGTGGCAAAATGCTCAGCAAATCCTTACTGAGTGGAGGCGCATTCATATCATTTCCATAAACAATGGAGGAAAGATAGAAAGGGACTCAGATTAGAACCATGCCAGAGTCCTGACATTTTAGATGATATTAAACCTACAAACTGGCACTTAAAAATGATGAGGAACACACAGGAGACAAGCACATGTGCCTCATGTCGCTGATTAAAGTTTGAAAGGAAGCGTTAAGACTCAGCTGTTATATATAATGCCTGAAGAATTTCAGATTAGTTGGAGGGAGACAAATAGAAAACTACTATTTTTTTTTTCTGACTCATGAAGAGGTACTGAGGCCCAAACACCTGGCTGCTGGAATAAATAAATTTCCTCTGGGCTATGTTGTATTTATTGCTTGCAGCGGGGAGCATTTGACTTCCGTATGGACTGGCCAGAGTGGATCAAGGGTGCGGCTAAGCCCAGTGATGTCCAACAAAGACACTGCAAGCAATGTCAGGCTGCTGTGTGGAAAGTACAAAAAAGAACATTTCCCCTTAGCCCAAGAGTTATTTTTACTGAGATAACCCAGACATTTACCAGAGCTTCAGTGCAGAGAAGCTGCCAGCAAAGCTTTCAGATGCAATTCACCCAGGAGGGGACTTAAGGAATCTTTCCCTTTCGATCCCAGGAGAATATCCTTCACCCCTCGTAGACTCGTGGTGTTCTGAACCCTGATCAAGGCCATCACCAAGTCTGACCCCAGACCTGACTACTGCCTCATCACTGCTGATTCAGGGCAGACCAGCAAAGCCAGCATGAGATTGCAGAGCGCATGCCTAAGCAGGGAGCACCCTCAGGACACCATCAACCTCCAATGCATGAAATGGACAAATGAAGCCAAGTTGCACGTGCACAGGCAGTGATCAAAGTGTGAGGGTGAAACCGGATTTGAAGATTTTTTTTTTTTTTTGAGACGGAGTTTCTCGCTCTTGTTGCCCTGGCTGGAGTGCAATGGTGCAATCCTGGCTCACTGCAACCTCCACCTCCCAGGTTCAAGCAATTCTCCTGCCTCAGCCTCCCAAGTAGCTGGGATTACAGCCACACTACACCTGGCTAATTTTGTATTTTTAGTAGAGATGGGGTTTCACCATGTTGGTCAGGCTGGTCTCGAACTCCTGACCTCAGGTGATCCACCCGCCTCGGCCTCCCAAAGTGCTGGGATTACAGGCGTCAGCCACCATGCCCGGCCAAAGATGTCTTTTCTAAACCTGCTAGGAACTTGTCTCTGGTCAGAAATTATGTCAGGAAGCCTCTGTTTAAAAAAAAAAAAAATGAAAAGCACTCTAGAGAAAGAAACTTGAATTTTTATTGTGACTCCACTGAGTAGTTCTTTGAAATCTTTAAAATAGCATCATGCTATTCTTTGGAAAGAGGGGAAGCATGTTGAAAAAGTGAGACAGAATTTAACTGGAACTCCAACTTTCCTTAAAACTAGGTGTGTAGCCTTAATGCATTCACCAATATTGCAGACATTCCATCTCTGTGACAGAGCAAGACCCTATCGCAAAAAAGAAAAAAAAAAAAGGCATCATGATAGCTGCCGAGGAAATCAGGGAAGATTAAGTGCAATGACATCTGCAAAGTGCCTGGCAGTTTGGTCGTTATGATTAGTAGCAGTAGTTGCAGTGTAGTTATCACTGGCAATTTTAAAAATGTGACTCATCCTTCCTTCACAAGGAAAATGTAGATTCAAGATTAAATTATTATCACTAAAAAATGGTTTAGACCATTTAAAGATGATTTCTGATCCTTGATCTGAAAATTACAAAACACATTGACATAGAAAGATTTTGGCTTACTCCAAGCAGCGCACTGGTTGGTAAAGACGAAGATATGTTACATCAGAGGAGCGCACTGCTGTTGGCTCCAGAGGGGCAAACCCCACCTTCAAGGGAGCACTGAAGAGTAGATTTCCCCAGACTCAGAGTCACCTGGGGCTGCAGTAATGAAGGGTAAGCTAAGTAGGATACTGCAAGCCCAGAGTGTGCTGCATTGTCAGGCTGGAGGGTGGAGAAGGAATTTTTTACCTGGCACACCTGGGTCCTGAATGCCACGAGGTCTCAGAACAATAATGAGTGTTTGCTGAACAAAGGTCTAGAGAGCCAAGAGACCAGGCGATAAGCTGTAAAGCCATCCTAACAACAGCTTTCATTATTAAGCCCCTACCCTGTATCACTCAAGTTAGATTCATCCTCTTATTTAACTCTCACAATAAAATTATGAGGTGAGCCAGTTATCCCCAGCCATATGAGCAAACAGATGTTTAATGAAGTTCAGCCACCTAGGTCATGTGAGTGTCTTCTGAGTAAAGATGAATCTTTCTTGCCATGAGAGTTTTCTGCTCCTTTCAGCTTCACAAGGAACCTGTCGCCTACCTGGCTACAGGCCAGGCCAGGCTCTATGGCCCTGGCTACATAGAGCATCTTTCATTCTGCAAACATTTCTGATTCCAAATTCCCAAACATAATCTGCCTGTGTCCTGTCTTGTTCTTTCATGACAAAGACATCTGATTATCAAATTAGATACTTTGATAAATATGGTTATACTAAGGTAAGCAAAGGTGGCATTTTTTATCTCCTTCTGTTGATAAAAATCTTAAGTCAGAGGTTCTCAAAGAGTGATGTGTAGCAACGCAGGAGTCTCCAAGAAGTTTCTTTCTGTGTTCCCTAAGCTAAAACTATTTTTACAATAATGCAAAGATATTGTTTGCCTTTTTCACTGTTTATAGTTTTCCTTGAAGTAACTGGTTCATTTGGTTCATTTTTAAGAAAATATCTACCAAATACTCAAGTCTGAAACTGTAGTTTGTCCTTCTACCATTCTTTCAAGTAAAAACATTATTTCACAAAAAAAAAAAAAAAAAAAAAAAAAAGGTAGTTCAGCTTGCAGCCCAGCAGCCTGTGATCTTTTCTTGGAGATGACCCTTACCTTTGGTCTGTAGCAGAAATATAATATCTCTACTTGTCATTTCATCACATAGAATATGTTTTAAATATACCAAAGGTTGATGTTTAATAATAAAATGAATAATTGTATTGCTTCATCATGGACCTATTTGAAAGGTTTTTGCTGGTTTCTTTGCTTTCACTCAATGTGTGGTGGTGAAGATGTTATGAGTGTCAGTAGTTTACCACCACCACCATGATGTGTACAAAGGCTGCAGTAGTTTTATTGCCCATTGCTTTTGCAACACCAGTGCATATGTCCACATCGAGAAAAGGCAAATTTGTTGCCAGCGATAAAATTTGACTTTCAAGAGAAAAACTCAAATTAAGAAAAAGTAGCCTCTGGGAATTTCCCAATACTTAAAAATCTTTCTGATAAAATTAGTAGTGATATAATCAAATGTGATTTTTTGGTGTGGTACTATAAAATAGGATAATTGGAAGATCTTCATAACTCTATGAACCAGTATTTTCCGCATTAACAGGGAATGGCATTATAAAATCACCCATGGGTAAAAGCTTTTTGAACTGAAAGATTCCTGGATTTTACAGTAATAGTCTACAAAAAGCTCTATGTTTTTAGATTCCATATTGCAATTAACAATGTAAAAACTACCACTTGCCTCACTTACCAAATTTTAGTGTAATAGCAAAGAAGTACATTCACAATTATATGTATAAGGGCTATGGAGGCTGGGCGCCGTGGCTTATGCCTGTAATCTCAACATTTTGGAAGGCCGAGGCAGGCAGATCACCTGAGGTCAGGAGTTCGAGACTAGCCTGATCAACATGGAGAAACCCAGTCTCTACTAAAAATACAAAAGTAGTCAGGCGTGGTGGCACATGCCTGTAATCCCAGCTACTTGGGAGTCTGAAGCAGGAGAATCGCTTGAACCCGGGAGGCGGATGTTGCGGTGAGCTGAGATCATACCATTGGACTCCAGCCTGGGCAACAAGAGCAAAACTCCGTCTCAAACAAATAAATAAATAAATGCTACTGAAATGCTCCTTCATTTTCCAACTACACTTCTATGTGAGGCTGGATATTCTTTATATACTTCAACCAAAGCAGCATATATGAAATTCAGCACTCTTCTATCAAACCAGACATGAAAGAGATTTCAAAAATGTAAAGCAATGCTATTTTTCTTACCAAAATTTTGTTTTAGCAAATTTTGGGAGGGGGAGTTGTTCTTTGGATTTTTAGAGATAGGGTCTCATTCTGTTGCCCAGGCTGGACTTGAACCCCTGGCTCAAGCAATCCTCCTGCCTTAGCCTCCTGAGTAGTTGGGTCTACAGGTACATGCCACTGTGCCGGGTTAGTTATTTTTCAATGAAAATATGTTATTCCTATTAACATATGAGTTTCTTATTGGCATTTTAAATGAATTAATAAATATCTAACTTTCCTCAATTTTAATTCCTGGTACGGTATATATCAATAGATATAAGCCATATGAACAAAGTCTCTTTGAGGTCTTCAAGAAACTTTAAGAGTGTAAAAAGGACAAAGTTTGAGAGCTGCTGCCTTTAGTCAAAACAAAACAAAAACAAGTACTCGAAAAGCAGAGTTTGGTAAGATAAGTCTTTTCCTACCTCCTGTGAATTATTTCAGGATCTCTTCAATAGTAGGCAGAATAATAACACTTAAAGACATCCAAGTCCTAATTCCCAGAACCTAAGTGTTACCTCATGTGGTGAAAGGGAATTGGGTTGCTGACGGAATGAAGGTTGCTAATCAGCCGCAGCCTGGATAGTCCAGGTGGACCAGAAATGACATAATCACGAAGGACTCTAAATGTGGAAGAGTGAGAGAGAGAAGAGTCAGCATCAGAGTGAAACTCTCCCAGCTGGTGCTGGCTTTGCAAATGAAAGGGCCACAAGCCAAGGAATGCAGCGGCCTCCAGAAGCTAGAAAATGCAAGAAAAGAGGTAAGAGATCCCCTGAGCCTCCAGGAAGGAAAACAGCCCTGCCAGCATCTGGATTTTAACCCAGTAGCACCCGCCTCAGACTTCTGACCTCCAGACTGCAAGACAACAAATTTATGATGCTCTAAGCCACTGACAATGCTGAACTTTACCTGAGCCTGGTGTTCCTGGAAAACAGCTAATGTTAAGAAACCCTCATTTATTCTGTGCTCCAGGAAGTGACCTACTGCAGACTCACTCTTTCCCATGTGACTTAGATGACACTCAAGCATAACCCCTTGTTTAGGACAAGGCCTGACACAGACCCTCCAAATTCCTGTTCTTTGCCTCATAAACGATAAGTTGAACTATTTGTCTATTGTCACTTGGAACAAAAGGCACGTTAACCTAACTTTGGAGATAACCTAAATTTAGGAGTTAACCTAAATTTATCTCCTTCCCTCAGTCCCAAACCTCAACCAGAGCCAGTAAACAGCCTCTCCTTCATGCCCTATCCTAGAAATAGTGTGACTTCAGGGGAAAACGTTCTCAGACCTACTGTCCTATCATGCCATGTTCCTCATTCATCCCACTTCTCAGGCTTGGTTCTCCTTAGTCTTGTTTACTCCCCCTTATAAAAGAAAAGCCTTTTTCGGGCTGACCTCTGAGACAGTTGCAGATTTCATGGTCACAGAATTCTCCGTAATGCAACAGCCCTTTATCCCTCTTGCAATAATCCTTTCTAATATAGCACCGCCCTATCTAAATTCAGATTTGCTTTTCTTTTTTTTTCTTATTCACATTTATTTATTTATTTATTTTTTAATTTTATTCAGAGAAATGCAAATCAAAACCACAATGAGATACCATCTCACACCAGTTAGAATGGCTTTTCTTTTTTTTAGACAGACTCTCGCTCTGTTGCCCAGGCTGGAGTGCAGTGGTGTGATTTCGGCTCACTGCAACCTCCGTCTCCCAGATTCAAGTGATTCTCTTGCCTCAGCCTCCCCAGTAGCTGGGATTACAGGTGTGTGCCACTACACCCGGCTCATTTTTTGTATTTTCAGTAGAGACGGTTTTCAACGTGTTATCCAGGATGGTCTCAATCTCCTGACCCCATGATCTGCCAGCCTTGGCCTCCCAAAGTGCTGGGATTACAGGTGTGAGCCACCGCACCCGGCCCAGATTTCCTTTTTTTTTGAGACGGAGTCTTGCTCTGTTGCCCAGGCTGGGGTGCAGTGGCGCGATCTCGGCTCACTGCAAGCTCCGCCTCCCAGGTTCATGCCATTCTCCTGCCTCAGCCTCCCGAGCAGCTGGGACTACAGGAGCCCGCCACCACGCCTGGCTAATTTTTTTGTATTTTTAGTAGAGACAGGGTTTCACCGTGTTATCCAGGATGGTCTTGATCTCCTGACCTTGTGATCTGCCTGCCTTGGCCTCCCAAAGTGCTGGGATTACAGGCTTGAGCCACCGCGCCCGGCCTCAGATTTGCTTTTTATCTGACACCACTGAGTTTGTGTAATTTGGTATAGCAGCAGCAGGAAGCTAATACATCACCTAAAAGCAGCAAACTTCCCAAGCCTTCTTGGGAGAATGAACAAGGCAAGAGCAAAATTTAACAGGATTAATTCCCATTTATGTAGCTCCTATCAAATGACTGGCATCCATTCCATTTGCACTCACACCAAAGATGGTGAAGATTTGAGATTGAAGGAGGTTTACCAAGATGAAGATCTTTGATCAATCAAATCAAGGATCTCTCGATCCAGCCCTGTAGGTGGCATAGCTGGGAGTCTCAAAGAACTATTCTTAAATTCCTTAGTGACCCAGAGCCCCCACACTGTCACTACCCAGAGGAAGTCCTTGATGGCTCAAGTAATAGGAATGCACTTCAGCCTCTTAGGATATTCACTTACAAGTCTGCATGTGAGAACTCATTTCATTTTAAAAATAAAAGGTAAAACTTGGAGAATGAATGCAAATCACACCATTCTCTGGGATGCAAAATGGAAAAGGAGTCTTCTGAGTTAAACACTGTGAACCCCTTAAGGAGTATCTCATGATATGTATGTAGCCTTTGCAAGGACATTCTTTTAATAGAAATGACCTTGTTTTCCTGTTTGCACTATTTTGAGTATTAAGAGGTGCATTGCAAGCAAGGCTGATAGCTGACATGTTGAAGTTGCAAAATGAAACCCTTTAGTTAAGAAAGAAATCTTTATCTCCTAAAAGTCATGCTGATGAACCAGATGTTTGAGTGATGTTGCTGCTATTTTAGTATCTTCAGTTGTCATTTTTTACTTGAAGGTTTTAAAAATGAAGAAGCAAAAGGGCTCACTAAGCTTCATTTGCAGCAGGCAGAGCCCTGTCAGTGAGTCAGCCCCACACACAAAATCGTACACGTGCTCGCACGCGTCTCTCATGCCATATCACTCCAACACAGACTGCTTCTCACCCTCCCTATCTCAGTCCACAGGTTGCACGTTTTACCTATCCAGAACACTCTCTGCTGTGTGAGGAATAATTGCTGTACCAAAGGCAACGCACACACACCCTTAGCTATCTCCAGCTTTCCACACAGTAGGTAGAATTTGAGATTTCTGGCTTATCATTTTATAAAATGCAGAGCAGGAAATTTAGAATATCTCATAAAATAAAAAGGTTTTCAACAGGAAGATCTACCCAGGGCAGCACTCCTGGCCACGTTTTATTACTATTCCATTTCTCTCCTGAAGCCCAGCCACCTGGTTTGCATTTTCCCTGCAGCTTGACATCTTCAGGATGCCTTTCTCAGCTGAGTGGCCTGTGGCAGGGGCAATGGCCCTTCTCCAAGGAGCACATGGGTTAGCACATGTGCTGTTTTCAACAAACCACCTGACAAAACTGTGACTTGCCCCCACGTGAAGAGTAGAGGTTGTAGAGGGGAGTTAGAACAGGCAAAAGAGAAAAAAGAAAAGCAGAGTGAACTCTGTACATGCATGGACAATCTCCCACTCTGGCCCATCTTTGATTCCTAACCTGCAATCCTGAGTGAGTTTTGAAAGAAAGATGGTTTCCTGACATTAGATGCAATATTGTGGGGTGGAGGGAATGTTTTTATCAGATTCACAATAAAAGATTAAAACCCATCTTGGTGAAGTTTAAAGTTCAGTTAAACAATATCTTCTTTAAACTCTCCAGCATAGCTCAAACTATTAAAAATAATCCCTCCTTTATCTGTTTTTTAAATCTGGTTGTAACCAAAAGGAAGTTTCTTTTTCTACTTTCTGTGTCCAAGGGAAAAAAAAAAATTAAAGGGAAAAACAAAGAAGAGGGAGAGGAGAAGAAAACAAAATTGGAGTGTAGTGAAGATGAAATAAGGAGTTGCTGTAGTAGCAGAATTTGAGAGCTAGAAAGATCACTTTTTCCAACATGCCCTTTTAATAAGTAGACATCATTCATGATTTATGAAAGACTATGAGGCTAAAGTGTTGCCTAGTGACTGCTTCTTGCATCTCACACCCAGCAGCAAGACAACATCCAGGGCAAGTGGGAGAGGGAGTGATGAGTCAGTAGGCAAAGACCTTGCCTGTGGGGCCCCAACAGACTCCTTACAGAAGATATTTCCCTCTGAGTTTGCCCTTAAAGACATTATTGGCTGAGCATGGTAGCTCACACCTGTAATTCCAACATTTTGGGAGCCCAAGGTGGGAGGACCACTTGAGCCCAGGAGTTCAAGACCAGCCAGGGCAACATAGCAAGACCCCATCTCTATAAAAATAAATAAATAAGTAAAAATGCTATGAGTGCACAAAAGCATGCAGTGGCCACAGGATCAACATTGAACAAAGTCAAGTAAAGATTTTTAAATTTTTATTTAGGGCTGTTTATTTAGTTTGATGCTTTGTCTTTCTACCTACCTCTATGCCCTGGGAATTAAGAGAACTGAGTTCAAGGAGCAAATTTGCATTTTGCTTAATGTTAATTGAGATGTTTCCTGCACTTTTGCACCAATATGGTTTGGCTGTGTTCTCACCCAAAATCTCATCTTGAATTGTAATTCCCATAAGCCCCATAATCCCCATGTGTCCAGGGAGAGACCAGGTGGAGGTAATTGAATCATGGGGGTGGTTTCCCCTATGCTGTTCTCATGATAGTGAGTGAGTTCTCACGAGATCTGATGGTTTTATAAGTGTTTGCTAGTTCCTCCTGCATTCATTCTCCTTCCTGCCACCTCATGACAATGTGCCTTGCTTGCCCTTTGCCTTCCACCGTGATTGTAAATTTCCTGAGGTCTCCCCAGCCATGCTGAACTGTGAGTCAAGTAAACCTCTTTTCTTTATAAATTACTCAGTCTCAGGTATGTCTTTATAATAGTGTGAGAATGGACTAATACATGCATCATCTGTGTACATATTATTGTTTAAAAGGGTGTTCCTAGAGAGCATTAACTGACCAAGTCAGACAAGCTGGGGCGTCAGGACCGTGGTCCAGGGTTCTAGGATCCTCAGGCCTTTTCCATGAGCCACACATGCACTCAGTCTCCAACATTCCTCTTCAATGTCTTTTCTTGCTCAGTTCACAAGGAATGTTGCCAAGACCAGCATCCAGGGCCCCTGGGCTGCAGAAGCCCAACACCCTGCCTTTGGCCCTGCTCCAGTCTCTCTAGAACATCCTTTCTTCCTTGTCTATCCTGCTCTTAGAGAACACATGCTCAGCGTTCTTTCTCCCTGACACCACCACTGGCAGAAATTATCCCCCTCTTCCTCACGTCCCCACCAGACACAGGGGACACTAAAAGTGAGGACCATGTTCTATTGTCTCTGTAGACCCAGCAACTAGCAGAGGCTCTGGCAAAAAAAAAAAAAAAAAAAGAAAGTCTCCATGTAATGGTTGAACTAAAGCTTTCATGGGCTCACAATTTATTCATCTGACAAGTGTCTGTTGATCACTACTGTGTACCAGGTCTGTGCTATGAGAAAGGGATATAAAGATAAACAAGACCCAGTTTATGTTTACCAAGAGCTCTTAGTCTAATGGAAATGAATGCAAATCTGTCAACCTCTAAAGGAGAAAAAAATATCCAAGTTTATTCCCTTCTGACAATAGGACAGAGGCATCTTATTCATGGGACCAGAGTTCCACCACCGTTTGTAGAGAAACTCACCTGACTGGGCATCATAGCCATACCTGATGAAGTTTTAATAACCTGATATGTTTAAAGCTGAATTCAAGTTAACAGAGGCCTGAAGATATTAGAGTTGATTAGGGAAAGTACAAAAGAGAAAGAAAGAAAATTAAATCTGAGAAAGAGAAATAAAAATGATAATCAAATTTTACAGTGGGCAATTTTGTTCTATTTCTCTGTCTCAAAGTAGAGGTGAAAGTAGAATTTCCTTTTATTCTTTAGAAAATCCACAACTGGCCCAGGAGGCCAGGCATGTACTCAGTTCCCACCTCAAGACTTCATGTATAGCGTTCTCCTATTTTTAAAAGTGGATTTCTGTAAAATGTTTCATAATGTGGATTGGTTTCTTTGGGGTCTGCCTCTGCACTATAGCTGCATTAAAAAAGACATTAATAACTTTTCCGTTAATGGGTTTTTCAGAGTCTCCAAAGACTCACCTTGTACATTATAACTTCCTCCCACTTAGCCCCCTGGCTATGTCTTGATTGCCCTTGTAAGACATCTTCAGGACATGTTGCTTAAGTTAAAGATTGTCCTTATGAGAAATAACTTCTCATACTATGCACAACGTACACTCAGGAAACAGCAGTGCTTAAGTGCCGTCATTTCATGTGTCATTTTACCTTCATCCTGTGAAACGCTCAGCTCTGAGAGGGGCTGACCCTGCCTAGTAAATGAAGAATTTCAAAGACAGAGGCAGCTGAGGCTCTATCTAAGACATGAGAGGTGACTTTGAACTGGTTATTTCATGTTTTTGTCCTTTGCCAAGACACTCTAGTCAACTCACCCAATCTTCACTTTTACAGGGTGAGGTGGAGTTTCCAGAAAATTATTGTTCCATTTTGAAACCTGTAGAAGAGAGAAAAAAGATTCCATAAAATCATAATTTGCTAAGTGTATGTGTATGTGTGTATACATGAAATATATGAGTATCTTTTCTATCATCCAGATATGCTAATATTAAAGATAGAGTCTTGCAACGGGTCTCAAATTTTGCTACGCTCTCTATGACAACATAGAATGTAAATCATTAGAGGGTAGGAACTATGGTAGCCTTGTGTTTGTCACTGCTTCTAGTCTTGTAATTTTAGCCTTTTCTGGTCCCAAAAGAAATCAACCTTGCATCTCCCTAAATACCTGTCACTGGGACTAGCAACTGGCACTAGCCGCTTTAGCTGGGCAAGTAAACCCTGAATTCAGAAGTGACAAACAAACGTCCCAAGATTCTTCTTGCTAAAGTAGGAGTTCTTTACCTTTTATGAGTTACAGACAGCTTTGGGAAGATTTTTTAAATGTACATAGCTACAAACAAAAGTTTGCATGCTGTTTTTGGAGGGTCATAGGCCCTGACAGCTAACTTCAGCATCTCTACCTTGAAAATATTTTTAAAATCAGCCTGCCCCATCTCCTCATATTCTGCCCTCTCTTCCCCAGGTTGGCAGCCCTTGCTTTATTTTGGTCTCTGCTGTCTTCTTGTTACTCAGAGAGCACTTGTTAAGTAAACAGCCTCCGCAATGATCAGGTAACTGCAGTGGTAGTTGTGTGCCTCACCATGCTGCCATTAAAGAAATGACAGTCTGGTTAACCAAGCAGCACTGGTTTTTGACAGATGACAAAGCATTCATGGCACTGAGATCGGTTTCAAAACAAATGGCTGTCTCAGGCTACTCACCACTCTGTTGTGAGACTGTCAGGGGCTGCCTATACGTGGTTCACATCCGAGGAAGCTTGGCCAACTGGCGCTCACAAGAGATGACATCTATCAACAGCATCAGTCTCTGCAGGCCTCCAAGTACTACACCCAACATTCAAACACAAAGCGTGATAGAAGAGGCATCCCAGTGCGGCAGCTGCAAATTAGCAGCAGACAATGAAAAGTTGGTTCAAAATTTGGCTTCATGGTTTTCATTCAGGGCAGCATGATGAGTGAAAGCAGACTTTTGTCTCCAGTGGACCTCATTTGCCACTCACTTGCCCTTTCAAACCACCCTTTTACTCAGTTTCCCTTTATAGAAAATGGGGAAAATTGAAAAAATTATTTCCCAGGTTACTGTGAATGGTAAATGTAGTGGTAGTTAGTGCAGGTAACTACTACAGTGCCTGTCAAGTATTAAAGGATTCAAGAAACTTACGACTGAAACAGTAAATGCAAGTTAATTCTAACTTATAAAAGGAAATCATCTAAGTTTTATCTGAGAACTACATAGTGAAGTCAGTCTGTGTGGGCTGCCATAAGAAAATGCCATAGACTGAGGGGCTTAAACAACAGAAATTGATGTCTTGAAGTCCTGGAGGCTGGAAGTCAAAGATCGAAGTGCGGATGGAGATCAAAGTGTGGGTGGACTCTGTTCTTGGTGTGAGTCTTCTTCCTGGTTTGCAAATGCTGCCTTCTCGTTGTGTCTTCACGTGGCAGATGTGGTGTGGGGGAGAAAGAGGCAGACGTGGTGCTTTCTGGTGTCTCTTCTTGTAAGCATACTAATCTCATCAGATCAGGGCTACACACTTATGACTTCGTGTCACCTTAATTCCCTCCTAAAGGCCCTATCTTTAAATACAGTCTCATTAGTGGTTAGGAATTAGTGCAACTTAGGAACTTGGGGGGAATGCAATTCAATTCCTTGCAAATGGCAATAGATTTTAGGTATCCTGAGAAATTTGGAAAATGAGACCCAAACTGAAATAATATCTCTAATTAACAAATTTTATAAATCTTGAACAGAGAAAATTAAAATTCTGAATTGAGAACATCCATATGAAATTATATTTCTTCTTCTCTGGGTTGAGGGAGAGCCATGCCAAGTCCAGAAATTCTCCATTTGGCCCATTTTATGAGTTTATTGGTACAATTTAAGGGTTGGACCGCAGACACAGAAGTATGATCCGAGGGACACTCCAGCGACTGTGCCAGGGAGTGAGGGCAGGGAAGGCGGGCTGGCCTGCAACTGCCACTTGCTCCGAGCGGCCATTGTCAGTGAAGGATCCTGGGGGCCAGAGAAAGTATTTTAAAGTTCATGGCACACAAACGTATGGAAGAAGTCAGGGATATTTTAAAGTTCATGGCATACAAAAGTATGGAAGAAGTCAGGGATATTTTCTGAGTTGGGAAAAACATACCCAGTTTTCTGCTAAGTCAACACAGCTTTTCTTTTTCTTCTAGCTCTGGAGAAACTAAAATGTGAGGGAAAAAGCTCCCCTGCATTTTCATGCCCAGCTGTCTGTGCTTTGCCATTCCTTTGGCTTGAATACTGTTCCTGCCTTCCCTCATGGGCAAAATAATCAAGTCCTAAGGCAATAACATCCTCCTTATAATTTCTTGTAAGTCCCTTAGCCCATCAGCATTCTCTCTCTTTCGCCCCATATCCCAATACACTTTCCTCTTGCTACTTTGTGACCTGTTAGCAAGTTCTTTACCCCTCCACCACTCAGTTTCCTTGCCTGCAAAATGGGTATGTTATTGATACACATCTCATAGATTTGTAGTAGTTAATGAAACAATAAATGTGAAGCATTTAATACTGTGCATGACATATTATAGCCACTTAATACATTTTAACCTATTGCTATTATTATAAATCGTTTGTAACATGCGTTTCAGATATCTTGAACAACTTTCCAGACCTTAGTGCTTCTATTAACTACATAATATTTACAGGACTGTATAAAAATAGATAAAGACACTTAAAAGTATGTATGACATGTTCTTTTTAAAAAGTTGGATTGAATTTATGATTCTTGGAGAAATGTATGATTTTCTCCTATAAATCATTATTCTTTTAAAATCAATCATGTTGAGGCACAATTTAAATTCAATGAAATTTACTCATTTTATGCGTAAAGTTTAATGCATTTTCACTAATGCATACACCATTGTGACTGTCACCACTTATGAGACACAAAACACTTCCATCCCCCTGAAAGGTCCCTTGTGTCCTGGTCCACTCAAGCCCATTCCACCCCTACCCTGGGAAATTACTGATCTACTTTCTGTCACTACAGATTAATTTTACCTGATCTATAATTTGATATAAATCAAATCCTACAGTTTGCTTTCATTTTTTTCTAGCTTCTTTTCCCAGATTAATGTTTGGAGATTTGCCTATATTGTTAAATCTATCATTACCTAATTTTTTTATTGTTTTTAATTTATTTTTTATTTTTACCCATTGTAGGGCTATACCACACAGTTTGTATATAGCTTCACTGTAGATGGACATTTGGTTGTTTCTGTCTTTTATGCATCATGTATAAAGCTGCCATGAACATTTCATTACAAGTCTTCATATAAACACAACTTTTCATTTCTCTTGGAATTATTGTTAGGTAAAATGGCAAGTGCATATTTATAAGAAACTTCCAGGTTATCTCCTATTTTGATTTCCCCCCAGTGATGTATGACTTCCAGTACTCAATGACATTACCAATATTTTGTGCTGTAAGTCTTTACTTTTTACCTTTATAGTAGGTGAACAGCAGTATCTTACAGCAATTTTTGTTTATTTTCTCTGATAATTAATGATGTTGATGATCTTTTCATGTGCTCCTTGGCCATTCATATATTGTCTTCTATGAAGTTCCTGTTCAAATATTTTGTTTATTTTTTTCTCATTAAGTTGTAGAAACTCTTTATGTATTCTAACTACAAGTCCCTTGTAATATACATGTATTCTAATATCCTCTTACAATCTTCGGCTTGCCTCTCATGTTCTTAGCAGTATCTTTTAAAGAAAAGAGCTTTGGATACAGTCAAATTAATCATTGTTTCTTACATTTAGCTTTGTTTTCTGAGGAATTTTTGCTTACCCCACTGTCACAAACATTTTCTTGTATGTTTTTGACTCATAGTTGTACGGTTTCAGCTTTAACTTTTAACTCTATGATATAGTTAAAATATATTTTTGTGTAAATTGCAAAGTAATGGCTGAAGTTTATTTCTCCCATACATATATCCAGCTCCTCCAGAACAATTTATTTTTTAAGAAATGATTTTTCCCCAGTGAACAACTGTAACACCTTTTTTGGAAATCAATTGACTGCATATGTATGTGTCTATTTTTAGACTCAATATTTGGTTTCACTGCTCCATGTGTTTTTCTCATGCTGATATCAGTCTTGAACACAGCTAAGTCTTGTGTCCCCACCCAAATCTCATCTTGGCTGTGTCCCCACCCAAGTATCATCTTGAATTCCCATGTGTTGTGGGAGGGACTCAGTGGGAGGTAACTGGATCATGGAAGCAGGTCTTTCCCATGATGTTCTCATGGTGGTGGGTGAGTTACATGAGATCTGATGGTATTATGAGGGGGAGTTTCCCAGCACAAGCTATTTTTCTTTGACTGCTGCCATCCGTGTAAGACATGACTTGCTCCTCCTTGCCTTCTGCCATGATTTTGAGGCTTCCCCAGACACTTGGAACTGTAAGTCCATATTAAACCACTTTTTTGTAAATTGCCCAGTCTCAGGTATGTCTTTATCAGCAGTGTGAAAACAGACTAATACAGTAAATTGGTACCAGGAGTGGGGTGTTGCTGAAACAATACCCAAAAATGTGGAAGTGACTTTGAAGCTGGGTAACAGGCAGAGGTTGGAACATTTTGGATGGCTCAGAAGAAGACAGGAAAATGTAGGAAAGTTTGGAACTCCCTAGAGACTTGTTGAATGGCTTTGACCAAAATGCTGATAATGATATGGACAATGAAATCCAGGCTGAAGTTGTCTCAGATGGAGATGAGGAACTTTTTGGGAACTGAATCAAAGGTGATTCTTGTTATATTTTAGCAAAAATATGAGTGGCATTTTGCCCCTGCCCTAGAGATCTGTGGAACTTTGAATTTATGAGAGATGATTTAGTGTATCTGGCAGAAGAAATTTCTAAGCAAAAAGCATTCAAGATGTGACTTGGGTGCTGTTAAAACCATTCAGTTTTATAAGGGAAGCAGAGCATTAAAGTTTGGATAATTTGCAGCTTGACAATGTGGTAGAAAATAAAATCCCATTTTTTGAGGAGAAATTCAAGCTGACTGAAGAAATTCACCTAAGTTACAAGGAGCTGAATGTTAATCCCCAAGGCAATGGGAAAAATGTTTCCAAGGCATGTCAGAGGTCTTCAAGGTAGCCCTCCCCCATCACAGGCCCAGAGACCTAGGAGGAAAAATAGTTTCATGGGCCGGGCCCAGGGTCCCTATGCTGTGTGCAGCCTAGGGACTTGTGCCCTGCATCACAGCCACTCCAGCATGGCTGAAAGGGGCCAACGTAGAGCTCAGGACATGGCTTCAGCAGTTGCAAGCCTCAGGTCTTGGCAAATTTCACATGGTGTTGAGCCTGCCAGTGCACAGAAGTCAAGAATTGGGGTTTGGGAAACTCCACCTAAGATTTCAGAAGATGTATGGAAATGCCTGGATGTCCAGGCAGATGTTTGATGCAGGGGAGGGGCCCTCATGGAGAACCTCAGCTAAGGCATTGAGGAAGGCAAATGTGGGTTCAGAGCCCCCCACAGACTCCCCACTGGGACATCATCTAGTGGAGCTGTGAGATGAGGACCTCTATCCTCCAGACCCCAGTATGGTAGATCCACTGACAGCTTGCACCATGTGCCTGGAAAAGCCCCAGACACTCAACGCCAGCCTGTGAAAGCAGCTGGGAGGGAGGCTGTACCCTGCAAAGCTATAGGGGCAGAGCTGCCCAAGACCATGCATATCCACCTCTTGCATCAGCATGACCTGGATGTGAGACATGGAGCCAAAGGAGATCATTTTGGAGCTTTAAGATATGTCTGCCTCACTGGATTTCAGACTTGCATGGGGCCTGTAACCCCTTTGTTTTGGCCAATGTCTCCCATTTGGAACAGCTGTATTTGCCCAATGCCTGTACCCCCATTGTATCTAAGAAGTAACTAACCTGCTTTTGGTTTTACAGGCTTATAGGTGGAAGAGGCTTGCCTTAGACTGTACTTGGACTTTTGAGTTAATGCTGAAACGAGTTAAGACTTTGGGGGACTGTTGGGGAGCCATGATTGGTTTTGAAATGTGAGGACATGAGATTTGGGAAGGGTCAGGGGTGGAAAGTTATGGTTTAGCTGTGTCCCCACCCAAATCTCATCTTGAATTCCCACATGCTGTGGGAGGAACTCAGTGGGAGGTAACTGGGTCATGGGGGCAGGTCTTTCTCTTGGTGTTCTCATGGTGGTGGGTGGGTCTCACGATATCTGATGGTATCATAAAGGGTATTTCCCTGCACAAGCTCTTTTTCTTTGCCTGCTGCCATCCATGTAAGACGTGACTTGCTCCTCCTTGCTTTGTGCCACAGTTGAGGCTTCCCCAGACACTTGGAACCGTAAGTCCACATTAAACCTCTTTTTTGAGAGGCTCAGTTATATCTTTATTAGAAGGCTCAGGTATGTCTTTATCAGCAGTGTGAAAATGGACTAATATACTTTGAAATCAAGCAGTATAAGAGATTCCCCTTCATTCTGTTTTTTCAAAAACTTTAAGCTGTTCTTTACCACCATCCAATATAAATTTTTGTCATGTTCTATATTTGTGCTGTCCAATACAATATCCACAAGCCACGTGTACCTAAGAGCATGAAAAATTTGGATTTTATAACTGAGAAACTAAATTTTTAATTTTACTTAATTTCAATTTGACTTTAAATAGTTACATGTGGCTAGTGGTTACCATATTGTACAATAAAGTTCTTTGCATTTCCATTGAAATTTTAGAATCACTTTGTAAATTTCTACCAAAAAAAATTCCTTTCTAGGATTTTGATTGGGATTGCGTAGAATCCATAGGTCAATGGGGAAAATTCATATCTTAAGATCAAGTCCTAAAATCTAAATAAATTCCCATTTATTTATATCATCTTTAACTTCTCTCTGTTTATTTTTTGTAGATTTCTGTACACAGATTTCACACACCGTTTTAGTTCATTCTGGCTGTTAGAAGAAAACACCACAGACTGGGTCACTTGCAAACAGCAGAAACATTTCTCACAGTTCTGGAGGCTGAAAGGTCCAAGATTAAGATGCCAGCAGACTGAGTGTCGGGTGAAGGCCGGCTTTCTGGTTCATAGATGGCACCTTCTAGCTCTATCCTCACACAGTGGAAGGGGTAGCTGAGCTCCTTCAAGCTTCCTTTATAAGGGCACTAATCTCATTCATGAGGGCTTCACCCTCATGAACTCACTACTTCCCAAAGGCCCAGCCTCCTCATACCATCACCATGGGGGCTAGGATTTCAACATACAAATTTTGGGGAGACAAATTATTCAAAGCAGAGTGCATGTTTTGTCTAATTTATTTTTAAGTATTTTACATTTTTATATGCTATAGAAAAGACTTTATGTTTTTCAATGGTTATTTCTAATTTACTAGTCTTTTGCTAAGAATTTTTGAATTTATGTTCACTAAGGTATTAAGACTGTAATTCTGGTTTGCATTGTCTCTTATGAGAAATCAGTGGTCACTTTTAACTTTGTTCTCTTATGTGTCACGTTTTTTCTCTTGCTTCTAAGATTTTTCTCTTATAACTGTTTTTCAGCAATTTGATTAAGATGTGTCCTAGAGAAATGGCATTTTTATTTATTTTTGTATTTTTTATAGCTAATACATAGAAACAAAACTGATTTTTGTGTATTAAGCCTATATCCCGCCATTTTACCAAAAACTCACTAATTCCTGGCTTACACAGTGAAACCCCATCTCTATAAAAATACAAAAAATTAGCCGGGTGTGGTGGCGGGCACCTGTAGTCCCAGCTACTCCAGAGGCTGAGGCAGGAGAATGGCGTGAACCCTGGAGGCAGAGCTTGCAGTGAGCCGAGATCATGCCACTGCACTCCAGCCTGGGCGACAGAGCGAGACTCCATCAAAAAAAAAAAAGAAAAAAAAAAACTCACTCATTAGTTCTAGTATCTGTTTTGTAAATTGTAGATTTCTAAGGTTATATATGTACAATTCATGCCATCCATATATAAAGACACTTCTTCCTTTCCAATCTAAAGTCTTTGTTTTTCTTATCATATTGCACTGCATAGAAAATCCTCAGGTACAATATTGAATTTAGGTGATGAAGCTGACTAGCTTTGTCTTATTTCTGTCTTAGGTGCCTAACGTCAGTAAGCATGACTGAAGTAGGTTTCTTTTATAGACACCCTTTACCAGGTTGAGGAAATTTTCTTCCACTCCTAGTTTACTGAGAGTTTTTACCATGAGTGGATGTTGTATTTTGTGAAATTCTTTTCCTCAGCTATCAAGATGACATGAGTTTCCTTTTAGAGTACGAGTTAATAAGTTTTTCTTTTATAGCAAGAGTTTATCTCTGGAATGCAAAGTTGGTTTATTGTTTGGAAATAAACCAACAATGTAATCATTATATTAACATAATGGTTAATATAATATGGTTTCTATATATCACTTAATTCAATTTGCTACTCTGTGTGTGTGTGTGTGTGTGTGTGTGTGTGTGTGTGTGTCTTGAGATAGAGTCTTACTCTGTTGTCCAGGCTAGAGTGAAATGGTGTGATCATAGCTCACTGCACCTCAACCTCCTGAGCTCAAGCAATTCTCTTGCCTCAGCCTCCTGAGTACTCTGCCCTGCAAATTCCAGCCTCCTCCTTCTCTGTGTTCTCAGCTTAGTGCAACCACTATGCTCTGCTTGTGTTCCCTCTCCTCATATCATGGTCCAAAAAGTGTTTTCAGGGAGAAATCTGAGGCAACTATAGGACTCACATTGTTAGTTTCCCTTTTCTTAGGCATTAGAAGACTGTGCTGCCTATTGCCAAATATCTGAAAAGTTATTTCCTATATATCAGCCAACATTGCAGTTGATTGCATAGAAAAATGAGTCCTATATTACCTATTTCCTTCTCTTTTTTTTTCTTTTTTTGGGGGAGGGGGAGGGACAGAGTCTTGTTCTGTCACCCAGGCTGGAGTGCAGTGGCCCAATCTTGGCTAACTGCAACCTCTGTCTCCCAAGTTCAAGGGATTCTCCCGCCTCAGCCTCCTAAGTAACTCAGATTACAGGCATGTGCCACCATGCCCAGCTAATTTTTTTTGTGGTTTTGGTAGAGATGGGGTTTTGCTATGTTGCTTGGCCTCAAACTCCTGACCTCAAGTGATCCACCTGCCTTGGCCTCCCAAAGTGTTGGGATTACAGGCGTGAACCACTGTCCCTGGCCCCTATTTCTTTCATAGTTGAAAATCTCTATATATTTCTACATACATTTAATATACAATGTATCATATGAATTATAGCTTTTTAAAATTAATCTACAACACCCTGCTAAAACACTTTGAGGTCAAGAACTTTTGTCTTTCATATTTATGAAACCTGTATTTAGCAAAATGCCTGGCATATAATGAACATTGGCATAAAATGTTTGTGGAATATGTGCTTTCTTCTTCTCTCCCAACTCTGGCCTCCAGTCTCCCAGATGTGTACTGGCAGGCTACCTCAATTTTATTTTTCATGAACCTTGTTTCCCCCATTATTTTCTCTGTTCCCTTCAATTCAGGTGTAGAACTATGTAATTTAAGCCAAGTCAGGTAAATCTACCCTGATTCCTATTTATTTCTTGACTTGATTTTTTATCTTTGGTATCCCAAATCCAACTAAATTATTAAGAGAAAGGGAAAGATGTAAGCTTCCTCCCTTCGCAGGCCTAGGAAAATCAGATAACATAAGTAGTAAAACATATCCAAAAAATGAGGTAACACATAAATGGTACTTAATAAATGTTTTGTTATTCTCATACTCTCACTTATCAGCCTTCATCAACACAGAAATCATCAAAAGACCCACCACTTTTCCATGCCCAAATACAAGTTAACAGAAACACTCAACGGTTAATTTGCCACCCCAATTACACAGCTACCTTGCCTTTTACATGCAAAATTTTTAATCCAGTTTTGACCCATACTCACTTTGAGAGTTTTTGTCTGCTCACGTATTAGTTCTGTGTTTTATGCCTTTGTCTATCAGTTCATCATGTACATAAGCTCCTAGTAGGCAGTAATATCAGCAATAACTTATGTTTATCTGGCACTTAGTCTGTGCCAGACACTGTTGCAAGTATTGTGGATCTATTAACTCATTTAAATTTCCCAACAACCTTGGGTGGTAGGTGCTATTATTTTCTCTACTATAAAGATGAGATAACCGATGCCCATAAAGCATATGAAACTTGCCCAAGGTCACCTAGCTAGTAAATTCAGGAGCTGGGATTCAAATTCCAGAGCTGGAACTCCTGCCCACCACAAGATTCTGCCTCCACAAGGATGTTCTTATGTTTCCTGACAGCAGAATAGTCCTCATACATTTATATCATGTGCCTTGAATTGGATGCCAGACCACTTTATCATCACCCCAGATCCACCAGGCCCCATCTGCCCCCTGGGTCCCAGCCACTTGCTTCATCTTCTGGCCACAATGGCTGCAGTAAAGACAGAAGCTTCTGCAATCATTTCTCTGCATCTCATAACACCATCACTTTTCTCAGTCTCCCTAGAGGATAAGAGTCAGGCTTTGTCTTGGCTTTTATCTCACTCTTTCCTGCAGGAAATACAACCATCTCAATGCCCAGATCCAATGTGACTGGACCCACCCAGGGTCTAGCTATTCAACAAGATGTCCAGAGTGACAAGTTAATACTGCTAAGAAGGATGAGGAGTTGATGCCTCATGGAAAGTAATGTGACCTTTGATAGACAGGAAGAAGCCAGGAGATCAATTATTCTTCCTTCCTTCCTACTTGACTGCTGCAAGACACAGTGATTCCATGTCACGTCTCCAACTCTCTAGATACAGCCCCAGTAACTGAGCAACCAACTATGTCATCTTGCAAAGCTGTAGCCTGCTCTATTAGGCACCACTTTGAATTGTTTCCTGTCTTCCTTGCCTCGCTTTATTTTCCCCTCATTATTGCTTCCCTCCAATTATATTCTCCAGTAAAGCATAAGCACACAAGCTTCACTTGAGGCTCTATTTTCTTTGGGCAACGAACTTGTTTTATTCCAATAATATAGGTTAATTTGTGCTGACACATATGTTCTCTCTCTTTGTATATTAATTATCTATTGTTGTATAACCAATTAGTCAACACTTAGTGGCTTAAATCAAGAAACACTTATTATCTCATGGTTTGCATGAGTAAGACATGCAGAAGCTGCTTAGCTGGGTAGTTATGGCTCAAGGTCTCTCCAGAGGTTGCAGTCAAGATAACAGGCAGAGATGTAACCTTCTGAAAGCTCAACGGGGGCTGGGCCATCTGCTTCCAAAATGGCACACTCACAGCTATTGCCAGAAGCCTTGGTTTCTCACTAACTCTTAGCAGAAGGCCTCAGTTCCTCACCACATGTATCTCTCCATAGGGCTGCTTACATGTCCTCCAGAATGAGTGTTCCACGAGAGGGCAACAAGGAAGATGCAATGCCTTTTATGACCTTCAGAGTCACACACCATCATTTTTGCCTCATCCTGTTCATTAGAAACAAGTCACTAAATGTGGCTCACATTCGAAGGGAATAGAATTACTCTCTACCTTTTAAAGAAAAGAGTGTGGACAGAATTTTAAATCACCACACCTGGTTTTTCTAGTTGCTAAGAATATATATTTACAAGATAGATTGCTAGGGTTATAGTCTACAAGCTTGAAATAGAGTTGCTAATGATTCTACAAAAAAAAAAAAAAAAAAACTGAACTCATGGCCACCACTAACACTTTGCAGAGTTCTAACTAGCTGTCTTGCTGTACTGCACTAACATAAGTGATTCAAAATTCTTTCAGGATGTAATATGTGATGTCAGCATCCCAAAATCATTTTGGTTCAGCCTTTCTTGGTTCTTTATTCAGTCCTCTCCAAACCTATATCTGCATTTTATGATAAACATTCCAACAAGTGATCGATACTGACCACATCTACTATTAGTAATGAATGTTAACAAAAATAAATCTTCTCATTTGTCAGTAATCACAAGGTTATTAGAAGAATCAAGTAAGTTAGCAAATGAAAAATGACTGTAGAGTACTGTCTGGCACAGTGGGTGGTCAATAAATGTTCTCCTTTAAATCAAAACAAAAGAATTCTAAAAAAACTATTTATCAGCTAATAGCTCTTACCTTGCTGCTTCTTGAGTCACTACAACTATACTCTTGCAGATCACATAACCCAAATTTGTTCTGTCCCTACATGGTGATAAGTAACTTGCCTCTTTCATCTGATACTTTGTTGCTATAAAACATATAAAAACAATGACATGTCAGGTTGAGTGTTTCTGCTTAACTATCTTCTTCCCATACTTTTGATATACCTTGTCTACCACTTTGGCCTTGGTGAAATTGAATCTCACTCACACTACAGGTTCAATGAGATTATTATTGCCCTGCATATTCAATAAGATAGTAGTTTATGTCATTAGTTTCCTACTTCAAGATACATCCACTCAGCTATTGAAACAATTAAAATTTTAACTGAAAACAAATGCTAATTGCTGGCCACAGACACAACTTTCTACGTATTATTATTATTTAAAATGAATATTTTGCACACACATAAATGTAAGCCTTATAGCCACTCATCGAATATCTTTAGGTCTCTTGTTAAATTCCTATGTACAGTTAATTATTTGTGCTAATAAGTAACAACATAATTGAAATTAATGAGCCAGTAACTGTCTCCTATCTTCCAGAAACCTTCCCTTTTCTCTTTACTGCAATGTCTACCACACTTAAATAATGTGTTTTATTTCCTTCTATTTCTTCTACCTATGCTTATAAAGTGCTAATAAGCAGAGAAGAGTCAAAATAGGTCAACCTGAAGAAGAAAAGCAGAGATCTTAGTATACCTAAAAATGAATATTCATTCCTCAAACAAATGGGAATGAAATGCACTTCTAGGTATAAATACAGAGTGGGAAAAATCTTTAGATCACGGTAATTATAAGTGATATGCCCTTAGACCAAGAAATTATGTTTATAACTAGGCCAATAAATAGTTTTCAACTCAAGTACCAATTTCATATGGTGCACATACTGAAAAGGATCCCAAAACCAAGAACACAAGGGACAGAGGATGACAGCACATCCTGGAGACGCAGCTGATCCCCATGCTCAGCACATGGCTCCCCAGGTGTGTTTTGTCACCAGGCTAACACTCTATTGAGCATCCATTTCTTTAATGAGTACTTTGCCCTCACAGGGTTGACTGTTGACTCAGACAGATGCAAAAGGCCTCCACACTTGATGTGCCCAAGATCTGGAATGTCCTTCCAGACAAACGCCCAGTCGCTGGGAGCCCATTTATTGTAAAGACAAATGCATTTGTTCCCATCACAGAACTGCAGGCAAAGTCTAGCAGAGTGGGAATGGGAAAATGAAAAATACATCTTTATAGTCTGTGTCTGTGTATGATTTCAACCAAAGTAACAAGGCCAACAAAGTAACAAGGCCAAATAAATTTACACCAAAGACTTCCTACTCCAGTGTTAACATTGTTGTGGATACAGTTTGTAAAATATAAAAAATAAAAACTGGATGCGGTGGCTCGAACCTGTAATCCCAATGCTTTGGAAGGCTAAGCTGGGAGGATTGCTTCAGGCCAGAAGTTTGAGACCAGCGTGGGCATCATAGCAAGACCCTGCCTGGAAAAAATAAATAACTAAATAAATAGATATAATTTTTTAATTTTTAAAAAATCTGTTTTGAAGACCAAATCTTAATGTTGTAAGTACCTAATCTAAGTACCATTTATTTAGGTTGCTCTAGTGGGTCCTAGATGATATCCATGTGTAATTTTTACCTAAATTTCTATGTCTTTACTGTTGAAACACTGGACTTAGTACTTTTTAACTTTCCTAGGCTACTTACCTTCAATTTTTCTTTTCCTATTTTTCTCTTTAAGCTAAATTCTAACTTCACCACTTCCAGGCTATGTGATCTCGAACAAGTCACTTCACCTCCTTCTGAAGTTTACCTCCTGAAGTTTCACCTATGAAGTGCAGATAAAATAGACCCCACCTCATAAAGCTGGTGGAAGAACTGAATGTGAATACATTGAAGCCTCACAGAACTGAGGCAAGCCATTCTCAGATTCAATATCACCATCGGAGAGAGGGAAAAAATGCAGGTTACAATATCTGCAACTTCACTCATATAATGAATATTAAATAAATATTACCTATTATTATTGGGCCCACTACCCAATAGGACCATGTTCCAAGTATACCAATCTTAGGCATTTTTATCTTATTCGGTCATTTTTCATCAACATTGTTCTCATCATAAGCTGACTCCTGACTTTAGACTTTCCCTCTTTTAAGTAGGCAGGCTTTGTATTTGTCTTCTGGCTCCAATCTTTCCTGGCTGTCTTGAGTAAAGACGCAATACCTATCCTCCCATGCCTCCCTCCCAACACCCTTCCCAAGGTAACTGAACATTGGTAAACAGGCACCTGTGCAGTGAGAGGGAGCTGCTCAAGTGCATGAACTGGAAAACAGTGTCTTGAGCAAGGGCTGGGTAAATCAGTATAAGTGCATTTTTGGAGCTTGTTTCAGCTCACTCTTTCTTCCATCACTTTGTGGTTTATAGAGTGATAAATAACATTTTTAAATGTTGCTTTTGTGATACTCAAGTGGAAAGAAAATTTGCCATCAACTAGAGAGCAACCTTTGCACATGCTATCCCTCTGTTCCTGTTTCCTGGGCAAGCCTAGAAAGCCCAGGACTTAGGAAGGAAAGTGAGACACATCTAAGTCCAGAAGTAGCGGGGAGCTGATTGATTTGGTCTAGCCAAGCCTCTTTGAAAGACAGAAGCCGGCTATAACACAACGATGCTCTCGGCTCTCCTCAGATCCACCGTTACTGCCACCAACCTTCTTTAGAGTCTTATCACCTCTCACATGGATTCTAAATTGCTTCCAAGTCTTTCTTGCTCTTACTCACAAATTCCTTCTGATCCACAGCACTTTTCAAATGGATGCCAAATTAATCTGATTATTGTACTCAGATCTTAAATGGTTTCTTGCAGCCAGCCACATTAGGTAGAAAAGATGCATTCTGGCATTCAAAGCCCTTCAGAAGTTTAGCCCCAACCTCACTTTCTAGCCTGATCTCCTTTCATTGCCTACACACACCATACTCTCCAGCAGGGCCAGATCTTTCTCAGTGATCCTTTTCAATGACTTGCAACTTTATATCCACCAGAAACTTATCTCCCATTTCTCCCCCAGTCAATTTCCATTTCAAATTTTACTTCCTTCCTGACCACAATCACCCTATCCTCCTGCTCTCACAACGAGATGTAATCTCTTCTCCATCAAACATGTCTTGGTGCTGTGGGTATATCCCTCCTTAAGCTCTTACTACATTCTGTTCTATATGATAATCACTTTCATATTGAATTTTTTCCTTGCCACCATCAAACCATCATCAGCCTGAGCATAAAGACTGTATCATTATATTTCCTCCGATGCCTAAAACAGAGCTTGGCCTCCTGAAAGCACTGAGTAAATATTTTTCAAATTGAATTGAATACTGTATCATGGAGAAATATCCTTTATTTACCTTATATTTGTTTAAATTTGTTTTATTTTGCAAATATTAGTAACTATATCAACCTAACATTTATTTTTCCCTTCTGTTCCTATTACTGGCAGTGAACAATAAATTTGGATTTTCCATAGCTGTGTCTATATACTGAAAGCCAGAGACAGAGAGAGAGAGAGAGAAGAGAGAACCAGGCATTATATTTAAAGTTTCCAGATGAAAGCCCACCAGTACTTCATGTTCTCAGGTGACCGCATCATGCACCAGGCCATGGAGTCACTGAAATAAAATAAAGTTTAAAAGGCAAGATTCTATTATTATTCTTTGGGACCATACTTCTCAATTGCCCTTTGGTTTATCTTTAAAAGAGTCTTTCATCCCATGAAATTTAGTGTTCTCTCCCTTTTCTCATTATAAACAATTCACTTCACACATGCAGAAAAATGAAATTAGGTTGAATAATACAAAGTTATGAATGCTGATAGAAAATAAATAACTTCTTATCTTCCTTTCACTTTGCTGCTTGGTCTCTGTGGTTTTGCCTTTCTGGATCTGTGCCTTTTAAATGCCTTAAAGTCTAAAAGTTGAAAGGTAGAAAAGACGAGAAGATTTACTGTTAAGGAGCACAATTGGGTCCTATGTCTTTATAGTCAATATTTTAAGTAGTTTAAGGAAAAGGATGTTAATTTAAGAGATAGGTCAAATGTTTGTCTTGTTTTTCAACAGGATCACCTGGAAGAATATGTTGTTTTTATTTATTAGATATTTACAAGGCTCTCATAGCCCAGCCAATTATGATGAACACTAGGTATTTAATACAATGTGATAAACGTAAAAACTGCCAGTATAGTTTGTTTCCAGATTTTTTAAAAAAGTACTGAATCATGGATCCAGTAAAAAGAAAGACAGAGAAATAGAAAGAGGGAAGAGAGGAAGGAAAGAAGGAAAGAGAAAAGAAAAAGGAATGCTGATATTGGGAGAGTTAGCCCAGGCTGTCTTTCATAATAAGCACATTGAAAGAGCAAAGGGAAGGCTTTCAGCTAACTTACCAAAGCACCTGTCAAAATCCAGGGTTGAGTCTATCTAAAGAAAACGATAAGGTCAGTTTCTATTTACATTAAAGAGCTACAATAAATCTATTTGAAATGTCTAAATGTATGCTTATTGTGAGTCACTGTTTTCCTGAACACACAGTCATGTACCTATCTCTTAAACAGGCGGTAGCATTTAAGGTAACTTTATAGGTTGAGTGACCAAAAGGCTATGTGCCTTGCAAACCCTTTGCCCTTTACCTTATACAGAACATCTATGCTGGAGGATCAAGGAAGATCAAGGTGGGGTCAGGGGAGGGTGCTCAGAAATATACAGTTAAAAAAAAAATGAGAAAGAAAGAGTACTATTCCAGGGATTATTCCCACCCCAATTCTTCATTCAGCTATTTCTACTCAAAACCTAATTTTCTCAAAAACAAAATGCCTACATATATTTCTCTTGCCATTTCCTTAAATTAAAATTCCTTCTATTCCCTATTTCTCTTATTGGGGTTGCAAGATTTAGCAAATAAAAATACAGGACATCAAATAAAGTTTGAATTTCAGAAAAATAATGAATAAATTTTAGTAAAAGTATATTCCATGTAATATTTTGTAATACTTACCCCAAAAAAATTGTCTGTCTGAAATGTAAACAGTGAATCATTTTCAGAATAAGTATATCCCAAATGTTGCATGAAACATATTTACACTGAAAAAAAATTGATGTTTATCTGAAATTCTTATTTAACCGGACACCCTGCATTTGATCTGGCAACTCTCATGTAAATTCTCCCATCATTCAAAGCCCATATCAAATCTCATCTCTTTAGTGAATAGTTTCATAGCCATTTTATTTCAAAAGGATTCATGCATTTATTCATTCAATCAACAAATATGGGTGGAACAGTTAGTGTCCTCCAGAAACTGTTAGGCATTACAGCTAAAACAAACAGCCTGTTGTTAGAAGGCAGAGGGTACCCTTGAAAACAGCAAGAAGGACACAGGGGAAGAAGAGCTATGAGAAAGGTGCACGGGGCACCATGGGAGACCCTCCGTGAGCCTCTCCCTCTTGTCTCCTATCTAACTGCATCACACATCGGCATTTGGAGCTATACCTTTCACTTCTAAGCTTCTCCCTAGTGTACTACTGTGCTTAAGGTAGGCACTTGATATTTATTTGTTTTCATATAATGAAGGACTTTTTCCATTCACTTACCCTTCACTGGAGTTATTAGAAAGCTAACCACAGGATTGGGTTTGGTTTGTTTCTCTTTGACTAAAGTAAGAAACTGCCTTTTCCAATAAGCTAAATGTGACAAGCTTTGCTCCATGTTCTTCGAACAGTCATTTAATCCTCATGCTGTCATCATGAACTAGGTACTATTTAAAACCCATTTTACTAAAGAGGAAACAAAGGCAGAAAATGCTTCCGTTAATTTGCCCCAAGTCAGATGAGTAGGAAAGGTGGGGCTGAGATTCAGACGAGCGGTCTGGCTCCAGAATGTTCTGTTGCCCCTCTGTAATAAGTAATAGAGGTGACTTTAAAAATTAAAATTAATAAGCTTCTGGAATTTTCTGTAGACATTTAATATGTTCCTTTTTAATTTTATATTTTAAAAGAGCTATCCTTATTATATTTCTGATGATCTGCAAATGAACCAGATAGATTCCTCTCTAATTCAAGGGGAAGAAATGTTAAGGAGAAGGAAGCCAAAACTGTGCCATCTAACATAACGAAAGCATTTGTTTGTTCATTGCATTTTCCTTCATTGCAGCCAACTCAAATCATTCTGGTCTGTGCTGGTCAACATTTCGCTAAGAAATGTTGAAACGTAACACAGGAGAGAGAGAAGTCCTAGATACTGAGTGTTGTTACTTTATTGCCCGATCTATGAAAATTCAAATTTAAGTATCCTGAATGTTATAAAGTCTAAGTGACTTCCAAAATGTGTTCTTTGTGAAGCTATTGATGAATGTTAAAAATATCCATTTTCCATTTGTATAGAATGAGGATACTTAAAACATAAACACATTCATTTGGATGCACTGCAAGTCCCCTTTCTCTCAACACGGTACTGCCTGTTCCCATTTCTCGATAGATGGGATTTCTCACAGATATGTCATGATTTAAATGTTAGCTACCTGGGATACCAATAGAAACCAGATAAAAACCACTTTTACTATGGGAAAAGATGAAGAATTGACAGCGCTCATAAAGAGACTTTCATCTTCAGGAAATAATTGTCCTGCTTTGAATAGTGCAGGTTGTTGTGGTTTGGCCTCAGCGTTTATGTCCCACTTAGATTAATGCATTATATTAGGAGAAGGCTAGCTTCGTGGAGTCTTTGCTAATAAATTATGTGTTAAGATAAGTAAAATAAATAAAATTGTCGGGATAGACCTGTTTGTCCCTAGATGGCATTCTGATACCAAAGCTAAGACTCTATTGATATTTTTTAAAGGTCTGTTAACTGTAAAATATAATTTATGGCCTCCTTCACTTTCAAAGTCGGAAAATAATGCAGAAATGGGAAGTTATTGTAGAAAATTCTGTTTAATATCTTATATAAATCACAAGTTTCAGAATCTCAAAACCATACAAAGCCCTCTTATTTTGCATAAACTGTCTCATATAGAAACCAATATGAATTTCATATATAATTGATAGGAGAGTGACATTTAGAAAAATATAAAATGTCAACAGGGACATCTTGAGTAAACACATCACAAAAGCCTGTGTTTATAACAATAAAAGACAAATAGATTTGGGGGGAATAAAAGAATCTCAGAGGATGAAAGAACTTTAAAGTTTATCTAGTTCACCCATCCCACTCTCATACACTCTATATTATCTCCTCCAGAAACTTGAGCCTGGGTGCTTGGACAGTATCTCCTAGGAGTTCACAGACTCTGTGTCTACCCAAACATTATCACTGGGACCTACTGGTAAAGAACAAGAAAATGAGGCCAAGATCAGGAAGGACTTTGAAAGCAACTATTTTCACCCTCTCCCACAACAAGCAATGCTTTTGTCTCCCTCTTAACCTCTCAGCACTTTGCCTCCTAACCCTTGGGGAATGTAGGTGCTTGAGGAAGCACCATGGGGTGAACCAAGAACCATGGACAGGAAAATCCATGTGCAATGAAAGCAAGGCCAGGAAAAGTGGGAATGTCGGCCGGACAGTGCAGAGCTCTGATGGAGGTGGCAAGTGTCCTGGCGTTGGTCTGAAGCTGAGAAACAGCCATATGATCCAAGACTATCCTTTCATGTTTAAATTGTGGTTGAAAAAATGTGTGACATAAAATTTACGATCTTAACCGTTTTTATGTGCATAGTATTAACCATATTCACATTGTTGTGCAACAGATCTCTAGAACCTTCCGTCCTGCAAAACCAAAACTCTACGTTCACTGAACAAAAACTTCCCATTTTCAACCTCCCACAGCCCCTGGTGACCACTTTTCTACTTTCTGTTTCTAAGAGTCTCACTACTCTAGATACCTCCTGTAAGTGGAATTATGCAGTATTTGTCTTTTTGTGACTGGCTTCTTTCATTTAGCTAATGTTTTCAAGGTTCATCCATGCCGTAGCTCATGATGGGACTTCCTTCTGTTTCAAGGCTCCATAATATTCCATATATATACGACACATCTCGTCAGCCATCCATCTGTCCATGTTTATTTAAGTTGCTTCCACCTCTTGGCTATTGTGAATAATGGTGCAATGAAGCATAAATGTGCAAATAACTCTTTGAGATATTGTTTTCAATCCTTTTGGATATATACCCACAAGTGGGAATGCTGGATCATATGGTAATTCCATTTTTCATTTTTTGAGGACCTCAAGACTTCTTATTTAACCGTATTGCTACTTATTCTTTTCAATTGACTGTTCTTCCAATTCTTGCTTCCCAGTAGAGGCTGTTAAATCGATCCAGGGACACCTGGGGACAACCGGCCACTGGCTTCTCCTACACAGATTCACACTATTACTGGGACCAAACCAAGCCATTCTATACCACCTTTCACACATTGCTACAACGATGAAACACAGACCAATCATTCTTTACTTACTGTATTTGGACAGAAAATAAATGTTGATTCCTTTTAGTAATTATTTCCCATTTTAGCTTCAAGATATCATTCAAGAAAACCTCCCAACTACACAAATGCAATTTTTATTTCGAAGGAGTGATCTTCTTCCTTTTTTCATTTGAGATAATATTTAGATGTTTTTAGGGGTAAAAAGTATTATTTTGAGAGACTTGATATGAAACATGTAAATATGTTTGTGTATATTAACTTATGAACATAATTTATTAACTAGATAATGCCCACCAAATAGCTAAGATGGTTGTCTTCTGCAAATTAAATTAGTAAAATAAATGTGTCAAGGAAAAGATAGATTTATTGCAAAAGTCTTCAGAAATACAATGTTTTTAGGTAAAATCCTCAGAAAGCAGAGCCTACGATATGGTTTGGTTGTGTCCCCACCCAAATCTCATCTTGAATTGTAGCTTCCACAGTTCCCATGTGTTGTGAGAGGGACCTGGTGGGAGGTAACTGAATCATGGGGGCAGGTCTTTCCCATGCTGTTCTCATGATAGTGAATAAGTCTCACAAGAGCTGGTGGTTTTAAAAAGGGGAGTTCCCCTGCACAAGCTTTCTCTTGCCTGTCGCCATGTAAGACATGCCTTGCTCTTCCACCATGATGTGAGGCCTCCCCAGCCATGTGCAACTGTGGTTCAATTAAACCTCTTTCCTTTATAAATTACTCAGTCTCAGGTATGTCTTTATTAGCAGCATGAGAACAGACTAGCCCAGAAAAAACTTAACTAGTTATCCAGAAAATGTTCAATGGGATTATTATTCAAAAAAAATAATGCATAAACATCAAGGCAATGTTCAGCAGAGGTCAAATAAATGCAAGTGCAAATCAAAGAAATTCCTCTCTGTTTATCAAGTATTCAGAAGAGAGCAAGACTAAATCAGGGACAGAAATGCGGTTCTCTCTAAAGCTTACTAGAGTTGGGAAATCTGGAAGGCAGGGAGAGCTCTCTGGATTTTACCTAGCCTGGAAAAAAAAAACAGATTTTAAGATTACCTTTCTCCCTTTGTTCTTTTTAGCAAGCAAAATTCTGAGTACCCCTAAGGTACCCTGACACTGCAAAGGAGGTATGCGAATAGAGACCACCAGAAATAAATTTTCTCCATTGCAATTAATAATTATTTGGCATTTTGGTTCAAATATCACTGTCTTGTGAGTTGACTTAAGGAATCAGTCATCGGAAAGTTGATAAACTCCAACCATTCTGTACCAGCACACCAGAAGCTAAGACATAGGGAGACCCTATCCTGGTTCCTGCTTAGCTATGCAATCCGTCTACCACTTCCTGAGTAATCGAAACCCAAAAAGTGACCAACTGCTTGGAATAAAAAGAAATTCTTACAGCAAAAATAATAATAATAATATTCAAAGAATTATTCTACCACACATGCAGCAAAAATTCAAAATGTTCTCTTCAGTAATTATCAAATGTTAAGAAAACCCTCAATGAAACAGATGGAATAAATTGTAGTTAAATTTTTGAACATTTATTGGGGCTGCAGCAACTTTGCAGACAGTCCAAAATTCCAGAGTAATATCCTTCAAGATGTAGTGGAGATTTTTGGAGTTTCGACCACATCTGAGAAGCTCTGCTCTTCCTTTTCAGCACTTAGTAACAGAGAAGGGTGTTCTGATTAATAACTTTCAAATCAATGAGATATTCTGTTTGTGGAAATGAGATATGCCACAGGAAAATCAAGCACATATGTGAGTAAATTGTGGGGACTTACGATGCTTGATGGGAATTGACACCCATTTATTTTTCAAAATATACATTTTACCAGAACTCAGATTTTTGTTTGTTTGTTTTTTGAGACAGAGTCTTGCTCTGTCACTCAGGCTGGAGTGCAGTGGCACGATCTCAGCTCACTGCAACCTCCGCCTCCTGACCTCATGAAACTCTCCTGCCTCAGCCCCCTGAGTAGCTGGGGCTACAGACGTGTGCCACCATGCCTGGCTAATTTTTGTATTTTTAGTAGAGATGAGGCTCAGATGTTTTACAAGGCTTTCCCACATAGTATCATCAGCTTCACTCATTCTATAATTAAGTTCAATCAATATGTCCCAAATACCAGAGGAGTTGTCAATAGTGACAATATTTAATGCAATTGATGTATAAAAATTAAAATGTTTGTTCTTTATTGCATTTAGTTTCATATCATACTCCTCTTTACATCTCTAATGTCTCTTCTTAGAACCCTGAGGATTAAATTTTCTTGTGGTAGTTTGTACATATCAACATATTTTAGAGGCAAGTTTACTGGAAGACCACACAGTATGAAGATTAAACAATCAGCTCATAATAAGAGTGAGAAGTTTCCATCCCTGGCCCCTCTTTCCTGTCAGTTGGCTGGCTGAAATCAGGCTTCATGGAAGAGATTATCTTTAAAGATGAGAAAAGAATAGTTTGAAAAGAAGAAATAGAATATTCATCAAGATACGCAATAGAACCCCCACTTCTATTAAGTAAGGGGAATGAACTAAAATAAATTCTAAGTACAGTCATACCTACAATATTTGGTGACTATTTGAGCATAAAACAAAATACAATGGTAAAAATCAAAGACAGGCAGCAGCCAGCAATAAACTACGTGGTAAGGTTTGAGATGGTGCTTACTAGTATGACTTAATACCACATTTTTCTCAAAATAAAGCTTCCACATTAATTGCAAATTCGGACTGACTAACTCATTGACAGAAATAAATTCACATATGAATGTCAATCAATAAAAGGACAAAAGAAAAGTAACACTAAAAAGAAACATTTGATAATTCATCAAAATAAAAGTACCCAAGTTAAAGCAGAGGAAGCATTTTTGACCAACATTTTCATGAGTCGAAAATAGGTATAAAAACCTTAAAAATAATCTGCTTGAAGATAATAGAGAGCTAATAAGATAGGAAATAGAGATCCAAGGAGGTTAAACAAACGGCGGAGGCCATTTTTCCCAAAGGATGGTTCTTGGAATACTAGAAGAGACAACAGAGAGAATTAGCTGCACAGCTGACAATGTTTTAGGAATAGAAGACAGTGATTGGAGTCTGGTACATAATTTCTTAAAATCCTCAAGGAGACAGGCCAACATAAATGAAACCCAGTATGAAAAAAAAAAAAGGCAATGGAATCAGATCCATGGTGGTTCCAGATACTGGAGAGTCTATATTTTTAAGGAAGTCTGCTTACTGTGTTCAAGAAGATCACAAACAAAATTTTCGTCAGAGAACTAGACAACTTAAAAAACTGAAAATTCTGGAAATAAAAGGTATAATAATTGAAATTAGAAACATATAGATCAGCTTAGCAGCAGAATAAATACAGCTGAATGAAAAGAGAATTGGTGAATTGGTGAATTGTTATAGGCCAGAAGAATAGATTCAAAATAAAGGATGGAAAAAATATTATAGTTGATACATAAGAAAGAGTGAACAACTCAGAAGGCACAGTGAGAAAGCCTAAAGTATGTACAATTTGTGTCTGAGAAAAAAAAGAAGTAATATTTGCTAAGATAGTGGCTGACAGCTTGCCAAAATTGAGACGAGATATTGAGTAATATATTTAAAATCATTATGAAGCTCAGGCAAGATAAATAAAAATAAAAGTATATGTAAGTACATTGTATAAAATGCTGAAAACCAAAGACAAAGAGAAAATATTAAAATCAGCCAGAGGGGAGAAAAAGGATAAGTTACTTTCAAAGGAACAATAATAAGCCTTATGGATAATCACTCAACAGACACAATGGAATTCAGAATAAAATGTAATTATAGCTTCAAAGTGCTGAAAGTAAATCACTCCTAAAATATAATTTCATACTTAGTTAAAATATCCTGGAAGAACAGAGATAGCAAATCATAACTGAAAAAAAAGTTGCTGCTAGAAGCCCCTCCCTAAAGAAAATGCTAAGTGTTGTCTTCAGGAAGAAAAAAAACAGTTGTTCAGAAATGCAAAAAAAAATAAAGAGCAACAAAATAAGAAGTATTTGGATAAATGTAATGAATATTGACTTGTAAATGAAAATAATGGTATTTTTCTTAATTAAAGCTAGGGAGACATAAAATTCATGGCATTAATGACATGTGTCCATAGGGGTTCTTGCATTATCTGAGAATGAGACAAAAATACAAAAACTATGGCTTGAAAAGTAAAGGAGGAATGGTGTAATGTGTAATGCCACCAGTAAAATAATAATAGCAACAGTGTTTAAAACTCCCAATGTAACACATAGGACAAATGTGATAGAAAATAATAAATTAAAAACAAGGCAAGAAAGAAAAAGGGAATATAAAATATGTATTCAAATAGAAAGTATTTGGTAAAACTAAAGATTTAAACCCAAATATAGAATAAATCATATTAAATGTAAGTGAAAGGAATTTTCAGAATAAATAAACTCTACATTGCTATTAAAAAAACACACATCTTAAATTTAAAGAAAAAGAAAGATTACAAATGAAAGGATACAAAAAGATATGCCACACAAGCACAACAAAGAGAAATCTGCTGTAGTCATTGATATGGTTTGGCCCTGTGTCCCCACCCAAATCTCATCTTGAATTATAATAATCACCATGTGTCAAGGGTGGTGCCAGGTAGAGATTATTGAATCATGCGGGCAGTTTCCCCTATCCTATTCTGGTAATAGTGAATAAGTCTCATGAGATCTGATGGTTTTATAAATGGGAGTTCCCCGTACATGGTCTCTTGCCTGCCACCATGTAAGACGTCCCTTGCTCTTATGCCATGATTGTGAGGCACCCCCAGCCATGTGGAGCTGTGAGTCCATTAAACCTCTTTCCTTTATAAATTACCCAGTCTTAGATATGTCTTTATCAGCAGCAGGAGAACAGACTAGCACAGTTATATTTTTTAAACCTGATAAAATTTACTTTAAGACAAAAAGCACCACCAGAGATAGATTGGCAGGCATTCCCGGTGTGACTCAACGTGTCCAAATTCCCTCTTTTTCTGAGGACACCACCCTAATGGCCAAATTGCAACTTAACCATCACTTTAAGGACCTTATCTCCAAATATTATTACATTCTGAGGTACCAGGGATTAAGGCTTCCGATTCATGAATTTTGTGGGGACACAATCAACCTATAATTGGTAATTATAGTAACTCATGGAAAATGCTAATCTTATTAGCTTGAAAATCACAGCAGATAAGTAACAGTCAGTTTTTACTATTTTATATTATATGACAAAAGTCCCCAAGCTCCCTGTTGTTTATAGCACAACCTTGTGTGTCTGTGGTTCCATGGCTCTGTTCCATGTGTCTTCTTATTCTAGGAACAGATGAGGGAAGAGCTTTTAGCTGGGATTGCCATTCCCACACAAAGGGGAAAGAGTGGGGAAAATGTGGTGCATGATTTTAGGAGTTTCTGCTTGGAGGTAGCATACCCATCACTATCATTACTGCTTACTTGGCCAAAGCAATCCCGTGGCTCAACACTAACACTTAACAATTGGCTATTCTGGGCAGGTGTGGTGGCCCATGCCTGTAATCCCAGAACATTAGGAAGCCGAGACTGGAGGATTGCTCGAGCCCGGGAGTTTGAGACCACTCTGGGCAACATAGTGAGACTCCCTCCAGCCCACCCCCTGACCCCATCCCACCCCCACCCATCTTTACAAAAAACTTAAAAGTTAGTCAGACATGGTAACACATGCCTGTGGTCCCAACTAGTAGAGAGGGTGAGGTGGGAGAACTGCTTGAGCCTGGGCGATGGAGGCTACAGTGAGCTGTGATCACACCACTGCACTCCGGTCTGGGCGACAGAGCGAGATTCTGTCCCCCCACCCTGCAAAAAAAGCCAAAAAAAATTGGCTATTCCTTCAACAGGGAAGCACTGCAAGTCAATTTCAACAGCTGTGGCTATAGAATCCCATTACAGAGAAGTAGGAAGCAATTAACTGACAGCAATAATATAATCAGCCACCGCAAGGTCATGGATTTACAGGAATTTGCTATTCATCCACGTTATAAAAGCAAAGACAAAAAATGTGAGTAACAAAATGTTTGCCATGCTTGCAAGAGACAACAGGAGCTATTAGCAAAATACATCGATTAATTTTCTACTTTAAGATTACTTGTTACTAGTGAACCAGAAAGCATGCAATAGTTGCTGTCTACGAAGAGGATTTGCTTGAAGGTTTATCTAGGACTGATTCACCAAAAAGTATTTAATTATAGGTTCAGAAAACTTAATGTTTTCAGATACTTAGAAAATGTTTGACTGACAACAACACAAAATGAGTAAGATACAGGATAATTAACAGAGCCAACCCTTGCTAAAACGATGAAAGTGAACTAGCCATCCACCTACCCACCTCCTAGCCCTACCCCCCAACTTCTCCTCCCATCTCTACTCCCAGCCTTTATTCTCTCCTGACTTCTTCTCAAGTTTAGTGTCATTTCCTGCCTTCTCTAGGCATGGGCACAGACCACTCCCCAATCTCTTCTTATCAAATGTGTCAGGTTGATTTTTGTTTTTGTTTTTGTTTACTTTATATTGAAGTATTGGTACTTGTGACCCCTCCTAGTCTCTGATCTTCCATACTGCCAAGGTAACGACTATCCTAACTTCTAACACCATAGATTTGCTTTGCCTGTTTTTGTATGTGTTCTTTAGTTTCTGGTTTCTTTCACTCAACATTAGATTTGTGGTAGTAGATTACTCATCCAGCTGATGTATAGAAGTCCATCGTGTGAATATACCACAATATATTTACCTATTCTACCCTTGATGGACATTTGGATAGATTCCAGTTTGACGCTATTATGAATGGAGTCACTGTGAACATTCTAGTTCATGTCTCTTGGGGAACTTAATTTATAGATTTCTTTAGATTGAAACCTAGGACTGGAATGGCTGGGTCGGAGGGCATATGGACATTTAGCTATAATCATTTTCCAAAGTGGTGGGACCATCCTACAGATGTTTAATAAGGATTCACATTCATTCATAAAAACCTGAATAGTCTGCACAGTATTTTCAAAAGAAGCAGATCTAGAACCCAGTTCTGATTCCAAGCCTAGTGCATTTTCCATCCAGTAGATTCCAGGTTCTTCTATCCTACTTTCTTCTCCTCAATACTATGCTGCCTTTTCCCTCTAAAGACTCAAGAATGAATAGCTAGTCATTCACGGGGCATTCTCCCCAAGGTACTTGTTGCCTTAAAGAGGGTCAGTGGTAACTCCAAAGAGCTCTAATTGTGGGACTTTCAGGTTTCATAAAAGATCAATCTGTAGAAAGGAACTAGAGAGGAGAGAGAGGGAGATAACTTCAGTCACAGGAAAGTACTTAACAGAGTCAATCAAATCCAAGAGGGCCATTGATCTGAATAGAGCCATTTGTGATGAAACACAATAGAAGATAGGAAGCTCATCTTTTATCATGTGAACCTCAGGGCAAACATGCTAGAAAGCTATTGAACCCTGGCCTCCTCAAATTGATACACAGGAACAAAAGGGAAGCCTCAGATGTCAAATTCTCATGTCTGCGCCCAGGCGGCCAGAAGCAGGAACCGGCTCCTGGTTTCTTGAGGGTGGCCTGCATGTGAGCCCAGGGTGTGACAAAATGTAGCAGAAAAGACTGAGAAGGATGACGACGAAAATGAAGCTCCAGCCTCCTGACTACCCCTCTCAGGTGTGCATCTGTTTCCAATTCCGTATTACAATTAAAGAGAATGATTTTTTATTTTTTTTAATTTTATTATTATTTTACTTTAAGTTTTAGGGTACATGTGCACAATGTGCAGGTTAGTTACATATGTATACATGTGCCATGCTGGTGTGCTGCACCCATTAACTCGTCATTTAGCATTAGGTATATCTCCTAAAGCTATCCCTCCCCCCTCCCCCCACCCCACAACAGTCCCCAGAGTGTGATGTTCCCCTTCCTGTGTCCATGTGATCTCATTGTTCAATTCCCACCTATGAGTGAGAATATGCGGTGTTTGGTTTTTTGTTCTTGCGATAGTTTACTGAGAATGATGATTTCCAATTTCATCCACGTCCCTACAAAGGACATGAACTCATCATTTTGTATGGCTGCATAGTATTCCATGGTGTATATGTGCCACATTTTCTTAATCCAGTCTATCATTGTTGGACATTTGGGCTGGTTCCAAGTCTTTGCTATTGTGAATAGTGCTGCCATAAACTTACGTGTGTATGTGTCTTTATAGCAGCATGATTTATAGTCCTTTGGGTATATACCCAGTAAAATGGGATGGCTGGGTCAAATGGTATTTCTAGTTCTAGATCCCTGAGGAATCGCCACACTGACTTCCACAATGGTTGAACTAGTTTACAGTCCCACCAACAGTGTAAAAGTGTTCCTATTTCTCCACATCCTCTCCAGCACCTGTTGTTTCCTGAGAATGATTTTTATATATTTAGATACTTTCAGTGTCTGGATTTGAATATAGCTGAAGTTAAGGGTACTAATTAATTGTGAATCATTCCGATACTTGAATATAAAACCTCTCAAGCCTAATGTGCAAATTTATGTAAAAACAATGTGAAATTAGAAATGCATTGGCACTTTTTTTTAAGCAGAACTGTAGCACTCTGTCTAGTCAAACAGACTGCTCATTTGCAAGTTGTCTATATGCAAAGCATTCTGCCCCTGGGAGCCTAAAATCTCCTTAGAAAGTCATCTGAAATTTGAGAAGAGCTTTGTTCTGAACCTGCTTTCTGCTCCCTTCACTTTTCTTCCCTGCTTCCAGCACTGTGAGCAAAAAGCCTAAGTATGGATCACACCTGGCCAACCCAGAAGCAGCCATGGCCCAAAACAGGAGGCCTGCCCTGGGAAACCCATTTGAGTTCAAAGGAGGGTGTCTAAATATGCTTGTCTTGAGCCCTGTGCATTGGGCCTTGCACTGCAGCCTTCCAACTTTAAGAGAAATTTCAGAATCCAAATCCTTCCCGCCTGCAGGGCTCAAATTTTCCTTTGCAGATCAGACCTGGTGAAGAGGCTATTTGCCGTTCAATCCTAGGCTAGCTTTCTGCCTTTCACCTAATGTTTGAGGTTAAGAGAAATCAGAAAAGAGAGACCGTAAACTGATCACCACTGCATGGGCATCTGCCTCACCCACCTTTGGGAGTTGGGGGAAGAGCCAGCCACAGGTGCTCAGGTGCAGGTGCCCAGGTGTGAGCGGCTAGGTGCAGATGCTCAGGTGTGGCAGCAGGGAGTGCACTTGGCTCATCTGCCCTGGGGAGGGCCAGCTCCCGACAGAAGTAGGCCAGAGGTCAGTCCCAGGAAATGCTTGGAGCAGCCAGCAGGGTAGGGCCAAGTCATGATACACCTAGGAGTGGGAGGGGAGGCCTCTTTGGATATTACCTGGTTTATCATTTAGCTGTTGGGGTGGGGAAGGAGGTGGGAAAGACAGAAGGCTCTCCCAGGAATTGGCAGGCAGCCAGGTCAGGGACAATGGCAGCCCCCACTTGTGCTAGAAAGGCAGGCAGGACGTGACCACTCAGATAGCCACATCAACAAGTACAAATCACGGTTGCCCTGGAAGGAAATGGCTCAGGTTTTTCCCAGTAGCTCAATGCCTAGGCACCCCCACCTGTGGTTTGGGCATTTCACTCTATTAGCTCTTCTGCTCAGTGGCCCATTCTGCTAGCCACAGCTCACATTTACTCCAGTTATGAAAAAGGTTAATTTTCCCATATTGAGTTTCTCTGCAAAAGCTGCTTTCAGTTGTGACCGGTAAGTTCCGTTGTCACCAATATGGGTACAACTGTTGTCACTCTGCTATTCTGAAGCCATGATACTAAAAGTGTGACCCCAGATCAGTGTCATCGCCATCAACTACAAGCTTGCTAGAAAGAAAACTCTCCCTAGACTTCCAGAATCAGAATTTGCATTTTAACAAGGCCCCCAGGGGAATCCTGTTCACACTGAGTTTTGAGAAGCTCTGTTCTAAGATATTACTCCAATCCCCAGCAAGCCAAACCGACCACTTTCTTCACATAATCAGAACGCTCGGTTCCAGTATTTCCAGATACCAGCCATAGGAAAACACGTTGTTCTCTCATTTCCCTTTAACCTTATCTAAAGCACTCAATTTCCTCAACCCTTAAGTCGTCATCTGTAAAATGGGAGTGCTAATCCTACTTAATTTAAGATGATTAAGTTGAATAATAAATTAGAATTTGTCCTACAAATTGTGAATCATGATCGGAATATTCAATTTTATTATTACTCTGTGTCCTAACTCAATAACTGGGTTATAAACTCCTGAAAACAGGACAATCTCTTCTCTACCTCTTTCTTTATCTTCCCTGTATACTGAAATACAGCGTTCTGCCCAGCATGAGGTCGACTATTTGACATTTACAAAAATCTCTCTTGGAATCCCCCTGCCAAAAAAAAAAAAATCGAATTTCAATTTATGACTCCAAGCACAAAGAGATCCTGTCACTTTGACCTAATTCTCTGAGGTTCATCCCTCTAAATAATTGTATTGTCTCCATCTATAAAGTACTCTGTTACTATGACAACGCACACATAATTGCATGTGTAAGTAGTTGAGGGTGGCTGTGCAAGTCAGACTCCTTTCCACCAGGAAACACAGAAAACATTCTATCTTCCCAAATGTTACTCTCTCAGATTTGCACCAAGACCCTAGAAGTTTCTTAAATTTCCATATACTTTATGGACACTACAAAGCAATTCCAGGAAACACTGATACAGTAGCAAAACTACTGGGAGTGGAAATTGGATGGAGATCTGGGTCCCAGTTCAGAGTCTGACACCTGATTTGCAACATAATTAGGCACAGGGCACTCAACTATTCAGGGCCCTAAACCCTTCTATTGAAAGGGAAATGGGAGAACAATATGTGTTCCTATGGCTCAGTCCCTATAAGATTCTGTACTATTCAGAGTTGATTTTAAGTGTCACTTAACTGAAATTATCCAACAAACCTTCATGGCATGAAACATTAACACAGCTCTTTTTATATGGCATGGTTCCTATGGCTCAATCCCTATAAGATTCTGTACTATTCAGAGTTGATTTTAAAAGTCACTTAACTGAAATTATCCAACAAACCCTCGAGGACATTAAACATTAACGTGGCTCTTTTTATATGGCATGGTTCATTATCATGCCAATAAATGATTAATCGTAACTCTCTGTCTTGACCAATAATTTTGCTGGACTTTTGTGATTCACAACGTGCTCTGTGTTGTAATGCTACCTCTTGAAACTGACATCCTAGCTTTATTGTTTTTTATTACTTCCCTAAGGTGGCTTTCAAAAGAGACACCAAGTGACATATTTTTAGGAGGGGTTTAAAAGTTTGATGGGGTAGAAGTAAACGTTGCTTAACTCAACCAGCAGCAGAGCCAGGGCCCAGGGACCAGCGCTTCTGTGGACTTGGCCTTTCCAGCAGCAGACCCAGCAATGAATGATCCGAACAGCTGTGTGGACAATGCAACAGTTTGCTCTGGTGCATCCTGTGTGGTACCTGAGAGCAATTTCAATAACATCCTAAGTGTGGTCCTAAGTACGGTGCTGACCATCCTGTTGGCCTTGGTGATGTTCTCCATGGGATGCAACGTGGAAATCAAGAAATTTCTAGGGCACATAAAGCGGCCGTGGGGCATTTGTGTTGGCTTCCTCTGTCAGTTTGGAATCATGCCCCTCACAGGATTCATCCTGTCGGTGGCCTTTGACATCCTCCCGCTCCAGGCCGTAGTGGTGCTCATTATAGGATGCTGCCCTGGAGGAACTGCCTCCAATATCTTGGCCTATTGGGTCGATGGCGACATGGACCTGAGGTAAGATTATCTATACCTCTAACTACTGCAATCACCTTGGAGTAATCCTTCCAGAAGCCTATGGCATTCTGAATGTCCAACTGATTTGCCACGCATCTAAAGTATGACTAAGGAATCAAACAGGAGAGAATAAATGCATTCCCGTGCCTTCTAGCACAGCTGCTTAGCTATTGGAATTGGGGGATTTATATTTTGTGTTTGTGTTTTTAAATCTAACTCAGTTAACAGGGAGTTGCATAATTGCTGTTGATCTCTAGGAAAAGATTCAAAGCTTTTTTAAAAAAGTAATCTTTTCCAAACCACAAGCTGCAGCTGAGGAGGTTTATCCTGTTGGTAGCAGGAAAAAAAAAGCAAAATACACTTTCTTTGTAATGATGAGGAGCTCTGGGTGCAATCATAAAATAAAACTGTTTGTCAAACATTAGAACCTGTAGTGAGACAGTGGTCAACTCCATCAAATATAGCCAGTTCTTTGGGCAAACATTTTCCTGGTATAAAACCTAAGGAAGAATTTGTAAATTTGCTTCACCTCTACTGGCATTAAAAGTGGGGGAAAAAGCCTATAGCAGCTTTTTTAAAATTATGCTTACCTTACTACAAAATAAACAGAAAACGTTTTCTCCACTTCCTACAGAGTAATCTAAATTGCAATGTTTGCCCATTTCATCCCGTGCCAGTCTGAACTAGCACTGGAAAAAAAAACTAATAGAAATAAGATGAAGCATTAATGTGACTAGATTGAGAAATTTAATGCTAAAAGTTGAATAGACAAATGTCTTTTTCCTTAGCTCACAATTCCTCATTTCCCTTGAAAGGTATGCATTTCCTTCTGCAAACCATCCAGGTGCTAATGCAACGTGTGCTTATTAAATACTGTACAGTAGGCAATTAGCTCTGTTCATCCCCAGCTACTATTGGCAGAGGAGAGAAGCACAAAGTGTAGAATTGTAAACACTGGATTGATAGAGTACCCAGTGATCAATTAGGAACCTGCTGTCTCATTTCAACTGGTGCTGGTTTCTCCAGAAGCTTTAGAAAAGTCATACAAACCCTATACCTTCATATGGTTTAGTCTTTCACATAAGAAAACACATGATATCCACCTTGCAATTGCTTTTTTTTTTTTAAGGAAAGCCCTATAAAACAACATAGGATGGCAAGTGCTATTCAGGTTTAGTTAATCTGTGAACCACGATATAGCAATAAGGTCTTTTTAGACCTCAATTTAGTTTGACCTGGACACAGGTACACAGAAGTGAGAATTCTAAATGCCAGCACCTGTTACACTGAGAAAAGTGAACTACTTGGAACATTGGGCCTTGACCCCCAATAAACAGCTTTCTCATAATATTTGTAACTTTTAGTGCAGAGGAGTTTTGTACCTCAATGTAATACCACATATGGAACCCTTTTATAAGACAGAAAAAAAACGTGTGTGGTACTGGACTATTAGGTTGTTGAAATGAATTCTCTTCTGTGAGCTAAAAACAGTAAGATCTAACCTAAAAGCTCCAAGTTACATTTTTCTGTGGTTTTAAGGAAATCTTATTTCTCTTGAAACAGGAGATGATTATGTAATCCTGTCCACCTAGCATAACAATTCCTATAAATTATTTTTTTTAATAAGAACTAAAAGTAGAATATGAAGCTTTGGTAGAAACCTCCAGCTAAATCCGTGCAAATGAATCCTTCCAGCAAGTCAAAATAAGCCCTGTAACGCAACATGGAGCAACCTCACCTATCCAGAGCTCAACAAGACCCAATAAAAGACACTGCACACCCAAAATAAATTTCACTTAATCTCATAAATGCTCCTCATGCGGGACCGACTTAACTATTTTTATTTTAAAGTTCTGTTGTGCTATTTCCCAGAAATAAGAAGCGGGGAAGGAAGCAGAGTGTTAGGAAGGGCAAAAGAGAAGATCAAATGCCTGCAAAGCAAAGCAGACACTGACAACACACAGCCATCTCTCTATCATTTATCCTCTATCACTTATTCTCTCTATCACATATTCTCTCTTAATTATCAATTATTCTCTCTGGTTTCTGTAGCACTTATTCCAGTCTCTGGTCTCTGTATCACTTACTCTTCTACAAACACAAGAAGATGTCACGGTATTTTAGAACAACCGATAATCATGTTTATCATGATCGGTCTTAATCATTGAGAAGAGGTTAAATTATACTGCTATGTAAGATGATGACATTATGCATTGTGTGTTAGGAAAACAATATTCCAATATTTCTTTAATACAAATTAATTAAAAGGGTAAAACCTGAGCTATTGCGTAACAGTTTTCCAAAACTTTTTATTCTTCTGGATTAAGAACTGGATAACTAAAGTCTCCTGATAATTTACTTAGATACAATCCTATCTAACATTTATATTTCCAGTTGTGTACACTTAGAATTTTACCTTCTCCATCTCCACTTGAACTCCAGCAATGGCATGAAGACATGACTGTTTATGTTAACAGGCAGCTACACTAATTGAGCTAATGCCACACAATGCCAGCAAAACCATTCCACCTGGTTTTAACTCTCTTGGTTATGGTTCTTGGGAGAAGAAACCAAAACATTTCTCTCTCACTCTGTCATCTCTTATGAACCTGGAAAGCCACCGCATTTTGCAATCTCTAGTGACTTTGAAAAACAAAAAAAAAATAGACAATAGTCCTTGATCATTGGAATCCAGCAAGTACTATTTCAGCTCCTTCTCTGACCACTCCCAGCCTGGAGTTTGTGAATCTGATTGGTGCACATATATTTTCACCTAAGTTGCAGCTGTGCCATGGACATCACATGCACAAAAAGCATCAGGGAGAAGAGATGGTGACTTTTCAGGTGAATCTGCTTGTGGCCAAAACCCATAGTTGAGAGGACACAGAAACATCCTATCTCCTTTTTGTCTGCTCTCTCCCCAGACACAGGCAAATATCCGGTGTCTTCATCCTTCTTAATGGCCTCAGCGACACCATGCAAGGACTTCTCATTTCCTTTCTTTGGCTTCCTCTTTGGGGAATCCATTCTTATGCATCCTTCTCCCAGTTGCCCCCAGTTCCTTCCCTGCCACCTACTTTCTACATTCCTTTTTATTATTTTACAGACTTTCCTACCACATCCTTTGTTCTTTGGGCAAATGCTGTTAGATTTTTCAGCTTCCAGTGCAGCATTCATTGATATTTTAGATATTCAAGAAATCTCACCCTGTAGCTTACCACAAATTCACAGCAATCAATCCTTCCTATGTCAACCCCATAAATGTCCTTCTCTTCTCTACTCTGGGAGACCTAACCCAAAACCATTCGGCTTTTTCCTTTATTCTCCCTAAAAGTAACCAAACATTGTTTCTCTCCAGTAGCACTGATTTTACTAGCTAATATTTATTAAACACTAGTATATGCCATGCACAGTGCTAAGTACTCAAAATAAGTTGGTATATTTCATCCTCCCAAGAATCCTCTAAAGTTAGTACTATTATTTTCTGCATTTGGCAGATAATGAAGTTAAGATTCATAACCTTGACCAAGGTCATTGAGTCAATGTATGCCTGAGTCAGAATTGGAATCACCCAGGTCTACCCACTACCACTTTGCAGGCTCATAAGCTTTCTCTACACTGCTTCTATCACTTTTCACTTCTCCAGTTTCTAGCACTGCCTATATACGCTACGTTAGAGCCTTCAAACTTGGTATTTTACTTCTAATATGATTACAATCTTTTACATTGCTTAACACTGATTTCACTGAATTCCTCAACATTCACTAAATTTACATTTATTCTTTCTTTTATTTCCATACACACAAAAGAAAATCTCCCTGGCAGTTAATAGAGCTGAAGTCAAAATTAAGACCAAGATTTTTTTTTTATTTTTCTTATACTTGACTCTTTTCTGTCAGTCTAATATAAATTCAAGGCAGTGTATGTATTTTTTATATACATGCCTTTTATAGAACTTCAGATTTTTTCGTGTAAGATAATATTTTCTTTTGCTAATTTAGGCTTCTATATTATTTCTTAAAATTCGTTATCTGTGAATTGTTTTAAATCTCATTTTGAGTGGTTTGATTTTGTTCTTATATTCATTCAAATAGCATCAACTTCCAGCTACCTATTCGTCTGTTCATCTGCAAGGTCTCTTCGTCAGTGCTGCTCACAAGTCTAAACCTTTCCTTCTCCAAACCCTCTTTTGTCCCTCATCACGATCCTTAAGAAACTGCTCTCACCAAACTCAAAATTATGATACAACGTCATAGATTGTCTTAGCAATATTCAGAATTAAAGGTTTTGCAAGGATCTTTGAAAAAAAAACAAAGACAGAAAAAGACTTCCTTCTTAAACATTTTCTCACATTTTAAAACAAAAATTCTCAGACTTCTCTTCACTGGAACCCAGTTAATAAATCCTCCTCACTTCCCCACCAGATTCCCACCACACTCTAGAAAAAAATATTGGATGCACAGAAAAAAAAGTGATTTTATTATAGGGACAACTTTAAATCCATTCTAATATATTTTTTAAAATAAAATAAAAAAAAAGAGAACACTGAAAGAAGAGAGGAAGGAACAGAGAAAAAAATTACCTTCAAACTCCAGTACTTTCATTATAAGTAGGACAAAGTACTATTAATAACAAATTAACTTGTTTGTCTGGTGTACAATTCTGCCTTAGCATCTATTTCATGCCTAAATTTACCTATAACCAGAATAGATTGAACTGCTTAAAGTTTTAAATACATCCACATTATTTGTTACTGTTGTAATATTTTAGCTCTACTAAAACAAGTATTTTTATCTAAATTATTTAAGCCTATTTTAAATGAGGTCATTCTGGTTAAAAATAAATATATTATTAGAGAAGTTAAGCTCTCTGATGAACTTTGTCCCACCCTGTATTTTGCCAAACTGTGCAAATTTAACTGTGCCTTGAAACAAAATTTCTCATTGTTAGCTCCTTTCTTAGTATAGTGTGTTGTTGTTGTTGTTGTTTTGGGGGGCAGGTAATATAAATATTTAACATTTTCTTTCAAGTACACCCATAATACCCTTAAGAAATTACTACTCTTGACAACCTCAATGACGACCTGTTGAGAGAAGGGCCTTTCAGAGAAATTTCTCATTTCTCTAAGTTTCCCGATTCTATTTGGTGGAACACAAGATACAAAAACATGGTAACATAAATGATCACAGCAGAGAGATGCAGGGTGCGGTGGCTCCCGCCTGTAATCCCAGCACTTTGGAAGGCCTAGGCGAGCGGATCACCTGAGCCCAGGAGTTTGAGACCAGCCTGGACAACATGGTGAAACCCCATCTCTACAAAAAATTTAAAAATTAGCCTGGCATGGTGGCTCATGCCTGTATTCCCAGCTACTCGGGAGGCTGAGGTGCAAAGATCACTTGAGCCCAGGCTTCAGTGAGCCAAGTTGGTGACCCTGTACTCTGGCCTGGGTGACAGAGAGAGACCCTATTTAAAAAAAAAAAAAAAAAAAAAATGGTAGTAGCAACCAGCTCTTAATAGAGTGCTTTGCATTGGTCTAAGTGCCGGACACCATTGGCTCATTCTATCCTTACAGCCATTTTAGATAAGGAAACTGGTAAAGAGAAGTCAACTAAATTACTCAAATTAACACACTAAGTGGCACCGCCTGCTTTCAGCCCAGACAGTGTGTGGCTTTAGAGCTCAGGCTTTAAAGGCAGAGAATGTACGCTGTGTACAGATCCCTTTGAAGAGGACCCGGAAGACTCACTCCCCAAAAATCTTTCTTTGACCCACTGTCCTAGTACTAGAGATAGCATCATTTGGCATTAATGTCTCCATGTAGATAGCCTACTCAGCCAGACCCTCTTATTAAAATGCAAACACTCTGAGCAGGGATGATACCAGACACTAGTTCTTCTGAACACACATTTGCCAAATTGCCAATAACTTACTCAGTGCTAAGAATTTATGTCTACCCTGCCGCTTGCATGCTTTCTTTTGATTTTTAAGTCAGCTTCCGCTTCTTGTCCCAAGCTAGGGTCACTTGGGCAGTAATTTTTCTGCTTTATGGCAACACAGCGAGGCCTCCTCCCTCGGACATGCATTCTATTCCAGGGGCCCAGGGAGGCCCATTCCATCTCAGCATGGTCAGACACATGCAGCCTTGGTGGTGTCAGCTGCTTTAAATGTGTTTGCTGTTCTTTGATTGAATGTTTGAAGGATGGCACACCCAGCGAACCTTATACATTATTTAATGATGACTTTAACCCATCGTTTAATACTGTTTCTGACCCTTAAGAATAAAAGGGGAGGGAAGGACGGCACAAGGCAAAGTGGAAAGACACCAAATATGGCCCATTTTGCTCAAGGCCAGGCCCTGAATACACTCAGGCACATAGGCACATGTATATTACTGTTCATCACACCAGACGATGCTACAGGTTGAGACAGATTCTTGCAGGACTTTCTTATCATGAATCGAAAATAAAAATTTTCTCCCATTCGGGAGGTTGTTTGTCTACTCTGCTTATAGTTTCCTTTGCTGTGCAGAAGCTCTTTAGTTTAATTAGATTCCAAGAAAACAATGAACAAACCCATTAAAAAGTGGGCAAATGACATGAACGGATGCTTCTCAAAAGAAGTCACACATGCAGCCAACAATCATATGAAAAAAAGTTCAACATCACTGATCATTAGAGAAATGCAAATCAAAACCACAATGAAATGCCATATCACATCAGTCAGAATGGCTATTATTAAAAAGGCAAAAATTAACAGATGCTGGCGAGGTTACAGAGAAAAAGGAATACTTATCTTCTGTTGGTGGGAGTGTAAATTAGTTCATCCATTGCGGAAAGCAGTGTGGCAATTCCTCAAAGACCTAAAAACAGAAATACACTCAACCCATCAATCCCATTACTGGGTATATACCCAAAAGAATACAAATCGTTCTATTATAAAGACACATGCACACATATGTCCACCGCAGCACTATTTACAATGGCATACATATGGAATCAACCTAATTGCCCATCAATGATAGACTGGATAAAGAAAATGTGGTACATACACACCATGGAATACTATGCAGCCATAAAAATGGACTAGATCAAGTCTTTTGCAGGAACATGGATGGAGCTGGAGGCCATTATCCTTAGCAAAGTAACACAAGGACAGAAAACCAAATACTGCATGTTCTCACTTATAAGTGGGAGCTAAATGATGAGAACGCATGGACACATAGAGGGGAACACAGACACTGGGGCCTATTAGAGGGTGGAGGGTGGGAGGAAAGAGAGGATCAGGAAACATAACTAATGGGTACTAGGCTTAATACCTAGGCAATGAAATAATCTGTACAACAAACCCCCATGACACAAGTTGACCTATATAACAAACATGCACATATACCCCTAAACTTAAAATAAAAGTTAAATTAAAAAATAAAAATAAAACAGCATCTTCCCTAGAACACCACAGGTGGATGTATCAATCTGCCCATTGCCTTTCAGCGTCAGCATGACCACATGCTCCACACTGCTTGCCCTCGGAATGATGCCGCTGTGCCTCCTTATCTATACCAAAATGTGGGTCGACTCTGGGAGCATCGTAATTCCCTATGATAACATAGGTAAGTCATCCATCTGTAAGACTGTTGACTGTTACCCTCAAACTCTCTGCTTACCCCCTGCTAGGCTCTCAGACCAGGCTCACACCTGACCGTTATTGCCCTAGTAGGAGTTTTTGCCTGATTTCATTATAAAGTCACCCCTGCGTTTGGAGAGTGATGGCAGAATGTAAATTCCAAACCTTGACCTTATGGGAGAACCTGTCTTTTCTTCAATTTGAATCACCAGGGAAAGGAGCCCCCTCCCCAGCCCTCAGTCTGGACTGAGGAGGCTTAAGCTTTGGGGACATGGGAGCTTGCACCTATTCCTTAACCCAGAGTGTCACTAGTTAATGGTCATAGGATTTTGCATCCAGACACTTGAATTGAAGAAATTTTTTTTTTTTTTGAGATGGAGTCTCACTCTGCCACCCAGCCTGGAGTGCAGGGGCGTGATCTCGGCTCACTGCAAATTTCACCCCCTGGGTTCAAGCAATTCTCCTGCCTCAGCCTCCCTAGTAGCTGGAATTACAAGCATGCACTACCACGCCTGGCTAATTTTTGTATTTTTAATAGGGACGGGGTTTCTCCATGTTGGTCAGGCTGGTCTCAAACTCCTGACCTCAAGTGATCTGCCGGCCTCAGCCTCCCAAAGTGGGATAACATGCATGAGCCACCACGCCCAGCCTGAAGAAATTTTTTAAAATCACATAATGGTTTCAAAATAGAGCACTGAGTAAGCAATCCAGAGTGTTACAACAGAAAACTGCTAGACGAAACACACTGTTTCTAACACTCGACTGTGAGCCACACCTTGACCCAAAAGTTGATTTAATGGCAAAGTCATGCTCCAGGAGTCAAATTTACTAGTAATGACTCTGTCTCATTTCACCCTCATCCCAAAAACCTTATTTTCTGTTTCTGGGGAAACAAATTATAGTGGGAGATTAAGTTATTGTTGTAACTTAGGGATGAGGGTCAAAGGAAGAACAAGAGAGTTCCTGGTATACCAGGAATAGGCATTTCCCACAGAACTATCACGAACAAAAGACAAGATGTGGGCAAAATAGTAAATCAGTAACAATCACCAGGTACACTATATGCCCCAAATACCTGGGTTTTTTTCCCCACTGACCTTGGAAAAAAATCCCAATGAGCTGCCTCAGAAAGGTGTGGGTTTCCCATTGAAGAAAGCATCCAAGCAAAGGCTAAATGATAAGCCACCTGGATGCTTGTAAAAGGGACTCCTATTGGGATAGGAAGCTGGGCTGAAATGCCTTCCATTTCTGAGAAAGACTGCTTCTGTGATTTAGGGTGATTGAGGGAATATACAACTGAATTAGAATAAACTTTGTGAATACTAATTGGGGATGATCTGTATTACAATGTTTGTAGCCTCTTCTCTCTCTCCTACTCTTACCATTACCATTAGACCAAAAAAAAAATTGTCCTCCTTGACATGCCCTATTCAGTATGGGCTTTTGATATACAAGATTCTTCAGACTCCAGGAGAGAACCTTAATATCATATATAACCTCCTGACAAGAGACTTTAGGGTGACCCTCCACTACCACCTGCTTTTGCCTTCATGCTGCTTGACTCTCTGGCTGCTCTGTCAGCGGACGCCTTCCATAGAGCTAAAAACCATAGTTTACGTGAGTGGTGACCATTATATCCCTCTCAAAGAACCTGTCTGCTGAGTGAGGAATTTTGATTCCACAATACTCACTGTAATAATTTAATAATTTAAGCCATAAAATATTCTCCTTTTGATATACATTCCCTTCTGAGAAATGACTCATGGAAATACTGAATAATTCTAACTGCAGTGTGAATGACTTATACCATATTCTGTGATGTGAATAAATTTTGAAATAAGGAGAAAATGAAAAATCAATTAGCACTTCAATGGAGGAAAAGGTCATCATAAGAGGTCAAGAGTGAAAAGAAAAGAAAAATAGGAAAAGAGAAAAGAAAACGGAAAAAGAGAGAAGTTTGAAAAACAAAGATATTGTTATATGTAAAATATTTATTCAGAAACAGAATACTTGTTCCTCAGTACCACAAGGAAAAATGAGCATTCAGACAAAAAGTTTTCTCAGCAAGGCAATTTTACTTTCTGCAGAAAGAGTGCTCCTCACAGATGGCACAATGGTGACAGCACACCTGAACAATGGAGGGAAGTAATTCGTATCCCTTATGCAGCTTGTCCCTGCTACTGTGTCCTGTCTCCATTGGCTGGAGCCAGACATCACAATCTAAGCTAAAACCTGACTGGCTAATAATTTAAAACTTTTCTAAATAGGTATAGGCAATAGACAACAAAGGAAAAGAGGACGTTGCTTGTGAAAGGACTTAGAAAAGTAATAATATTTCCAAATAAGGAAGGGGCATAGGCTGCAAGCTGGAATGTACCTGTGAGCATGTTCAGCATAAATATCTTGGTTAAAGTACAAGGACATAGAATGTACTTATTCCTTTATATCTAACAGCTACATAGAATAGGGCTTAACAAAGAGTTACTAGCACAAAGTAAGGGGGCTTGAAGAAAGTTAGTCTTTAAAAGAAATTATTATTTCTAATGTTTATTATTATTATTATTTTCCTTTAACAACAAGGGACACTTTGAAGAGGAAACTTTTTACTTTCTACAGATATTAACCCTGCTCACCATGTTTGCCCAGGCCTCCAAGCTCACCTTTTTGCTGTTGGTTTTTCTAGTTCTTTAACATAGAAAATAAATGAACTGACTGCTTCACAAGATGTTATCACTGCTTTCTAAATTGTGGCTCAGGGTGATTATTTGCCCAAGGTCACCAGGAAGCTGGAATAGCCCACAGTCTATTCTCTACACAGCTCTATGGGCAGACGTGTTTGGTACAACTTCATGCTCCAGTGATTCAGTAAACACCTGTGAGCCCCCTCAGATGCTGACATCTGGATCGAGAGGAGGCAGACCATGCAGCTGGTACCACTAAAATAAAACCACTGCTGCAAATTGTTGTACTTACTCCTCTCTACCCCACATTTTTAAGTGTCTTGTGCCAAGAAGTTTATAGCCATTTCATCATTTAATTCTCACAACAGCACTGTAAGGCAGACATAACTCCACCCATTTTACAAATGAGGAAACAAAAGCTCAGAGGGGTTCAATGATTTGCACAGTTCCCACAGTTTGGGAATACAGAAAGGTTCAGTTCCAAATCTATCTGGCTCCCAGTCCCACCACATGAATCCATTCACCACCACTCTCTTTCATTCTCATTCTTCTTTCTACCTTTCTTTCCTCTGATATCTACTGTGTAAACTTGATTAAAGACCAAGTTATGGATTCAATGTGTAACCATGAGTGGATGCTTTTTCATCTACATAGACAGGCACTTTACAGAGAGAACATGGGCATATGAGGCATACGTAAAACAAACAGAGCATGGGGAAAGAAAAGAGCAAGATCACCAGCCCACTGGAGACCAAAGTTACAACATCCACCTCTACAAGCAGAAGCCACACACTGTGGGTGTAAAGAAAGACAGAGTCCCTTTCCCAGTCAACCCCAGGTCCCTGAAAAACTTCATCTGGCCTCATCTGGTCAGGAAAGAAAAGCAATTCTGCCATGGATTTCAGCAGGTGGTGCTGCTTATGTGTTATCCCGTTGGCTTGGGCTGCCTCAAAAAGATGAATACTCTTAGCAGGAGGGGCCAAACAGATTCAGCACATTAAAATATAGGACCAAAACCTAACCACACTAACATTCCAAGCACAGGACTTGCAGCTAGATTTAAGCTACCACATCACAAACAAGTCATATATCCAGATGGTTTTAAGACCTACAAACTTCAAAAACTTAGGCAATGGTCTAAAGACCCAGGAGAGGGAGTTTCCTTCTTGTATTCATCTGTTCTCTCATTGCTATAAAGAATTACCTGAGACTGGATAATTTATAAAGAAAAGAAGTTTAGTTGGCTCACAGTTCCACAGACTGTACAGGAAGCATGGCAGGGGAGGCCTCAGGAAACGTACAATCATGGCAGAAGGGGAAGGGGAAGCAGGCAGCTTCTACATGGCTGGAGCAGAGGAAGAGAGCAAAGAAGGAGGTGTGCACACTTATAGACAACCAGATCACATGAGAACTCACTATCACAAGAACAACAAGGGGGAAGTCTGCCCCCCACAATTCAATCACCTCCCACCAGGCCCCTCCTCCAACAGACCCGTCCTTTAGTTGTAATCCTCCAACTGGGGATTATAATTCAACATGAGATATGGGTGGGGACAGAGAGCCAAACCATATCACTCCCAAAACAGCAGGATGCAAGGATACCCAAGGGGGGTTTTTCTGGGGCATCTCAGCAGTACGTGTGTCAACGCCACTCTTTCACATCTTTTTTTCCATTATTCCCTCCTTACTCCCCCTCATTTATCTTTTTTTTTCCTACTCTTAGTACCCTTAGTCATTATTTAATTCTGCTAAGTAATTTCTGGGCAAAAGTCATCACTGACCCTTATATTGCCAGGAGGGCTAGAAGACTACAAGGAAATTATGTTTTCATCATTATTGCATTCACTTTAAATTAATATCTATAGCCTTGGATTCCAGAATCTGTTTTCTAGTCCTAGTTCAATCTACCTAGTTAATCAATACTAAGCAACATCCACTCTCAGAATTTCACCGTTCAATATCACTTTCTTATACTGCTTTAAAAGGATGTTTGAAAAAGAAACAACCTATGAAAAGTTAGAAGTTGTTGGTGCTAAATTATATGAAATCAGCTATTGGACAAATGAGTGTTAAATAACATGGAGAAACAAACCACATGTCGCAAAAACAGCAGTAAATTTAACATGGTGAAATTGAAGTATGACTCTTTTATCTGGCCAGGTGAGCATGTTACTGCAAAGAACTATAATTACATGAGAGTTCGTCAAATATATTATCTCATGGAAAATTTAAAGCACGCTTTCTCAACTTTTGTTCTCACCTCTCTGCTGTAAATTTGAATAGCTAAAGCTAGTTTTAACCAAAAGTCAGATGTCAGAATACCTGGTGATCTTGAGCTAATTTTGGACATTTTCTTTCATTTTAAAATATTTTAAAATTATTTTTTATTTCTACTACCATGAACTAGCAGACAAATGTAAAATGTCATCTTTGTATGCCATACACACACACACACACACACACACACACACACACACACACACACACCTTGGTGAGCTATTTTTCCTAGAGATATAAAGATCCAAAGACTAAAGAAGCCAAGATTCTGACAAATTAAAACTAATGTATGCTGGCAAAATAAGAAACTCTAAAAAATTAATGCAGAATTTAGTGAAAGAATTTACAGCATTGATATTATCAATTATCTACCAATAATATTAAATTATTTACTGGAGTGGGTGAAGAAGTTGAGTGAGTGTGTGTGTGCATGTGTGTGTGTGTAATTCTGTATTCTGTTTTGTGTATTCAAGAAGGAAGACTGAAATACCACCTAATCTTTCTTCAGGCTGCTTGTTCTTCTGTTTTTCTCTTTCCTGTGTCACCTGTTCTGCTGATCACATTGCCCTTCTGTCATCTTTAGGTACATCTCTGGTTTCTCTCGTTGTTCCTGTTTCCATTGGAATGTTTGTTAATCACAAATGGCCCCAAAAAGCAAAGATCATACTTAAAGTAAGTATCCCAGTTCACACCATTAAATATTCCACTGTGACAATCAAAACCATAGGGTTTTCCATCCATGAAATGGTTTCATTCTCATTATATGATTACTGTTGAGTGGGGGCCTGAAGTCATTAGCCATGCAGTCTTCTCCTTTAGAATGTCCTTCTTTATATGTGTGTAGAGAGAGAGGTGGGATCTCACTATGTTGCTAATGCTGTTCTTGAACTCCTGTGCTCAAGTGATCCTTCCAAAGTGCTGGGATTACAGGTATGAGACACTGCGCCCAGCCTAGCATGCCCTTCTTTATTGCAGTCACAGGAAAAATTTCTACCCATTCTTTAAGACACTCCACTGAACTATCACCTCTTGGGTTTACTCTATTCTGTCCTCAGGGCATATTACTGTTATCTCTGTTATGTGAGTTTGTGTTATACAATATATCTAAATGGCTTTCTTAGAAAATAGAACATATCTTTCTTATGTCTGTATGCATATGGCCATTTCATTGCCTGGCAATCCCATTCACTAACTATATTCTAGCTAGATGATCTGGATATGTATGTAGATAATATAGATAGATTCTGCTGCTCGGGGCAAAGTAAGTCCATTGTATTCCTTGCTTCTCTTGACAAAAAATGTTTATAATCTCCAAATTTTGTTTTAAATGTGAAAAGGAGAAAAAAAATAACAACAGTGGTTTTCATTTGCTTATACCTTTTTTAAAGTTGTATAGAGTTCTATACCCATTTTCTCATTATCGTAACAATCATAAAGGGAAGCTGGGGCGACATTTTATCCCCAATTACAAATAAAGAAACTACAGTTCAGAAAGTTCCTGATTTACTGAAGGAAACAGAATAGGAGTAGTTGAATCTGGAAGCCAAATCTTCCAGGCTGTCATCGAAATGGGTTGTCTTTTTGTTCTGACAAGGATAATTTTCAAGTCAGAAAATCTTCAGACTAATTGCAAATGGTTGCTACATGTCCTATTGTGTTCTTAAAGCTTAAAGCATGGGACAAGCGTCAGTATTTCCAGTGGGCTGATTGCAGCCTCCTGGCTTGGAGTACATAGAAAGACAACTTTATCATCACTTCCCCCAGGGACAAGGAGACTGCTGAGGTTTTGTCTCTGACAAACATACTTGGATTTGCTTTGACTCATGATTGCTGGGTTCACTTATTCCTTTTTTTTTCAGATTGGGTCCATCGCGGGCGCCATCCTCATTGTGCTCATAGCTGTGGTTGGAGGAATATTGTACCAAAGCGCCTGGATCATTGCTCCCAAACTGTGGATTATAGGAACAATATTTCCTGTGGCGGGTTACTCCCTGGGGTTTCTTCTGGCTAGAATTGCTGGTCTACCCTGGTACAGGTATGGCATTTAGTAAATCACATTGGGAATTTTAATCTGTAATATCTGTTGTATTCCTTTGCTAGAGGTGCCATAAGACAGAACCACAAACTGAGTGGCTTAAACAACAGACACTTATTGTCTCATGGTTTCAGAGACTAGAAGTGAAAATGAAGGTGTCACTGAATTGATTCTTTCTAAGGGCTATGATGGAGGGATCCCTTACTGGCCTTCCTCGTGGCTTGCAGACATCCATCTTCTTCCTGTGTCTTTCCTCAGTGCACCTCTCTGTGGCCTGGCTCCCCTTTTGATAAGGACACCAGTCATTGGATAAGGGCCTCCTCTAATGAACTCATCTTAACTAATTATATCTGCAATGACCCTGTTCCCACATAATGTCACATCCTGAGGTGCGGAGTGTTAGGACTTCAACATATGAATTTGGGGGAAAGGGAGACATAATCAATCCATAACAGCTGCAAACACTGAAGACAGGATCAAAATCCTTAGCCCTTCATCAATCACATTCATCCTATTTCTGAATATGTCATTCTAAATAGGCCCATTCATTCTGAAGTCATGCAAGTCCCCAGAAAGAAAATACTGACTGCCTCTTTTTTGCTCAAAGTCTTCTGGACCATTCGGCTTACAAGGCAGATGGGGCTCTTCCATTGCTAAGTATTCTTATTCTCTGAGTGGAATGACATTAATGAAAGCAGTTGGGCTGCCTTGGAATAGACAAGCGTTCCTCCAGCTGGCAGCAGGGTGAGCTCATCCTCCAAAGGCGCCGAATATTAAAATGGGTTTCACACTTCTGGATTTGGTACCGGGCAAAAACAATTCTTTTTGACTAATCCATCGAATCCACAGGCAGAGAGAACACAGGTGTAGGGACAGATGCATGTATGAAGTTGGGAAAGAGAGGAGTGGGTATGGGCAGCAAGAAGAGCGCAGTGTTTGAGTCAGGCAGACCTGGGCTTGCCTTCCAATCCGACCACACACTGCCCGGGGGACCTCAGGCCCAGCATTCACTCTTTCTCTGAGTTTTATCATCTGTAGAATGGGGACAATAATTTCTACCTTATAGACTTTCTGTCAAGATTTAAACACAACAATTTTTTATTTTTATGAGACAGGGTCTCATTCTGTCGCCCAGGCTGGAGTCCAGTGGCACAATCATAGCTCACTGAAGCCTTGGCTCAAGTGATCCTCCTGCCTTAGCCTCCCGAGGAGCTGGGACTACAAGCCCACACCACCTTGCCTGGCTAATTTTTTTGTTTTGTTTTGTTGTTTTAGAAACAGGGTCTCATTATGTGGCCCAGTCTGGTCTTGAACTCCTGGACACCTGGGCTCAAGAAATCCTCCCACTTCAGCCTCCCAAAGTGCTGAGATTACTGGTGTGAGCCACCTGTTTAGCCCAGCCTAAACAAAACAAATTAAACAATAAAACAGCGACAACAAATACCATATCTTGAGCATTTTCTGAGCTGCTGCCCTGTGCTCTACACTGTTACCAAAATCATAATTGAAAAGGGTGAAATGAACCCTCTTGGCCACTTACCTAACACTGTGGTAAATGAGCCAACTCTTCATATGCACATATTAAATATATTTATTTATATTATATACAATAGGTGAGATGATGTATAATATACATTAATAAGTATTACACTTATTCCATAGAAAGTTATATATTGAATAAGCCTATCTTAAATACATGCATTAAAAGCAGAGACATAATGCATATATATGTACTTATTATTATATCTGCTTTTCATGTTTCACAATAACAAAACTACTAAAACATGTGCTCTCTTAACATCTTCTTTAGGTGCCGAACGGTTGCTTTTGAAACGGGGATGCAGAACACGCAGCTATGTTCCACCATCGTTCAGCTCTCCTTCACTCCTGAGGAGCTCAATGTCGTATTCACCTTCCCGCTCATCTACAGCATTTTCCAGCTCGCCTTTGCCGCAATATTCTTAGGATGTAAGGAATCATGCCAATCCCATTTCATGATAATCTTTGAAAAATCCTGGAGTTGCTAAAACAACATTTTTTTAAAACTCCCCGTTCCTGGTGGTGAATTGTACAAATATATGAGAGGAAAAAGCCACCGTCATATTATCATGACTTTCCAATTGCTGATGAAAAGATGGTAGTTTTACCAAAAGATTCTAGCAAAGATTATTTTTGAGTGAAAAGTAATGGAGGCCGATTCTCTCCAATGACTTTCTTTTCCTCAGTAATAAGGAAGGCAGAGGAACCTGTTGGGACCATTTTATTGTGCGCCTTCTGGCATTCGCCCAGGAACTCAGGATTTGGTGATCTTTTTCAAAACATTGTCTTGATATGCTTTATAAATATAGGATATTTATCAGAAAACTGGTATACAAAGAAAATTTACCAGGCTAACTTACAAGGAAGATGTGTGTGTGCATATGTGTATATGCATGTATATATATATTTTAAATACCCATATAATTGAAGTGGTTGAAGCAAAAATGTTCCTTATGTAAAGTACTAGGTGTAGTTTAAGTAATTCTTACTTCTCCTGTCCTGTGGCATGAAGCTCCCAGCGTTTCCCATCAGGCCCCACCGCCCACTGGCCTTCACCTAGTTGAAAATTCTTTCTACATTTTCCTTTCCAAGGGCTGATAATATTTAACCTCTATTTTTACATTCTATTTTTTTTAATAAAAAAGCTAGTTTTTAAAGCCTCATGACATTGTAATGAGGAATATAAAGTGAAGGCACGCAACAAAACTAATGTAAATGTTAGGTCACAAAATGTCCAGAGATATAGTTTGGTTTTGTTTGGTTTTGCTTTTCTCTCTCTCTCTCTTTTCTTTTTTTCTTTTCTTTTCTTTTTTTTTCTTTTTTTTTTGAGACAGCCCCTCACTCTGTCGTCCAGGCAGGATTGCAGTGGTGTGATCTCTGCTCACTGCAAGCTCTGCCTCCTGGGTTCACGCCATTCTCCCACCTCAGCCTCCCAAGTAGCTGGGACTACAGGTGCCCGCCACCATGACAGGCTAATTTTGTTTTTGTATTTTTAGTAGAGACGGGGTTCCGAGGCGGGCAGATCATGAGGTCAGGAGATCGAGACCATCCTGGCTAACACGGTGAAACCCCATCTCTACTAAAAATATGGTTTTGCTTTACTTTTCTGCTTAGCTTCATCAGCTCTTCAACTTGCCCTGTGATGCTGATCTCCTCTGCACTACTGTCTTGAATGTCATTCTCAAAGCAGAGGCTTCCTTTCCAGAACAGAATACTCTGAATCCACTGAAAACATTCCATGGATTTATCACTGCTCCAGGAAGCAGGAGTCCAGGCCTAATTACCTTGTTTTCTGTATAATAACGTTGTTTGATCTGCCCAATTTGGCACACAGTGGGATTTTTCCAAATAATTACTTAATGATGTCTACTAGATAAGCCAGAGAAAGTGGACTGGTTGATAGAACAATTAAGTAATGCACTAGTTGAACACTAACCCCAAAGAGGTTGATTAATAAAAAATTAAGTTGAAGGAATGAGGAAAAGGGAGCACTCAACTCGGTCTTGAAATTTCCCAGTTACATCAGTATGTATAAAAATAAGGGAGGAATCTTTGTTAAGTGTATACAATACCTGGAAACATATTTTGGTGGTAAGGCTAGGATTCTAAATTTTTTTTTGGAAAAAGGAGAGGAGGGGAAGAAAGAAAAAGGGAAAAAAGGAAGGATGGGGGAGGGAGAGAGGGAGGGAGGGAGGGAGGAAGGCAGGGAGAGAAGGGAGGGAAAGAAAAAGGGATAAACAAGAGGTATAGTTTGGTTAAATGAAATCATTGGCATAAGTTTAAGCTGAGGGACTCTCAGCTCAAAACAGTTTATAATAAGTGGCGGATCTTCAAATTGACCACAAGCTCAATTAAATTCAATAGTGTGGTTCAGTGGCTTTGAAAATAATATATGACTAGAAGTTCAGGGACCAATCTAAAGGAAATATTGATCTTGAGTTAATAAGATCTTTGAAGCAAGTCATTATCTCTCTCAGCTGTGTATCATAATGAACGTTAACATTTATTGAGCATTTACTATTCTTCACAGACCATGTTAGGCATTTAATTTTATCTCATTTAATGTTCACAATTGCCCTATGAGGTAGCTAATATTATTATGGCCATTTTATATGTGAGGTATTAGAATTCGAGGGGTCCTATAAGGAGTATTTTCTGTCCTCCTCTTGCCTTTGTGACCAATTGAGAAGTAGAAGAAAAATCAGATATTCAGATAACAGAATAGCACTTTAACTATGGATAAAACTTAATTGGAAAACATGACTTGAATCTGCAACCAAATGGGCTTGTTGAAACCACCCTTTCCTCCACTGCCTCACACATGTGCAGACATGTACTCACACATGCATAGACACTGCAGGTCTTGCCTCGCAGGGCAGAGCCTACCCTGATGAGCTGACATTAAAAATAAGCTGAGAAATGCTTGCTATCAGAGACCAGCAGCTCCACAGAAAAGAGGAATGCTGATCACCCATCAGCCGAGTCTCTTCTCTCCGGGGGAAAGATTGAATGAAGGCAGGGAGGGAATGGGAACGTTGTTCTAGTTCAAGTCCTTCTACAGAGGACCATCAAACCCATGTCCTGGAGGTTGCACTGCACCATGTGTATATTTATTAAGAACTAGCACATTAACTGGGATATGGCGGTACAGAATAAATCCTCCCTATTGTTCTTATCATTGTTGAGTACCACGTGCAGGGCTGAATGCCTGAAGAAGCTTGTGGCTGCCCTGAGCAAATGTCTCCTAAAGATTTATGCTAGGTCTTCCTGAAGTGCAGTCATCCCTCTCGCCATGAGTAGCCATAGAACTAAGAATGGTGATTTCTTTCTCTAAGCAGCCTCCAGTCTACAGAAAATGTGATCTGCCATGTGAATCATAGGTTATAATCTCTATGCAAAGTAATTTTGCAGTTTATTATTATAAAATTTACTTAACTGTCTGTGTATTGTTTTCTAGTTTATGTGGCATACAAGAAATGTCATGGAAAAAACAAGGCAGAAATTCCAGAGAGCAAAGAAAATGGAACGGAGCCAGAGTCATCGTTTTATAAGGCAAATGGAGGATTTCAACCTGACGAAAAGTAGACATCAAGTGGACAAAACAGACGAGTTCCAAATTACGTTCTTAAACCGTAACTATATTTAATTATTTGTTTTGGTAGGACAGTTGGCAGAAAAGAGTTAAAGTGAAAATTGGAATTTCATTGGAATTCATGTATTGGTTTCAGTACCAAGTGACTGGTGGCCCAATTCTTTAATGGGACAAATATTGTTTCCTATATATATGTATATGTTTTATATATGTATGTATACTCATATAGATATATTGTCATTGAAATATTCCCCCAAAATATTCTCAGACTAAACCTGACATAGGGAACACCGAGAATGAAAACATCTTTAACACCAAAACTGAATTCTTATGCAGAATTTCCTAGCCCATAGATGACAACCTGACTTTCTGTATGTTAAAGTAGATGTAATGAATTATTATTATTACAGTGGTCACGATTTTCTTCAGTGTTTATGATTATAAAAATTGACATGAACATCTTTCACTGACATTTTAATCATTATTTTAAAAGCTTTGCAACCTATATATTTATATAACTTTGTAATATAACATGGGCAAATATCTGACTTCTGTATTTTTAAAAAGTTGCCTTCTCCAGTGGCAGTCCAAAAGCAGAAATGAGAGGAAATTATTACAAAATAGAATTCAATAACCATATTGGATGCAGGCTCTTAACTCAGCAGGGATATCGTACATCTATTGCTCTACCTCAGGGGTCCAGTGATACCCACTAGATCTTCCAAGGAAAAACATAATTCTTTCAAACGGTGTGTATTTGGCAAAGAGCTCTTCAAATCTGGGAGAGGGACTTCCTCAAGGTTTTCCTGTGTGCAGTGGATCCACATAGCTAATATGACAGCTAGTCAGTTGACAGGGACCACCCACAGTAAGCACCATGGTCAGGGAGGTGGCAGGAGGTGCAAAGACAGAAGTATTGAGAGAAACACCAAGACTCTAGTGGAGGAATTAATTCAATGGGAGATAGTATAAAATACATAGAAAACACAAGTAACAGAAACCTGGTTGAAATGCTTAACTAGAGTCAATTAGATGTGCAGGAGTAAGTAGTATAAGAAGAATCAAGTCCGAGAGTGATCAGGAAATGAGTATTAAACAGTATTTGAAACAGAGAACGTGTCCCAGGGCCCAAAAGTCAGAAGGGCCCCACCAGCCAGGAAAGTTGTTTCAATGCTGTAAGTAGGTGTAGCCAAGGGAAGCCAGGACTATCTGATATACGGTAGCAGGGGTTTACGGCTGCCAGGGGAAAATAACTCATCAAGTGTTGGACTTTCAATTATAAGATCGAATTTAATTTCCTTTCCCTCATTCTGCAGCAATCAGAATACACAATCTTAACCACTCGGTCCTTAGTGGTTTTGTTCCATTTTGCATTGGGTATTTTCACTGCCTCATAGAGTCTATTTCAAGTGTTTTGGCTGAAAGGGCTTTTTGCATTTGCATGTTCTGAGTTCAGATTCTGCTGGTGCACCCAAGCATTATGGGAACAGGAACTCAACTTAGCTCTTCCAGTAGAGGGGTGAGGGATTCTGCTTTTCAAATTCATAACATTGATCTTTTTATGCAAGATTTCCATTTACAGTTGAATAAGTACTTCATATTTTTCCATCATTAGACAAATACAAAATGGACTAAATAATTTTAAGAGATAGTGGAGGAGAGGGGGTACAGACTTCCTTCTTAGAGAGTGTCAGAGAATATGCTCCCAATGGTGGAAAGGAAGATTTACAGTCTAGCGGCTAAGTACCTCCTACACATTTCCCATCAATCAGAAAATAGACAGGTACACTAAAGGGACCCTGAGAACTCCTCTTGTAATTTCAACACACCCAAAATCAAGGGCCTGGATGCCAGCAGCTGCAGCAAGCAGGTTTTTCCTCCCTGTTGAGCAAGACAGGTGAGCAAGATAGGACTTGGCTTTCTTACATGATGCGGTAACTTGTGACTTGAGTCTTTTTCCCTAATTTGCTAGTGGGAAGAAAAATAGCTGAGCTTTCTAAAATGATAGCTCTCTATTTTTAAATGAATTTGAAAAGTCGATTAAATTATGTATTTTATTGCCTCTGAGTATCATATTAAATGAATATTTTATTTTAAAGGCTTAAATAAATGAAAATGATTTTTGTAATGTTTGGTCTAGTTGAATCTTTGTGACTTGTGTCAAGATTTTCTCACTGCTCAGTTCTAGAGATACAAATAAGGTGGAGTTTCTCAGATATTAAATTGTTCTTTGAAAGGTGCCTGAAAGAAACTCTTAATTAAACACTCTCATAATTCGGTCTCCCACTGATACTGACTGGGATTTTCCTCCAGAAAATCATACAGGGGGAACATTAATTAAATACTCTTAAAAATAGTTTGACAATGATAGCTGATTTAAAATAATAATGAAAGTATTTCATGAACTTACAAATGAAGCCACCATCTTCTACGAAATGGTGATGTATATACATATATATACACGTGTGTGTATATTTACACACATACACAATGATAGCCTATTTAAAATAATAAAAGTATTTCACGAACTTACAAATAAAGCTTTCACCTCCTACAAAATGGTGATAAATGATATATGTATATTATACATATGACATATATATAATATTATATATGTCACATATATTATACATATGACATATATTATATATATGTCATATGTATAATATACACATACACACACAAAGAATTATGGAGCTCTTGCATTAAAATCTCTCATAAATGAGACTTGAAGAAATTCAGGTCATCAACCTCATTTGACTCCTCCTCAAAGACATCATTCTCTTTTCAATCTAGGAAACTCTCACTCTCTTCCAGTAGGAAACAATTTATCTCCTTGGAATATTTGGTATCCCATTGCTTCTCAATCCTTCACCTTTTCAAAAACCACATAAGTTTAGAACAACCGTCTTCAAACTGTGGTGTGGTTACCCCTGGGAGTTCATGAAATTGTTCAAAGGGTATGCAGGCATGGTTAGGGAGTAAGTTTCCATTTCTTCAACTTCCAGATGTATACCTTCCCCAAACTGCCCTGCCTGAAATGCCCAGTGTTTGAGTTGTCCTGGGTTCTCCATGTCCACCTCCTCTCTCATGGTCAGGCCTTATTCTCAGGCCTAATCTTACTATGGTACATTGGTCAAGGGTAGGAACACTTTTTAACACCAAGCAAACAATTCAAAATATTGGTATCTGAGAAAAGCTTATCTTTCCCAATCGTATAGATATGTATTTAATGATTTAGAAATGAAGTATGTGGGCCCATGTTGGAATATTTGTATAGGTATGTATTTCATGATTTAGAAATGAAGTATTTGGGCTTGTGTTGGAACATTTTGAATATATAAATATTATAAAGTGGTCTAGGGGAGAAGACAATTTTCCATTAACATGCCAGCACTTCCATCCCAATATTTACCCACAAAAGCCATCACCCTTGAGAGTAAAACTGTGAGAGCAAACAAAGGAGCACTGGTTAGAGACATTGAAAGAGGACACAGGGTTTTTTTTCCTCCAAGAGATACCAAACTATAACAAATGTCTGAGCCTTATCTATCTTTCTTAAGTTGGAATTCAGATGTGAAATGGTCAACACAGAGGCCCATGTCGCTATATTGTTAAGATTGAAAAGAGAAGTCAAAAAAATTTTTCTGACAAAAAGTCTGATGTAATTGACTGGTTTCTCTGCTAATTAAGAAATATAAAAGACATTTCTTGTAAATTACATGAGCTCGATCTGCAGCTCTAAGGTTTAAAAAATATATTTAAAACATATGAAAAGCACATTATAAAATAATTGATCTAAAATATATAAAGAACTCTTGAAACTCAATAATAAGAAGTCAAGGAACCCAACTGAAAAATAAGCAGAAGAATTTGAATAGACACTTCAGCAAAAAATGGTACTAAAAGCAAATAAGCACATGGCAATGGGAGGTACATTCATGAGAAGATACTCAACACGACAATATTAGATAAATCCAAATTAAAACCACAATAAGGTACCACTGCATGCTCAATAAAATAACTAAAAAGAAAAAAGTGCTGACAATAACAAGTGTTGACAAGAATGTAGATTGCTAAGCGGTACAACCACCTTCGAAAACGTGTTGCAGCTTCTCATAAACCTACACTAACCATGGGACCCAGCAGTCTCCCTCCTAGGTATTTACCCAAGGTAACCAGAAGTGAAAGGGTGACAGAAAGCCAATCAGGCATCAAGCATCTGGGGAGGCAATTACTGCAAAAAGATATGATGTACCATGTGGAAGTGACAGAAATGTTCTATATCATAACTTTGGTGGTGGATCCACAACTTTATACATTTGTCCAAATTCACAGAACTGTACTTTTGAAATTAGTGACTCTTATTCTATGTAAATGTTATTATAATAAAGCTGATCAAATATTTTTTTGCCCAAGATGTAGCAGGAAATGTATCTAATATTTTTATCTTCTCCACCCTTTTGTGAGAATAGAGTTAAATGTGGAGACTGTAAGTGGAAGAATAACAGAGTCTAGAGCTCTTAGATACATCTTGCAATGCCTTTGGTAGCACACTTTCCAGAAATTGAGATGGCAAATGACTTCAGTTCAAGAAACATTTTGAAAGATGGGTAATTCCAATTCTTTACTTTCAAGAAAACTGGAAGAGGATCCCATCAAGTTGTTAATCCTTGTATTTTAAAAAAGTTTTGCTGATAGACCACTATGTGGTATTGTTTTTGCGTGTAACTTGGAAATTTGAGGGACAATATATACCAAAAATCCTCTCGTTATCATCTTCCTTTTTATGTAAACAAGGTTTATAAGCACTTAAACCCATAAAAAAGAGGCACAAAATAGTTGTTGCTGTGTCTCAGTCTAACGATAACAGGACAGTGTATATTGCATTCCAGGCTTTCGTCTAAGTTCTTTACACATGTGAACTCATTTAGTCCTCACAATCACTCTGTGGGATATGTAATATTTCTCCCACTTTTACAATTGAGGGAACTTAGGCACAGAATGATTAAGTAACTTTCCCAATGTCACTTAGCTGGCAAAGGGTGAAACTTGAACTCCAGAAGTTTAGCTGTATATTCTGTTCTGTTGACCACAGCACTCAAGTACATAATATTTATCCAAAAATACACAGTGTCAAAATTCTCATAAATACATCACATTAGAATAAAATTCTATAATGGAAAAAGGATTACATAAGTTCAAGTCAAAAGAAAAACAATGTAAAATTCTCAAAAACGAAGGCAAAACTTCTCATTTTTTAAAAATCAGTAATAAATATCTATGAGGTGTGTAGATTTCAATGGATATATTTAAAAGTGATGTATCACTTTAATTTTAAATTTTCATTTTTACCAAATTGTATTTTCAGCTTTTGTCAGAAATTGAACTTGTAATTATTTAACCTTATGATAACAAATGTTAAATATCAACTAAGAATGTATAAAGTATACATCAGTTTTAAAAATTGTTTGGAGTTATATAATCAAGTTTCTTTTTTTTCTAAATTCCAGTGGTTTGACCTTCTATTAATTTGCTAAGTGGTACATTTAAAAACCTGTTCGGTGTTATAAAGCTGGTAGAGAAAAATTAATTCTAAGAAATCATCATTGCCTTTGCTGGGAATAAGTACACGCCAACAAATATACATGTAAGTAATAAGAGAGACAGTATCATTATTTAAAATTAAAAATAGTAGTTTAGGATGTTTAAGTACAAAGATTACTTACATGTCAAACCAGCAGGGTTTTCAGCTGCTTGATTGATTTATACAATATAAGTCAATTCTTAAGTCATTGTGGTTACTGTTCTCAAATCAGAAGAATTTTAAAAGAATAGCTTTGAAAAATAACAAATATGATTCTGTCCTTTTGCTACTGGGACATAATGACTCTTTCATGCCTCATGGCATAAGAAACATAAGGCTAAGTCTTCTAAGCTGTATCACTAATGTCAATCCTTTAAAGGAGTCAGTGAAGACAATACAGACATTCATTAAGAACAAAATGAGACAGAGAAGGAAAAGGGTTATGAAATCACGTTAAGTGAAAAAAGCAAATTGGTAATTAATTATATTTATATTGCAATCCTTGCAAATGATAGGGAATAAAAAGGAGGGGAAACATTAAAGGGTTTTTTAAGGAAATGAGACCATGAGGTTGCTTTTTCAATATTTTCCTTTACTATCATATGATATATGAGACAACAAAATCAAGAGAAAGAAATATTAAAAGTGGCTTCAAGGGTTAACATGGCTTCCCCGGGGTCAATGTACAGGTCTGGTGAGTATGGATGGAGTGGAGAGAAATGAACCTCTCCATTGGTCTTGCAGTTTCTGCCATTTGTACCTTCTTCCTTCCCACTGGCCCTAAGAATCTCTGCCCCTCACCAGTAAGGCACAGGCTTTTCAGGTGTAGCAGATACTATTGTCTGGTTAACCCAGCACTCATTTCCAACCCCCTCTCCGATTCCCACCTCAACTAAAAACTCACATGTCAACCTTCATTTGCAGCTAGGTAGCCATGTGACACCTTTCTAGACAATTACATAGAAGCAGAAATCTCTTCAGGAAGATTCTAGCAAAGCCTTTGGTAATTTTTTGTTGATGTTGCTATCGAGGTAATAGAGACACCTGTCATTGACCCTTCTCCCACCTCCTGCTGCCTTAAAGACAAAGGGTTGCCTGGTACTGCAACAGCGACTATAGAACAGCACAGAACCAGCTCTAGCAGTGTTGAGCCACTGAAGCAAAGCCAATAGCTGCCAGCCTGTAAACTTGACACCTAAGCAAAACAAACACCTACTTACTTAATCTGTTGTTACCCAGATATGTTATCACTTGCAGCTGGAAGGATTCCTAATTTATAGACCTGAGGATCCCTGTCACTGGAATTGCCTTAGGTATAAGGTACTCACAAAAATGCCTGAGGAATCAGTGATGGTGAACAACAGAAAACTTAAAAGGCTAACAGGAATATCAAGGCAGTCTCTCCATACAGCATTTGGCTTGGGGCACAATAAGGTGGAAAGTTCCATAAAGACAATGACTATAACATTTGATTTGCCATATCTCTCATTATCACAAAGGAAACTTATTGCCTACTTATATTCATATTGGCTCTGAATCGGAATATTTAAAACGTTGCTCATTTCCAAGCCAAAAGAATCTTCCCCATAGACTTAAATTTAAAAGTAATAAACATAGAAGTTGCAGAGATAGAGAATAAAAATTACTTGTTAAATTTCCAAATAGTTACTGCCAAGCTATGTGTTAAAAATATTTCATTTGTACACAGTGCAATTATAATGATTTTTATTAATTCTCCACCAGACCATTACAAATTTCTTTAAAGGATAATTACACTATTTATTTGCAGTAATAAAAATAAAGTCCTGCCATATAGCAATTAGGTGGGGATAGAGGGCAGAAAACAAAATAAAAATTATGTAATTCTAATGTGTAGTGATGGTTTTTAAAGCTTTTGAATACATATTTATTACATTGGGCTTCCAACTGCACATAGAATCATCACTCATACCATCCTAAGACTTTTGAGTAAATATGCATTAGGCGAGTTTTAAGCACTCATTATTAACTCAGTCAACCAGAACAAATTCATTAACTGTAAGCTTATCTAGTTTATCAAGTGAATCTAGACTGAGTTCATGGGAATGTACTTAAACTTTAAATATTTATTCGTTAGACCTTGCTAGAATCCTAGAGTAATATATTCATTATGCCAGGGATTTTTAATGTGCTGTGTCAAATTATGTTCTCCCAAATGCTCAAGTGATATAATATAATTAACTTTATAGCCTGGGTGTTAATTCTTATGATATAAAGGACCATGAATGAATCACCAGCATTGCAGGGCTTTGCTGCCTTTGGTCACGAGATCCCCCATATGTTGTCTCTTCCAACATTTTCAGCTCTCGCCTCTCTGCTCGTACTAGGATATTTGATTTCTTTCTTCTTCGCCTGAAAAGTCTACTGTTGAACTGAGAAATTCCCTCAAGCCAAACACTGATACCTCCCCCAGGACGTATCTTATTGATACTCAATAAGGTCCTGTGCTTAAAGTTGCCGCTAAATCCAGCCTCCCTTCAAAAGAATCTCTCACCTCCCTAGGGCCAAGGAGGTGAGAATAAAATCACTCGTCCAGCATGAACTGCTATCTCTACAGGATTCACTTTATCTTACATGACACGCACTACCATATTGGTTAAGATACTGTCAATTATTTTTCATATTTGGTTATATCATTATTCTCCACCCTTTCTAAACTCCCATCATTTTTATTTTCTGCACTATCATTTGGCACTTTGCAAAGGCTTATTTTGTTAGTTTTCTTTCAAACCCTCTCCAAACCTCATAAATAGTTATAGTTTGATGACTATTCAGTAAATTAATGATGATTTTAATGACTATATCAGAGACCTATCATATAGGTGTTTAAAAGTTTCAAAATGTCTTTATTCCTTTTCCATGCCACCTAGCAAAGGCATTCTTATTCTTGTGGAAATGTGGAATGAACAGAACCTGAGGTGTATGACTTACACCCATCACCATCATATATAATACAGCTTCTTTCTTTACTCTGAGGAATGAAGCTGCTGAGTAGGCCTTTTCTGCATTGCTAGAAAAGTGTGTAATAAACAAAGGGAAGAAGCTTCAGTAAGCTGGACAACACACACGAGTGATAATCAGAAGGTCTCGCCTTTGTAAATACACATCTTGCTTTTCCAAGGATAGTGTTGTATCTTATTCTTGTCTTTCAAAATATCATTAGCCCTGCAACAAATCATCTCTTAACTCACGAAACATACATTGACTCCACACATACATATCAGCAACCCCTTCACAGTCACACCTTGCTGTTCATACCAAATGTTTCCTGGCTAAACAAGCAAGCATTTATGTAGGGCCATACTTAACCGTTACCTGAATTATCATCAATTCCATGGAAAAACTTACGAGAAAGGATGACAGTTACCCAAGAGCCAACTGTGTGACTGTGTTTGTGTGTATGTATGTGAGCATGTGCAAGCATGTTTCATGTGTCTAACTAGTATAAACAGGATCCTGATATTTACACAGCTTTCCATGAGATACAACACTATCCTTGCAAAAGCAAGATGTGTATTTGCAAAGGAGAGACCTTCTGATTATCACTCGTGTGTGTTGTCCAGCTTACTGAAGCTTCTTCCCTTTGTTTATTACACACTTTTCTAACAATGCAGAAAAGGCCTGCTCAGCAGCTTCATTCCCCAGAGTAACAAACACATCTCAAGTGCCTAGTCCTGCCCTGTCCCTTTACCGACTCCCTCTTTCAAGGACTTGAACACTGTATAGACTTGGAAAGAAGCTGTATTATATATGATGGTGATGGGCATAAGTCATACACCTCAGGTTCTGTTCATTCCACATTTCAACTTATCTTTATTTTATGGGTCTATTTTATTATCATTGAGATTACTGAATCATAAACCTAAGAGGAAAAATGTTCCATTTTAAAATATATTTTATACTATTTGGGGGTTACACTCATAGTATGAATCTTCATATCTATGTCATTTAGTTAAAATGCCTGTGTATTGTATCACACAATGTTATAGTATTTCAACCTCTCTTGCACTCACCCCACCGACAGGTGGCCTCCATAAAGCCAGGGACTTTTATACTCAGTCTTATAAATGTACTGACTAAAATAGTACCCAGCTCATAGTAGACAATCAACAGTATTTGTTAATAAGAAGTCTATCAAAATTAATATTGAAAACCTCAACACATGTGACACTTGGCTGCTCCCATTTTCCTCCCATTTTTCTGCCCCTTGTAAGTCTTCTCTTCATCTTTCTGTGATCTCTCCTAGCAGTTGTGAACATGTGTGATATTTATTTCTTGCCTCTGTGATATCAAGCATAGAAAATAAGTAATTTGCCTTATTAAATTAGATGTATTGGCCTTAACTTTATACTGTTCATGACTCGAATATCTATTTCCAATCCTGATCTTTAATTTAAGCTTCAGTCCTATATCTCTAATTGCATACAAGACCCTACTATTTTAAGGTGATACCTGTCCTCTTCACACTAAAATTGGATCCACTTACTTAATTCCATTCTTTCTATCAATAGGATTCTCTCAGTCAGCCCACTGAAAATCTGAAGCTGTCTTCTACTCTTTCCTTTCCTTTATGCCCGATAGCCAACCAGTTAAAATGATTGGTCTAATCCTAGTTCAAAAAGTCTCCTAAATCCAGTCCTTCCTCTTTGTTTTCATTACTTTATTCTAGTAATAGTTATCATTTTCTCGTATCTGGACAACTACATCAGCATCTTGGTTTCTCTTATTCCAGTCTCTCCTTTCTCTAAAGCCTTATACACCCCACACTTGACTACATGTTCAGTGAATATTAGGGGTCAAGTACTATTTGTTCAATGAATAAATGAAAGAATTATTTAATGGATAAATGTTGTACCATATAACATGCCTTAGATACTGAATTTATCACAGGGGATGTCTGCCCCCATACATTTCAACCTAGACTTCAAATCTGCTCATAACCTGACTCCAACTTTTGTCCACCATGTCTAAATGACCCCCACTGTCCCAGGTAGTTTACGCGCATCAGTCCAGACTCAAGTTTCTCTAGCTCTGAAGAGCACCTCTCACGCTTTTCATATATGTAAAATTTGCCCTATTACCTCTGTGAATAGATGTCAAGAATGACTTGTGCTGCTCATTGGCCTCTCATCTTCTCTGAATTCTTCTAATATTGTCTACATAATAGTAATAAATTTTGACATTCTATCTGCAATGTCACTTCACAACTTCTTGCACATAAGTCTTTTTCCCTCAGAGAGATTTACATAATCTGGGAGGCCTGAGACTGTGTCTTAAGGTCTTTGCTTGACTGACTCCAGTGATTTAAAGGACTGGGTATTTCTTTAATGTCTACGTACTTCATTTTGCCTTTGTATACTTCCTATGAAGAATAAAAAGGGAAACTAACTTTAAAGCAGAACAAAATCTACACATAACGGGTTCCTGAAAGGAGAGAAAACACGTTCTACATCAATTTATTAACAAAGAGTATATAACTCAAGAGGACCTTTATAAGTAGAACTCCCTAAATGTTTTTCATTTATAACCACGAAATAGAAAAAAAAAGGAAAATATCAGGATAAGAATATCTTACTTTTTTTATTGTTTCCTGAAATGCCCAAAATTGACTTGCTAATACTGCATATTAGTAGTCAGTTAAAATGAGAAAAAGCATATACACTTGTTCCTGTTCTTATAAAAGAAATGTCTAGAAAAACATTTCATTCGAAGGTTTTCTATGTACTTAAAAGTAACAAATCTGAATGACCTGTTTTTAAAAGCACAGTAATAGTAATATTAATGCCAAAAGAAAGACAATAAACAGAGCTAGAAATCAGATATCAAAGAAAGTACCATATAATTTTATTAAGAATGTTTGTTCCTGCAACTCAAAAGTTGAAAATACTCTTATCAGATAAGTTTCAAAGATAAGAAGAATGACTGAAGATAAGAGTTTATTTTTTTACCCTCCAAGGACTTTACTTTTAGTAAACTATTAAAAATAATAAAAGATATAACTCAAATTTTTTCACCTAAGGAAATACCCTACTGTTATGGAAATAATTTCCCAACTTTTACTTCCTCTTTTTTCAGATAATTATTTCAGTATTCATTTGGTTTTGGTGCTTAATGGTAAAATAAGAGTTTTTGAGGAAAGATCCCAGGCAAAAACATTAATATATAAACAGAACCAACCCAAGGCAATTTTGAGAGATGAATCGTGTATCTTCTTTTTCCCCTTCAGTCAGCTTCTCTCTTCCTGCCAGGTGTTCTCTGTTGGTTATTATAAGTTTCTAGTCTTATCTTGTACCACTTCCCCAGAAAACCTATTTTCTAAAAAGGCCAATTCACTCAATATGTTACAGTCACTCCTCATGCACACTCAACTCCATGCTTTTATGTGAACAATTGCAGTGGCCCGGAACATTTTCCTCTTCCCATCCAGATCTCACTCATCTTTCAAGGTCCCACTCAAGCCCCACCTTTTCTGTGTAGCCCTCCCTGATCACATCAATATCTTCTGAAATTATACAGAGCTGCAACATTCATGCAAATGCTATGTCTTCCCTCCTCAAGTAGATTTGCATGTCCTGGTAAATAATAGCATGTTTTACATTACAGAAAACAACTGATTTGGACCAAAACATACATCTCTCTGATAAAAATGACTACCTATTCTTTTAACTCTCTCCTCCACTTTCCTGTGTAGAGTTCTGTAAGTTTTCACATCTTGTTTATTGCCCTGTATTTTGATGAGTGCTTATTTAAACATTTCTTTTCTTTCTTTTTTTGTTTTGTTTTGTTTTGTTTTGTTTTTTTGAGATGGAGTCTCACTCTGTCACCCAGGCTGGAGTGCAGTGGCACAATCTCAGCTCACTGGAACCTCCGCCTCCCTGGTTCAAGCAATTCTCCTGCTTCAGTCCCCCTAGTGGCTGGGATTACAGGCATGCATCAACACGCCTGGCGAGTTTTTTTGTATTTTTAGTAGAGACGAGGTTTCTCCATGTTGACCAAGCTGGTCTCAAACTCCTGACCGCGGGTGATCCGCCCACCTCGGCCTCCCAAAGTGCTGGGATTACAGGCGTGAGCCACGGCGCCTGGCCTGTTTAAACATTTCTTATCTTCCTGACAAGAGTATAATCCTCAAAAGAGCAGGGATTTGTCTTATATTGTATGACTCAACCACCAAGACTAGCACCATCATAGGCAGTCTGCTCTCCATATCAGTGGGTTCCATGTCTGTAGATTCAACCAACCGTGGATTGAAAATATTTGGAAAAAAAAACATTCTACAAAGTTCCAAAAAGCAAAACTTGAATTTGCTCCATGCCAAGTACCACTTTGAATCCACACAAATGAAGTCATGTGTAGGCTTTGTAGTAGGTGTTTTCAGTAATCTAGAGGTGATTTAAAGTATACAGGAGGATATACATAGGTTATTTGCAAATACTACACCATTTTATACAAGGGACTTTAGTATCCTTGGATTTTGGTATCTGTGGAGGGTCCTGGAACCAATCTCCCATAGACACCTCATGAATAGTAGATATACAACTATATATGTAATAAGAGATAATTGGGAACTCAACAGTAGTCTAGAGAGTTGGAAAATCCTGGAATCAAATCATAGCTTTGCCATTTCCTAGCCATAGTGATGTAACCTTGGTTTTGCTATTTACCCTTCACCAGCCTCACTTGCTGCATCTATAAAACGTGGTTGTTCTCTGCTATTGTCAGTATTGTTGATGTGGTTGTGGTGGTGTCAGCAGTCTCCTTTTACTCAATAACTGGAAGAACATCCATGTCTGTGACAAGAGACAATTTTTTATTTAAGAAATCTTTCCGGGCATGGTGGCTCACACCTGTAATCCCAGCACTTTGGGAGGCCAAGGCAGGCGGATCATCTGAGGTCAGCAGTTCGAGACCAGCCTGGCCAACATAGTGAAATCCCATCTCTGCTAACAATACAAAAATTGGCTGGGCGTGCTGGTGCATGCCTGTAATCCCAGCTACTCGTGAGGCTGAGGCAGGAGAATGGCTGGAAACCAGGAGGGAAGCAATGAGCCAAGATCACATCACAGCCAGGCATGGTGGCTCACACCTGTAATCCCAGCACTTTGGGAGGCCAAAGCGGGCAGATCACTTGAGGTCAGGAGTTCAAGACCAGCCTGGCCAACATGGCAAAACGTCATCTCTACTAAAAATACAATTAGCTGGACATGGTGGTGCATGCTTGTAATACCAGCTACTTGGGAGGCTGAGGCAGAAGAATCACTTGAACCTGGGAGGTGGTGGTTGCAATGAGCCTAGATCATGCCACCGCACTCCCATCTGGGTGACGGAGTGAGACTCCATCAAAAAAAAAAAAAAATTTTTTAACTATGTCTTTAAACTCTCTTCAGAAAATTTATTGACACTTATCGTTGTATTTTTCTGAAGTTTTTCTTTCAAACTCCTAAAAAATGTATGGGAAGGCAATAAACACAAAGGAAAGGGAATATTAATAATATATATGTTCACTCTTAAAAATCCAAACAAATGATATCACAAAAGTATTTGCTGTCAAATATCACTTTGTGATCTTTGATGGGTGTTCAACCTCAGTTATGAACCATATGTCAGATGTGGGGATGATTTTATGGTTCATTGCAGCCTTGGTAGAAGTCTTTAACCCCATGACAGTTGCTTCAGTGAGAAAGTTCAAAACTACCTTCAGTCATTTCAAATATGACAACATTGACTTGCTTTTTGCTATTTTGAGTCTATTCTGCAGCATAGAGGTATACCAAAAAGGCATCTGAGCAGACATGTGGCAGTCTTCTGATGTGCTAATATTTGTATGCCTGCATGACTCTGATTCTCACATGCCAAAATAGTTAAAGAAGCAGATGTAGGTTAAAAATTGTCGTTTTTTTTTCTTTCTAAGTCATTGCACACAGCTTTTATGCATCATTTGTTTTCCATTATGCAAACTTTAGTATCTTGTTTACCACCGTTCAGATGGACTATTCCTATTTTGGAAAGTTTCTGAGTTTCTGTGAATTGGTCAAGGGTGAGATTTCAACATATAAGGAGCAGTGATTATTCAGTTAAAGAGGAATTTATGATCAACAATGAGTAGTGCAATAAATGCTCAGGAAAGTGAAGAGTTGAACTTGCTAGGGACCTGTCATTCATCTGAACATTCCTTGCTTATTGAGCAAATATCACATTCCAGGCACTTCACTGGGCACTGAGAGTAGATGAGTTGCTTTTCTTAAGAATACTATATATTGTCCTTCACATTTTTGATCCTTAATTAAGATGATCTAATTAACAACTCAAAGCGGAAAACATTGCCACTCCAGAAGATTGGTCTAAACATAAAGAAAAGAGTGTAAAAATCAGTCTCTCAACTATTGTCTTGTTGACTTCCTAGCCATGGTCTTTAAAGCTTTTCAGTACAGTGCCTCCCTAACATCATTATTTCATTAACCCCATTTTTCACAACATTAAATATATTGTCTTATGTAAAGTCAATTAGGGCAAAGCTTCTAAGCTGTAAGTGCATGCTTCATTTAGCCCTTTTACAACTTTCATTTCTCTATTTTGTTGCCATTCTTCCCATCCTTAGAAAAGGTTCTTTCCACTATATCTCCACTAAATCAAGACTGCTTTTCTCAAACTCAAGCAATAGATTCATTTCTCCCAGGAAATCCTTTTAGCATGGCTCGAGTAATGTTGTCCACTCAAATAAACGACATTCCAATCAATGTCATACAATATCTAGATCATTCTAAAATATAAATGTCCTTGGTAAATATTCATTTATTATGCACCTTGCACAGAGCAGCTATATAATTAATATCTGGTGAATGCATAAAATTCCGTTTAATTTCTCACATCTTTAGATGAAGTCTTTCCAATCTACCATCATTTTCTATCACTGTACATTTTAACACTCCGAACAGGAAAATAAATCAATTACAAAGTTATAAAGACCATTAGCAATATTAAGAAAACTTATGTGAAAAAATGTTGGCAAGATGGTGGAATTGAATTTTCCAGCACTCATGCCTCCCACAGAAACACTGATTTGAACAACTATCCATGCATGAAAATACCTTACAAGAGGCAAGGAAACCAAGTAAGAGATTACAGCACCTGGGTGTGGCACAGAAATGAGAAAAGGCACCTTGAAGAGGGTCAGAAGGACAGTCTCACATTATCCATGTCACCTCTCCCCCATGTCCAGGCAGCACAGGCTGGAGAGGAGATAACTTCTGCTTAGGAGAAGGAAAGGAAGGAGAGCATAGAACTTTGCCTTGAACCCCAATACCCAGCCCACTCCAGTAAAACCCAACACTGAGTAGGTGCAGATGGACACAGACTCTGGCTCAATACCCACAGGCTAAACTTCCAGGCCTACCCAGGCACCAGACTGGATCCCATAGGCCCAAGCTCCAGGCCTGCAATGTATACACAGTCTCTGAACTGCCCCACCACTAAGCCAACCCCAGCCAACCCAGTCTCTAGACCACCCCCAGCACCAGGCTGACCCCCACAGCACCAGGCTTCAGGCATGGCCCAGCACAAGGCTGGCACTCAGAGCCCACGCCATCAAACCAGCACCTGCAGGCCAGGGACCCATCAGTTGAGATACAGGCACCAGATTTTCTCAGCACTAGACCAGCCCCTGTGGCCATAGGCTCCAGGCCAGTAACCGTGGACTGAGCCTATAAGTCTGCACCGGCCACAAATAGGATCTTGCAACCCCAGGTTCCAGGCCAGTCTGATAGACTAGGTGTCACAGGGTTGGGCTCCACAGGCCCAGGTTTCAGGTCCACCCAAGCACCAGGCCAGTTCCTGTAGCCCTAGTCATCCAGCCAGCACCCTTGGACCCATCCTCCAGGCTGACCTCTGCAAGTTTGGACCACAATCCCAAAAGATACAATCCTGAATGCCATAATCCCAAATGCTGAAATATCAACAATCCCTAACATCTAAAATTTTAAACATCAAGCCAGGTGCAGTGGCTCACTCCTGTAATCCCAGCACTTTGGGAGGCCAAGGTGGGTGGATCGCATGAGGTCAAGAGTTCAAGACCAGCCTGGGCAACATAGTGAAACTCCAACTCTACTAAAAGCACAAAAATTAGCCAGTTGTGGTGGCACATGCCTCTAGTCCCAGCCACTCGGGAGACTGAGGCAGGAGAATCGCTTGAACCCAGGAAGCGGAGTGAGCCAAGATCATGCCACTGCACTCCAGCCTGGGTGACAGAGCAAGACTCTGTCACAAAAATAAATAAATAAATAAAATTTCAAACATCACAATCACAGGATAGTTGTGTCATTTTAGATGAAATATACCTTGTTTTTGCCTTTGTTTGAAAATTGAGTATGGTTTAAGGAGCTATGTATGGGTACAAGGTGACAAAGGGTAGACTTGTGGACTTACTTTTAGAGTCAACTTGACTGAATTAAGGAATATCTAGAAACCTAGTAGAAAATTATTTGGGGTGTGTCTGTGAGAGTGTTTCCAGAGTAGATTAATGTGTGAGTCTGTGTGGGCTACGTGGGGAAGATCTGCCCTCAGCTTTGACGCGCACCATCAAATCAGCAAGGGTCCCAGACAGAACAAATACAGAAGGTGAAATGGTCCCTCCGAGAGCTGGGAAAGGCTTTTCTTCTGCTTCCTTGGACATCAGAACTCCAGGCTTGCCAGCTTTTGGACTCCAGGACTTATACTAGCAGACACCTAGGTCCTGAGGCTTTCAGGCTTGGACTGAGAGTAATACCATCAGCTTCCCTGACTCTCAATGTAAAAACATTGAAATTTCCTTCAATAAATGAAGAGATGTCCTTTTTTACACATCTGCATTTGTGAAATATAAAATTCTCGAGATCTCAGCTCTTTGGGCAACTGCATATGCAGTAGTAACCCATTGTGGTTTTTGATTGATCTTGCCAAAAGACTTAGATTGTTCATCATGGTATTTTAGATCACTGCAGTTATAAAGCTGGGTGCACACAATTACCAACCATAGTGATGTGTGTTCATGCATTTTGCTTTTTGATCTAATTCTTTAGGAATATGATTCTCTGCTCCTAACTGTTCTACTCATGCTACTGTCAGTAGTATACTTGAGTGCTTATGCTTGCAATAAGTACTTGCAATAAGTCTCTTGCAATAATATGTAAGTTAATATTTTCTATTTTATTCTGTAAAATGGCCTATGAAGTGTTCTGTTGTGTTTTTATGTGTTTGTAAAGTAAATCCCCTTTTAAAATGTAAATAATGTCTTTTAAAGAATTTTTTAATTTTTTTCAGAAATATATTTTGGGGATTTTGATCTTTCAGAATTTTAAACATTTGAGATTATGGCATTTGAGATTGTGTCTTTCAAGATTATCATTGGCCCACCTGTGGGTAAAGGCACCAGGCACACCTAGCAACATGCAAGTCCCTGTGGCTCCAAACTCCAGGCCTGCCCAAGATTTTAGAACAGCCCAGAACTAGGTTGGCCCACAGAGTCCTAGGATTTGAACCCTCTCCAGGCTGGCACCCCTGGCCTCATGCCCTGTGGACACCTGTGGACACAAGCTCTGGGCTTGCTTAGTGCCAGATGGGTCCCTGCAGTCTCACCCACCACGTCGGCCCCTATAGCCCCATGCTTCAACAGACCCAGCTGGAGCCTGGGAGGCCTTGGTAGACAGACCAGTTCCCATGGACTGAGAATCCAGGTACCCCTCAGTAGATCCAGGACCCAGGACCATTCCTATGGACTCAGGTGCCAGGCCCACCTCAGTGGACCCAGGTACCAAGCCAATCCTGGCACCTGGCCAGTCCTTGCAGACTCAGGCTCAGAACCCAAACCACCAGAACAGCCTCTATGGACCCTGGCTTCACAGATACAGGCTGCAAGCATATCCTCTCTGTGGACCCAACCAACAGGTGGGTCCAGTGGATCCAAGCCTCAGGCTCAACCTCATGGCCCAGCACCAAGGCGAACTTCCAGAGAACTCCAGCAGCAAGCCCGTCCATGGATCATGCCAAATAGCCTGCCCAAAATCTTTGAGTAGGCTGACTGTCAAAGGAGTTTCCCAAATAAAGTCAGTCTGCAAAGACTAGGATGCCTCTCTCTTTCTTCAAATGCACAGACATCAATGTAAGGCAACAAGAAACATGAAAGACCAAGGATATGTAATACCAGCAAAAGAACACAATAATCTCCCAGTAAATGACCCCCCCCAAAAATGAAGATATATGAACTGCCTAATAAAGAATTCAAAATAATAGTTTTAAGAAAGATAAGTGAACTTCAAAAAAATACAAACAATTCAATCAAATCAGGAAAACAATAAATGACCAAAATTAGAAATTTAATGGAGAGATTAAAATGATTTTAAAAAAACAAATTCTAGACCTGAAAATTATAATAAATGAAATGAGAAATGTAGTAGAGGCCATCAACAGCAGAATTGATCAAGCAGAAAATAAAATCTGTCAACTTGTAGACAGCTTATTTAAAAATATATAGTCAGAGGAGAAAAAATAAAAAGGAATAAGAAAAATTATGGGATTTATGGGGTAGTATCAAAAGAGCAAATGTTTTAGTTATAGGAGTTTAAGAAGGAGAGGAAAGAGGACAAGTAATAGAAAGCTTATTTTTACAAAATAAAAGCAGATAACTTTCCAAATATAAATATATAGGAGATTAAAAGTGTCCATTCAGATTCAATCCAAGCAAGGCTACATCAATACATATTATAATCAAACTGTCCAAAATCAAAGACAATGAGAATATCTTAAAAGCAGAAAGAGAAAAGAAGCAAATCTTATATAAGGGAGTTTTAATAAGGCTAGCAGCAGATTTTTAAGCAAAAGCTTTGCAGGCCAAGAGCGAGTCAGATGATATATCTGAGGTGCTGAAGGGAAAAAAAAAAAACTACTAACCAAGATTACTGTATCTAGAAAACTTATCCTTCAGAAATGAAGAAGAGATGATGACTTTCCCAAAAAACAAAAGCTTAGGGAGTTTACCACCACCAGACCTGTCTTACAGGAAATGCTAAAAAGAGTTTTTCAAATCAAAAGAGAAATTAATTAGTAATATGAAAATGTATAAACATATAAAATACACTGGTAAAAGTAAGTACACAGTCAAAATCAGAATATTGTAATACCATAATAGTAGTGTGTAAATCACTTATATCTTTGGTATAAAGGCAAAAAGACCAAATTGTTAAAAACAATAATAGTATGATAATTTGTTAAAGGATACACAATGTGAAAAGAAATAGATTGTGACCTGCAAAAGATAAAATGGGGAAGACAGAATAAAAATGTTGAGTTTTTCAATGTGACCAAATTTAAGTTGCTATCAGCTTAAAATGGCCTATTATAAGATGTTTTATGTAAGCCCCATGGTAAACACAAAGCAAAAACCTATCGTACATACACAAGATAAAAAATAAGGAATCAAAGTATTTAACTAGAGAAAATCACCTAATCACAAAGAAAGACAGGAAGAGAAAAAGAAAGAGAGAAAGAGAGAGGATGAAAGAAAGAAAAAAGGAAGAAAGAAAGAAAGAGAAAGAAAGAAAGAAAAGAGAAAAGAAAAGAAAGAAAAAGGAAGCAAGGAAGGAAGGAAGGAAGGAGAAAAGAAAAGATCACCCAAATTGAAAAGGAAGAAGTTAATTTGTTTCTGTTTGCAGACATCATGATCTCATATATAGAAAACTTTAAAGACTCCACCCAAAAACTATTAGAACCAATAATTCAGTAAAGTTGCAGGATACGTAATTAACATACAAAAACAGTAGCATTTCTATACACTAACAATAAACTATCCGAAAAAGAAATCAAGAAAACAATTCCAGTCACAATAGCTACCAAAAAATAAAATAAAATGATTAGAAATAAACTTAACGAAGGAGGCAAAAGACCTATACACTGAAAATTATAAAACATTGAGGAAAGAAATACAGAAAGGCAAAAATAAATGAAAAGATATCCTGTGTTCATGGATTGGAATAATTAATATTGTTAAAATGTCCATAATACCCAAAGTGATCTACAGATTCAATATAATCCCTATCAAAATTCCAATGGCATTTGTCACATAACTAGAGAAAACAATTCTAAAATTCATACGGAACTAGAAAAGACCCCAAATAGCCAAAGCAATTTTGAGCAAAAAGAACAAAACTGGAGATTTTACATTACCTGAATTCAAAATAAACTTCAAAGCTACAGTAATCAAAACAACATAGTATTGGCATAAAACAGATACATAGACCAACAGAACAGAAGAAAGGACTCAAGAAAAAACCATGCATTTACAGTCAATTGATTTTTAACAAGGTGCCAAAAACACACAATGGAAAAAGGACAGTCTCTTCAATAAATGTCACTGAAACAACTGGATATCCACATGAAGAAGCATGAAATTAGACCCTTATCTCACACTATATGCAAAAACCAACTCAAAATGGCTTAAAGACTTAAATGTGAAGCCATTGTGGAGGACAGTGTGGTGAATCCTCAAGGATCTAGAACCAGAAATGTCATTTGACCCAGCAATCCCATTACTGGGTATATATCCAAAGGATTATAAATCATCCTACTATAAAGACACATGCACACGTATGTTTATTGCAGCACTGTTCACAATAGCAAAGACTTGGAACCAACCCAAATGCCCATCAATGATAGACTGGATAAAGAAAATGTGGCATATATACACCATGGAATACTATGCAGCCGTAAAAAAGGACGAGTTCATGTCCTTCGCAGGGACATGGATGAAGCTGGAAATCATCATACTTAGCAAACTAACATAGGAACAGAAAACCAAACACCGCATGTTCTCACTAATAAGTGGGAGTTGAACAATGAGAACACATGGACACAGGGAGGGGAACATCACACACTGGGGCCTGTCAGGGGTTTGGGGGCTAGGGGAGGGATAGCATTAGGAGAAATACCTAATGTAGATGATGTGTTGATGGGTGCAGCAAACTACCATGGCATATATATACCTATGTAACAAACCTTCATGTTCTGCACATGTATCTCAGAATTTAAAGCATAATTAAAAAAAAAAAAAAGAAAGGAACAATGTTATGTCCTTTGCAGGGACATGGATGCAGCTGGAGGCCATCATCCTTAGCAAACTAGGGTAGGAACAGAAAATCAAACACTGCATGTTCTCACTTATAAGTGAAAGCTAAATGACGAGAACACATGGACAGATAGAGGGGAACAACACACACTGTCAGAGGGTGGGGAAAGTAACTACCGCTACTAGTCTTAATACCTGAGCGATGAAATAATCTGTACAAAACTTCCATGACACATGTTTACCTATGTAACAAACCTGCACATGTACCCCTGAACTTCATAAAATTATTGGAAAAAGAAAAAAAAACTACCAGAACACGTAAGAGAAAAGTTCCATAACATTGATCCGAGCAATGATTTTTTTTGGATATGACCTCAAAAGCAAAAGCAAATAAAGCAAAAATAGACAAATAAGATTACACCAAATTCAAAAGCTCATGCAAGCCAAGGAAACAATCAACAGAGTGAAGAGACAACCTACGGGATGGGAGAAAATATTTGCAAACTCATACATCTGATAATCATTTAATATTCAAAACATACAAGGAATTCAATTCAGTAGCAAGAAAACAAATAACCCAATTAAAACATAGCTAAAGGACCTGATTAGACATTTCTCAAAAGAATAAATACAAATGGCTAGTAAGTATAAACCAAAATGCTCAACATCACTCATCATCAGGAAAATGTAAATTGAAACTATAATCAGATATCATTTCACACCTATTGGAATGGATATTATCAACTAGATGAAAGATAATTGCTGGTGAGTATATGGAGGAAAGGAAACCCTTTCACGTTGTTGGTGGGAGTAAATTAGTGTAGTCATTATAGAAAGCAGTATGGAGGTTTCTCAAAAATATTAAAAATAGAACTACCATTGGATCTGGCAATCCCAATACCGGGTGTATATCCAAAGAAAACGAAATCAGTATGTCAGAGTGATATTTACACTCCCATGTTTACCGCAGCATTATTGGCAAATAGCCAAGATACCAAATCAACCTAAGTGTTCATCAATGGATCAATGGATAAAGAAAATATGCTAAATATATGCAAAGGAATACTATTCAGCCTTAAACAAGAAGGAAATTCTATCAAGTGAAATAAACCAGGCACAGAAAGACAGATACCACATAATCTCACATATATGTGGAATCTAAAAAATCGAACTAATCCAAGTAGAGAGTAGAATAGTGATTAACAGGAGCTGGATACATGGGGGTTTGGGGAGAGGTTGGTCAAAGGATACAAAATTCCAGTTCGAGAGGCAGAATATATTCCTAATCAATTGTACAATGTAGTGACCATAGTTAATAACAGTACTATACTTCGAAAAATGCTAAGAGAATAGATTTTAAGTGTTCTCACCATAAAAAAAGGGATAAGTATCTGAGGTAATGGATCTGTTGATTAGCTCTATTGAGCCTTTCCACAATGTATGCATAATCTAAAACATCACGTACAAGATACTACAATTTTTAGTTGTCTATTTTGAAAATAATTTGTATGAGGTTTGCAGAAATAGAAAAGTGAAGATTCAGTCATTTAACAGTACGAACCACTTTAAAGGAATCTTAGATTTTCAGAAGTGAGTCCTGAAGAATATAGACTCAGGCAACAGATGTTTAGTAAAGCCATCCTCAGTTTTCTAAGAAAAAAAAAACATACACATACAAACAAAAAACAATGGTCAAGTCCTGAAAGGGTATCTTTTGCTTAGGAATTTCAGTAATTGATAGATCCAGGAAATCTCACAGAGGAAAAACAGATTTCCAAATGAGTCATTCCATGGAAATGGTTCGGTGGAATGGCTACATTCCTGAGCTTGGCTTCCCAGAGGTCTCCTTGGCCAGAAATGGTGGACGGCAGCAGGAACTTCTCAAATCATGCCAAGATCCTGGGACTGACCTGGAATGGAACCATAGAGAAGCTGGAACAGAAGCTGTTTGTTCATTTGCCAACATTTACCTCAGTATGAAACTGCCAAATAAAAAATGCCAACAAATTTTTAAGAGAATTCCCCTTGGCTGCACAACAATAAGAAAAGGACCGAGTAAAAATTAAGATGTAAATATTTACAATGCCCTTTCCTGAGCTCAGTGCACAGAATCTTGCCTAATGTTTGATAGCAGGAAGCATCCTTTCATCAATTTTGTGTTATAATCAACCTTATGAATTAAGAATAAAACCTTAAATCAGATCATGATACACAGTTGAGGCTATTTCCCACATAGGCACACCAATGCTGGAAAACATAAACGTTTAAAAAAAAGAACACCAATTTGTAGGACCTAAGTCCAGAAAATATAAGGATAAATATACATCTTACTTATTAAGCTTTATGTGCTTTTCAACTGAAGGCCTTGTTAAAGGAACAGTCAAGTATAATTACTTGGTTATTGGACCAAAAATAAAGTATAATTTTCTATATATATGTGTCACAGAAAGAGGCCACTTGGGATAGTGGCCCAAAATTGGGTATACAGGAGATTTCAGTAGAGATGCTTTCATTATTGCATTGCAATAAAGATTTACAAGTTAATCAAATGCCATGAAATGTTTCTTGGATAATCTATGCAGCCAACACTGCATTGACGAGTAGGTGTTTAAATTTACAGCCTCAAAGCAGTGGAAGTTTGCTGACAGATACAGCACAGAACATCTTAGTAGGAAAACACCCTTGAAAGCAATTCTTTATTATGTTCTCAACATCCTCTTTCCCACCTGTGCCTGTAGCCCCAGGAGCTGCCAGCCCTTCAGTAATGACACACAATCTATTAGCTTAAAACACTGAGGCAGTTGGACAGGAGCTATCTTTGGACTAAAGTACATTGTCTGTCTGCTGTTTACCTCTTAACTCATGCCTTGTTATGCCCACGTACCCTGCGGTCCCCTTTTAAGCATGTTTGCCTATGCATGTAATGGGAGTGAGTGAACAGGCTTGGTTTGGGAATTCTCCCAAATAGCTTCATTGGTGATCTTAACCAGTACTATCCAACTCAACTCCTAAATGTGAGTAGACCACAAAGAAGGCAGTATGTCCCCGGTAGTCTAATTACATTGTTATTTAAGCACATTCTGTTCTTTTTAATATTTTGTTTTTATCTTTTACTGTTATTAAGCTTAATAATGTAATACCGTATCTGATATTTTAAATTCTATATATACACCAAAAAAAGGAAAGTTGAAGGAGGAGGTCAGACACATAAAAGTGTGATATCTCCAGTCAGAGCCAAATTCCTAAAGGGTTAGCCCATTAAACAGCCAAGCAAAATAAGACACAATCGGTGCTAACTTCATTTTCAAAAGTTCCCACGTGTAGGTTTTATAAGTGCCTAGAGGGATGAGTTAGCCTCAATTGTGTCTTGTTTAATTTGGCCACATAAAGGGCTAACCCTTTTCTAACTTGGCTCTAGTTGTAGATATCTCACCTCTAACGTCTGAACTTGATTCTTAACTTGGCTTTTTCAGTGCACATTAAATGTTTCTGATTTGGTATCACTCTAAAAGAATTTGTAAGTGGTTTCTTTGCACTATGTCTGGACGGATTGGGGTCAGGTGTGATTGGTGGGTTTCCACTGTTAAATTATTCCACGCTCCCTCACCCCCACCTAATGGCTACACCTTCTGAGTTCATCTTCTGAGTGGGAGGCCAAAATATCCTGAGATCACGTACTGGGGAACTTAGATATACACACTGCAATTGCAACAAAACAAAATTGATATCTTACTTTGTTGAATAAATGTGTTGTCTTTGCCAAGAGCTTCTGATTGACAATTTTAACTTGAGAAAAAAATAAAGAGAAATTGTCTAATCTAGTAGATAGAATGCAGAAATTAAGTCACTATTTCTATTTCTCCATGTGTTCAATAGACTACAATTTATTACAGAATTCCCTAGTTTATGATTTAGCATGAAGAAATACAATTGGAATAAACCTCTAAACTCCCTCATAGAAATTAACTGCATTCGTTTCCCCCTAATGCACACACACCAAAAAAGAATTTAATCCTACCTGTAGAGATTCATAAAACACAAGATAACCTAAATTATTATAAGAAAAAAGAAAACTTGTATAAAGATTCATAAAATGGAGTAAGCAATGAGTAGATGAACTACAAGTCTTAGAGTCAGAAAACTGCATCTGTACACTGAGTTACGAGTTTTATAACCAGTGGTAAGTCATTTGACCTCACTGAGCCTCCATTTTCTTGTGCATAAATAAAAATTATAATAATTTCTACCTCACTGACAGAATCACATGAGACTACAAACATGAAAGTGCCCTGTAGAGTATAAATTCCAATAACATATTTCACAAATACTATAAAAGAATTAGAGAATGATTAAGTGTTAAATTACAGTGTGACTATAACTGCGAGAGTTCAGAGAAAGGATAGTCCTATGAGTTGGAGATTAGAAAGTGTGCTTTGGAACAGGTGTGATTTGAGGTGGACCTTAAAGGATCTGTTCAATTTGAGCAATACAAGGAAAGAAGAAAGTTCTCTGAATAAGAGAGATAGAAAAGGAATCAGGAGAGGGAGAAGGCTGGCGAGCAGCAGAAACAGATGCATACAGAGAAAAATCACTGCATAGAGAGGAGAGGTGTTAGCCATGAGGAAACAAGAGATAACAGTGCACACCAAGGAGTAACAGAAAAGGGACGGGAGGGACTGAAGGAGCCCTGTATGGACTGAACATTTATGTCCCCCCAATAAGCTGAATCCTTAGTACCCAATTCATAAGCTGAATCCTTAGTACCCAATTCATAAGCTGAATCCTTAGTACTCAATATGACGGTATTTAAAGATGGAGTCTTAGGGAAATAATTAGGGTTAGATAAAGTCATGAGGGTGGGGCTCTGGTCTAATGGGATTAGTACCATTTTAATAAGAGACACCAGTGAGAGTGCACTTTCTCTCTCTCTTTCTCTCTCTCTCATTATGGGTACACAAAAAAGAGGTCATGTGAGCACACAGCAAGATGGTGGCCACCTACAATCCAGAAGAAAAGGCCTCAGAATGAAAACAACTCTGCCAGCACCTTGATCTTGTACTTCTCAGCCTCCAGAACTGTAAGAAATAAATTTCTGTTGTTTAAGCCATCCAGTCTATGGGATTTTGTTATGGCAGCTGGAGCTAAGACAAGTCCCAGGTATGGAAAGCCTCAAAAGTCAGACAGAGTGATTGGGCTAATGCGTGGACTATAGGCTCCTGGACAGTGTGACAAAAGGAAAGGGGTATCTTTGGAATAGTATTGCAGTAATGGTGCACGGCGTGAAATGAAAAGAAATGAGGCTGAAGGCAGAGAAGCAAGCCAGGAAGCTGTTTCTAAAATCCATATATTGTGTGATGAAGTAATGATTGGAAACAGCAAAGCGACTGGAGAGGGGAGGGTGAACCTAATGGACATTTCTAAGACACAACAGTATCCAGTGATTGCGAGAGAAAAAGAGGAAAAAGTCATCCTGACTGTTAATTAGGCTCTGGTCTCATTTGCCTATTTTTAAAAAATGGATGAAGGGCTTGGGGTAAGCAGGTTGAATTGCTCAAAACAAGAAACTCAAAAACTATTATTATAATCATCGTCCTCATTATTAATATAAAGTGCTAAGTCATTACTCATGGGTTGGCAAATCAAAGGCTGGGAAATGAGAAGAACTATGTTCAGTTTTTGGCTTTATTCCAAGTCATATCTCTAACTTCAAAGTTTCCAAGGAAGCTGCTTCCACATCCAGCAAAATAGGAATAAGTAGCCAAACACGCTCTTATTTCTCTCATAAGTTTATCTGTGAGTTAGTGAAACAGCATTTGTGAATAGTTGGAGCCCTGCAAAAATATTGCCTTGCAAATATAAAAATGACTAAGCCCAAGTAACTGTTATTAATAATTATTCATGGCCAGTGGAACAATTAACCTTCAAAAAAATGTTTTTTTTATGAGGAGCGTCAGAAATTAGGACTCAGCATTTCATTACGAGGCATACATTAGTTATTCAAAGAATACACTGAAAATGTAGATATTTAAATCGCCAGATTTTTCTGCTTAATTAAATGTAAATCATCTTAGTAGATGATTTTATGATGTCTTAGTAGATTTTATTACGTCTTAGTAGACATTATCTCAATATCTAAAGGAACTTTTCCCTTCTAGAGTCTGTTTATATATATCAGAGATAAAAATACACAAGAGATGTGAGCAGAAACATATATTCATCAGATCACAGAAACTATTTTAGGCAGTTCTTTGTTACTAAAAATGGTTTGATGAACTATTTATTTGTGTGTCTGTGTGTGTGTGTGTGTGTGTGTGTGTGTGTGTGTGTTCGTGTGTTTTGTATAAATCTAATTTAGAACATTAGAACTAAAAATAACTTTAAAGATCTAGTGTAATTCTCTTATTTGACAGATTCAACCACTGCAACCCAAGCTTATATACTCACATTTCACCAAAGAAATGAACCGAGGTAGAGAGTTAAAGTAATTTGGCAAGGTCATCAATGGGGCAAGTGGCAGAGCTCAGACTTACATGTGTGGCTGAAATTCCAAACCTGTCCTTTTTAATGCCAAAGCCCATGATCTTTACATCATGTCATGCTGCCTGCCTGTCCTCTGCCCAAAGGCAACATTAGGAACACAGAGCCATTTTAAGAGAGCTGAGTGAGGCCACTCTGGGCCTCAAAATACCTAACATGCTTCAGGATAATCCACTCTCCAAGAGGACCTGTTGATTTGGGGAAGAGCCAAACTCATCCCTAACCACATCTTCCCAGATCAGATTTTTCATGCAGTTACCGAGTTGAGCTCAAAACCAAATCTGAAATTGAAGCCCAGAGACAATGCATCACCCCCGTTTCTTTCCACCTGTCCTTCCTACCTGGCTTTCCTCAGAAGGCCAGTTTGGGAGATAAGGAAGGCTTGCCTTCCGGGCCCTCTGACCTCTGCTACTTCCCCTCCTAAGTTACCGAGAACTCTTCCCGCAGCCATTGGTTCAGCTGGACCCCTGTAGCGTCCCATGCATGCAGCCGCCCACTTTGCCCAAATCCAGGGCCTGGGTTTCTGACATCGCGCTTCTTGAGTTTCAGGTGTGATGATCTAATTGTTGCAAAGACAAAATTTACCAAAATGTGCTTCTCTTAACTCACAAATAAAACACTTTTCATATTCAAGTAAGTTTTGGAAACTGTTGATTATATTCTTTTCTTGGAAATTCACTCTACACATAATAAAGCCTTTGGGAAATTTCTAGTTAAAAGAAGAAGAAAGAGATGGAGAAGAAGAAAGAGAAGGAAAGGAAGAAAGAGCTACAGGGAGGAAGAGGAAGACGAAGAGGAGGAGGATGGGGGAAAGGAAGAGAAAGAGGAGGAAGAGGAAAAAAGAGAAGAGGAGGAGGAGAGGTAGGGCAAGAATCCTTTGTTTCTATTTAACCCAGGGTTTGCCAAGCTTGTCTGGTCACAGACCCCCTTTGTTTACTTAATATGTCTCAGAAATAATATTCTGTAAAATGCATTTTAGAAAAATTTGCATTAAGGTCTTTATGCCTGTAATTGGATTAATGTGCTGCTCGTCCTTGCTAATGTACTTGTAATTTAACTTGAACTTCCTAGAAATATACCCTAACCCAAGGGAACAATCCCTGGAGGGAGAATCTTATACAAATGGCAGTCCCTTGAAGGAGGTGAATGGCAGAGTTTTCCCTGCCCCACAAAATGTCATAAGGAAATGCAGTCCGCCTGGCACAGATGCCGCCAGCCCCTCCATGCCTGCTCCTACTGTGAACACCTACTGGGGACCCAGGAGTCTCCGTGGCAGGGCTTTTTTCAAAATCACATTTTTATACATAAAAGCATACGGATATAAAATCCCCGAGGAGAAAATTGAAATGATACGGTTTTATCACACAATATTTTTCTGCAGCATTTATTGAAAAAGGCATTATCACATGGAATCCCTTTGAATTGCATTTTGATTTGTAATTTTATTTATTCATGGTTTTCTGATGTCAAGGTGTTGTGGGAGCTTAAAATTCTATTTTAGATCCACTTAATTGTGTTTGAAAAGATCTATGAAAACAGTTCCTGCCGTGTGACTTGTCAGTGTTATCTGTGCTCTGGGAAATGGCTCCAGCAGCTTCCTGCAGGGGTCCTGCCAACAGGCTGCATTTTTTCTCACCATCACACTCCTCTCCACAACTAGCTCAAACCAAGCCTCATAAACCCGACTGACAAACCTCACAAATATCCATCTCCCCTCCTCTACACTCAGCTCCCCCTGTTGAAATGATATTGCTCCAGTGGTTGATGATATTGCTCTGATGGTTAATCAATGCTGGATTAACCAGAGCCTCTCCTAGCCTATACTTTTGCTTCTCCTTCTCCTAAATTTGTCGTCGTCCTCCTCATTAGCCTCTCCAATGCTCCCTCTCCTATTGCATCTACTACTGCAGCATCAGCAGATAAGCCAGAAAATAAATAGTGGCAAAATTCCTTCTAAGGCAGCCTCATTTGCAATGGCAATGGGAGGGAAAATGGACAATGGCCCATGGAGGCTTCCACAAGCTCATAATTGTGTCTATTTGCTTCCTTCTCAGTCATCTAACATTCATTCATTTGTCGAAAAGAAAAATTGAGGGCCTACTTTGCTTATAACAAGATATGATGGTTAATTTTATGTGTCAACATGACTAGGCTAAGGGATGCCGAGGCAGCTGGTAAAACATGATGTCTGGGTGTGTCTGTGAGGGTGTTTCCAGAAGAGATTAGCATTTGAATTAGTAGACTAAGGAAGATCCACTCTCACCCATGTGGGTTGGCACCATCCAATCCATTGAGGGCCTGAATAGATGAAAAATGTGGAAAAGGGTCAAATTCACTCTCTGAGCTGGGACATCCATCTTCTCCTTCCCTCAGACATCGGCACTCCTGGTTATTGGGCCTTGGGACTCAGACTGGGACTTTCACCATCAGGCCCCCTGGTTCTCAGGTCTTCACACTCAGACTTAGGCTAAATTACACCACCAGTTTTTCTGGTTCTCCACCTTGCAGGTGGCAGATGGTGGGACTTCCTGGTCTCCATTATCATGTGAGACAATTCTCACAATACATTTCTTCATATGTATATATAGATATATATATATGTCTCCTATTGACTCTGTTTCTCTGAAGAATTCACATTACTACACAAGCAGATATGAAGAATCACGATCTGTAGTTATTTCTCACCCAGACTTTCAATATAGTTGGGTAAAAAACCTTATCACAAAAAAAAATTTATAATGACACAGTGGCAAAACAACAGTGCATGTGGCATATTGCTTGGATTTTATAGAATGCATTCACTTTTTTAAAAAGCTTTCTTTAACTCCTACTATGTGCCAGGTAATATGCTTGGGGCTAGCGGTGAATGAATGAAAGAAGATCCCTTGCTGTCAAGGAGCCCACTTAATGTCTAGCAAGGAAGAGGGAAAAATTAATAAGCCCCTACAGGATGGTGAGACGAATGCTTTAAAAGGAGTGTTTCAAAAGTGCTGTAGAAAAACAGAAATTCCAGCCATGTGGGGATCTAGAAAAGCTTCCCCAGGAAATACATCCTGAAGTGAATTTTGAAGTGGAGAAAAAGTCTGACATGGTTGTAAAAGGGATAAGAGCATTTAAGTGAGGAAGAGCAGGAAAAATGTTAAACAGTTCATAAGTGAGAGAGAACATGCCGAGTTTGGAGAACTGGGGCTCATTTGCCGTGGATGGGGCATTTGTTGCACATACAGGTGTCAGGAAACAATGATAGGAGAGGAGGTGCCAGTCCAACCGTGGGGGGTCTAATATGTCCTACCAAGAAATACGGACTTTATCCTTAGGTAAAGCAGAATCATCGTCACATGTTGGACAAAGAAATCATGTAATGTAATTTGAATATTACAAAAATCACTGAGGCAGAAATACAGGATGAATTTAGGCAAGAACTAATCCAGGAGCGGAGAGAATGTGAACCAAGACTGAAATGGTGAGAAATCAAGGGTGATTTCCAAATGTCTGGCTTCAGAGAGTGAGGCAGTGAGGATTCCATTTACTAAAATATGTTTGAGGGAGACTGATTTTATTGGTTGAGTTTGAGCTGAACAGATTCAGGTTTTCTATGGGATATTCAAGTGGAGGCATCCATTAGATATGAGTATAGGCTAGAGATAAACATGAGTACTTTCTGCATGTATGGTGGCAGCGGAAGCCATGGAAACACTAAGTTTGTCAAATGCTGTGAGATCATCCAAAGGAAATCCCACAGAGGGAGGGGAGCAGAAAGATGCTAGATCTCTAGGCAACTCCAACATCCACTGGGCAGATAGAAGAGGAAATAACAGCAGCAATTGAGAAGCTGTCCAGAAAAAAAGCTAGAGAATCAAGGTAAAAATGGTGTCATGGAAGTGACTCCTCCCGTTGTGAGCCTAAGGAAAAGGGGAGGATTCTTCCCTCTGTGTGGGAACTGAGGCCTTCGATTTTTGCAGGCCTTGCTGAGGGACAAGGGCATAACATCAGAGATCCAGCGCTACCTCTTTTATGTCCTGACTGTTGATATATTCTTTGCTCTGCCTTTTTGCTGGTTTGGTAGCAAACTGATGTGAAAGCAATCTGATTCATCTCCCTAATCTATCTTCAAACTGAGGAAGACCTCTGTGATCTTCCTGGCCTACTTAATTACTACCTCTTGTTTACCAATAAGGAAAACGAGGCTCAGAGAGGCTGAGACTTGCCCTCTCACATAGGTAATAAGAATTAGCACCAGTATTAAACTCCCACCTGGCTTCAAATGGAATCATTTTCCACTATATTCTACTGGTTCTAATAACATTCCTCATTTGTACCCTTTTTAAAAAATCTTTTCAAATTCTTTCTTCCAAATTGATCCAAATTAAAACTGGAGACCATTTTTGAAATTTGACCTTGCAGCCCTCACATAAATGGGAACCTCATTGCACATTCTGGAAAGCAGCCTATGAAAAATACAGACCAGTAAAGATTTTTAGTTATTCTTGCTGTGTAAATGCTGTGTTTCTGTTGTATTTTCCCTTCTTCTATTTGAAAAAGACAAAAAAAAAATAGATAAATGAATGAATGAATGAATGAAAACTTCAAATTTCAATCAGGCCTTAGAATAGCATTGATCAATAATATCAATTGCATTTTATTTGAAAGCAACCCAAGGAAGAAAAATAAATCCAGGTGATCATATATAAATATTCCACAAATAATATGCAAATAGAATTTGTATGACCATATCATGTATCCAGGAAAAAGACCCATGAAAACCATAAAAGACAATTAGTCTCAACCTCAGTGTCATATTTTGTGAGTCAGACAACTATGTAATCTTAAGTAAAATATACTGTGCGAATGGGGTGCTGTGTAAGTTGGGGTCAGATTAAAGAGGCTATTTTTGTTTAATCTAGGAGAATATTTTTTAAAGCATCAGAATGTATCCCCAGCGACTGAAATTATTATGCTGCAAAAAGGAAAGAAATTAGGTCAAAACTCATTATCAAGCGGCATTTCCACAAGCAGCAGGGGAATATGCTGTTTCCTATCAGACATTACATCCAGAGTCTGGGTAGGTTTCTTTCCTGAATCTGAGCCTAAAAATCTACTTCATTTCCTCACCTTTCCCAGCATTTATAAGTATCCAAGTCTCAACAGTGGTCATGAGTAGTAGACAAACTACTCCAATTCCCTGTGCTGTAAAACTTATTTTAAAAAGCAACTTGTAAATTCAGAAGCTTGCTTCAGTTTCTTCTGTCAACCAATAATGGCCAACTATCTCCATCCTCAGGAACAGACAGAGAAAAAATATTACAGCCAAAAATTACTTTCTTTTTTTTAACCAGAATAAATTATTTTTGGCACAATTTTGCATCCATTTCTTCCCCTCTGGAGGACAGTTTTGGAATTTAGGGCTCTAGACTTGAATTATCAACTTTGGATTTTGCTTTAGGGCCATGATTCTAAGTGACAGAGAGCATTAATTGTGGTGTTCTTTGTTCCACTGGCATCTTTCTTCAGAAAGCTCCAAGCAATCCTGTTTGGTGTTTTATCTCTTGAATTCTCACAGAAGCCCTAGAAAGTAAAACTAGCACTATGATTAATCTACTTTCTAAAATATGAAAATGTTTCTATCGTGTGCATAATTCTATGCAGTGAAGTAAGATGCCTATCTATTTATTTATAATTTTGTTATCCAATGAGAGTCATAGTTTATTTCTGATATTCAGGCTCTATTAAGGCAGATACTTTGTATTGTTTACTGGATGAATGAATAGATAGATGGATAAATAAATGAATACATAGTTATATACCATAATCTTAGTGTATCTTATTCTTCCATTTACTTCTGACAAAGGTAGGTGAATGAAAAATGAATGATGGATGCACAGATGAATAGATGGTTAGAGAAGTAAGTGGATAGAGGATATTTGAATGGAAAGAAAGATAGGTGGGTGGGTGGTGGATGAATAAAGGAAAAGATGCATAGATAGCTCAGTGTATGGACAAATGGATGAATGACACTGATAATTCTGACCAAAGATGTCATTTTAAGCCATGGGTGAGTACACAAGAATCTCAAGTGACATCCACTAGGAGCTCAAGCAAATAGAAAATCCACAGAGATAAAAGGAAGAACTAGGAAGAACTAAGTTGGATTAGAAATGAGTAGCGTTTGCTGGGGGGAAAAAAAAAGCTTCAGGCAAATAAAACATACTTGGCTCACCAAGTTTGGGGTTAAATCCAATACAGGGTTCCATATTGCTGTAGTTCTAAAAAGACTCCCACAGAGTTTGCTGCAGGATAATGAAGAGGAAACCAAGAGACAAGCCAAGGGCATTGGCTCCAACCATCCTTCCATCCCCCAGTTGAACTAGAACAGCTCCACTGGTATCACTTTTACATACTGTGGCTCCTTATAAGATTTTACTTAAAAGGACATTCCCACTTTGACAAAAAGTAAACTAAAAGGATGAATAAATGAATGAATGAAAACTTCAGCAAATTTTAGTGAGGCCATAGAATAACACTGATCAATAGTATTGGTCACCTTTTAACTTCAAAATAACCTGAAAAAAAAAATCAACCCAGGTGAACATATACAAATGTTCTACACATAATATGCAAATAGAATTACCATACCATTGCCAGGTAACATATTCATAAAATGGAAATAATTGTTAAAGCATCCTCTAAACTAGGAGGAATTATGTCCTGCTTATCTTACAGGACTGTCCTAAGGCAAACGACCTACTGTAAGAGAAAAAGGCTTTGAAACTCACAAAGAGCTTCATAAGTATATGGCATTATCAAAATTACAAGAAATACAAAAAATTTGAGATTTAAGAAAAAACTAATTTGTCTTAATTATGCATTTTCTTTTGCCTTGTTTTCTTTCTCATTCATCCACCCAGCCCTAGGTCTTTCCAGACTCCATTTTTTACAAAATCATTATCTTGGTATATTTTACCCTTCCTTCTTTTCATCCCTTTCACTTCTAAGAGAGATAGATATAATAATAAATATAAAACTAATAAATATAAAAACATGATTAGAAGAATTTGGCTGCAAGTATGAGGGTTAGGAAAGACAAAACAGCATCAAAAAGGATTTTGATTTTTATTTCCAAGGCCAATCTGTTGGGCAGAGCAAGGTGAGGGGAGTCCCTGAAAATATCTTTTGTCTCAACCACCTGGGTCATCTCAGCGTTCTTAAGACCCTTGGGAATAAGCTACTGGATCTTTTCCATAGAAGGCACAACTTCAGTCAGAGTTGAACCAGGATTCCAACAGCCTCAGCCTGCGCAACAGCAACTTAAGCCCTCCGGGCAACTAAGAACCAATTATTTTCTAAAGTATATTTCAGATCAGCAATTTTGAGATGTGTTTTCAATATTGCAATACTATCTTGGTTATCTATTGCTATGTAACAAATCACTCCAATATCTACTATCTCCAAACAACAGTTATCATTTACTACCTCTCACAATTCAGTGGTCAGACCAGGAGTCTTCTGATGGTCTCTCTTGGAGTCTTTCATGAGATTGTAATCAAATGTTGCCTGGGCCTGGAGTCATCTGGAAGCTCGATTGGGAAGTTGAGAGACAGCCCCACTCTCGTGCCTCATAGGCTCAGTGCTGACCACAGGGTTTCTTCAAGAAGATAGCCAGCCTTCTTACATAGTGGCTCAGGGGTCCCAAAAAGTGACTATCTCAAGAGGAAGGAAGCAGAAGCTGCGAGTTTCTTAAAAGCTAGGAACAGAGCTGGCACGGGGTCACTCCTGTTGCATTCCATGGGTAACATGAGCCACAGACCAGCCCAGATGTAACGTGGGAGGAGACCACACAAAGATTTGAACACCCTAAGACATAGCTCATTAGGGGCCACCTTTGGAGACATCATACAGAATTATTGTGAAAAGTGCTTCCATTAATCGAAAACATTAAGAGAGATGGGGATTTTTAGCATCACATAATAATCCTCATAATAATAGGGATCAGAATTATCTGTCTAGAGGGTATGGTTCCACTGACATGCCTTAGGTACCTGCCATATACATAGCAGCTATGGCCACAGAAGATGAGGTTTTAGGTGCATCTCTGTATATGGATTATAAGAGTATACACTGTGACTACAAAGATGTAATCTCAAGCTGGTGTACCAACCTTGGAATGTAACTGGTTGCTAAGAAATGAAAATGAAAACCATGTGTGTGTGTGATCTAAGGCCATTAATGGACATATAAATTAATTCCCTTCTTTCATTTGATTCCAGGCATTTTACTTACCTTACATCATCTGAGTTTCTCAATAATTCCTGTGCCACCATGTAAGAAGTTACATGTGTTTGTGACTCCTGGACAACTATAGTGATATGCTCCATCCTTGATTATCTTATTATTTTCATTTAAGCTAACCCAATCCAAAATTGGTAAAGGATGCAAAGTGCTCTCCATAATATTCTTATCCAAAAGAATATAAAGAAAGAGAACAAAATTAAGGAAGTTCATTTGATAAGAATAACTGATAAAACTATAACTATGGAGCTTCACGTAATAAGAGCTGAAACATCCTCTAACATAAATAACTTCAGAGAGTAGTCATAGACTCAGGCTCCTGCCCTCCATCCACAGCTCTGACCTAATGTTATCCTGCTTTCTTGGTTGTGATACTGTAATCATACATTAAAGCCTGTGACAAGTCACTGAATTCTTAATATATCTCAGAAGTTGAGAAAAACTAGTTATTATGAAGACTCTGTCATTAACAACATCCTTAACATCCTTAATGTTATGAGACATCCTTAATGAATGAGACAATGAATGAGGAAAGTCATAATCTGAGTAAAATACCCCGTACTATTTATACCACGTTAGTTGTTACAACTCCCTCTCCTCCTGTTCTATTTTAACCTATAAGTCTCATTATCAATTAAACCACTTAATGGATAACTTAGCATATTGTGACTTGCTATAACTTAGTGTTTTGTAAAGCCATTTACTGTCCTTTGCTCTTCTATGACATTGCTGATGGCATTTCATCAAAATAGTTCTTCTAGCAAACCTAAAAAGTATAGCCAAATCACTTTTTAAGAATGTTATATTTAAGATTATAATTTTTGAAATGACAGAATTTGTTACTTAAAGAGAAGAAAGAAAAGAAAAGGTATATTTTCTTTCTTTACAGCTGTTTTGGGGTGACATCGACAAGAACCACTTTTAAATGACTGCTGTGGAGTCATGTGGTCCATCCTTCATTTCTTCCACAATCGCTTGAGTGCTTGCTCTGTGTAAGACACCATGACAGATGGCTCCTTAGCTCCTGCTTTCAAATATTTTATAACCTACTCAGGAGACAGACAGACAGGCAGTAAAATATATCATGGTTGGTACCACGGCGAGATTAACAAGTGTAATGGAGGCATAAAAGAAGATACCTCAGTCCACTCCAGGAGGTTAAAATGCAATTAATAGAAGTCAAGCTTGAGATAACATTGAAGGATGAGTAGTTTTCTATTCTCATTAGCAGGGAAAAAGCACGTTGAAGAGAATGGTATGTGCAAATGGACAAAAGTGTAGATATGGAGAAATGCTCGTGTGTTTAGGGACTACAAGGACTTAAGTGCTGAAGGAGAGAAAAGTACAAGTGGCCAAAGATGAAGAGAGACACAGGGGCAGGGCCAGATGATGAAGATCCTTGTTTTCCTTGCAGAGGAATTTGGACTTGATTCTGTAGGCTAAGGAATTGGAAACCGAGGTGGATTGTTACCATATTTGCTTGTGAGGAACTGAGAGACAAGCCTAACAAAAATTGCCCCTAAATTATCAGAGCATGCAGACATAGTTTTTCTCCACAGAGATGCCTGGTAACCATAACTTCAATAGCCATATTGTCAGCACAGTCACCTTAACTAAAAACACTGGGCCAAACAACCTGAGGAAAAATCTATCCCAATATTACTCTAATATTATTAGCACTGGACATCTGTAGGGTATATAAAAGAATAAAGGAAATATTTTTGTTTGAGCAATTATGAAATAATCGAAGTTTCTGGGATACGCATTGCATATAGATGTGGCTTCTCTTTCTAGTGTGCCAGTTTTGCCTAAAATTGGGTAACAAAAGTAAGCATGTAGATATTTTTCAAAATGGATGAGGTATTTTAAGTTTTTTTTTAAATGTGACTTCTCAACATGGCATTTTAACCTGCTATTCAAACTTTTCTTCCAAATATTCACCCTTCACCCACTCGAAACAAAGTCATTCTTCTGTACAGTTATGAGTACGCCAATGGAAAGGTCTGACAATCAGTGCCCCATAAATTATGTGTGGAGAAGGATAATCCCCTTAGGAGGAAACATGGTCCAGGGGCACATACATATTTTGTAATTTGCTATAATTCAACGTTAGACTGTATATAAGTTAACACCAAACGTTTAAAGGCAGAAATGGTAGCACACTGGATTTTCTCCTCTACTGCACAGCCTCTTTCAACAGTCCTGTGTATTTCACAAGGTTATTTTAAGGATTAAATGAGGAAATGAAAGTACTTTGTAAACTGTAAAGTCCTAACCTGATGTAATGTTTCATTAACTAATGAATTTACAAATGACTAGGACAAGGTGCCTTTTGAACGAATGTTTTCGTTCTTCCATTAATTAGAAAAGGTCTAGTGTGGTCTACCAAGCAAAAGCAAGGGCTGTGGCATTCCCTGATGCCATGGCACAGATGTACACAATTCCAATAGTCTACATCAGACAGTAGCAATCAGGCTGCGTGTACAGACCCATCTGGTTCTCATATCGTCTGAACGAGGTGCTGAAGTGGAGGATTTTTACTTCACTGAATCTGAACAAATCCTCTTGAGCTTTCGCCAGATGATTAAAGATGGTGCAAATTGTCCTCAGCCTGGTCCCCATTCTTTGATGTCCTCTGTCAGCAAACCATAAGGCATCACCTAAGACAAAAGCTCACGTGGGGCATGTCGGAACAGTAAACCCAGAGTTCGCGAGTGATTTTTCTCAATTGCCACTGGTCCATTCAACTGAGTTTTACTTGAGACATTCGGAGGTGAACCAAACATAAACCAGACCTACCCAGTTTGTAATGTTCTCAGCTGTGTGTTTGTGGGAAATATATTTCTTGGAGGCTTGCCACTTCTTTGTTGAATGCCATGGCTGGAGTTTCTGCTTAATAGTGGTGGTGGGAAGGGGGCTGCTGGTGACAGAAATGCTAAGGCCAAACAGAGAAGCCTAGCTAAGAAAAACAAACTTTCTCTCAAGGAGACGCAAAATTAACTCCATGTGTTAAAAGAGGAAAGTTATTATTTAGCTGGGCGTCTTATGTCAAATGCAAAATATTTGATTTTAACCTCCTTCTAAGACCATGGCATGTTCTTATTAATAGATGGTACTATGGGAGTAGAAAAGATTTTTAAAAAAGTGGTGATAAATGATGCTTGAAGTAGGAGACACACTGACATTTTTTAAAGGATTAATCTCAGTTTTTGGGTATCTAGTTTTTTTTTTACCAGGGTTATCCAAACTGAATCCAGGGATGTAAAAATATATTCTTACACTGACCCTGAAATCTATCGGATCACCATAGTACATGTGCCACAACCTAGCACACATGGGGGAAAAAAATGAAACTTTCCTTATTTATTTTATTTTTAGTATAATTTCCAATAAAAGATGAATCCCAGCCAGTAGCTGAGGGGGCCAATGTGGTTCTTATAAGTACAAAATATGGTTGGGGCATCTAATGATGTTGAAAACGTTCCTTGTATTTTAGTTATACTGCGTCAAGATTGAGGTCATGAAATCCAATTGTTGGAAACAATATATCCTGCAATTTAACTAAATTGAAGATGATGCCAACCATCTGGGGATTTGTCCAAACTGAGCTCTTGCCTTGGAATGACACGCACATATGAGCAGTTCTGGGACTTGGTTTCACACAATGGTTTCTTGACATTATTTTGGACATATGAACTAAATTGGGGATCTTTCTTAATTCATATATCTTATTTGTACTGGTTTTCAAATATATCTTTTGTCTGGTCTTGATCAAGATGAATATTTGTGGTCATACTATGACTGCCTTAAAACCCTGTTCTCGTGTTAAGTGTACACAGCTAGTATGATATCAATATTCAACTGAGGTTTTCACACGGCTGATAGGTTGAGATTAAACTTCTCAAGAAGTGAGTGTTGGTGTTTATGTTTGGTCTAAACAAATTGGCAGCCTAAGAGAACATGGAGATTCCTTAATCTGCATGCTCAGTAAGACCATATCTGCCTCAAAGATGCTCTTAATCAGGTTTTACTATTATTATTGTTATTGAACATAGAATGTTTAAGATTTTGAGGACATTCTATTTTACAAAGCAGTGCACACATATTTAATGCTTACAAAAGTTCTGTAAATGGATGTTATCTTCATATTACAGAGAAAAATACTGGAGCTCATGGAGGTGATGTGACTTCTCTAATAATACACAATAAATAACAAAAGTGGGATTAAAACCCAGATTTTCTGATTCCTCTGTCAGGATTTTCCTACCACACCCATCTTTCTCTTTTTATAGAAGCATGTGTCATTTTTCTGCAGGTTACAGAAGTACTGGAATACAGGAATGGACTTTAAAACTGAAATTTCTATGAAGGCCTTTAATTGCATGAGGTTATTGCTGCAAAGCAGTTGCTGGCCCTGGTCTTTCTCATCACTCAGTTCGCTTTTATTTTGGCTGCTTGCCACTGACAAGACCATCTTATCCCTTTCTTATCATTGTCAGAAGGCCCTGGCCTGGGAAGGGCAGACCAGGGGCACAGAGAGAGAAGTGTTGCTATTTGGGGCCCATAGATTTTTACTCCATCACTTATGTTGCTTCCCACACATTTCATCCCATAGGCATTTAATATTATACATTCCTCCCTGGAAAGAAAATAAGTTGATTGATTTGCACACATGCTCATTAATCCAAAACACGAAGTCCAAACTGAACAATAATTTGCCCGCTTATCAAGTTATGATCTGTTAGACTAAAGATCATTGACCAACATGACTCATACAGTAAGAATCCCTTTAGCACATCGTGTCATAAGGAAAGGTGAAGAAAATGATGCTTCCTGTCATTTTATACACTTATCTCTCTAAGAACAGAGATAAATAAAGAGGTATAAGGAGAGCAAGCATCCACTCCCAAATGCTTCACCTACTTCTGCCCCTTCAAGACTTTCTGCAGGTTGGTAACTTCCAAGCACTCTTCAATCAGTATTAGCAGGAGAAGTAAGAATGAATCCCATTGAATCAGAAGCCTTCAGACCCAAGATCTTCTGAGACCAGTTCACAGTGGGCAGAAAAAGCCAAGTAAATGTCCCTCACAGAAGCTCAGACACTCGCAAGACACAGAAATGCTACCAGTCACCTGCATCCTCTTAATATCCAGCAACTGTAGCTCTAGAACTTCTTCTTATGCAGGGAATCTCAGACAATTAAAGAACAGAAACAGACAAATCCATACATGTGTGCTTAGGCAATATTTAAACTTGTTCTTGACACCTGTCTTGAAGTAAACTTTCTCCACGTGGCCACCTATAAATTCTATAGCAGGCTCATGACCCTACAGGAAATTTACACACCTTATAATAGATGCCTTAGAAAATATCAACCACGGTACTAGAGAAATGTTGACCACTATATATTAATAACTGAGTCCTTTGGAAAATATGAAGTCTACTCCATGATCAACTGTTTTGGCTACATTTGATACAATGTTCTTTCTTCAGTGTATATCAGCACTTAGGTCTATTCATATTCTTCACCCCAAGGATTTTGGCAGGCTGTTGAACAAAGTGTCCATTTGATACTTAACAACCCTCTTATCTCAGGTTTGGTAATTCAGTTTTAAACATCTGCACTATTTCCACATTCACTTTATATCTGCCCATAAACCATAATGAGAAAAAAGCCTGGCCTTAGAAATTCACAAATGCACTAAGCTGGAACACAGTAGTTGCTCAATAAATAATTGTTGACTGAAAATAAAATGTGCTTATCAGGCAGGATTTAGATCCTAGGGATGATAGAAAAGAAGCATGGAAAAGCCTCTCACTCTCAACTATCCCAAGCGGTATTTAGGGATCTCCATTCTGCAGGACAGAAAAGAACTGCCAAACATAGGCTGAGCTGAGACAGATGTTTCTGCAAGAACACTCAGCAGACAATGTTTGCCTTCACTTCAGAATTTCCCATTTTTGTTCTGTCTTCTCAGTAAGGCAGGTCTTTCTGGGAAATATTTATGAAATCTTTTCTTGAATCAGAGGTCTCCTTCCGTTATTTGCTTTCCTAACAGAAAGTGTACCCAAGGGAACACTCATATTTTTTTTCTGTCAAAAGACTGGGAAAGTACATACCCTTTATTAAAAAGAAAAAAGAAATCTCATTTAGGGTGAAGGTTGAGCAGGCAGGCTGGGTGTTCCCGCCACCTCACCAAGAATTATCCTTGTTATTCTTTCCCTTTTTCTTTTTGAGCTTAAAGTTCTATGATATTATGAGAAACAACAAAAGGCTTTTACATAAATCATCTAAGTGCGAAGGTGGCAGACGTGCTGAGGAGGACAGACTTCGGGGCTTTGGCTCTCCAGCTTCAACAGAAGGAAGACTTTGTTAACTTTTCAGCAAGGATCCTCCTGTAAGTCCTTGTCCTCACCAAAGCATTCTTCTCCAGAACAAACTTAATTATGTAGCACAATTTAGACCCTCGATTCATTCCAAAACCAGGGCAAAAATCACACTCTGTGCATACCTGCATGTACTATTTACTCAAATATGTTTTAGGGTATTGTCAAATGTTCCTTCTGGAACCTAGACAAAAAGGTTCTAGCCCAAGATGGGGTCTCAGAAGCTAGCCCTGTATGTGCAAAGAGAAAGGGAAGAAATAAATCTGGATAAGATGGCCTCAGAAAGTAAGAAATTGTTCAAATACGTCAAATCCATAAGGAAGGGATTAAGACAACATTTATAGGTTTTACTAATGCTTCTTCATGGCCTAGAAAAGTACCTGGTACATAAGATGGCAGACATTTGATGAACAAATAAATGAATGACATCCAAAATGTAGTGATACAGGAAATATCAGCAATTGTATGTGTTCAGGACACAAAATGAAAAAACTGCCTTTGTGTGCCACACCTTCATTGAAGACTGGGGTAAGGGAAGTGGCCATTAGGGAGTGCTTCTTCAAATACCACCCCCTCCTACTCCACAATTACACAGCAAAACACAGTCTGGGTTTCTGTAAGCCACTTGGGAGAGATCCTAAAGGGACTCCTAATCCCTTCAATGAGAAGCAGTCTTCACGTTAGACTGCCCAGGCTACATTCCTGGGAGTCCAGTGCTTCCTGTACCACTTGTTCTCTTTCTCATCAAGCCAATCACCAGAGTCAAGGTAAAGGACAAGGTCATGATCCATTAGGTAAAGCAAGATAGAGTCAACAACAAGATGGGCAATTAGGATCCAAAGTCCACAGGGATGTTCTCCTCCCTCACTTTGAAGAATCCCAGAGAACATTCTAAAACTTCTGGCAGAGGCAGGTGGAGTGGATGTACTGAGAGGAGAACCAGGTACAATCTGATGCTCTGGCCCACATTTTATCTGGGGCCTTCCCTTTAAGGATCTCAGGATCCTTCTAAGACACCTGTATTTCACTCAGATACTGGCTGCCTTTCAGCATGTTAGTAGGGTTGTGGAGTAGAGAGGAGGAGCAGGGTGTAAGGCCAAAGCAGCATTCAAAGTGGAGTAGGTGCAGCTAAAATGTCATTTTGTAGTGGACAGGTAGGCGTTAAAAGATGTAACTAGAGTAGACTTAGCCGGGCATGGTGGCGCACACCTGTAATCCCAGCTACTCGGGAGGCTGAGGCATGAGAATCACTTGAACCCAGGAGGTGAAGGTTGCCATGAGTCGAGATTGCACCACTGCTCTCCAGCCTGGGTGACAGAGAAAGACTCTGTCTCAATAATAATAAAATGAATAAATAAATTAAAAGATGTAACCAGAGTAGAAATTTGGCAGGTACCCATTTTGCATGTTTTGAAGACCATTGGTTTGTGGGCGTTGGGTGGTAAACCATAAGTACAAATGTTGGAGGCCTTGAAAAGTGCCCTCCAATATCAAGAGACCAACAGAGTCTGCTGCTGAAAGCCTGGTGACCACATCTGTGGAGGTGGAAGAGCTCATTGGATAATGAACCTACTGTGACCAATGAATCCCACAGACAAAGTGCACCCTCTTGGTATCAGTTTCCACTAGAAGAAAAGAGAGGGGCTGAATCTTAGGCTACAAACTCAAATGAGCAAAAAATGCCGCATATATTTATTTTCCATAAATCAGTTTATTTGCAATTCTGAGCCTACCTAATTCCCTACTGGCAGGAAACAGGATTCATTCTTGGGGCCCCCACACTAATCCAGGGCTATTCCATGGTTCAGTGTCCCACACAGTGCCAGGATGTTAGAGTCCCTCGGGCCACTGGTCATGCACCACACTGGGTACAGCTGAGATGTTCTCTTTGTTTCTGCAACAAGCATCTGCAGCTTCTGTGCTTGCATGGGGCAAGGATGTATTCAAGGAGGTGCATCCTGAGTTCTCTCTGGCAGGATGCACCCAGGAGCTTCCTCTTCAGAGACTTGTCACATTCTCAAGAGGCTGCTCAGAAGAACTAGGAACATTTCTGCTGCTCTCCTGGCCCTGTCCACCCACCAGACTTGGGGAATTTATTTTAGTTTAAGAAATTTTGTTCTCTGGTTGTATTTCTTCCCAGCCACCATGCTGCTTTCTATAAGACATCCCTTCCCCTTGAAACTTTGGCTTTCAGAAACAAACAAATCAAAAAGAAAGAACAGGAAGTTTTACAGACAACTTCTGCTTTCCACACTGCGACAAAATTTTCCTGGGGCAAGAAAACGCAAAGGTAGACCAGCTCTATACTAGGATGTGATGAAAGAGAAAAACACAGAGAGGAAATATAAACATAAACTAATATTCAGCTATATGTATACAAGGATAGATCAGAGATAAAGCCCAGATTAGCAATGTTCAACAAGTGTTTAGGACATCAGATTTCCTTACGGCAGGCCCTTAAGCTGGACACTGATGGTATATAACCCAGCGTCGCCAATTTGCCCTAAGATGGGGCCAGCAGAAACCCTTATGGCCATAAATATCCAACTGCCTTAAGTGGGCCGAAGTAAGGGAACAGACGACAATCACTCACCTCACACGGCAGGCCCCTCCCTAGGAGCTACCCTGGAGCCATTTGTGATAACTCTTTGGATGGACGACTTTTGTTACCTTCAGTTGAACTGAATAATCATATTTTCCAGATAAGCATCTGCTGAATCAAGCTCTATTAATTCCCTGTTATACAAATTACTACAAAGTGGTTTTAAACCACAGAACTTTATTCTCCACAGTTCTGGAAGCTAGAAGTCTAAAATCAAGGTGTCAGCATGACGTCACTACTTCTGAAGCCTCTGGGGGAGAATCCTTCCCTACTTCTTCCAGTTTCTTTTGCTGCCAGCAACTCTTGGTGTTCATTGGTTTGTAGATGCATCACTCCCAATCTCTGTCCCCATCGTACATGGTATTCTCCCTGTCTGTCTGTCTCTGTGTCCATATTTCCCTCTGCTTATCAGGACACCTATCTTACTAGATTTAGTGCTCACCCTAAGCCAGTACAACCTCATCTTACCTTGATTACATCTACAAAGACTGGTTTCCCAATAGGGTCATATTCACAGGTTCCAGGTGGGCATGAATCCTGGGGGACACTCTTCAGCCCAGTACAGAAGCTACCTCTGGAAAGGTATCCACGTGGTATGTGTGGGCTGCTTGACCATACACGCATGTTGGCAACTCAAAGCTCTAGAAAATAAGCCTCCCTTTGTCATGAACTGTATTGTTCAGCTTGCTGCAGCTGCCCAGGGCTACAGTCGTCTGGACACTAGAACAAGATGTGAGGGCAACTGATCCCTGATTTAAAAATTCAGAATGTCTCCTTTACCCTTGAACAGTGTGGAAACAATTGCCAACTGCAGATGGGCAGCAGAGCTACAGGACACCATAGGAACAGAGACTGCACAGTGGTGAGGCCCCAGATGGTGTTAAGAAAACCCCATCTCTCTTCCCTGTCATGGTTAAAAAAGAGGAAGTCACATGAGTGTCCCTGAGACCACAGAAGAAAACGAAAAGCCAAATTCCAGTTAGGGTAGCCTCTGGAAGCAGGAAGCCATTCAAAAGCTAGCAAGAGTGTGAGGACCAAACTCAAGATGTAAGGTACTTAAGGGAATTAGCACTACTGGGGTCAACAGGTTGACTCTGGGGATGCCCTTTTGCACCATTGCATTGGCTGGTATGAAGAAGGGAGGGCAGCTGGTAGGAGGTGTGGGATTGTACATCAGTAGAGAAGCCAAGGGCAAGAAGGATACCCATAGAAACTCCTCGAAGTTTTTTAATGGAATCCCTTTTCCAACTTAGAGGTTATTATGATCAACTAATCAGTACTCGGGGAGATGACATATGGATTTTGCCATATATTTATATTTATCAAAATATGTATGTCAGCTTACCCTGCTTTATTAAGATGTGGCAAAAAGTAGGGACACTAATTTCTGTAAAACTGCCATTCCTTTGCATTTCAAGTGGTATACTGGGATAAATAAAAAGAACAAGCTGTGATTGTTTTTCATTGCAAAATACATTTTTTTCCTTCTCTGCCGCTGGCTTCTTGGTGATTGGTTCCTTCCCGCCCCACCTCCCTCTGTGAATCACAGTTAAGACTTGAACCTTCCATCTAACTTTAGTATTTTCCTCCTCACCAGGAGTTAGTCTTCTGGGACCCCAAATGCAGTACTAACTGATTCAACAATCTCACAGTCATGCACAAAAAAATTGATAGAAATATATTCACTAGATGTGAAATCATGTTACAATTTAATTCTTTCCTATTTCTCTGACAGATGCTTCATGTAGTAAAGCTGGACTCAAGAGCCTCAGCATACATGAGATAGGATTTTTGGTAAGCCAGGCAAATTGAAATATATGATAAAGAGTTTCTCCCTTATTCAATCAAGAATATTGATAAGGGTGTAGTTTTCTGCTAATGTCCAAAAGCATGACTTTATTTGAATTCTCTGTAAGTGTCCAAAAGGAAATGCTCATGCAAATGAATATTAATGTATTCCTGTTAAAAATTTTCAGCATAACTTTGGGGGAAGTGTAAACTCCATAGATTAATCAAGTATCATTTATCAATATAGCAACAAATATTTATTGTGCATTTTTGTCCTCTAAGCACTCTACTACTATGCCTGTTTATGAAACAAGACTTGTAAAAATTATACGACCATGTCCAAACCCACAAGAAGTAATTTTTTTAAATTGCATTAAACGGTAATTAGTATGAAGGCAATGGAAGAAATCACAAAAGAAAGAGATAGATAGATTTTACTGCATGAAAATGTAAGCCCTCTGTTTCTCAAAACATAAGCCATTTTATAAGGCTTATATTTATATAATTACATAATTATATGTATATATAATAATTATATAAATATAAGATATATAAATATAAACCAAAGTACAAATATATATATATATACAAACCAAAGATTATGTCTTTGATACATGATGAAGTTGTATAATACAATAAGACACTGAGAATCCAGTATGTAAATGGCTCACAAACATGACATTCACAAATGAGGACATAGAATAGTTTATAAATACTTGAAAAAATTAACCTCAGTAATAAATCAAAGAAATGAAAATTAAAACAACCACAACAAGAAAAAAACAACTTACCACTTTAGCCAAGACATGTTTAATGATAACTGAAGAGATACAATCTATTTTTGTTTGAATCTTTGAAGTAAGGAAAAATAACAAATTACCCCTTTACCCTCCAAGTACATCAAAATAAAAGGGAAAATCCACATCAATAAATAACAAAAGAGAGAATCTCTGAGGAAAAATAAGTTCTTAATTAATAGAGTTAGAGAACTGCAGATTTGGATGAAGGCAGATTGTAGCCTGGGGATCTGTTCCATCTCCTGAGAAATTAGGGAAAAATTTTGGCTATGGGGAGCTAGAAAAAACATAGGGGACACGGAATAGGTTTTGTGTTACATTAAACAAGATTTTCAACTACATCCTTACAGCTGACACAACTGTAAGTTTCAAATGCATATTAGCCATCAATATGGGCTGAGGTTATCATGCCAAAATTGCTGTAAGTAGTTTGGCAGAGACCCACTACTGGGAGGTTTGGGCACCCAGCTCTCTGCTGATATGACTTAACGTGGTGGATTTTAGCATATCAGAAGGAACCGATGGACTGCATATTCCTCAAAATTCCCCCAACTGAATTTCTAAAAAAAAGCCAAGTGCAGTGGCTCATACCTGTAATCGCAGCACTTTGGAAGGCCAAGGCAGGAGGATCACTTGAGCTCAGGAGTTCGAGACCAGTCTGGGCAATATAATAAGACCTCATGTGTACTAAAAATCAAAAACATCATCTGGGTGAGGTGGTGTGTACCTGTAGTCCCAGCTACTCAGGAGGCTGAGGCAGAAGGACTGCTGGAGCCCAGGAGGTCGAGGCTGCAGTGAGCTGTGATCATGCCACTGAACTTCCAGCCTGGGAGAAAGAGTAAGACCCTGTTTCAAAAAAAAAAATTACATGACAACTGTATTAAAATAGTCTGTGTTGTTCATTAGACATAAACGTATGTGCCTTAACAATCATGCTGGGGGTAAAACTGATAGCTCTTCTGGAAACTGTGGAGATTATTGAGTATTCATGCTTGACAAGAAAGCATGGCTTCTCACTAAGAAGATAAGGCCAGGCATAACTGTAGGCAAGACCAAGAGTCTCCTTAAAGTAGTGTGAATCATAAAAACAAATGAACATCCAAGAACCCAGAGTTCTACTCCTCTACTTATGTTCACAAAAGCCTAGTAAACTTTTAAAGTGGATGTAAATATAACTTATCTTAGTCACAGAAAATGTCAACAATGCACACATAGAACACCTTCATTAGAAGTAATACTATGCACCTTCCTAAATAAGCTATGATATGGTTTGGCACTCTGTCCCCACCCAAATCTCATGTTGAACTGTAATCCCCAATGTTGAAGAAGGGACCTGGTGGGAGGTGATTGAATAATGGAGGCAGATTTCCCCCCTTGCTGTTCTCATGATAGTGAGTGAGTTCTCATGAGGTCTGCTTGTTAGAAAGTGTGTAGCACTTTCCCCTTTGCTCTCTCTCTTTCTCCTGCCAGGTGTGTAAAAATGTGCCTGCTTCCCCTTCACCTTCCACCATGATTGCAATTTTCCTGAGGCCTCTCCAGAAGCAGAAGCCTGTAAAACCCACAGAAACATGAGTCAATTAAACCTCTTTTCTTTATAAATTACTGAGTCTCAGGTTCTTTACAGCAATGTAAGAATGGACTAATATAGAAAATTGGTGCCAGAGAAGTGGGACATTACTATAAAAACACCTTAAAATGTGGAAGCAGCTTTGTAACTGGGTAACAGGCAGAGGTTGGAATAATGTGGAGGCATCAGAAGAAGATAGGAAGGTGAGAGGAGATTTGGAACTTTCTAGAGACTTGCTGAATGGTTGTAATTGAAATGCTGATAGTGATAGGGACAGTGAAGTCCAACCTAATGAGGTCTCAGATGGAGATAAGAAATTCACTGGGAACTGGAGGAAAGGTCAGTCTGTGCCTTAGGAAAGAGACTGGTGGCATTGTGCCCCTGCTCTAGAGATCTATGAAACTTTTAATGTGAGAGAAGATTTAAGATATCTCGTAGAAGAAATTTCTGCTCTAGAGACCTATAGAACTTTGAATGTGAGAGAAGATTTAAGATATCTGGTAGAAGAAATTTCTAAGCAGCAAAGCATTCAAGAGCTAGTCTGGCTGCTTCTAACAGTGTACACTTGTATGTGTTCACAAAGAGATGGTCTGAAATTGGAACTCATATTTAAAAGAGAAACAGAGCATTAAAGTTCAAACAATTTGTAGCCTGACCATGTAGCAGAAAAGAAAAACCCATTTTCTGGGGAAGAATTCAAGCCTGCTGCAAAAATTTGCACAAGTAAAGAGGAGCTAAATGCTAACAGCCAAGAAAATGGGGGAAAAAATGCCCCCAAGGCACTTCAGAGACCACTGTGGCAGCCCCTCCCATTACAGGCCTGGAGGCCTGGGAGACTAAAATGATTCTGTGGGCCAGGCCCAGGGCCCAGCTGCTCTGTGCAACCTTGGGACATGGTGCCCTGTGTCCCAGCCACCCCAGCTCCAGCCGTGGCTAAAAGGGCCCCAGGTAAGTCTCCGACCACTGCTCCAGAGGGTCCAAGTCAGAAGCTGCCAAGGGTTCAACGTGGTGTTAAGTCTGCAGGTGCATAGATGGCAAGAGTTGAGGCTTGGGAGTGTCCACCTAGATTTCAAAGGATGTATGGAAATGCCTGTATGTCCAGGCAAAGTCAGCTACAGGGGTGGAGCCCTCATGGATAACCTCTATTAGGGCAGTACAGAGGGGAAATGTGGGGTTGGAGCCCCTACACAGAGTCCCCACTGGGGAACTGCTTAGTGGAGCTGTGAGAAGGTCACCATCCTCCAGACCCCAGAATAGTAGATCCACCAATATCTTGCACCATGAACCTGAAAAGCTGCAGGCACTCAACACCAGCCCTTGAGAGAAGCCATGGGAGCTGAGCCCTGCAGAGCCAGAGGGCAGATCTGCCCAAGGCCTAGGGAGCCCACCACTTACATTAATGTGGCCTGGATGTGTGAGACATGGAATCATAGGAGACTATTTTGAACCTTTAAGATTTAATGACTGCCCTGCTGGGTTTTAGACTTGGCATGGGGCCTGTAGTCCCTTGTTTGGGCCAATTTCTCCCTTTTGGAATGGGAGCATTTACCTAATGCCTGTACCCTTATTGTATCTTGGAAGTAACTAACTTGTTTTTAATTTTACAGGTTCATAGGCAGAAGGGACATGCCTTGTTTCAGATGAGAGTCAACTTGGACTTTTGAGTTAATGCTGTGAGAGTTAAGACTTTAGGGGACTGTTGGGAGGCATGATTGTGTTTTGAAATGTGAGAAGGACATGAGATTTTGGAGGGGCTGAGGTAGAATGATGTGGTTTTGCTGTGTGTCTCCACCAAAATTTCATATCAAATTGTAATACCCAATGTTGGGGGAGGGATCTGGTGGGAAGTGATTGGATAATGGGAGCGGATTTCCCCCTTGCTGTTCTCATGATAGTGAGTGAGTTCTCATGAGATCTGCCTGTTTGAAAGTGTGTAGCACTTCCCCCTTTGCTCTCTCTCTTTCTCCTGCTGGGCATATGAATATGAGCCTGCTTCCCCTTCACCTTCTGCCATGATTATAAGTTTCCTGAAGCCTCTCCAGAGGCAGAAGACTGTACACCCCACAGAACCATGAGCCAATTAAACCTCTTTTCTTTATAAATTACCCAGTCTCAGGTTGTTCTTTATAGCAATGCAAAAACAGATTTATACAAGCTATAAAGTGAATATTTTAGTAGATGAAATACTTGTTATTTTTTGAGAACTAATTAAATATTGGAGAATGTGTACCCAGAATAGTAACTCTGGTTTTAGAATATTGATATGTAGCCCTCCTAGCAATAATTATGGTCATTATCTGTCTTTTTGGGGCACTCTCAGCTCAAGATAATACAAGCTTAACACCATGCAAGGCTTTCTGTTTTCTAAAGGGGAAGGGACATTATCCAGCTTACTCAAAAGTGTTATATTATCATATTATCAAAAAAAAAAAAAACAACAAATTCTGGGGAACTCTTACACACTGCTGGTGAGAATGTAAATTAGTACAGCCATTATAAAAAACAGTATGGAGATGCCTTAAAACGGTAAAAATAGAGCTACCTACCATTTAATCCTGTAATTCCACTAATGGATATATATCCAAAGAAATTGAAATCCAAAGGAATTGATATATTGAAAAGATATCTGCAGTCCTAGTGAAGCACCACTCACAATAGCCAAAAGATGGAATCAACCAAAGTATTCATCAACTGACGAACGGATATGGAAAAAGTATTCCATATAAACAATGGAATAGTATTTGGCTATAAAAAAGAAAGAAATCCTGTCATTTGTGGCAATATGGATGAACCTGGACGACACTGTATTAAGTAATATAAACCAGACACAGAAAGATAAATACCACATGATCTAATTCATGTGGAATCTTAAAAAGTTGATTTCACAGACATAGAGAGCAGAACAGTGATTACAAGAGGCTGGGGAGGAAAGCGGGGAGGAAATAATGAGGGGGATTGTTCAATGGCTAAAGAATAAGTTAAAAATAAGGAAGAATAACTTCTAGTGTTCTATTACATAGTGGGATGACTGTAGCTAACAACAATGTATTGTGTATTTCAAGACAGCTAGGAAAGAGGATCTCAAAAGTTATTACCACAAAGAAATGATAAAGGTTTGAGATGACTGACATACTAACTACCCTGATTTGATTATTATACAATGTGTGCATATATTAATACCTCACACTCTACCCCCATAAACATATGTAATTATGCATGATTATAAGTGAAATTTTTTAAACAAAAAATAATAAAATAAAAAGAAAGTAGAATAAAGGTTACCAGGGGCCAGGGAATGGGGAAAAGGAGAAGTGTTATTTAATGTGTACAGAGTTTTGAATGGGGATGATGAAAAAGTTTTGGATATAGCCAGTGCTGTTGGTTAGGCAACACTATGAATGTATTTAATGCCACTGAATTGTAAAATTACGAATGATTAAAATGATAAATATTATATCATGTATATATTACTATAATTTTTTTAATCTGGGGGGAAAATTAGTAAATGCTCTTTAAGAAGCTAATTTAAAAGGCACCGGAAAGCATTCTTTTTTAATGCAAAAAAAATTGCATTTCTATCAGACAGGATTCCTTAGCCTGTTTGAATATGACTATGGGTTTATATTTATGCAGTTCATGCAGTTTAGTCCAAAATCTACAAAATCAAACTCTGAGGAAAAGTCAATAAAAGCCATGTCCAATAAACAAATAAGCCTGTAATTTTAGAGGATAAAATGTGTACTAATTTTTAAAATAGGATAAACTACATTTTGGGTTTATCCAGGATAAACAATTTTTTGAGAATAGAATTACACCATTGAGTAATTCTACAAAAGCTCTAGAGACAAAACACTGGCTTCTCCTGAGATCATTATTATACTGGATTTTCTTATCAGCAGGATGAGAAAAGTATCTCCAACTGTACGTATTCACAACAAAGCTCCTTACCTCTTCACCTTTGCCTCCAAATATGCTCCTCCATCTTTCACATCTCAGTACACTGTGTCAACATGCCCGTAGTTGCTTAGGCCAAAAGGCTACTATACTATCCTCACACCCCATATCCAATACCCCAGCAAATCCTGTTGGCTCTGCCTTAAAAATTTCCTGTGATCTGAATATTTGTTCTCCACAAAATTCATATGTTGAAATCCTAACTTCCAAGATGGTGAAACTATAAGGTGGGGCTTTGGAAGGTGGTTAGGTTATTGGAGAGGGACCCTCATGAGTAGGATCAGTGTCTTATAAAAGAAGCTAGAGAGGGACTCCTGACTCCCTCTGCCATGTGAGGTTAGAGTAAGAAGACAGCTGCCTATAAGGAAGTGGACCTTCACCAGATACAGAATCTGCTGGTGCCTTGGTGTTAGACTTCCCAGCCTCCAGAACTGTAAGAAATAAATTTCTGTCATTTATAAGCCACTAAGTCTACAATATTTTTTTATAGCAGCCTGAGAAGACGAAGACAATACCTAACCAAAATTCAACTTTTCCTTATCATTTCTGCCCCTACTGTCCTAGTCCAAGATACAAACTCCTCTCACCCAGACTGTGAAATATTAACAAGTAGCCTCCTAACTACACTTCTTGCTCCCATTCTTGTCTACCTTCAGATAAAATGATACATAGTTCCCAGAAAAACTTTTTTTTTTTGAGACATAGTCTCACTCTATTGCCCAGGCTGGAGTGCAGTGGCATGATCTTGGATCACTGCAACTGCCACCTGCTGGGTTCAAGTGATTCTCCTGCATCAGCTTTCCAAGTACCTGGAAGTACAGGTGCACACCAACAAGTCCGGCTAATTTTTTGATTTTTAGCAGAGACAGGGTTTCATCATTTTGGCCAGGCTGGTCTTGAACTCCTGCCCTCAAGTGATCCACCTGCTTTGGCCCCACAAATTGCGGGGATTACAGGTGTGAGCCACTGCGCCCAGCCCCAGGAAACTTTTAAAAGCACAAATAAGATTATGTCACTCTTTAGCCCACCAAATCCTCTGTGGCTTTCTATCCTCTCAGAATAAAATTCACACTTTTGACCATGACCTACTACAAAGACATACGTGATCCACAGCTGCCTAGAAATCTCCGTCCCTCATATCCAACTACTTGCTTATGTTAACTGCAATATTCTTCTCCCAAATATTCACCCAGCTCACCCTCAATTCATCTCAGTCTCCTCTCAAATCCTCCTTCAGAAGGACTTAGCTGGTAACTCTCTTTTAAGTATCCACCTACAACCTCTGTTTCATCACGCTCTCTGACTTACCTAGCTTTAGATATTCTCTTAGCCATTATCACTATTTTACATATAATTGTTACTGTGGTCTGTCTTCCCTGCTAGGATGTTAGTTCCATGAATGCAGAGCCTTGGATGTATTCATAGCTGTGGCCCAGCCTCTTGAAATGTACCCAAAACACAGTCTCTACCTAATGAAATGTAGTTGAATGAATTAATGAGAAAGATAATTACAAAAAGTTGATGAAATAACTTCAAGCCTTACTGAATTTTATCAACTAAAACCCATTCCACTTAAAAGAATGTGATTTGGTTTAGAAAGCAATGTAAAAGTAAATATTAAGACACTAAAATATATATTACATCAATTTCATTACATCATGACCATATATTAGATTTTGTATATCATGCAATTAATATGTACAACATCAATTGCCTTACACTTTTCAATATCCCATAGCTATTCCTTTACTTTTTAAAACATAATGTGTATTTTGGCTCACTTGAGTTAGAAAAATAAATGTTTATTTTTATCACTTTGACATAATGAAATGTTTATCCTTCTTGAATTTGGCATTTCAAATTCTGGGAATTTGCCTTAAGGGAAGGGAAGGGAAGCATTCAAAACTTGAGGGAAAATGTAAGTACAATGAAAAAAAAAAGTATGAACAATTTAAAAAGAAAATCTAACTATACCAGAGATTTTAATCTCAATCTTCAATTACCTAAGACCTCCCAGAATATCAGATGTTTAAACTGGTTAGGGCACCCCAACTGCTGAATCAATCCCTTGTAGAACCTGAATCAAAATGTTTTCCAATGGTAAATGTCTATATCTCTTTTCTTTTAAAATGCACGTATGCATGTGTTGAATGTGAAATTAAGAAAATGTCAGAGAGAGTGAATATATGAGGAAGGAAAGCTTACAGAGATTTCTTTTTGCTGTTAAGAAGAAAAACAAAAATACAAATCTCTTTAGTGCATATTCCAGATGGACAGTGTCACAAATCTTAGAAACAGTTACTAATTGGTAATGCCTATCTTGGCTAAAGACTAACATACCAAATATCTAAAGTTATCTGATATTAGCCTATCAGTATATGCTGATGGATCAGTGGAACAGAAGCGAGAGTCCAGAAATAGATCCTTATATTTATGGTCAATTGATTTTTGACAAAGGTGCCAAACCAATTCAATGGAAAATGGATAGTCTTTTCAACAAATAGTGCTGGGACAATTAAATATCCATATGCAACATGGTAAATTTAGATCACTACCTCACACCATACACAATAATTCACTCTAAATGGATCATAGACCTACATTTAAAGGCTACAATTAGAAAACTTAAAAAAAAGAATAAAGTCTTTATGACTTTCAGTTAGGCAAAGAGTTCTTAGATATGACACAAAAAATAGTAAAATAGACTTCATCAAAATTAAAATTATTTGCACTTAAAATGACATCACTAAGAAAGTGAAATGACAAGCCACAGACTAGGATATCCTGAAAATCATACATACGGCAAAGAACTTTTATCCAGAATAAAGAACTCATGTCACTGAAATATAAGAAACCAGATATATATTTAGTCAAATAAGTAATGCTGAAATGAATTTATAAAAAGTGCAAGACTTAGCTGGGTGTGAGTGACTCTCATACCTGTAATCCCAGCCCTTTGAGAGACCAAGGTGGGGGGGATTGCTTGAGGCCAGGAGTTCAAGACCAGCCCGGGCAACATCACAAGACCCAATCTTTACAATGAAAATGAAAATAAAATTAGCCAGGCATGTTGTTAGGTGCCTGTAGTCCCAGCTACTCAAGAGGCTAAGGCAGGAGGATCACTTAAGCCCAAGAGTTTGAAGCTTCAGTGAGCTATGATCACCACTGAGTCCCATCCTAGGTGACAGAGTGAGACCCTATCTCTGAAAAAAAAGGAAAAAAAATTGCAAAACTGCCAATAGTCACAGGGACAATAATTAATTAATTAATTACACCAAACACAATTTGTATTTCTCTTGAAAGGAATTTTTTCTCCATCTTTATCAGGTTTCTATAAGTTAACTTTCATCTCCAAAGGTTTGTAAGACTCTTAGTAGTATGGTTTGGCTGTGTCCCCACCCAAATCTCACTTGAATTGTAGTTCCCATAATCCCCCCATGTGGTGGGAGGGAACTGGTGGGAGGTAATTGAATCGCGAGGGTGCTATTCTCATGATAGTAAGTTTTCACAAGATCTAGTGATTTTATAAGGGGCTACCCTTTGCTCATCTCTCACTTTTTTCCTTCCTGCCATCATGTGAAGAACATGTTTGCTTTTCCTACTGCCATGATTGTGAGTTTCCTGAGGCCTTACCAACTTTGTGGAACTGTGAGTCAATTAAACCTCCTTCCTTTATAAATTACCCAGCCTTGGGCAGTTCTTCATAGCAGCATGAAAATGGACTAATATAGTAAGTTGATACTGCAGAGAGTGGGGTGCTGCTATAAGGATACCTGAAAATGTGGAAGCAACTTTGGAACTGGGTAACAGGCAGAGGTTGGAACAGTTTGGAGGGCTCAGAAGAAGACAAGAAAATGTGGAAAAGTTGGAAGCTTCCTTGAGACTTGGAGAGTTCAGAAGACAGGAAGATGTCAGAAAGCTAGAAACTTTCTAGAGACTCGTTGAAAGGCTTTGACCAAAATGCTGATAGTAATATGGACAATGAAGTCCAGGCTGAAGTGGTCTCAGGTGGAGATGAGAAACTTGTTGGGAACTGGAGTAAAGGCCACGCTTGCTATGCTTTAACAAAGAGACTGGTGGCTTTTTGCCCCTGTCCTAGAGATCTGTGGAACTTTGAACTTGAAAGAGGTGATTTCGAATATCTGGTGGAATAAATTTCTAAGCAGCAAAACATTCAAGAGGTGACAGAGCAAACAAGTTTAGAAAATTTGCAGCTGATGCAGTAGAGAAGAAAAACCCATTTTCTGGGGAGAAATTCAAGCTGGCTGCATAAATTTGCAGAAGTAATGATGAGCCAAATGTTAATCACCAAGACAATGGGGAAAATGTCTCCAGGGTATGTCAGAGACCTTCACAGCAGCCCCTCCCGTCACAGGCCTGGAGGCCTAGGAGGGAAAAATGGTTTCCTGAGTCAGACCCAGAGCCCCCCTGCTCTGTGCAGCTTTGGGAATATGTGCAGCCTTGGGACATGGTGCCCTGAATCCCAGCTGCTTCGGCCCCAGCTGTAGCTCAGGTTATTGCTTCAGAGGGCGCAAACCCCAAGCCTTGGCAACTTCCACATGGTGTTTTATCTGCATGTGTGCAGAAGTCAAGAATTGAGATTTGGGAACCTCTGCCTAGATTTCAGCGGATACACAGAAATGCCTGGATGTCCAGGCAGAAGTCTGCTGCAGGGGCAGAGCCCTCATAGAGAACCTCTGCTAGGGCAGTGGGGAAAAGAAATGTAGGATTGGAGTCCCCTAACAGAGTCCCCACTGGGGCACTGCCTAGAGGAGTTGTGAGAAGAGGGCCACTGTCCTCCAGACTCCAGTATGGAAGATCCTCCAAGAGCTTGCACCATGCACCTGGAAAAGCCAAAGACACTCAACACTAGCCAATGAAAGCAGCCAGGAGGGAGGCTGTACCCTGCAAAGCCACAGGGGCAGAGCTTTCCAAGGTCACGGGAGCCCCCCTCTTGCATCAGCGTGACCTGGATGTGAGTCATGGAGTCAAAGGAGATCATTTTGGAACTTTAAGGTTTAATGACTGCCCTATTGGATTTTGGATTTGCATCAGACCTGTAGCCCCTTTGTTTTGGCCAATTTCTCCCATCTGGAAAGGGTGTATTTACCCAATGCCTGTACCACCATTGTATCTAGGAAGTAACTAACTTCCTTTTGATTTTACAGGCTCATAGGCAGAAGGGACCTGTCTTGTCTCAGCTGAGATTTTGGACTTGGACTTTGGGTTAATGCTAGAATAAGCTAAGACTTTGGGGGACCGTTGGAAAGGCATGATTGTGTTTTGAAATGTGAGGGCATGAGATTTGGGAGGGGCCAGGGACGGTATGATATGGTTTGGCTGTGTGCCCACTCAAATCTCATCTTGAATTATAGTTCCCATAATCCCCACATGTGGTAGGAGGCAACTGGTGGGAGATAAATGAATCATGGAGGCAGTTTCCCTCATGCTATACTCATGATAGTAAGCTCTCAGAAGATTTGATGGCTTTATAAGGGACTTCCCCCTTCATTCATCTTTCATTCTTTTCCTTCCTGCCAAGTGAAGAAGGATGTGTTTGCTTCCTCTTCTGCCATGACTGTAAGTTTCCTGAGGCCTCCCCCGCCCTGCACAACTGTCAGTCAATTAAACCTCTTTCCTTTATAAATTACTCAGTCTCAGGCAGTTCTTTACAGCAGTGTGAGAGCAGACTAACACACTTAGCCAAAGGCAAATACAAGCAGAGAAACTCAGATGGAGAGTAGACCAAGACACCCGCTAAATTTCAAAGTCTCTTACAATCTTTTATACAACCTTATGAGACTCTTATGGCAAAAATATTACTTAAACATTGAATATGTCCAAAGGAAATTTACTTGTTGTTGAACATTTTCCCAAGGTTTTCTCAATATTAAAAAATGCCCATTGTGGTAGGTTGGATAAAGAAAATGTGGTACATACACACCATGGAATACTATGCAGCCATTAAAAAAGAATGAGATCATGTTCTTTGCAGGAACACAGTTGGAGATGGAGGCCATTAACCTTAGCAAACTAACGTAGGAACATAAAATCAAATACTGCATGTTCTCACTTAAAAGTAGAAGCTATATGATGAGAACACATGGACGTATACAGGAGAAGAGTACACAATGAGGCCTATTGGAGAGTAGAGGATGGAAGCTGGGAAGAGGGAAAGGATCAGGAAATATAACTGTTGGGTACTAGCCTTAGTACCTGGGTAATGAAATAATCTGCATAACAAATCCTCGTAACATGAGTTTACCTATACAACAAACCTACACATGTACCCCTAAACCTAAAATAAAAATTTTTTTTTTAAATTATTCTTCCAATCTCTGGAAATTGATTCAGTTCTAACCTTGCCCCAGAAATATAAATCTAGCTAAGAATAGGGCTTGACAATATGGTTTCTTGAAAAGTACTCCTCTACGTGGTAACTTACAACACCAGAAATCTAATGCAGGGCTTCTGTGTGCCAGGGAAGCTGCCACAGTATCGCATCAACATCACACTGAGTCATCGTCCGCAGTGATGGATGCACATAATCATAGTGCTCTTACAAAGACTATCTAATTTAATGCTGATGGAGTCACTGTATTGAGCAGTGAGATCTCTCCACTCAAAACATCTATGCTTGTTAAGTTTCACTAATGAATAATTTCGGACTGGACTAGGGAGGGTCCAGTCTTTCAGCACAGAAAGACTAAACTGCCTGACCTTCCCTAATCCAGCATTTGCCCCTGGATTAAAGGTGAACATCTGCTTTGGAAAATCAGAGCCTATTTCTCCTTAAGGGAGGCAAACCAAAGTTCCAGTTTAGAGTGTAAACTGGGATTGTCTCTGTTGGGCTGGGCGTAAACAATGAACCAGGGCTCTGATGCAGCAAAGCCCCCACTTGGGGACTTCACCAGATAACTGTCAGTTGGCAGGACGACGGTCAGAGGAACCTAGCTTAGTGCAAGCCTGGACTTGAAAGCCTGGACTTGAAAGTGATGGTGAGGTCAAGAATCGAGACCATCCTGGCCAACATGGTGAAAGCCTGTCTGCATTAAAAATACAAAAATTAGCCGGGTGTGGTGGCATGTGCCTACAGTCCCAGCTACTCAGGAAGCTGAGGCAGGAGAATCGCTTGAAGCTGGGAGGCGGAGTGAGCCGAGATCCCGCCGCTGCACTCCAGCCTGGCGACAGAGTAAGGCTCTGTCTCAAAAAAAAAAAAAAAAAAATGTGGGCCGCGCGGCGTGGTGGCTCACGCCTGTAATCCCAGCACTTTGGGAGGCCCAGGCAGGCGGATCACGAGGTCAGGAGATGGTAGCCATCCTGGCTAACATGGTGAAACCCCACGCCACTGCACTCCAGCCTGGTCGACAGAGCAAGACTCCATCTCAAAAAAAAAAAAAAAAAAAACTTGAAGTGATGGAATAGATATATTAAAGCACTGCCAACTTTCCTATATATGTATGATGGCAATAAAACACACTAATTATGACAATTATCATTTTGTATTCATCAGATATAGTTCAGGTTTTGTTTACAAATGAAAACTGATCAGTGATCTGAAATTCTTCATTAGTGGAATTTAACAAGCATAGATGTTTTGAGTGGAGAGATCTCACTGCTCACTACAGTGGCTCCATCAACATTAAATTAGATAGTATTTGTAAGAGCGCAATGATCATGTAAACATGTCATACCGTGCTATTAACCATACTCGCATGATAGACCAATCCCAGTAAGACACTGGGGGACATGGTTTATTGCTAATGCAGCATGGTTTTCTTTATGTAGCTAGGTCATCGATCAGTTCAAAACTTTCTGCAATAGAGAAAGTGATACCTGTGGGTATTCCAGACTGCTTATGACAGGGAAACCAACCTAGCTCAAGACTGAATAAACAGCACATAACCATCCTGGTGATCAAATGAGCTGTAACAAGAATATGAGTTCCTGGATCAAAGAAACCCGTAGAATCTCCATAAAATATGGCAAAAATTACAGACTGGTCCCAGAACCTTTCATATCCTAAGCTTCTTCTCTAAGAAGCTCTTTTTCAAAGTCTCTCTCTTTTTCCGGAGATGAAGCAGAACACGCTGACATAGACAATTTGATAAAGGCATTTTAATGCTTCTGTATTAATGCAGTTGCATAAAAATGAACATGACAAAATGTTAAAAGCACAATTTTTTTACTCAATAACGTGAATAACAGAAATCAAGCTCTACTCCATTCCTGAGCCCCTCCTCTACCCTACCCCCGGGGACATATCCAGTAATAGGCTAAGAATCAAGGATAGAGTGGTGATATCTGTTTTTCACATTACTTAGAACATTTTTTTTAAAGCAGAGTATTTTATAAGGTTTTTTAAGGAGGCTAAAAATATCTCCAAAAAGCCACATTCTAACGTTATATAGCTAGCCATAGAACATGACCCACTTCCACTCTATCAGAGACTGAATCTCAGAATTTCAGGATGAGATAGTAAATCAATATTCACCTTTCAACTTTTCTCTAACTTCCTTCCTGGGCAAGGGACAGGACATGAGAATTTGGTGAAAGATCCTGAATCAGCACTGAAGACAACATCATCCGAGTTGAACGCCTTGTGATTGGATGAAACAATATCACCTGCCATAGGCTAAAAAGGCTTATCTGATAAAGCACAGGATTCTGATATTGAAAGGTGATTAAGGAAGTCAGAGCATGTTAAATATTAAGCACTTCTTGGAATGTGAACACTGTGCTAGAGGTTGCCGCATCATAGGAAATGAATCTTCAGATGACCTCAAGGTCTTTGGCTCTAACATTGCTGAAGCACAAAAATGTCAAAGTATCTAAATGAGTTCCAGAACCAACACTAAAAGGAAACACGACTGCTTGAGGGCAATCCTCACATCCCCAGATGTTTTCTATTCAGGCTCCAATCCCATTGCCCTCCAACATCATCAGCTCCTGGGGAAACACGGTTAAATCTATCATCTTGACAACCTTCAAATGAAGACTCTCCTTTGACTTTGTATTTGTTCTTATTGGAAAATTTTACACTCCCTCCTCCATAATAGTATCAGATTTCTCTGATTCTTCCTGATGCTGCCACAAATACCTAGTCTATGTATTCTATAAATATTTGTTGAGCACCTACTATGTGCCAGCCCTCTTTTGGGCACTAGAGAGGTAGATGCAGTGACTAGCAGGCCTTGGCATTCCTTGTCAAACAACTGAAACCATGATTTCAGCAATATTCGACTTTGCTGACTTTAAAGTCCGTGGTGTCTCTTCACAATACTGGGATAGTCTTTTTTGCCTGCCACTGGTACTAACTCATATTCCTCTAGCCTGCAAGAATTTCCACTCCTAGAGCATCTGATTGCCCCTTCTTAAAGAAGGATGGCCAACGTATTAGTTTCTATTTCAGGAATTTCCACCCTCAACTGTCAGGCAGTATAGCCATCTCCAATCCTCTGTGTACTACATCCAACTTACTGCCCACCTTTTCAGATACACCCATCCCAATCTTACATCACCATGGTCTCTATTAAAGCATAATAAAATAATATATATTGTTATGTTATTATTTACAAATAACCCAAATAACACTACACGCCTGTCCACTTGTGGCTCTGAACATTGAGAAATACTTGTCTTCCACCTTTGCCTCATTCAAATACCCTCCTCATCTTCCTCCTCCTTTTTCTTCTCCTCCTCCTCCTCCTTTTTCTGCTCCTTCCAGGATGTTCTCAAAGCCCACATCCCTATAAAGATTTTTCAACTACCTCTAGAATTAACTTTTTAAAAACACAATGTTGTTATGACATCAACATACTCCAGAATATAATACTTACATTTTGAAAACCGATTGTGTGTGTTTATACCTGAAAGGTATTCCCATGTTTCTGATAATTGAAGTGCTTATGTTCATTACTCCTCTCTATATTAGTGTAGGTAATCTAGGCAATCTCTTCTTCTTTTTTTTTTTTTTTTTTTTTTTTTTTGAGACAGGGTCTGAGGCTGGAGTACAGTGGCACAATCTTGGCTCACTGCAACAACATCTGCCTCCTGGGCTCAAGTGATTCTCGTGCTTCAGCCTCCTGAGTAGCTGGGATTACAGGTGCACTCCACCATGCCCAGTTAATTTCCGTATTTTTAGTAGAGACGGGGTTTCACCATGTTGGCCAGGCGGGTCTCAAACTAGTGACCTCAACTGATCCACCCGCCTCAGCCTCCCAAAGTGCTGGGATTGCAGGCGTGAGCCACTGTGCCCAGCCAGTAATTTCTTTTGTGTAAGATTACTTAGCAAATGGTCATTGATATTTGCTATTTGAATTACAATAAGACAATACTGTTCCACCACTTCTACAGAAGCTGATGACTTGGAAGATAAAAGAAAAAGAAATTAACAAGTACAGATTTCTTATCTTGGTTTCATTTGGTATTAGATTGTTAGATTTAGGGAGAGGAGGGCTGGAGGGATTTTTTTGAGAAGCAATGGGTTCTTCTGTGTGTTTTTATTGGACAGAGCACTGGATCCAGAAAACAGTATATAAGTCACGGATGTTCTTCTAGGAATTGGCCCTGCACCCTTGAGAAACCACTCCACATCTCTGCAAGACAACTCTTCTCACAGGAAAAGTGAAAGAATTGGGCTAGAAGGTTATTTGATCCCCTCAGAGTACAACTATTATTCATAGTTTCCCAAAATAATAAGTACAAATAATAATCTGTACAAATTACCTGTAAAATTACCTAGGCAGAAAGGTATGCCTAGATCATAATCCCTTCACCTCCAATTTGTATTTACTGATATTCCAGGAGTTGGAAGATATTCCGAGGGCTTCAGGATATTTCACTGATAGTAAGCAGCAACAAAAACGCAATATTAAAAAAAAAAGGTATCATTCCATTACTAAACCTTGGTGCACACCCTAAGAACCATCTCAGACATTACCAGAGGCACTACTAAATGGGCAACGAATCACACCGCATTAACTCCTGGGCAACATTAACAGTGTAGAGAAACAACCCAATACATTCAGGATCGTAAATATTCACAAAACATCACATTATTATCACTTAAATTTATCCACAGGTAAATTGGATTAATTGGATGCAAATGAACATTGGGGAAATTAAAGGCCACTTAAAGTTTTCATCTAGCCCTTACATAGGGTCAAAAAGGCAGCCTACATAAAGAGGGGAGTGGGCAGGTGCTATACATCCTAATCCTGGCTTTCAACCACAGCTGGGATTTAGAGGTACGAAGAGAAAGAATAAAACACCTGTGTGGAGGATGGGCTAATATAATAAAGGGGACCAGTCTCATCTGAATGGTGCTGTTCGACTGGGAATTTAGTAAGTTCCCTTAATGCACTGGGCATTAAGGGAACCATCCCCCTACCTGCAGTTAAAAGAATGCACGAGATTCTGGCCTACACATTCTGCGAGCTTGCAGTCAAGTTGATGAGAAAATGAACCCATGCTCAACCCACGATTAGGAAAATGGTACATGCTAAACTCTTACAGACTCATGAATTCATATAAATTCAGAGAGAGAAAATAAATCCTACAGCCTGGAGTTATCAGATTTCCTACAGAAACAATGGGGAGGTCAAGAAGTCCGTGTTGGAATTCCGACTCTGGCCATGCCCCTGGCTTTTTAGTGGCCTGTGTTGCCAGTATGCCAGGAATGGACAGCTTCACAAAGCCCAGGAAGCTTCTACATTGCAAATGCAAAGACATGAATATACACTGCGAGTAAATGAACACTTTAAGTGCTTGTAGAAGAATAATGTCATTCTCAGTAATGGAGATGTTGAGAACGAAGAAAGGAAAGGGTGGCAATTTTGCCATGAACAATTCCAATTTAGGATGGTTTTATTTGAGCAATAACACCGGGCTCTTCCTACAGTTAAGAGACAGACTCAATTAGGAATGTACCCTGTGGGCATTCTGTGCAATTGCCATCCAAGGGACAAACTGCACTCAATCAGCACAGAAAGGACGGCTGCCGTGCATCAAGCTTACAGCTCAGCTCACCAGCCTAGTAAAAGCTCCATGAGGTGCAGCATCTAAAACACAGGCAGATTCCATTAACAGTTGGGTCAGACACATAAAAATGTATTCATCTTTATAGCTATTTGTATTATGTAGAGTTGGAAAGAAGAAGAGCAGTGTTTGTTTTGAAGCCATTCTCCAACTATCTCTTTCCAGGTCCGTTCCCTGCTGACCACGGTAGCCTCCTCACAGGCCCCCTCTTTTGCTCCTTCCAAATTCCCAAAGCTAGATTCTTCCTGCTGCTTGATTAAGCCCTAAAATACAACTGTGACTATGCCTCCCTCCACCCTGCTTAAAAGCCTTGCACGGTTCTCAGCCCTTCCTCATGGAGTCTAAATCCCTTCTCTCTGTGTTTCCTGTCTTATTTTCCACTATTATCTCAGCCTGAAGCTCTGAAAACTGAATTACCCAGCACATCCTGCACTTATCTCCAAGTGTCGATCTTTGCCATGGCCAGCCCCTCCCCGAAGTTGAATGCTCTTCTCCCATCTTCCCCAGCCCCACTGCAAAGTTCTAGAAACATGTCCATGAATTCTCTGCTATCTTTCTTTTGAGAGATGGGACCTAATTGCCCTCCTCTTGAATGTGGGATGGACTTAGTGGCTCATTTCTAATGAATAGAATGAAGCAGAAGTGAGTAAAATGCCCTCAAACCTAGATGCTGCCTCCTCCGTATTATTTGTGTGCTTGCTGTCATTCTCTTTCTCTTTCTCTCTCTCATTGCTGGCTCTGAGAGAAGCCAGCTGCCAAGTCATGAGGACGCTCAGGCAAGCCTATGGAGAGGCCCACATGGTTGCCCACAGAGCCCTCTTGGCAAGAGCCAGCAAAGAATTGAGGCCTCCTGCCAGGAGCCATAAGAGCAAGCCATTTGGAAGCAGATCCTCCATCCCCCTTCGGGCCTTCAGATGACCACTGGCCAACAACTTGACTGCAACCTCATGAGAGCCCTGAGCAGAACCCCTGGCTGAGCTGTTCCCAAGTTCCTGCCCTATGGAAACTGCAAAATAGTAACTGTTTGTTGTTTTGAGCCACTGTGTTTGGGAGGTAATTTGTTACGTAGCAATAGATAACTAACAGTAATAATAACTAGATAATAAGTAAATATTACATAAACTGACTCATTTTCAAATGTCTAAATCCTAAGTACAATTTAACTGTTAGATTAAATGTCTCCTCCTCCATGGATCACTCCTAGCTCACCTGAGTAGAAATAGTGTCTAAAATCACATAAAGTTAAACTGTATCTCTCTTGTAGAATTTCATATCTCTCTTATAGTGGCATGTATGACTTGCAAAATTTTCTGTCTTATTGGGAGTTAAGCTCCTTGAGGAAGTGGTCCCAAGTTTTTTCTCTTGCTATCTCATCAGAGGAGCTAGGTGCATTTTTTTTAAATGTGATAAATATTTATCAAGAGAATGAGCACCCAGATTTCAAATTAAAGTTTATTTCATTGATTGAAATCCTATTTGTGTTTATTGTTATGATATTAGTTAAAAGTTCTATGTGACTGGCCTGGTGCAGTGGCTCACGCCTGTAATCCCAGCACTTTGGGAGGCCGAAGCGAGTGGATCACGAGGTCAGGAGTTTGAGACCATCCTGGCCAGCAGGTGAAACCCCATCTCTACTAAAAATACAAAAAATTAGCTGTGCATGGTGGCGCACGCCTGTAGTCCCAGCTACTTGGGATGCTGAGGCAGGAGAATTGCTTGAATCTGGGAGGTGGAGATTGCAGTGAGCCAAGATCGCGCCACTACACTCCAGCCTGGGAGACAGAGCGAGACTCCATCTGAAAAAAAAAAAAAAAAAAAAAAAAAACACGTTCTACGTGACCGCAGAAGCAAAAGACCATATAAAAAGTGTCTTATCCCTTCATAACTTTCACAAAAGGAGAAAACTGCCCAGGGTATAATAACTAATGTATCCAATTTACAAGCTCATTAGGTAAAAGCAATTAAAATATAACCATTCTGGTGTTGGTCCTTGTACAAAGCTGATACAGAATTGAAAGTAGGGGTGTGGAAATCAAGAGATGACTAGGTCCTAACCAGATAATAAAGTCCTTGCCAAGTTTTCCTCCAGTTGAAAACAGAAACTTTTCTCTTTCACATTGTTTGTGAGCTGACATCATCTCCTAGACCATTTCCACTCTCCTTAGTGAAGCCTTCTCGAATTTGCTTTGTACGATATTAACGAAGCATCAACAGCAACATATGAAAAGTGAATAAGTATTTTTGATTATTTGTATCTAAAGCCCAGGCCTCCCGTTTCCTCTGAGTAATGGAAAATGTGAAAATGGATTATGAAGAAAGCATGAAATGTTCAGAGCATTTTGGCTTTTAAAAATGAAAGCACAAAAATCACTATGTTTTGCTGGAGCTCCCAAGACATAATTGCATAAAGGGAAGGATCCTTCCTGCCAGCCATTGTCTTTGCCGCTGGTAAAAGGAAAGGCTGTCAAAGCCCTTCTCTCTGCTGCCTTTCACATATTTCTAGAATGTCTATTATCACCCAATGTTCAGTGACTGGTGGAGCTCAGATTCAGGCAGGAACAGCTGGAGAAGACAAATCGTACCCAACTCTTACGCTATCAGATCTGATCCTTGATCTGAAGCAACCATAATAAATGTATTGAGACATTTTGTACAGGGATAATTGTTTTCATTGTAAATCAGTATTCATTTACAGATTATTAGATACTGTAAAACTTTTATTTATGTGTGGATGGTTATGCATTCTTGATACATAAGACATCAAATCAGCTGGCTCCCTTCCCTTTCCCAAGCAACCAAGACAACAAAAAAACAGTGAGTGCCTGAGTTCCAGTCACTCCCACCTGGCTTTCCAATGTTAAGATAACATCGTTCCATTCACAATTTTTAAGTACATCCTTAGAATTTTGACTACTATTGTTCCAACTCTCTGCTCCCAAAATGGGGATAACATTTTAAAAGACTGGAAACCCTTTAAGGAATGTTATTCAGACTGCCAGGCATTCAATTATAGAGCACCTCTGCATTATTTTCTACACTAGATAAATGAAATAAAGGTTTAGGCAATAATTCAAAGAATTTAATCAATGTTAGCCATCAATATAGGTCATTCAAGACAGTATAATTTTAGTCTTTGGTAGTAAATGCTTTCAGCCTGAATTTTCTAGATAAACAACACTATATTTCTCTTTGTCAGTGTGAACGAAGCTTTAGGGGGAATAGGGGGAACTTTACCTTCTTTTAAATTAGACATACCTGCCATTCACATTGCCACTCTTAATAGCACACTGTATCCAAACCAAACCAATGGATCGTAATGCAATGTTGTTATGAATTTTTTTATGAGTAGTGAAACTAGGCTCTCCCCACATCTGACATCTTGGTTCGTTTAATCAACATCACCCCAAGCCCTGCTGAATTTTAAATGGCAGAAAGTCATCAACAGCACAGCCATAGATTAAAGCAATGCCTATCCTAATACAACTTCACCCAAATGGAAATGTGGCATACTAGGACAACAGAAGTCCTAGCTAAGTCAAGAGGGAGAAAAAGACGCAGAGGAAATCCATAGCACTCCATGAGGGAATTCGACCATCCTGTGGTTGTCTAGAAAACACTATAGGAAAGCGCATCTAATATATGGAGGAAGATATGACCAGCTGTGATTCTGTAAGGCTGTGTTAAAAAAAAAAAAAGACTTTTCAGTGAACAATTAAAGATAAACCTAAACTATTTTCAGTATAAAAAAAATCCAATCGTCACATTGGTCTTTTGATCACATCTACAGAAATGACAATCACTACCAAGAAGGTGACTGGACATCCTGGCTGCCAAGGAAAGGGCTGGCTTGTGGCTGCCATCCTGAATCAATAACAGTGTCACCTTCCACTATCAGAAATATTCCAGTTTGGACAACCAATTTTATGGTCACCGTAATTTTTAGTGTATTATTATTTAGAGGGAAATAACAATGACATAATAAATACATGTATAACCTTAAAGAAAACCTTCCATCTACTTCCTTCATTCTGATATTCCTCAGTCTTGGTAAGAGTATCCAGTAAGTGTACTGTTATCAGCAATATTCAACTTGACCCTTCTACTCCACCTGACAGAGAGCTTCTCTCTCTCTCTCTCTCTCTCTCTCTCTCTCTCTCTCTATCTATCTATCTATCTATCTCTATCATCTCTATCTCTATCTCCACATATACCACAATTTCTTTCTGGTACTGCCTTTACATATTTGCCCAACCATCCCCCAAACAAGAATCTGCTCTTGCTTGCCAGTGTACTTTATCCAATACCAAGACCAAGACTCACTTTCTCACTTTCTCTTATGGATCCGACTTCATTTTACCTCACTGGGCACAGATCCTAGAGATAAAAGTGTATTTTTTAATGTATATTATATTTATTTGCTCAGATGTAACTATTAATATAAATTGGGTGGAATATGGATACAAAGTAACAAAATCTACTGTCCAAGCTTGGGTGCACTTGACGAAACTCTAGCTGCTGACCAGGAGCTCCATTGCCTGCTGACTAGAGAAGCTTGGAGACCACCTCCACCTGGGGGACTCGCAGTACCCCACCCTTCTTCTTAAAGGGCACTGTTCCAGATACTGTCCAGCTGCAAAGAAAAATTGTTGGCCTCATTTTTCTCATTTATTTTTAATTTCCTTTATTTTCTGTAAACTTTTGTAAACCTTCTTCAATCCTTCTGCCTCTAGGTGTGAAACACATGAATATCAAGCATAGCTCTTGCCTACATAGATCACAACATTTCGGAGAATTGGGAAAATAAGAACCACATAGATATAATACAAAATATGATGTAGTAAGTACCATGAAATAGCTACGAAGTGTATTAAGGTTTTAAAAAAGAAAGAAATCACTTCCATTAAGGCAGGTATAAGACAAAGACCTAACAGTGGATAGGATTAAAATTGTGTCGTCTTGAGGTTACAGAATCAGGTTACATACATGGCAGAAATGTTGAGGGGGAGGGACAGGCAGTCCAGGTGGGAACAGCATAAATAAAATTATGGGGGTTAGAAAATGGAGAGCACAATTGAAATAAAATAGTCATTCTAACTAGCAGAATGACTATTTAGCAGTAAGACATGGCCTGTCTAAAAGGGTAGATTTCTTATTTGCTTAATGTATCCAGGGAGATCAAGTTACGAAAGAAAAATGTATATATTCACAGCATGTGTGCATATGTGAGTGTACCTATGATTTTATTGAAAAGGTACATGATTATTAAATACTCATTTACAAAATGCACAGATTTAACAGCCTCCTACCACACACATTTCTACAATGTTTTCTTTCTGCTCAGATAAAGAGAAAATCAGCCAGGAGCTCCAAAGAGACCTACTCTATCAAAGATCCAAATTCCACGTGTGAGAACCAGGAAACGAAAGAGTCTCAGATCCACACTCCTGTAACATTTTATAAGGGCATGTTTGGCAGCTCTGATCTGAGGCTCACGCAGCCTGACTCAGATCAAGCTGCATTTGCGAATCCAGTGCTGGAGGGAAGGGGAGTTTGGGAGAAGCAATTACTGGGTTGCATCGGAGACACCATTGTATCTCCTGCATTCGGTGACAGAGTCTCACTTTTCTCCACTGTAAGTCTCAGTCAGTTTGATTGATGCACAGAACTGTTCCTCTCCCTCCTCCCTGGGGAGGGAGGGGAAGATGAAGTGCAGTATTGCAGAGAGAAAAGTGGTTTTATACACATCATCTTAATTCTCAATGATGGAGAAAGAAGAAAAAGAACAGGAATTCTAAGTAGCAGAGAAAGGTTCAAGGTTAATTTGATTGGCAATATATGAAATGCCACTTACCTCAGGCCATTTGAAATTGCCCCTCCTTCTCTCCACAATGAATGAAATGATTCTTTCCAAAGACAGGGGGATCAACTGATAATGGCTGCTATTACATATTCATATACCACTTTGCATTCTGCAGCTTACTTGGCAGGAATTCTTACAAGTCTCTGTTCGCAGATGCCCTGTCAGGGAGGTGAGGCTGGAATTCAGTGAGCTGTCACAGGCACTTTTCAGTGGACAGAAGGACAGAGACGGGATAGTAGGTGGGGGGTGCCTGGAAGAGACCACACCTGAGGTGCACAGGTGATCTGTGCCTCCACCTTGCCTTCGTTGCTCACCCCACTCAGTCCATACTGGGGGGCTTGCTTTCCAAAGACAGGTACTTTATTTAAGAACATGCTTTGTAACCGATCGTCTTAACAACAGGTACGTCTCAGTACTAGCATGAGGCTGAAAAAAATTATTTTGTGCTTTAAGAAAAAAATGTGGTACCACCACAAAGAAGATGAGGAAAAGAATATAAAAATAATAATAATGTGGAATAATTATCTTTCTATGTTAAGGATGATTTCCTCATCCTAGAGAAAGTAAGGAGAGGTTTTTATTTTAAGGAATTTTTAAAAAGAAAAAGAGGAAAAATTATGAGTTTTTAAGAGTTTTGAGTTTCTGAGTTGTGATGCAACTAACTCACACTTCTTGGAGCATAATCCTAACGAGATGAGGGTAAAATCCATTCAACCAATACTCATTCTCTAACATGCACAAGGAAGAAGGCTGGCAAGTTTTATTCCCATACAAGCCAGTTTAGGTCACAAAACAAAAGACACAGCCAGACACAGGGTTCCTAAATACAGCTGGAGGGAAGTTGGAAAGAAAATATGGATGGATGGCTGAGTGCATGTTCACTGTATCTTGGAAAAAGAACACAAAGCCCAAGGAATCATTAGCTTCATGTTTTTAACTCTCTCTCTCTCTCTGTCTCTCTGTCTCTCCGTCTCTCTCTCTCTCTCTCTTTCTCCTCCCTCTCTCTCCCAGTTATCTTGTGACATGACCAATTGCTGAGTTGCTATTCATTATTAACTGTTTTCCTTCAAGGTCAGTGATTGCCCTGAGTGTGATGACAGTGCTCAAGGTAACGCACGATTCAGATCAACCTTGAAATGTTGACCCATCATAAGTTCAGTGTAATTAAAAGGTGTGCCTATGCCCATGCCCGCTGTTTGAAACCTAATGTCTCTGCACTTACCCAGAATATCTGTCTGTGGATTTTCTTCATGGGCAGTTTTTACAAAGCACTAAAAATCTGCATGAAATTAATGACTGCAAATTAGCTTGAGCAAATTTCTTAAATTAACTCAGTAACAGTTCTGATTTAAATTTAGGAAGAAAGGGGCTTTTTATTTATTTACAGCCAAAGAATATAAGGTAAATTCAAATAATTTAAGATCAAACTACTGCCCTGTTTGTGAAGTCTGGGGTTTGACATGCAGCGGTGGGTTTTGAAGAATGGTTCCTTCGAGTTATTCTGACCACAGCTGTTTTCAGTGCAATTGATTTTTATTACTAATGGGATTGGTGCTCCTCAACATACAATGCAGAGAGAGAGAAAACACGATAGCGAGAGGGTGGAGGAGAGAGAAAGACATTTCCACTGAAACTACTCTAGGACAGTCTTACCACTCCCCTCTAAACCTCACTCCAGGACGCCAGGATGCATGTTGGCAATTTATGTCTCACAGGGCACTCAAGTCCATCATTTCAGAGACAAGAAGCAAAATCCTTACTCTAAGAGAATAGTTGATTCCTCCAAGTTTAGCAGGAAACCAAACTGAAACGGTTGAACTTGAACAAGGAAACATGCTTAAGAACCAGGAATATGTCTGGATAAACTAACTGCATTTCAATAAACACCTTTCTTGGGGTTTATTCTTTAACATAATCAGAGCATCTAAAATATCTCTGTCACCCTGAATGGCAAAACTAAAAGTAAATGACCAAATAGATGTATGTTATGAAAGAAAAGCTTACCCAAAAATGTGGAACCAACCTAAATGCCCATCGACTAATGAGTGTATAAAGAAAATGTGGTATATACACACCACAGAATACTACTCAGCCTTTAAAAGGAATGAAATAATGTCTTTTGCAGCAACTCAGATGGAGCTGGAGGCCATTATTCTAAGTGAAGTAACACAGGAATGGAAAACCAAAACCATATGTTCTCACTTAGCTCTCACAAGTGGGAGCTAAGCTATGAGTATGCAGAGACAAACAGAGTGATATTATGGACTTTAGAGACTCAGAAAGGAGAGGATGGGAGGAGGGCTAGGGATAAAAACTACACATTAGGTACAATGTACACTACTCAAGTGATGAGTGCACTAAAATCTCAGATTTCACCGTTATATAATTCATCCATATAACAAAAAAACACACGGACCCCAAAAGCTATTGAAATAAAACAACAAAAAGAAAAAAAAGAAAAGCTTGCCCAGGTAGTGACTAAGATGGTCTGCAACTTTTTCCATCAGAGCTTGGAGACAACGAAGGAAGCAGAGTAACACTGATCAAATCATTCCATAATCTCCAATGCATGAGCTCAGTTCCAACAATACTGTGACCTTCCGGGCTATTCTCCAAACTTTAAAATACTGCTACTCATCTACAAATGGAGATTCTAATACATACCTTCCAGGATTGTTGTGAGGATTAAATGAACGTGAAGCTTAGCACCAGGGCTGGCAGGCAAGAAAGGCTCAATGGATAAATGTTGCTGTTATTACTGTCGCATCTGTAATTTTTTTACTCTTTAGTACTTAGCAATAAATTGATTTTATGGTAAACATGTATATTTGGCCACAATCATTTTCTTCCATGCATCCAAAGCATACAAAAATTTATTATTTGGCAAAAAGTAAATAAATAAAGCTTTTATTTATTTATTTATTTTGAGATGGAGTCTCGCTCTGTCTCCCAGGCTGGAGGGTAGTGGCGTAATCTTCACTCACTGCAACCTCCCACTCCAGGGTTCAAGCGATTCTCCTGCTTCAGCCTCCTGAGAAGCTGGGATTACAGGCGCCCACCACCATGCCCAGCTAATTTTTGTGTTTTTAGTGGAGACGATTTCACCATGTTGGCCAGGCTGGTCTCAAACTCCTGACCTTGGGTGATCCGCCTGCCTCAGCCTCCCAAAGTGCTGGGATTACAGATGTGAGCCACCACACCCAGGCAAAATAAATCTTTTAATTCAGTGACTCTAAATAAGACCTCTCTCAAAGAGTATATGTTGAATGCCTCCTGCAATCCAGGCACTGTGCTAGGCTGAAAGATTAAAATCCCAGGTGATCCGGCCAGGCGCAGTGGCTCATGCCTGTAATCCTAGCACTTTGGGAGGCCGAGGCGGGTGGATCACCTGAGGTCAGGAGATCGAGACCAGCCTGGCCAACATGATGAAACCCTTTCTCTACTAAAAATACAAAAACTAGCTGGGGGTGGTGGGCGCCTGTAATCCCAGCTACTCGGGAGGCTGAGGTAGCAGAATCACTTGAAGCTGGGAGGCGGAAGTTGCAATGACCCGAGATTGCGCCATTGCACTCCAGCCATTTGGTACTGAGTCCAGCCATTGCACTCAGTACCAAAAAAAAAAAAAAAAAAAAAAAAAAAAAAATCCCAGGTTATCCAAGTCAGCATCAGTTGATGCAAGTTTTTCTGTGGCAATAGAAGGATGAATATTGAGTGATTCCACTTATGTGGGGGATCTGAAATAGTCAAACTCATAGAAACAGAAAGTAAAATGGCAGTTGCCAGAAACTACAAGAAAGGGAAACAGAGAGTTACTGTTCCACAAGTGTAAAGTTCCCACAGTTACAAAGGTGAACACCTGCTGCTCAGCAAGTATAAGCTCTAGAGATCTGCTACGCAATATTTCACCTATGTGTCAAGTGGGTCCATCTCATGTTAAGTGCTCTTTCTCACCAAGATGAAATAAGTAAATTGCTCTTAAAGATGACCTGTGGCTAAGGATGTTCTGAGACTGAAGAACAAGCAGCCTAGGCGAAGTCAACTCACAACTTCAGAGGCCTTGCCAGTCCAACTCTAGACAAAAATAAAAAAGTAAATAAATGAAGCTTTCAATTTAGCAAGACTAAGAAGGTCTCTCTCAAAATGATACAGGTGTACTCCAAGTAAATGTAGGCCAAACAGGAATGTAATAAGTCAATCACGGAGAACCTATCAGCAACTGAAAGTCAAGAAGATAAAAATATAAATTCACATAATGGAAAGAGAGCGTCAGGCAACACTAAGCAATTAGGACTGATGGTTATTCTATTGCCAAAGATCTCAAAAGATAAAAGCATGGTCTAGTCCTCGGTTTCCTCACAGAGGCCCAGATCTACTCACTTTTTTTCACCCATGCTGCTCCCAGTGTCTTTCAAAGCACGTTTGGCTCAAACATATACACATTTGCAAGCTTGCCAAGGCCTTCGAGTACACATGGATGTTCTAAATGATAAACCAGTGCCAGTATTAGCTTTAACTAACACTGAACGCTTTGGGAAAAGTAATGCATGACTAGCTTATGTGGTCTTTAATACTGTTTATTGTCTGCCCCTTTTTGACATCATTCCCTAAAAGAGCCCAATTTAATTCACAACAAAAAGTTGCTATGTGCCATACCAGGTTCTCCTTATAATTATTCATAACATTTTAGGATAATTTTTATGGCTTTTATGACTGCACTAGCCTTCTCAACCTCTCACTTTTACATTTTGAACATTGGCACAAATTTTAAATCTATTGAACCACCCATGGCTTCCCACAGCATTGCATTATAAGCATTATATTTTCGCTCTCTATCTTCCTTGTTTGAATCATCATTTGAATACATAGTATACATTTTTAAATTTCATCCTTTATCTGCATTATCGCTAACTTTTCATTTAGATCCTGCTTTTGTAAGTACTCAAAAAAATCCATAGTGCTATCACAGCAGGTGCTATTTATGAAATGTAAACATTACCAACAATGCAAAAATGAAATTTAATTGTGAGTTGTATGATTTTGTAAGTACCAGGCCAAAAGCTAGACACTTTACATGTATTATCTCATTTAATCTTTAGTAAAATCTTAAGAGACTCCAGTATCATCATCACACCCACTTTACAGAAGATAAACTGAGCTGGAAGACAGTAAGTAATCTGACAAGGTCACATAGCAAAGAGGAGACAAAACTCAGAATCCATCTGTCTAGCTCCAAAACCTAGACTCTTAAGCATTGCACCATGTGCAGAAAACATTATGTGCTCTTTTGTGCTTGCGCTTTTGTTCAAAATACTTTTCAATGTTGAAGTAGCCAAATAAAATCCACATACAATGGAATAAAGGCTTTGGCATTTTTAAGAACCTTTAAACTTTCATTTTTTTTCTTCTAATGTACCCCCTTGCTATTACCTGGTTTATTCAGTCACAGTTAGAATGCAATAAATGGAGTAACAACACAAACAATACTGAAATAGCACACGTAGCCTAGCAAAAATCCATAGGAAAACAGAGCAACGTGAAAGCAAAGTCCGAAGGCCCTCCCCTTGTATGGCCCTGCCTGCCCAGCACTCTGGCTTCCCGGCAATCAGCCACACACCGCAGAACTTTGTGTTTCCGCCCACAGTGGAAATTTCCATATCTAAAATGTTATTATGGGCTTCATAGAACAATCTGTGTAAGGTCATATTTGCATAAGTCAAGTGTTCCACAGTCTGTACAGCGTCTTTACCTAATGCAGGATTAAATTGCCATGGGGGGCTCTTATTAACCCTCCAGATTGCCCTAAATGCCAGCCAGCATTCACTTAAAGAAGAGTAGCTGGAATATGGAAGCAGCAAGGCGGGGACCTGCAGTTGAGCTCTCCAGTACTCAAAGCCACCAAAGCTCAGAAACCGAGGGAGAAAGACTCTTTTATTCACCCGTGTCCTTTTACGTAGTAAGTTAGTAGAAGCAGGGGAAAAGTCAGTGGGTGCATTGGTGACAAATGAGGGGACTTCAAAGGACTATGCATGGAGATATTACCAGATTGTCATCAATGCAGATGCTCTTTAGCCCAAGGGCTTCCAAACTGGATTTCCAGAAGTCCTGATTTCCTGCCTCAAGACTGCTTTAGGAGTGAGAGGGAAAGGCCCAGTTAGCATGGCCACAGGTCTTCAAGCTTTCCTTCAATCAGTGTGGCTCCCCTTTTTTCTGTCAGGCATGCTGGAATTTCATGCCTGGTTTGTTTGGAAGGAGTATCTAACGCTAAAGATGAAGTCAGAATGCCACTAATTCAGGACAACTTCTACCACTTACCTATATGACGATGGTAAGAACGCCAGGCTCAGTATCTTGCCCAGTGAGTCAAGGCTGGAAAGTGGCAAGCCTAGACTGGAACCTAAGAATTTGGATTTTGGGTCCAGAGCCCAACCAGCACACCTGGAGCCTTTGTCCACCATTTCCTTTGCTTCTTTCTACTCCTGCTCTGGAAGTCTATTGTTACTTTTCTCCGATTAGGTAAATGCATAAGTGAAATAAGGTGCACAGGTGACTCTTCCATCAAATCTTTAAAAGCGGGCAGACCTAGAAACTGTGTAAGGCACATGGTCTTTGGAGGAGGGGTGCCTTTGATGAACTACCTCTGCTTCCAAATCCCATACGGATGAGTCCTGAGCATGTGCACATGAATCTATCTGGCCTAATTCCTTCAGTGATTGTGTTGTATAGTGCGCTAAGACTTGCCAAGCATATGTACACATTTTGTCTCAATGTAAAACTTAGCCCCCTGTAAAAGGCTGAGGATGCATCTATCCTACTGGGAATGCAGAATTATAGGGCTTTACAGATCACCCAGCCCAATTTGTAGATGAACTTGTAGTTGATCTACAAGTGAGAAAACTGACACCCAGAAGTGTTCAGTGATATCTTAAGGTCATTAATATCCAAGCCAAGACTGAAGACCAAATCTACTGATTCCTGCACCAGCTCCTGTCCCACTACCCAGCCCAGTTGTGTGCAGTCAAGGTTTTAATGCGTCCTGATATTCTTTCAGATGGTGGCCCCACTCAGAGCTGCACACATGACCTCACATACGAATACTTAGAAGCTAAAAGCAAAGTTATTTAGTTAGTTGCTTATTTCCAAGTATCTCTAAGGACATTTGCTCTACATTCTCATGCATCTTCCTGCTTTCCTTCATGGTACTTGTAACAATTTCATGTTATTTACTTTTCTAAAATGCATTTATTTATATAATGCATTTACTTATTTGTTTGTTCAGTTCCCTTCTGCATGAAAATATAAGTTCCATGAGAACAGTGGCTGGTTTTCTGTCTTGTCTAACACTGCTATTTCCAGACCCCAACACATTGTCTAGAACATAAGCCAAAGTCGAATGAATGAGCAAATGAGTAATTGAATGAATGAATGAGTGAATCTCGCTACCCTAAAAATACTTCTATGACTATACTTGTTACATAGTATTTAAACCATGCATTCACACTTCTGTCTCCCTTAATCAACTGTAAGTTTCTTGAAAGTATCTGCACTTTGTAGTGTTGGCAATACCTAGTTGTGCCTTATTTATACAAAGAAGGAAATTAATAAATATTTGTCAAGTAAGTAAATTTATTCATTCATTCATTAATGAAATCCTGGACATATAATAGGCACTCAAAAATATGTATATACTGATTAACTGATTGGTTTGTTGGTTGATTGATGAGTGCTTGATAAAACTCCATGAAAATCAAACATTTCCAGGGTGATATTTTTAGGAAACTATCAACCATCACAAAAACCTAATTTTTTTTTTTTTTTTTTTGAGACAGAGTTTCACTAGTTGCCCAGGCTGGAGTCCAACGGCACAATCTTGGCTCACCGCAACCTCTGCCTCCTGGGTTCAAGAGATTCTCCTGCCTCAGCCTCCTGAGTAGCTGGGATTACAGGCATGTGCCACCATGCCTGGCTAATTTTGTATTTTTAGTAGAGATGGGGTTTCTCCATATTGGTCAGGCTGGTCTTGAATTCCCAAACAAAGGTGATCCGCCCGCCTCGGCCTCCCAAACTGCTGAGATTACAGGCATGAGCCACGGCACCCAGCCATAACCTAATGTTTTTGTATGAATTTTTAAAATGTCTATTTGAGGACACAAAGAAGGGAACAAAAAATACCAGTGCCTACTTGAGGGTGGAAGGTGGGAGGAGGGTGAGAATTGAGAAATTACCTATCGGCTATTATACTGATTACTTGAGTGACAAAATTATCTGTACACCAAACCCCAGCCACATGCAATTTTCCCATGTAAAAAACCTGTACATGTATCCCTTTAACCTACAATAAAAGTTGGAAAGAAAAAGGTTTATATCTATAAAAATATGATTCCTCTGAATTTTATTTTTTTAGCCTCTTTTCTTCTCCACTAGTTAGATCAAAAATATAACTACTTTGTAGAATATGTTTTCAGTTTTGTTCAGGACACCGTGCAAAGGGAAGCCATTTAGGAGCAGGTTAAGGCAGGTTTCCTCTATACATGTCACTTCAAGTTCACTGTTTCATAACTTCAAAAACCAAAAAGGGGTGAAAGTTCAGGGTAACTACTTATGACTGTGAGCATCGCAGCATGTAATAAAATAGTCACAGAGCTTCTGTTTACTGGATTTGAGAAGGTCATTCTGAGTATGGTTCAAGGCTAAGTGCCTAAGTGCATCATGGGCAATGCCTTGGATTTCTCTGTACCTTTTAAGAACATCTTTGCAAAGCAGGTGACAGCTGTGGAAAATAGAATGCACACACAGACACACACACCCATCTTTTCCACTAACATTTTGGCTTACTTTTAAAATTCTACAAGATCTATTCTACAAACTGGAAACATAACAGAGGCACTTTCTCAACAGATATTGAGAAATAAAAAAGCAACAGGAGTTAGTCTTTGATCTCCCAGCCATATTACAGGTAGAATGAAAAGAACATGTTCTATTTGGGAACTGGTGTGTATGTGGAGATATACATGCACATACACTCAATCTGCTGTTAACCTTGTGCTCAGAAGAAAGAAGTCTATGTGTAATTGAAATCTATCACTGATTTCAAACGTTTCATTTGATTTAATCCTTTTACTTGCTTCCTTCACCATACACCTTACTAAAATGGTATTTAAGCTGCTTGCTAAAATGATATTTAAGCTGCTTTCTGTATCTGCCTCTGCCCTTCTATTGGTAAAGGAGTTCAGCCATGAGGTGGACACCATGGCATGAAATAACAAAGGTAAAATAAGGCCCGAATGATATCTAAACTCTTCCTCAAACCTGGAATTGCCAAAGGTTGTCCATATTGTGCATAGGTAACCTGCTGGACATACATGAAGTGTATGCTCCTACATGAAGTATACAATATCCAGCAAGTTGGAGATGCTGTATATTTGGGGTCCCAGCAGGAGCCTAGGCTGGTAGTCACAAATACCTAGACATGTCCAGTGAATTTGCAGATTGAGCCCATCAGAAGCACATCTGGAAGAGGTGCGAAGGAACTGCCTCTTAGAGACCCCACCAAAAGAAAGAGAATACAGGCAGAATGAGCATGAGCTGGGAGGAAAGCCTCGGTGTCTCCATGTCGGGAGGTTCCCAGCACAAAGGGTTCTATTATTCGGCTTTGTCTCCCAATTTAGCCCACAGTAAACACCTGAGTAAGGCCCGTAGAAAGAGAGGGAGAGCATGTGTGAGGGAGAGGGGAGGGGAACCAGAGAAGCTGTTTCACTAAAAACACACAGCTTAGGGAAATACCCCTTTCCCCCCACCAATATTAGATAATAATAATAACAATAAAGATGGGGGAAGAGGGGGACAGAAGACAGAGAGCAGTTCCTCCCTCTGCTCCACAATAAAATGTCATGCACGTCCCATCGCCCCTGGGCTCCAGGGCTTCACATGCTACCAGAGATGGGAGCGATCTGCAAACACAGCAAAACCCAGACGCTGCCTTCTTAAAGCTGGGGGACTGTGTTCACATCTGGCAGTGATAGACACACTTCTAAGCACACCTGGGGAATTTCTAAGTATTTAAAGTCCTCTGTGAGCATTGTGGGACAGGTGAAATTTGGATTGTTCCTGTTAAAGTGCCCCATTTGTGTACCCACAATACAAGGAGACCTGTGGAGTCTCAAGAGATTATATACATGCCTTTATAATACATAAAAAATTTAAATGACCATCAGATACTTGTGAATTGGGATTTACAACCCTCATGATCAAGTTCAGATTGCATTTTAACAAAATTTATTAGTTGTCTGCCTACATATAGCACACTGTGCTAAGTACTGTATGGAATGATAAAAATGTTTTAAACGTAGTTCTTTTATACACCAAACATGATATATCACTGAATATGTATTTGCGTACATTCATATATAACAACTCCTCCCCAGCTTCAACTTAGATCACATGAATTTGATTTCTGGCAACTCTAGACATTCAAGTTATTGCTATCAACCATGTAAATCAGTTAAAAAGGCCTGAAAGCTGCAAAGAAAATTGTCAAGAAGTTAACGCACTTTGCTCTGAAGAAAAAGAAATAGAGTCACCCTTGAGTCAGAGGCCATGAGCTTAGTATGATGTACAAATTTCAGGTTACTGACTTGAAGTTTAGTTACCTGTATTCTTCTGGTAACCAACAGCATAAGAAGTGACAACTGACAGCAAAGGACAAGATGAAAGAAACAAAACACCACAACAATCCTGTGTCCTTGATTGAGGTGAATGGGCTGAGACACCTCCACGACCCCAAGGGTGCACAAACATCAAAACCTGTCAGTTTAATGTCTGATGTTCAGCTAATGTCTGAGTCATCAAAAGGAGGTAAGCTATGTTCTGTCTCTTACAGTAACCAAGAGACACGTAGATACAACACATTTAAGATTCCCATAATATTTTTTAATATGGCCAATTAACCACTTGAAGGCTAAAACACTGGAATATTCCTCACAGAATTATAGTTTGGAGACCTAGAATATCTAGCCAGAGTTAAACAGCAAGTTAGAAATAAAACCAAAATGGAGCTCAGCGTGGTGGCATGTGCCTGTAATCCCAGCTACTCAGGAGGCTGAGGTGGGAGGATTGCTTGAGCCCAGGAGGTAGAGGCTAGCCTGGGCAATGTCGTGACACCCCATCTTAATAAAAATATTTTTTTAAAAACATGACACTTCAGGTTCTGATATCTGCCTGTAATATTAAAAGGAATGAGAGTTTGAAAACTCGATGGAACCTAAACAATATTTTCATCTCCAGCCTCGCGTTTTGCAGGTAAACTCATTGAGATCTAGAGAGATAAGTGATTTACTCAAGGTCACAATTCAATGATGAGTAGAATCGAGACAAGAATACAGGTTTCTGACCAGCACTCCTCAAAACCATCAAGGTAATCAAGGACAAGGAAAGTCTAAGAAGCCGTCAGAGATCGCAGAAGGCTAAGGAGTCATGATAACTAAATGTAAGTGGTGTTCTGGATGGGGTCCAGGAATGGAGAAAGGACATTTGGGAGAAACTGATGGAATCAGAATATAGTATTGAGCTTCATTAAGAATAATGTACCTATGCTTGTTTCTTACTTGTGACAAATGTATCATGGTGATATAGGATGATTACAATGGGGGACATTGGATGAGAGATATAAGGGAATTCTCCATACCATTGTTACAACTTTTCTGTATGTCCAAAGCTATTTTAAAATAAAAAGCTGATTTAAAACAAAAAGTTCTACTTCTAAATTTCAAAAAAAAAAATACCGTTTTCAAGAATTCTTTCCATCAAAGCATGTTGTCCCTCTTCTAAGATAGTTGAATGAGACTTCCATTCCACAAACTAAAAACTGTCATTCAGTCTCTGTTCATAATAGCCATGCTATTAATATTTGGAATAGCTCCTCCTCCTGCCTGCCTTCATCAAGTAAAAGTAAAGAAATTAGTCAGATTAACCCTCAATAAGCAAATGTACAGCTTTCAATACCTGCAGCAGATATTTTAAGCAACTGTTGCCACATATGTTTCCATTTGAGAGATACAATGGAGGGAAAGTATATCCCACCCTTAGACGGTGGGAACAAGAGTATCAAAGGGAAATGGAGACAAGCTTGTGCACATCTACCTTTTCAACTTTTCAAACATGTATTAAGAACCTGCTATGTGTCAGAACTCTGCCCTCACTTCAAGTATACTAAATCCTTAAATGTAAATGGCTCAGACTCTCAAAAGGGTGACCTCGAGTCTTCTAACAGTGCCCATGAAATTTAATAATTGGGAGGCTAACACCAAATCTCATTTATTGCTGCTTTAAATGAAATAGATCACCATTAATAAAAAGCCTGCAAATTTAAGTAACCCAGCAGTCTTAACTAGCAATTAAAATGACTCTTTTTTTTTTTCAATAAAAGGTGAAACCATATGCTACAGCAGATTTTTTGTCACGTACGAGATAAATGAGCAGTTTGGCTCAGCGGGGAATAATTCCAGTTCATATTGAAGGATCAGTTTCAGTATCAAAATTTCATTCTCTCAATGTCAGGATCCTTGATACCAATTACCTGAAAACACTTGGGCTCAAGAGCCATCCCTGTGAAAACATAAGCACAAGGTACATGCCCTCCTCATCCCTCCCCACACATCCCAATAGAGAGGGGAGAACTGAGAGTCCAGCATTATCAGGGTTGTATTCAAAGCTTAAATTCCAACAAAACCTAACTGTGTCTCGCCCTCCTCACCAGGATTTGTGGGAGTATCCAACCCTGTAACAAACGTATGCAGGGACCAGGAAGCCGACTGGAGAGAAATGTGCATGGCCTCATCTGATCCAAATCGGTGTCATAAGAACATGTTGGAAGAAATCAGATTGGTCCTGGGAAGTGCCAGTCATCTTTTAGGTGGAAAAGGATAGAAGCTCATGAAGCTGGACATAATGTACACGTGATATTAACCCGAGAGCATTCAATACCTTGCAAGCTCAGCTGTTTGGAACACTTCTTCCCAAGTTCTTTGACGTCCCTCAATGTCTTCACCTAAGTAGGTGGAAAGGGGAGTGAGTGGAGATACTGGTAGTGGCATACTTGATGGGAAGACAGAAAATCATTACTGATATCAAAAGACAGAAAAACAAGGTAGAAAGAAAGATAAATGCACTAGGTAGGTAGGTAGGAAGGTAGGTAGGTAGGTAGGTGGGTAGGTAGGTAGGTAGATGGATGGATTGACTGACTGATATGATTTGGCTCTGTGTCCCCGCCCAAATCTCATGTCGAATTGTAATCCCCAGCTTTGGAGGTGGGGCCTGGTGGGAGGTGATTGGATCATGGGGGTGGATTTCCCCTGAGTGCTGTTCTTGTGATAGTGAGTTATCATGAGATCTAGTTGTTTAAAAGTGTGTGGAATCTCCCTGCCCCACTTCCTCCTGCCCCTGCCATGTAAGAACTGCCTGCTTCCCCTTTCCCTTCTACCATGAGTGTAAGTTTCCTGAGGCCTCCCTAGAAGTAGATGCTGCCATGCTTCCTGCACAACCTGCAGAACCGTGAGCCAATTAAATTTCTTTTCCTTATAAATTACCCAATCTCAGGTATTTCTTCACAGCAGTGTGAGAACGGATAGATAGATAGACAGACAGATAGATAGATAGATTTATGCACTATATTTATATCTAAATGGCAGTAGGTGTGGGGTACACAGACGGATGGACCAGTGAATGATCAGAAGGAAAAAAGTGGCAAAGACACACTTTGTAGATAACTACTTTGCTCTGGTCACTGAAGTTTGAGCTTCCTAGGCATTATCTCATGTAATCCATGTGTAATGGGCATGGCTATTTTGCCAATTTTGTATATAAACTGTTGACACATTATCAGAGTTAGAGTTAAAACCCTTGGGTTTTCCACTACCCTACACTGCTTCTCATTTAAGGTCACAGTAAAAATCTGAAGATGCTCTATTAGAGAATGCAAGCCATGCAGACCGTCAGTGTGTAATTATAAACTGTGCCCTCAAATCTACTCAGCCTTTTAACACATGCATTCTACCGAACTCCAGGATAAAAAGGCAAGGGAGATCAATGGATGCCTCCCCAACCCTTCTCCACTCGATGGTGAGCAGGCAAGAAGCACATTTCGATTCAATATTGTCTCTCACTACCTCTATTCTTCACATCCCCCATAGTTCCCACATTCCCCCTCCCAGCCAGTTTTTTACTCCAGTGATTCTCCCACTTTAATGAACATATAAATTGCCTAGGACTTTGTTAAAAGCAGATTCTGGCTAGAAGTGATGGAATCTGAGAGATTCAGCAGTTCTAACAAGCTCCCAGGTGATGTCGATGATGCTGGTCCCAGGACCACACTCTAGGCAACTAACCTCTATTCTAGACCCCATTGTTGGAGAAAAGCAAATCTTGTTAGACATAAAAAAAAATAGTATTGTTCTCTGGACACTAAGAACATTTAGTACACATTCTAAGAAGAAATATGATCTGGACATGGGAGATTTGCACTATATATATATTTGAAGAAAGAGCATCTGTAAGTCGTAGAAAAGCCCCCCTGCACACCCCACCACAATTCCTTTCTGAATTACCTAGAGTTTTATGCTAGTAAAAGCAAGGCCGGCACAGTAAAGAATAGATGCCATCCTGATGTTGTTCAAATATATATTTACTTCTTCTTCATGATCTTTCACCCATTTAATTTTCCCTGAGAGATTATTCAGGTCACTTTTTAAATGAGTTTCAATGTTTCTAGGGCTGCAGCTCATTATAAAAATGTTCACAGCAGATAGAATCTTGCTTCAGCACCGCACTATTTTAGAGCTGGCAGACACAGAAATCGGTATGCAGATATTGTACCATAAAGATTAATTTAGTATTATGTGGAAGGTTGATTGATTAATAAATACATAAGCCAGGAAGCCTAATTTAACTCTTAATTTTTTTTATTTCACAGAGGGAAAAATTAATCTGCAAGTGTTGATTGATTGAGAGTCTTAGTATGGGCTAGACAGCAATGGAAAATGACTATGAACCTGGGACTTTGCAAACTGCATCATTTGCAAAATAAACCTGATCAACCAGCTTCATCCCACAGTGATTGATGGTCAGAAAGGAAAGGCTGTAGAGATCATGGAGGAGAAGAATACATAATCATCTGAGGAAGGAGTGCACCCTGCAGAGTGGTTAAAGAAGAGAGAATGAGTGAGTATTTTTACCTCAGAAATGGACATAAGTGAAAAAAATGCACTTGAAATTTTAAAAATTAATGTTTATTAGAGCACTCCAGTAAACAAGCAAATTAGAACTAGCACATTGCACTCCTAAGAATGTGCAGAATATTAATACATCTTAGCTTTTGTGGTCCCACCGCAAAGATAGTGGGATGTGAAGAACCAGCTTATAGTCTTGCTATGATTAAAAGGTCACATTTAGAACCAAATGTTCTGTATCCAGATTTGAATAATGTTGAATGTTTTCCTAAAAGCAAAGGACACATACTCATTGTTCCCTCTTTGAAGAGTAGCAATTAAGCTGAGCAGGGCAATTACTTATAAATTAGACCTGTTTTCCTTTCCAGCTCATATTTACACAATGAGCATTAAGGTCAAGTTTCAAGCCCTAATCCTCAGAAAACTGACATCAGAATCATCAATACTGTTAGTATTTAGTGTGTCCATGGAGGTAAATTGTAGAAGGAAGGTAACATTGGAGGGCCTGCTGTAGTAATAAGAACTGTTAAATATTCCACCAGAGATTCTGACCAAAGGTTTGCTACTAACACTTTGTTTTATTAATCCCATTTTATACATGAAAAAAAACTCAAGATTAAGGATGTTCGGAAGATTGGCCAGTGCTACAAAAACAACAGCTATTAAGCGGAGGCACCTCATTGATGTTGGACTGCAAAGCAGGATCTTTCTACAGAATGCATGGGAATGACCTGCAGAGCTGGTTAAAACAGATTGCTGAGCCCTGCACTCCAAGTTTCTCATCAGGCAGAATATTAGCTTCCTATTGCTGCTGCAGATAATTACCACAAAGTTAGTGGCTTAAAAACACATAAATTTGTTATCTCCCAGATCTGTAGGCCAGAAGTTCAGGTACAGCACAATTCTGCATGGAGTCTCACAAGGCAGAAATTAAGGTGTCAGAAGTTCTGGGTTCCATTTTTTTTTCTTTTCTTTTTTTTTTTTTTTTGAGACAGGGTCTCACTCTGTTGCCCCAGCTAAAGTGCAGTGGCACAATCACAGCTCACTGCAGCCTTAACCTCCCAGGTTCCAACGATCCTCCCACTTCAGCCTCCCGAGTAGCTGAGACTACAGGTGCATGTCACCACGTCCCACTAATTTTTGTATTTTTTTGTAGAAGCAAAGTTTTGCCATGTTGCCCACACTGGTCTTGAACTCCTGGATTCAACAATCCTCACACCTCAGCCTCCCAAAGTGCTGGGATTACAAGTGTGAACCACCACACCAGACCTTGTGTTCCATTCTTTATTATTACTTTTTAATAGATACAGGATCTCACTCTGTTGCCCAGGCTGGAGTGCAGCAGCACAATCATAGCTCACCTTAACCTTGAACTCCTGGGCTCCAGCAATCCTCCCACTTCAGCCTCCTGAGTAGCTAGGACTACAGGTGCACACCATGAAGACTGGCTAATTTTTGTATTTTTTGTAGAGATGGGGTTTTGCCATGTGCCCAGGCTGGTCTCAAACTCCTGGCTTCAAGCAATCCTCCCAACTCGACCTCACAAAGTGCTTGGATTACAGGCTTGAGCCACCACATCTGGCCAGGCTGTGTTCCATTCTGAAGGCTGTGAGGAGGAACCTGCTTTCAAGGTCATTCAGGTTGTTGCCTGAATTCGGTTCCTTGCAGTTATAGGACTGAGGTCCCCATTCCTTGCTGGCTGCTGGTGAATGGCTGGAGGCTGGAGGCTGTCTCCATTCCTTCTCATGCTCTCCCTGTGGCCTATCCAGCAAGCAAGGTTCCACTCACACTTTGAATTTTCTTGACACCTCTGCTGTACCTCTCTGACACCAGTCAGGGAAACTTCTCCACTTTTAAGGACTTACTGTGATTAGATTGGGCCAACTGAATAATCAGGAATAAACTTTCTATCTTAAAAGTTTAGAAACTTTAATTTTCTGCCAAGTTCGTGTTGCATGTAATATAGTTGAAGAATCCAGGGATTCGGGGGTGGACATCTTTGAGGGGCCATTCCACCTGCTACAGTGATCCTGGGCTGGGACCCACCCAGAAATATGCCTTTCTGACAAGTATTTTTATGTTAGAAACTTATCTACGATGCTGATGTGATGCTGCTGATCCATCCTTTGAGGATGCCTACAGAAGCTGCTCCTACTGCAAGTGCGGTTCATGGCATCAACCTCACCCAGGAGCTTGTTAGAAATGCAGGACCTTGGGCCTCCTCCCAGACTTACTGGGGTAAGAAGCTGCAGTTTAACAAGATCCCCAGGTAACTTGGTGCACATTAAAGTCTGAGAAATATTGCTCTACAACAGTTAAAAACAGGGAAAAGTAATGGAGTAATTTATGTTTTATTTATTCTAAAAACCTTTTAGATAGACACAGCTCTTTTTTTGTTCAGTTATTGCCCTTTTGTGTTAGAGGGTGGAGGGAGGTATCTTACCTGCAAAGTTGGTAAAGAGTTTCTGCACTATCTCTTAAGCTGACTTTAATTTACCCACCCCTACATCCAATTTTAATACAAAAGGGGGCAATCTCCCCGTGAACTCAGCCTTGAAAATGTTTGGCATCCTTGAACAATTGCAAGCTGGATTGTGTTATTCACTGGGCTTCCTTGACCAGGACGTCCTGCCTTTGGTCACATCCTAGTTTGATAGATAGGAATAGATTAAAACTGACTCTCAGATGGGTTCTGGAAGGAGCCACAGCCCTGGCCATCCTCCCTGAGAAGAGACAGAGTGAGTCCATCAGCGGCAGGATACTCTGCCTTGACTTCACAGCTAATCATATTTCCCCAGATCTGAGAAGAGACTCAGCAGAATCTAAGGGCCCCAGAGGAGAATCAGGTATCATTAACCCTTTTATTGGAGATGTTATTGGTTTTCTGTGAGTTACCATTAGAGGAAAGTGACCGCAGTTAGAAGATATTGAAGAAGACTGAAGACTGTGTATTTATCTTGTGACTAAACACACAGCAAATTTCTACCTTTGCCTCAAAAATTCCTAAATGGAATTACTGAAACATAACTGTTACATATACAAAGAAGAGTGGGCTATGTTTCAAGATGTAGACATTAACTGTAAATTAACTATCTCAAACTCTCTCACTTTTCTTAATTTAAGCTGAGAGAAGAAAAAATGAAAATGGAAAGAAGTTTGGAGTGATCATAAGAACATAACGAGTACAGGAAAGTGCCATCAAGTAAATGCTATTGGGAAAACACAAACCAACAAATAAACCTCTCTCTGTCTCTGTCTCTCTCTCTCTGTCTCTCTCTCTCACACACACACACACACACTCACACTCAGTCTACTCTTTCTTTTTTAGTGCACAGAGCTCCCTCCAGGTGATAAGGTCCATAGTGTCTGCTGAAACCAGCTGATAATTTCTGAAGGAGCACAAAGATTCATGTAAACCATCTTATTCCCAGCACATTCTTGCTATCCTTGCACTTGTTCCTTGATCAGATAAGGAGACAGTGGGACCATTTTCAATCCTTAATCTGATCCTCTAAAACATTACTAAATATTCAATAATAAAAGTGTTGTATATTGACAGGGGATGTCAGCAGCCCAAAAATGTTTAATGAAGTACCTGAAAATACAGATAGATTATACCGGCAGAGTCAATAAGACAACAGCCATTCAGGCAAGACATGGCACAAAAGCCAGAGGTGATAACTGCCCCCAAAACTTAAAGGGAAAAACACTTCCCTGATCAATGCCATTCTCCCACCTCCCTTTCTGAAAACTATTTACTTCAAGAAGTACTTACCAAAAAAAAAAATATATTCACTATTTCCTGAAATCTGAATATTGTTTGTCTTCTAAAACCACCTGGTAAAATAGCTTAGCTTTCCACCCATCACTGACACCCCAGTGTTCTTTTCCCTCTGGGTGTACTGAGGGTGGAGAAATGGGAACGATCCCAGATCGAGGGTGGGATCTCCCTGGGGTCATTGGGGAAATGCAAGATGACCTCTCACTAAATTGTATGACTGTTGGAAAGTAGACAGGGGTGGCATGGAGAAAATAAACCTAAAATCATTTTTCCCTATAATTGGGCTCTGGGCAATATTTGAATTCCTTTTGATAACAATTAGACTGTGGTGTAGCTCTTCTTTAGAGCCTAGGAAATATTACTGGCATTTGTTTTGGATATTACTATTCAAAATGCTGCTACCGATTAGTAAGTCTCTCCGAGGTTATAAACGCTGGAAAGAAAACGCTGGAAAATGATCCCAGAATGAAGGAGAACATAGAGATAAGACAACTGAAAGCAAGGTATAATTTGGAATTGGATTGTTTTTTCTCTGGCAGGTGTTATTGAGCCAACAGGAGAGCTGGAGTGGGACCTGAATATTAGATGTTAGTAAGGCATCAATGTTAATTTCTTGACTTTAATGGTTGCATTTGGAAATGATGGGCATTAAATGGTACAGAAAGAAGAAAGAGGAAGAGGAGGGAAAGGAGGAAAGGAAGAAGAAAGAGAAGAGGTTCTTTGCACTGTCCTCACAACTTTGCTGAGCTGGGGATTGTTTTAAAAATAAATAAAATTATATAAAAGAAACTCAATAAAATAAATCATTCAAATCTCAATACTTCTCTTCTTTGTGATTTCATGCACTCTCAAATCTGCAAAGTCTGCAACTACTCCATTAACGCAATGGCTTTCTGCATCAATGACTTACTGCTTCATGACAAATCACCCCAAAACATGGTGGCTTAAAATAACAACCATCTATTTAGCTCAGAATTCTATGGGGCAGAAACATTGAATGGGATCAGCTATGCAATTCTGCTAGGCTGGGCTGGGCTTACTCATGCATTTGCAGTGAGTTGCCAGTCCCACTGGGAGCCCCTGCTTCTGGGGATTGCCTGGCTGTCAGCTGAGACCATGAAGGAAACTAGGCCATATATCTGTTATCATCTACCCAGCTAGGCTGAGTTTTTTCTCCTGGCTGCTCAAGGTTCTAAAAGCACATAGATAGTAAACCCCACGCAATCTTCTACATTTTCAACTTTCCGCTCGCCTCACAGGTGCTGCTGTCCCATTGGCAAAGCAAGCCACACAGACAAGCCCAAGGTCAATGTAGGAAGGCCCCATCAAACTGCATCAATATTGGGTGTCATTACAGCAATCTAGCCAGCACACTCCCAAATCTCCATTTCTAACTCTGCTTTCTCATCCTACTTAAACTGCCTGCTAGACATCTCTTCATGGTGTCCTCCCTGAATTTCAAATTTCACTTGTATAAAATTCATCATATTATAGCCAACACAGGATAATGAATAGAACGAGGCTTCTAGTCAGCTCTGGGTTTGAATTCTACTTATTGTGAGATTTTGGTTTAAGCTACTTAAATCTCTGAGAATGGCTTCCATTTTCAACAAAAATAATAATAAATATTTGATAGTTATTATGGGGATTAAACAAGATAGTGTACTGTCAACCCTTAACACACAGTAGGCAATCAATAATTTTTTTTGTATTCTCCACCCATTATCTAGAGAAACCTACTCCCCTTTTCGAATTTCTTTATTGACATGTTCTCACTCATCCAGGCTGATGGAAACACTGTGGCCATTTTCACATTTTCCTTTTCCTTTGCCCATTTGTATTCAACCTGCCCACCTAATGGGTTATCTGAAGAATTACACTGAAGCACGTAACAAAGTGCCTATCAAATCATAGTTCGTCTCTGTATATTTTTTTCATTTTTAAAAGGCTTGTTAATAATCAAAATCAGTTCATTGCATTTCTGCAATTTTACTCAACAAACATTAAGTATCAGGGATGAACTCGTCACCTTTTGGGTCTCTTACCAAAGCTACACTTCTTCCTCCATCTTCCGTGTCTGTCCCCTGTCAGCACCAACAACCAGGGCCCTCAGGACATGACCCTGAGAGTCCTCCTTGACGTGGTTCTCATCCGCTTCACTCAAATAATTCACCATGAAGTCCTACTGGTAGAACTACCTGGCTTCAGTTTCATCACCACCACTGACTCGCTGATTGACATTGGACCAGTCACTTAATCTCTCTGTTTCGGTTTCCTCATCTGTAAAATGGGAGTGATAATAACAGTACAGGATGCACTTAGACTGTGCCCGCTACCTACCCAGTGCTTTGATAGGGTTAGCTATTACTGTTGGCCCCTGAGTCCTTCCTTGTCTCTCCATCTCTGCTTGCTGCTACCTCAGTTCAGGCTCTCACCATCCCTCTTGGGTGTGAGTGCCATTCATCACCCTCTAACTTAAATCCAGCGCCTGGTGTCACCTCTTCCAATCCATCCTCCCTGCAGGCACCAGGGAAATCAGTGCAAAAGGACAAGCCCAGGATGCCACTTTCCTTCTGAAAGCCCTTCACCTACTGCTATCTTCTCAGACTATTTGGACTGAAGATCAGTTTGTTTCCTAACCAAGTTTCAGTAACAGAACATACATGTGTAAAACAGTAAAAAGTATTTATTGGAAAAATTTAATACAAAAAAACCTAAACATATACAAAATAAAAGTCTCAAATTTTAATTGTCACACGTCATGGGCATAAAGAGTCTGTCAAATTGCTGATGGGGTACGGTGGCTCACGCCTGTAATCCCAGCACTTTGGGAGCCCGAGACAGGCAGATCACTTGAGGTCAGGAGTTCGAGACCAACCTGGTCAACATGGTGAAACCCTGTCCTACTAAAAATATAAAAGTTAGCCAGGCATGATGGCACATGCCTGTAATCCCAGCTACTCAGGAGGCTGAGTTAGGAGAATTGCTTGAACCCGGGAGGTGGAGGTTACAGTGAGCCGAGATCATACCACTGCACTCCAGCCTGGGTGATAGAGCAAGACTCTGTCTCAAAAAAAAAAAAGAAAAAAAGAAAAGAGTCTGTCAAATTGCTGCGAAAGTTTCTAAACACACAGTCCTGATTTCTCCACTCATCTCTTCATGGACCCCTGACAAACAGCTACTGGACTGAGAGCTCCCCTTTGAGAAGCACCTAAGTTAGGAGCCCTTCACTACCGATGGTCCAGCTAGTTTTTTGCCTAATCTTATCCTCCAATCCAACCCTTCCCCCACACCCCAACTCTTCCTGCAAAATGTGTATTTATGCATTTGTGCATTCATTCACTTACATATTATTTATTTATTTATTGACTTGGGTTCCCCCAATGTATAATCCATCTCTGTTCCTTCCCACATGCTGATTCCTCTTCCTCTTCGCATTTTTGTGACCAGAAAACTCCTAAGCAGATGCTGCATGATCTATAGTCTTCCTATCCGCTACTCGGTGTTGCAGCTGCCTGCCAGGCCCTGTTTCATCCCTGATACGATGGTTGGTTGTCATCGCCTTCCTTGACACTGCTGTGTGGCTGCCAGCACTCTGGTTAGTGTGGTCTCTCCCCGCCTTTAAGAGTTGCAGGCCACTGAGTCCTGTTGCCCCGCAACGCTGCTGCGGCACTGCTGCTTCTATAAGAAAGGAAGATTTCCTCCTTGAATTACTAAAGCCATCTGAGCCTTTTAGTGAAAGCCTGCTTATTCCATTCCTCTCTCCTTTCTCCTTAGGTAACTGGGGAAATGCACTTGAAGACAGCTTCAGACAACAGTTAAAGACACCACCTTGTATCTCATCAACTTTGCCGAACACCTACTCTGTCTGTTATTCAGCTGGCTGCAATAAAAGCAGAAAGAAAAGCGCATCCCCACCAGAAAAGCAGCACTTAGAGCCACTCAAGAAAGATCAGAATCGTGGGATTGTACTGGTGGTTGGGGTAATTTAAGGAAGAGCACTAAGTTGGTGACTAGGATTTTAGTCTTGAGAGACAGTTCTCTGTGGGTCTTTCTCATTTTCACACGTCTTCTTAGCAGAGGCATGACAGCCTTTTTTCTCTTTTCAAAAATATACATGAACAGTTGAAAGGTAGGAACAGTGTCTTCTTCTGGAGCAGAGGGAAGAATGTTGTACAGTACAATAAAGATAATGTCTCCAGGCAGGGCGTGGTGGCTCACACTTGTAATCCCGGCACTTTGGGAGGCTGAGGTGGTTGGATTGCCTGAGGTCAGGAGTTCTAGATCAGCCTGGCCAACATGGTGAAACCCCAACTCTACTAAAAAAAAAATACAAAAATTAGCCAGGTATGGTGGAGGGTGCCTGTAATCCCAGCTACTTAAGAAGCTGAGGCAGGAAAATCGCTTGAACTCAGGAGGCAGTGGTTGCAGTGAGCTAAGATCATGCCATTGCACTGCAGCCTGGGTGACAAGAGCAAAACTCTGTCTCAAAAAAAAAAAGATGTCTCCCTCCTGGGCAAAACTTAGGTAGGTTTGCTTGCATTTCATTTATTACCAAATATTGGTGTTCCCTAAGCTGAGGGTTTCTCAAATACACGTGCAACATCCAGGGCCCCGAATGAGTTCACATCCTTTACAGGGACATAGATGAAGCTAGAAACCATCATCCTCAGTAAACTAACACAGAAACAGAAAATCAAACACCGCATGTTCTCACTCATAAGTAGGAGTTGAACAAGGAGAACACATGGACACAGGGAGGGAAACATCACACACTGGGGCCTGTCGGTGGGTGAGGGACTAGGGAAGGGAGAGTATTAGGACAAACACCTAATGCATGTGGGGCTTAGAACCTAGATGACGGGTTGATAGATCCAGCAAACCACCATGGCACATGTATACCTAGGTAACAAACCTGTACATTCTGCACATGTATCCCAGAACTTAAAGTAAAATTAAAAAATAAATAAATAAATAAAAATACATAAATAAATATAACTAATTAAACATCCAGGACCACTCTGTGTGGCCCCAGTGGGACTTGGGAGACGAAGGGAACTGACACAAGCATTCATTGCATGCCACTTGCTATGCAGGGAGGGAAAAAGTCCTTTGTCTCTTACCCAGGAGTGTTGTGTCTTCTATCAGCATCTGTGAATCAGTGGCAGGCTTAAGTGTTAGCTCAAAAGTGGCGTAAAATAACACAGTTCTCGACATTTAGAAGAGGTCAGGGAACTATTTCACAGGTCCCACTTGAGCTAAGACATACAGGCTTTGCGTAAGTTAGCCGTAAGGACATTCTAGAAGACAAAAAGAAAAGCACATAGCAGGGAATGGTGGCATCACCTCATGACACATTTAGGAAAATGCAAGTAGAACAGGACGGCCAGATCATTGCCAAAGATTTCACAGACAGCTGTGAAACTAAACCGATGTGTTCGATTTAGACTTAGCGTTCATTTTGAGTTACATTTTTTAACAGCATTAAGCATAGTCTAAATTAGCTAATGCAGTGCTTCCCAAACTGGTGTCAAAGAAAAACTTTGTAGTTTTCCTTGTAATGTAGCATTAATCCTGTGCCAAGAAAAATAGACTTTCCTTGCACTATTAAGTGAGTTTGTTAACGGCAAGCAAAGTTCGATACTTTTTTTACTGAAGCCCTTCTGGATACTTTAAAATGTCAATCAATATTTTGAATCACCAAATGGGAACTGTAGCATACAGTCTAGCTAGTCCCAGCTAATCTGATCAGATAGCCTTTGTTTGGGGAACCCTGATTAACATTTCCCAGAATCATTGTTCTGCTCCTCCTAATATGAGTAATGTTCTGTCTAATCCATTTAAAAATCACTATAGCATTATTATAAACAAACAAATAAAATTACAAATGAGTAAAATTAATCTTTAGCTGGATTTGCTTTGAAAATATATCTATGTGGTTAGGATTCTGTGATCCTAGCCTTGATCACCTAAAGAAAGTGAAATTCTATAGAGGCTTGTATGCATCTGTTCTCCGCTCCAATGACCTGCAAAATAATAACTCAATTCATTAATTGCACAGGAACATGTTAGCTCATACACCTAACCTCTAGTTGACTAAATTGTTGTAAGAACAATTTATATAATACTGAAATATATATATATATGCATATATGTGTGTGTGTGTGTGTGTGTGTGTGTGTGTATAGTGCAATAGAACACAGAAGTTTGGAGGTTTACCCTTTATAATTCAGACATTATTTACTTTGCTGAAGAATGCCTTCAGAGTCTTATTACACTCTAGGTCATTGAAAATATAGTATTGCACACATATCATTTTAGTATGAAATATATATATTATATGTAATAATATGTGTATTATATCTGCATTCATATATATTATATATACACTGAAAATACCTAGACAAATTTCTCTTAACCCTAAAACAAAAAGAATTAGGAAGCCAAGCCGGGAAAATTTGATAGCCCTTTGATTGTTGGCCATTTTATAGCTGAAAAACGGCTTAATTATTGTTACAAGTACACACTAAAATAAAAAGCAAATATTGTTTCCTTAAAGTTGAAGGGAGGATTGATTGAAAAGCTCCACTGGCCAAAAATATTTGGAAGAGTTTGTCATCATCTGCTTCAGCCTGTTGAATGGCAGAAATTCAATGCACTGGCTCTCCAATGTTTTGAAAAAAAAGGATTCTAATCTATCATTACCTCACCATTGAATCCCCCCACCACCACCATGTTATCATATAGAAGATATTCGGTCAATGTCTATTAAATCAATAAATGAATGTTTCACCTTATAATTGATTTGATAACTATATTGTACAATTTTGAGGATGTTCGCTGATTTTTATGAAATTCTTTACCACCAATCCTGCTGATTCAGATGACTAAAAAAGTTCATTAGAGAAACAGAGAAAATACAAAAGAAATGTTTAAATGATTTATCAGAAGCAATAACTAAATTACTAAAATCCCGAGGATTATATAGAGTGAAACACTACAGTACAGCAAACATAGATAACATTCTGTTTACACAGATATTACATTAAAGTTGAAAAGCAAACAAAATTATCTTTATAGTTTCTCTTTTGTAAAATCATGGATAGGGTTTTAAAATTTTCATTTATTTCAACTCTGAGTTTCTCATATGAAGTAGTGTTTATTTCATATAATCCTCTGGATTTTAACAAAGGAATACTTTGTTATTTAAAATGTCATGCTGATGAGTGAGAAACATGCTGAAATCAATAAAAGATTTAAACTGCATAGGCCAGTATTCTTTTCCTATCTCACAATGATTCAGTCTCCCCATGTCCACGGGCTTTGTCCCTCCATTGTTTGTTAGTCTTGGCGCCGCCAGGATAATCCCCAGCTGCAAATTTCTCTTCCCCGATTTGCATGCATGAGGACTCACTGCCACCCAGAGCCATAAATTATTTGTGCATTTTAGCCTCATATCATGACCTTTCATAATGAAAAAAAAATGATTCCCAACCTCGAAGGATTTATTATCTATATGGAGAGAAAGTCAAATGCAAAATTAACTGTTCTGCAAAATGGAATTCATTTCCTCATCCATTCATTAAGTCATTATTGATTCATTCAGCAACATTTATTTACCGCATGTGAAGGTACTGCTTCTGTGGAAGATACTGTGGATGTAAAGACAAATAAAATATCTCAGTCTGCTGCCATCCTCCTACTTCCCTGCCTGCCTTTCCAGAACCCTGGCTTTGGCTTATGTCTAGGCTCTATAGTCCCTCAACAACCACGAAAGACCGTTGTCTACAGTTTTCCCCAGGACCCTCCAGCCCTATAGGTAGTTGTCCAATCTTCTTCAAGCATACTTTTTTTCAAGTAACTCCCCTCTTCAAAAGCTTTTAACCCCATAACCTAGGAAGTAAATTATAAATTCTCAAATTGACAACAATTGAAGACCCTTGATAGGCTGGCCCGTAACTATTTCCAGTCTTAAGAAACTAACATGACAGGAGTGACTTGCATCGCCCTAGTCCTTTCACACATATTATTTCAGACACAGTGCCCTATGAACTATTTTCACAGTAATATTGGAGATTCACAGAGCACTGTCATGTGTATCCCAACACAGTTCATTTTCTTCCTGGGCACATCGAAGACTCTATTTCTAAGCCGCTGACACCTGGGTGGAACCATGGGACTGGTTCTGGTCTATGGAATGTGAACAGACTTAATGTACTTCTACACCTGCTCCCTAAAAGATTGCCCACACTCTTTCCCTCTTTCTTCCCCTCTGGTGGTGAATGTGGAGACCTGTGTGGGAGACAAAAGCATCTCAAGATGAAGCGCTTAAAACTCATTCTGCAGCAGAGCTCCCACCCCTAGAAACCAAATTAAACCCTGATGTTAGAAAACATTCTATTTTTATTGTTTTAAGTCCCTGAGATTTCAGTTTGTTTGTTATTGCAGTGTAAGCTAGCTTATTCTAACCATCCAGGCAGAAATTAACTACATCTTTTTAGACATGAGAAAACTAAGGTTCCAAAAGGTAAATGACACCCAAATGCATGTGGTTAATAAGTAGAAGGATTATGTATTAGTCCATTCTCACACTGCTATAAAAATATTACAAGACTGGATAATTTATAAAGGAAAGAGGTTTAATTCACTCGCAGTTCCACATGGCTGTGGGATGCCTCAGGAAACTTATAGTCATGGTGGAAGGCAGAGGACCTTCTTCACATGGCAGCAGGAGAGAGAAGAGTGAGGAGCAAAGGGGAAAGAGCCCCTTATAAAACGATCAGATCTCCTGAGAACTCACTCACTGTCACGAAAACGGAGATTTGGGTGGGGACACAGCCAAACCATATCAGACTATAAACTCAGATCATCACTTTCAGATCACTGAAACTTTTCACTTCATCCTCTTCCTTTTCTGCCATTCATGCAATGATCCCCCTCATGGGACATTTAGCACAGCTACATGGAAATGCTTCCTTAAATGCACAGTGCACTTCCTCATCTCCATCCTTTGTCCAGAGTAGTACTCATGGAGAAGGCTCTTCCCTCATTACATGCTTTGAAACCTGTGCTTCAGGGTCTGACTCAGTCTCCACACGAAGCCTTTCCTGCTGCCCCTGAACAGAGCAATTCCTCTCACCTCTGTGATCACGCAGCATCTTGTCTCTCACTTTCTCATAACTCCTATAATATCATAGATCTGCATATACTGTCTCCCCGTTAAACCAAAGGCTTCTCAAGGACAAAGACCATGATTTATTCCTTTTTGCACAACCCACTTTGTCTAGCCCTGTACCTTGTGCATGAGGTGCTCAATAAATGTTTGAATTTAGTTAAATTCACATTTTAAAGCCTTTAGAAATTTTAATACACTTTCCACTTCTATTAATTATTTTAAATGATCCTGGCCCCAGGACAACATTCAAGGTGTCATGACTTCTCTTTTGAAAGTGCCACTTCAGTAGCAGCATTTCAAAGACAAAAGACAGACACTATATGTGGTATTCGGTTTCACACCGCTTTGCACATAAGTCACCCAATAATCATGTCAAATGAATAAATGTGGTGGTTTAACTGTTTAATCTATCATTAGTACGTGCATGGACTTACAGTGAATGTCAATGAAAGTCACTTCTGATAATAATACGGAAGGATAATATATGCAAAAGATCTCTGGACATGGTGTCCACTTTGATCTTGTTTTTAAATACAATACGTTAGTTCTGATTTTTAAAGTGTACTTTGAAATCCTCTGATCTTCTCTAATGAGCCACTTGATTATATAAAGGCCTTCCCTTGTGTTTTAGAAATGAATTTGCAGCGTCTCTGTTAGCCAGAGCTGGACTTTGGAAATATGAATAGTGAAACAGATTATTAACAAGCACTTGCTCTTACTTTACTTTTGTTACCACAAACCAATTTACGTCCGCAATATTTACCCGCTAAAAACAAAGTACACAAACTGGAACACGTCTTTAAAAATGAATTGCTTCTAAATAAACTTTACATGCAATTAGAATTATGATACCTTTTATGAAGGGCTGTGTCCCCTTCCATTTGGCACTAGTGACAAAGGTTAAAAATGCCCTTCTATAAAATACCACATCATTAAACAAAGCAACTCTGTAATTACCCACTATACAACTGGATAAATTCCAAGTTTTGTGATTATTTTAACCTACGTATGATCTACTTGTACAAAAAAATAAGTCCAAAGGATAGAAGAATAGATTTTCTCTTCAGCACGATTTAGTTTTGTTCTCACTTGTGGAAATTCGCTCTGCTCCTCTTGTTTGAAAAATTAAAATAACAAATATCAAGAGTTTTCTGCTCTTTCTATCTTTCTCTTTAAGTAACGATGCAAGCATATGGCTGTAGAACGTCAGGCTTTCTGCTTTCTGTGTTGCTAAAACCCAGCACTAGGAATGAGACATAAAGTGGCATCTAGCATATTAAAAACTCAAGCCCCACAAGCAACAGGTGCAAGAATAATGCCTAAGGAGAAGCTGAAGAATCTCATTATTATCATCTGATAGAGGCAAAACTCTGTAAAAGGCAAATCCTTGTTTCCCAATAGGATCAAGTTACACCCCACGGAGGCAAAGTCCCACCACTTCTCCAGTGTTGACTTCCAAAGGTTCCCATCCAAACTGCACATTTTTTCAAAGTACCAAGGGGCCAGGCTCTCTCACCAAGGTCCAGATAAATGTCCAGCTACCTCAGGGGTTCCCACCATGTCCCCTCTGCCACACTGAGAAGAAGGCTATCACCTGTGGGTAACTCTACAGAAGGAATGCATTCTGCACCATCCACCACACACTGAGATGAAAAAGAGTAAAAACTTTTTTGAAATCATCCTTCAGAATTTCCAGGTCACTGGAATTTAAAATCATGGTGATGACCAAGTACTTTCATCAAATATCCATGAAATACCTTAGGCATTTTTCTTAGTACAAATCCTAATACCTTGGCCAGATTTGCCCTTTGAGTGGGTGCGCTTGTTGACTATTTAGTTATTAACTATGAAAGTGGTGTTCTTGCTGTAGGCTCAGACCACTTCCCCACAGTACATTGAGCAAATACCCCCAAATTCCAGGAAGCTGCATGGACTTTCTATAAATGAAAAATCTAAAAAATAATGACAACTGTTGAAGTTGCATTCAGAGCTTACTATTGGTGCTTGACAACTTTTCCAGAAGATCACTGCTACCTTCTGGAAAATTGTAAAACAGAACATGTTGACCAGTGAGTTACAGGGTCTAACTCCAATACCCCTCAGGGACTCACTTCCCAGTTTCAATATTCAGACCCGGGAAGAAAGAGGGCTGTGTAATGACTGCTGCAGTTCAGGCAATTCAGCCTGTATTTGTCTCTCAGTCTTCCCCTTTCTGAGTTTTGGAATATAAATATACAATTAAATTATCTGATTTCTACACATATTGAACACTAAATGTAAGTTACTTGGAGCAATTAAGCATATATCTACTTGGCACTTACCATGCCAGACAGCCTGCTACTGTTTTACAGAAATTATCATTTTTAATCCACAGGACAAGCCCACTAATTTTTTTTCACATGAGAAAACTGAGGTTCTAGTAATTTAAGTGACTTCCTCAAGGTCACCCAATAAGGAAGTAATATAACTGGACACCTGTCTTCACAGCCCATGCTTTCTACTATGACATATTACTTCTGTGAATTTTAAGTTCAAAATGCTGACTTTATGTTTCTTAATCTCAAAACCTTGTTTTCTTTGTTGGTAAAGCTGTAACATCCCCAAGGTCATGGCTAATAATCGACAGTGGTGGGTACTGAATGCTGGATTTGGGGCTCTTTTTCTATATAACATCTTCAAAAGACATTGGACACGTGGTCTTAATCTGCCAATTTTTTCTACCCTCTAGTCTCCTCCCTCTCAAAACTTGGGGATCACCCTGAAAGCACCTTGCTTCTCCCTGACACATATCCCATCCATTAAAAAGACCTGTTAGTTCTACTTTCAAAATATCATTCAAATTCATCACTTCTTTCCAGCTCCAACAACAGCTCTAGGGCTAGTTGCCATTATCCCCCCGTGAGGCTGAGTGATACCCCCTCATCCATTCCTTTTCCTTCCAATCCCCCCAGTAGAGAGGAAGCTTTTGGAAATGCAAATCAGTTTATGGTACCCCATTACTTAAAACCCATCAGAGACTTCCTGTTTCATTTGGGATTACCCCGGTCTTTTCTCACCTGCTTTCCCTCATACTTCTTTGAAAATATCAAGTTCCTTCCCCCTTCAAGGGTTTTATACACACTATTCCTTCTATCTGGAGCACTCTTCTTCATTCAGCTTCAAAGATACTTCCTCATGGGAGATTCCTGTCCCTTTACTCCCATTTAAACTGGGTCCTCCCCTTGCCCTCTACTATGAACTGAGTTGTGTCCCCCAAACATTCATATATTGAAGGCTTAGCCCCCAGTGTGATGATGTTTGGAGATGGGGGCTTTGGGAGATGATTAGGGTTAGATGAGGTCATGAGGGTGGGGCCCTTATGATGGAATCAGTGCCCTTATAAGAAGAGGCCAGAGTGCTGTCTTGTTCTTGTGCTCTCTCTCTCTCTCTCTCTCCCTCTCTCTCTCTCTCTGTATCCCAGTCATGATGTAAGGACACAGCAAGACAGTGCCTGTCTATAAGCCAAAAAGAGAGCCCATACCAGAACCCAACCATGTTGGCATCCTGATCCCAGACTTGCAGCCTCCAGCATTGCAAGACAATAAATTTCTCTGTTTAAACTATCCAATCTATGGTATTTTGTTACAGCAACCTGAGCAAACTAATACACCCTCTTTAGTAGTTTTCCTAGTTAAGATATAGGCTAAACAGCAATAATAAATAGATCAAAAGATACAATGATTTAAATAAGATGAAAATTCATTCTTCTGCCTCATTATAATCCATAGTCCAAGACTATATGGGAAGTTCTACAGTCTACAACTCATGGTTTCTATCTTGCAGTAGAAGGCTGCAGTTTCAGTTATTATCTTCCAGCCAGCAGGAAGCAGGGAAGGACCAAGAGAATATACATGATTCCTTTTTGAGGCACACTCAGGAAGTGATAATAAAATTAATAATAATAATTCTGTTTATTTACCATTGGCCAGAACTTAGTCACTTGGGCAAGTTGCAAAAGATGCTAGATGCTTGGTCATGTTCCTGGCTGAAACTCAGGCGTTCTCTGACTAAAGATGGACAGAATGGAATTGATGAAAAGCGAACAGTCTCTATATTTTCTCTTCACAAGTTGTAACTCAATTAATAGTTACCTATTTATTTGGTTGATAATTTGTTCAATGACTCTCTTCTCTTTTGAACATATGCTTGATAAGGGGGAAACATTATACATACTTGGATCAGCACAATGTTCCCATGCTGGGCACAGTTGCTAGAATACATTGGATGATTCATAAATATTTGATGATTAGATGAATAGGAAATGTGTTCTTTAAGTATCATGCAATCTAATATGTCCACCTTCTGCTAAATAAACTCCTCAGGGGAGAAAGCATATACTCTATATGTGTGGATACAGGCATCTCCAGCCAACCCTGAGGACTCCAATGCTGCTTCCATTCCTTCAGCACCCATTTCTTCCTTAACACCTTCACCTGGGGCTTCTGAACACTCCATTGAAACTTTTTTCTTGGCCAGATCTGTTTCTCAGCCTAGTATTACATCTATTACTACCAATCACTTTCTACTGTTCTTAGAATTCTTTCCACCTTGGTTTTCCCCCTTTTAACAAATGCTACCTTCAAACCCCAAACCAAATAGGCTAGTTACCTTCAAGTTATTTTTTTATCCTTCTTTCATTCCACAATTCATCTTTACTCACTGATTCATCAATTCCTTCTTTCATTCAGCAGCTATTTATATCTGTTCTGTATACTGTGCTAATCAGCAAGAATACAAAATATGTAATATAAGCTTTCCTAAGGAAGCTCAGAGTCTACTTGACTTGAGTATTTTGGAGACAAACTGGAAAATAAACAATTCAAATGCAATGCAATGGGTGCTATAATAGAGATATGTTTAGAAAACTGTGGGAACACAATTATTGAGTACTTACTACTTTTGCCTCATTGGATCTGTTGTTATCCTCAGATCATCCCAACTGTAAAGACAAGGAAACTGAGAATCAGAGTTAAAGAAGATATCCAAGGTTAGACTACCAGGAAGTGAGAAAGCAACTGCTAATTCAATACTATCTGATAACAAACTCACTATCTTTTCCCTCTACAATGCACTAATGTAAATGCTATCTTGCCCTAATGCAAGTTCTCTTAAGATGCCACCTAGTTCTGCCTCTTCTCATCCACAAGAACCCAGCTCAAGCCAGACCCAAATGGCATCCTCAATAGATAAATGTAATGGCTTCCCATGTTCTTTGCTTCAATCTAGAATCCTTGTCAGAACAGCAGACACTACCAGAGGGAAGATAGTGCAGAGGAAAAAAACACCACCTGTGTTTGCCACTTATCCGTTTTATATTGCTGCAAACTACTCCAAAACTCTGTGGAATAAAACAATTTATTATCATTCATAGTTCTGAGTGTTGACTGGGCTCAGCTGGGTGGTTCTTGCTCAGGGTCTCTTGTGCAATTGCAGTTGTTTGCTGGCAGGGACTGGAATCATCAGAAGGTTTCTTTATTTACATTTCTGGTGCTGGGGTAAGACACTGGGGATTGGTCAGATGTCTCATATGGTTGGCTTTTGCTACCTCACAGGACAGCAGTTGCAGGGTAGTTAGATTTTGTACATGTCAGCTGGCTATTCTTAGAATAAGCTCAGTTTTCTTAGCCATAAAATGTTGAAAGCAATGTCTAACTCACTGGGTTGCTATGAGAATTACCTGGAATTGAGTGTATAAAATGCCATGTGGCAGGTAGGCTCTCAGTAAGTGTTAGTTCTCTTTCCCCATCATGTTCCACCCTCATTCCCCAGCAGGTGATAGAACAGGATTTTTAAAAGTTTGTTAAATGAATGAATGAGTGAAACTACGCAATGCATGGAGCTTCCAAAGTAATCATCCAAGACACTATTCATAATGTCATCCTCCTGCTTAAGAATCCGCAGAACCTTTGAGTTGCTAAACAGAACTCTGGGTCCACCAACCTCTGCTATCCATTCCCCATGCCTCCTGCAGGCAAACCTCAAGGGCTCTTCTGACGGCTCCCAGCCCTCCCTCTGACACAGACCGTGGTGCCACAACCTAGTGTATGTTTACAACTGCCCCCTGCTGGCACAGGAGCCAACTGAAAGAGCTCCCAATGGCCAGGGCAGAAGCAATTTAGCAACAGGATAAAGTAGTACTGTATCATAACCCAAAGTATAAATTAAATGTCCATGGGTCCATACTGATATAAATAAGTGATTGAGTAAATTAATGAACGAGGGAAAAGAAACAAATCTCGCGTGAAAAATTCCAAGTGATTTATGTAAATATGTTACCCTCAAGGAAGTGGAGTGTCAATCCCTACTCCTTAACTCTGAGCCACCCATAGTGACTTCTTTCCAAAGAGTGCATTATGAAAAAGGGATTTTTTTAAAGTAGCTTTTCAGTGGAGAAACCTGACAAACGCTACCTCAGCCAGGTAATCAAGGTCAACATCACTTATAAATCATTGCCAGGCATGGCAGCCTGCACCTATATTCCCAGCTACGTAAGAGGCTGGGACAGGAGGATTGCTTGATGCCATGAGTTTGAGGCTGCAAGGCACTATGATCATGCCTGTGAATAGCCACTGCACTCCAGTCTGGGCAGCATAGCAAGATAAAATCTCAAAAAAAAAAAAAAAAAAAACAACTAGTTATGTCACATTTGCAGTGTGCTCCCTTGATATAATGTGATGAGACTTGTACTTTACCTATGTGATCTTTGTCCCAAAAACCTATAAGCCCAGTCTAATCATAAGAAAAGCCTAAGTGAGGGATGGTATTTGACCTGGCATTCTCAAAACTATCAAGGTTGTCAAGAACAGAGAAACTTGGGCCAGGCACAATGGCTCACACCTGTAATCTCAGCACTTTGAGAGGCCAAGGCAGGAGGATCACTTGAGCCCTGAAATTCAAGAACAGCCTGGGCAACAAAGTGAGACCCTATCTCTACCAAAAATACAAAAATTATCTGGGCATGGTGGCGTGTACCTGAAATCCCAGCTACTTGAGAGGCTGAGGTGGTGGGAGGATCGCTTGAGCCCAGATGGTTAAGTCTGCAGTGAGCCAACATCATGCCACTGCACTCCAGCATGGACAACAGAGAGACCCTGTCTCTAAAAGGAAAAAAAAAAAAAGGAAACTTAGAGAAAGCGTCACAACCAGGAGGATCCTAAGAAAACATGATAACTAAATGTACTGTGGTATCCTAGATGAGATCCTGGCACAGAAAAAAAGGACATTAGGTAAAAACTAAGGACATCTTAATAAACTGCAGACTTTAGTTAAAATAATAAATCAAGATTGTTTCATTAATTGTAACAAATTTACCATACTGATCTAAGATGTTAATAATAGAAATTAGATGCATAGTATATAGAAAATTGCTATACTATCTTCACAAGTTTCTGTAAATCTAAAATTGTTCCAAAAGATATGCTTCTATTGAGGGAAAAAAGCCTTCTGAGGCTCTGTCAGTAACGGTGATCATCCTGGGAGAGGCTCAGATGCTGGAAATAGAGGTGTTTCTGTATTTGCGTTGAGTTGGAGTATGGGCTCCACCATTTAGAATCATCTCTCCCTACTAATCCAACCTGCCCCCTGCCTGCATTCCCTTTGTTCATGGCAAAACCATCTCCTAGATCCCTAAGTTCAAGATCTCAGGGTCAGCCCCTTTTTTTGCTGCGTTTTCTAAGCCCAGTTGCTTCTGTCTCTGAATTTTATTTCAAATCCAGCATCTCGATTGCATATTACTGTCTTAGCTCAGGTCCTCTGCATCAGCCATACACATGCCTATGTCATTCCCCTCCCCCAGTCTCTCCCCAGTTTCAATCCATACTCTGAAGCCAACAGAGCTAGCTTCTCCAAACAGGTATGTGACCATGTCATCCCACTGAGTAAAAGTTCCCACTCCGTCTACATAGAATATGTACTTACTTGCACTGATAGAAGATTCTTGCACTGATAGAAGATTCTTCCCACTCTCACCCCAATCCACATTTCCACTTTCCTTCCCTACCCCTCCCTTATGCTGCAGCCACAGCAGGTCACCACTGCACCCCACAAAACCTACCTTGGAGTCTCACGATTCATGCCGTGGGGTGAACCTACAACAGGAATGCTCTTGTCACCCCCTCCCATCCCTGTGTTTCCTCTCTTGGCGAGCCCCTCACCCCACGAACCTCATCTCAGAAGTTACCTACACCAGACACCTTCTCTGACTCCCTCAGGCAGAAATCGTCCCTCTGTAGGACCGCCAACATGTGGATATGCAGATTTCCGCGGGAAGCGTCTCTAATGTGTGAAGACCACATGCCATTCACAAACATCCGCCATGCCTACAGCAGTGTGTCTCTCATGGTGGGTACTGAATTAACCTATGCTGAGTGCTTCTGTTCTACAACTCACCATGACCCTTCTAGACCACAACTCCTGGGGACCCACTACCCCTGCCATGCACCACTGCTTCCCACCCCCATTAGAATCTTCTTTCTCAGATGAATGTCCCTGTCGGCTCGGCTGAGGATCAGCCAGGACGGCCTGCAGCAGGAGTCAGCAGAATTTAAAAAGAATTGGCGCTTTGAGCCTTAGTCACACAGAAGGCCTGACTGGTAGTTGTCTCTCTCTTTTTATGTAAAATACATTTCCTTGTGCCACAGTGATAGCCTCCTAACTCAGGATGAAGCAGCTGCGGCTATCAAGAGGGCAAGAAAGACGGTCTGCTTGTCCTAATAACTACAGTCTCCCATTGCTGCCTTTCTGACTAATGAAAGAGTCCAAGATTCCAACAAGGACGCTAGAGTGCCCCCTGCCTAGCCCTCAAGCCCATAGGCTGCTGTCCCACTAGGCAGACTGGCATGTTAAAGAAACTCACAGCTCTCAGAGTCTGCAAAATGCTGCCCCAAAGCAGATGGATGTACCATCAGGAACACAGATCCAAAAAATAAAAAATGAATCACTTATGAATTAAATTAATGAAATCAGTGAATTATAACATAAGTAGGCCAGGTGTGGTCACTCACACCTGTAATCCCAGCACTTCGGGAGGCCGAGGCAAGAGGATCACTTAAGCCCAGGAATTCAAGTCCAGCCCCAGGCAACATAGCAAGACCTTGTCTCTACAAAAAAAAAACTTTAAAAGTTAGCTGGGCATGGTGGTGTGTGCCTGTGGTCCCAGCTACTCGGGAGGCTGAGGCAGAAGGATCACTTGAGCCCAAGAGGTCAAGGCTACAGTGAACCCTGATTATGCCACTGCACTCTAGCCTGGGCAACAGAGTGAGGCCCCATCTCTAAACACACACAAACACACATACACACACACACGCACATAAAAGTAAGCTTACTCAAATAAATCAAATAGAATTTCAAACATGTTTATACAAATTAATGTTAAAAAATAAGTTTAAAATTAGACCCCGGACCCCTAAATACCAAATGAATGTTAAAGACTACAGTCACAGATTGTTTTCCAACGTTGTTTGTGAAGCACTATATATTTTATAACAAGAAAGTCATTTCTTTGTTTTTGTAAAACTTGTCTACTAATATGAATTATAAAGCCCTTGAATTTTTCCTCCAGTTTTTATTTGTTCTTTTCTCTTCTCCTAAATGGTAGTTCTTCTAACTTCTAATTCTTCAAAACACACAAGGCTAATGATTAGGGTGGGGAGGGTGATTGGCCCAAAACTAGTAGAGACTAGTTAGGCCCAACTATACTGCCGTCTTTCAGCACAGTACCACCCTCACTGAGGGGCACTAATTTGTTCCTACTAGGACCCAAACCTGTTCTCCGTGATCCTGATAATATCTGATGTGGTTCTATTCCCAAAGCAGAAATGTAATGAATCTTAAAGATTAGTATTAGTATGTACTGTGATTTTCTTAATAAATCTCTATTAAATTTTGTAAATGAGTATCCCAATGTCAGGAGTAACAAATATATTAATAAGAATCAAAATCAGAAAGACCACAGTTTTTAGTAGGTTCTGTATCTTATCAATAGATGGCAATAATGTAAAAAGTTTCTTTTTGTTGTTCTTGTTCTCCAAACTGATATTTGCATCAGACTTAGCAGCTGATAACAGATTATGAAAATTCTGGCTAAAATTAAAATGCCAAAACTGGATCTTCTGGATAATGAGAAACTGATTGCCTCTATTACTAAAGAGGAAATGAAAGCAGCAATAGAGAAATTTGCAAGTAGCAAGCCTCCTGTGGTGATGAGTGTCAATTGGAATAGGATAAAGCTTTTGAGGGAGAATCAAAAGATCTGTGAAGCAGGATTTAGGAGAACTGTCTACTTATAAGACCCGTGAAAGCCTCAATGTAAGGGCCTTTGTTTTATAAAAAGTACTAACTTTCTTCCTGTTTGCTTAATTAATTGCACTGGAAATCAAAGCCTCCCAAGTAAAAACTGGATAGAATACATTCAAGTTGAGATCAGTGGTGGTTTCCTGCACGGCTGCACTTACAATGTGTGCAAAATTTCTAATTTACAAGTGCCAGCAAATAGATTTAAACCTCCCTCCTATAGTAATTTATGAATTTGCACAGAAAACCTTTATCGTGTAGAAGAGGAATATTTACAAAGGCTCTTAAAGAAACTGCATTTTCAAGAACTTCAGTAAATGAAACATAAGACACAAATGCCTTTTTGACTGCACCAGTTAGCAATACAGTGCTTCTTTTTTTCTGGAAGAAACATGTAGAATATAGATGTCATTTTGTTTCATTTTGTCTGTTGACAAAAGAAGTTTATGTTCAATTCAATAGAGAAGTGAGTCAAGGTAAAAATTAAAAGCCAACCATCCCTGGAAACAGTGTACTTCACTTTACAGTAATGTGTTCATCCTTTCTCTCAAGGTACTTTTAAAACATCTCCACATCAAAATGCACCAGAATCCCCAAGTAAACACTTAACCTCAGAAAAAGACAAAAACATGTATTAACTTTAACAGCACCTAGCAAGTGGTAAAGAATAAAACCCAAATCTCTTTAGCCAAGGTAACTTCTTGACAGACACTGTTGAAATATTCCTAATATCTTTGCAGTTGATCATTTAATTATTCTCTTCGGTTTTTCTCAAACTATTGCCCCACACTGCCTGCGCATTAAAGGAAAGAGAATATTTTGGTATTATTTCAACTGCTCCTGAAATCATCCTATGAGACAACACAAATACACATCACCCAAGCACACACCTGAGGACTTCTTTATGTTGATGTCCTAGTTTCTCCCCATTTCTGAGCACTTTTGTTTCTGTTTGACCTGAAACGTACTTGATGTAGACAATGATTCCAAGTGCTGGTTCTACTTAAAGCAAGATTTTCCAGACAGGTAGCTTATTTACCCAAAATATTTATTTCCTTTTCTTTTCTTACAATTATTAAGAAATTTCACTTCCCAGATAAATAAAAGGTAGCTATAGTATATTAAAGAGTCAGGAATTAGTCACATGAGGTGCACCTAAGGGTACCGACTGTAATGAATTTTTTTTCTTTCTTTCTTTCTTTTTTTTTTTCTGAGATGGAGTCTCACTCTGTCGCCCAGCCTGGAGTGCAATGGTGCCATCTCGGCTCACTGCAATCTCCACCTCCCGAGTACAAGCGGTTCTCCTGTCTCAGCCTCCCGAGTAGCTGGGATTACAGGCATGTGCCATGACGCCAGGCTAATTTTGTTGCATTTTTAGTAGAGACAGTGTTTCACCATGTTGGCCAGGCTGGTTTCAAACTCCTGACCTCAAGTTATCCACCCGCCTCGGCCCCCCAAAGTGCTGGGATTACAGGCGTGAGCCACTGCACCCGGCCAAGATTTTTCTAAAACATTAAAAACCTTGTTGTAATGCACACTTGGCTTATGAACTGATTTTTTCTCACATTTTTTTATCCTCAGTTTGCATGTGAAAATAATATATCTATTTTTCAAATATCAAAACCAGGCTGACTAAAGAACTATTGGAGATTTATGTGATTACAGCAATATATTGTTATTTCAGTTTGCCAAAACTATTACAGATTACAGGAGAAATCCTAACAAGAAATAAATTGCTGAGGAAATTCTTAACTATTCAGCATTTTCAGTTCCTATGGAAATCTAATAACTGTGTATTCATGAGGCTATGATAGGCATATTTAATATGAAATTAATATTCTTTCAATGTAATGTTTTGGTGGAGTGTTGTTTCGCATCTGTTTTTAGCATTTTGGTCAGAGTCTTATAAATACGTATGTCTATAAAGGTTAAACCCATCAGTGCTGCTGCTTGGTTAAAAAAAATAGTAAAAAATAAAAGTTAAACTCAATTAGATCTTTCTAGTGTTATATCTGTATTCTGAAGCTCACGTCCCAGACAATTTATTATAGCTATGAGAGTCATTTCAACAGATTGGCTGATCCAGTTAAGAAGGAGCATGTCATGCATATAACGATAATAAGCATTGCTCAAAAGGTGGTCAGCTCTTAAAAATTCTATAGGGTTTCATTAAGGAAGGGGGTGGGACTTTGGCCCCACACTCACCACCCAGAATTATCAGGCCCCAGGGCCTATTGAGCCAGGCCCCAAATCCCAGATGCAGTCCAAAAGGACTCAAATCAGGCTGAAAGATGGCATAAGAGGGCTATGATCAAACAGGAAGCATTGGAGTGGTGTGGACCAAGCACGTGCTTCAGTCTGCCAGAAGGAGGCAACGGTCAAAAGAGCTATACCTTGAAAAGTCGCTGGAAGAATATCCTATGAATAAAAAGGGAAAAAGTCTCCCATAAGAGTGGAGTAAGGAGAAGTGTAAAGGCACCAAGTTATGAGAAATCTCATCCAGGCATCCACTGTGTCTGGATTGCAAGAAGGGAAGCTGGTGGTGGGATGTAAATGTGTGGGGTTTCTTTGGGGGATGCTGAACCGTGAGGATGCTGATGCATCCTCCAGGACAGGCTTAGAGACACCAGCCAGGGCACGTGAGAGTTTAGGTTCCAGAAGGTAACCTGTATGGATGGTTTAATGGCCGCAGAGACTGTGGCCAAGGACATGGACTCCAGAGCTGATGCCTATGCTCAGCCTGTGCTCCTGGTCTACCTTTGTGACCTTGGGCATGTGACTTACTCATTCGTGAAATAGGAAAAGTCAGAGTCTATCTTAGAGTCATTGTGAGGATTAAAGGAGTTAATTATTTCTAAGACATTTTCACGCATCTGGCAAAGAGTCAGCATTATTTAAGCACCTGGTAAATAAAATAGTGGTTAAAGCAATAAAGCGTCATCTCTTTACCAGGAAAGTCTGCTCTGGATTCCAAGTTTGAAGGAAGCCTTAAAAAAAAAGAAAAAAAAAGATACACCAAATATTACTGAGGTCCCTGACTATAGAATCATAATCCAATAACTTGCTTTAAGGAAGAATTCCAGTCTTGACCCCAGTATTACTGCACTGAGCATTATGTAAGAAGTTAGAGCTTCATCCTAAAGGTGGGAGGTAATGAGCTCTTCCACAGAAACAGAATATGAGTCTGCTCATTTGCTTTAATAGACAGTTGAGAACAGAGACAGCAGATGGATGAGTCCCAAGCAAAGCCCAAGAGAAGAGATTTCCCCCACTCTGGGCTCTCTGATTATCCTTTGCTGCTCTGAAAAGCAATCATTCCTTTTTATAGGTTCTTCTGAAAGAAATACAAGGTTATTAAGAACATTTTTTAATTCACATAGCCCCGATATTTTGGGGGTAACTGTGTCATAATTACTGAGTTATGCATCAAGATTGTACATAAAATAAGTTGCTGTGTATATATAAACAAATGAAAAATGAACTATAATATTCTTTATAATTGTAGCTACGGTCATGAGGCTGGATCATTTAAAAGTTTACGGGAGTGTGCTGGGTCACACTTTGTCTCCAAGTGAAGTCTTTGTGGTCCAAGGGTCATGAAACCTCACTCATACAAATAGAAAGACAGAATCATGCTGAACAGTTTGCTTGCTAAATTATGTTGCAAACTACTACTGACTTCTACTCAAAATAAGAAAAATGAGAGTTTTACCAATTGCATCCTAGTAAAATAAATACGTAGATACAGGTGTGTGACCACAAAATGCTGACTTTTAAATTTAGTCATACCAACCAATAGTATCTCAGAATCAGAGTTTATTAAAAGTTAATTATTGCAGTTAATAATTTTAGAATAAAGATCTCTTTCTAATTGTTACAGCTTACACACTAAGGCTAGTGTCTAGCTTGCCTTTCTTTAAAATGCAAGTTAATTATAATGTCTCAGCATCCGTTTCCCCTGACACACCATTACCCCTCCCTAAATATAACTTTACCTATAAAAATAATGGGCCAGAAAACCTCAATGAAATATTACTTGTATGTAGCTTGTGCTGGATAGAAATCACCATAACAGTCTATTACCTTGTATGTGATTCCTGAAAAACATACATGCATCCTAAAATGTTTCATCTAATGAAATAATTGATTTTCTTTTGAAAAAAAAGAAAATGTAGTCAGGAAAATGAAAAGAACACTTTCTAAAGAGACTAACAAGAGTCTTCTGATGTCATAAATTATATTGCCTTTCAACGCAACTGTGCTCCCTAGTGGGAAGTTCTAAAAGGTTTAGTTTAAATTTTTTAGAAGTTTGTTTCATGTAAGCATCACCACATATGCCAAATGATCCATTAAGGGTGTTCCACTATAGCTTAAAGAGTTTTGAGTTAAACGCACAGGGCACTGTGGCCTAAGATGCTAAGAAAATACACAGCTCGATTTCCATTTGATGTAACTCGGCAGGAAGATATTATCCACAGAACATTTGCTGCATTAAGGCAAGCAGTTGTACAACGACTTCAGAACTCTTTCAACTACTTGGATGCTCCTGACCTCCCTTGACCAAAGTCTACCCGTCTTAGCATATTGGAAAGTTAGTCAATTCCCATCATTCAAACATGAGATCTGCAAGTGTCCAGTGTGCATTGCAAACATGCTAGGGATCTAAGTCATATCCTTGTGGCCAGGTGCAGTGGCTCACGCCTGTAATCCCAGCACTTCAGGAGGCCAAGGCAGGTGGATTACTTGAGGTCAAGAGTTCAAGACCAGCCTGGCCAACATGGTGAAACCTTGTCTCTACAAAAAATACAAAAATTAGCCAGGTGTGGTGGTGGGTGTCTGCAATCCCAGCTACTCAGCAGGCTGAGGCAGGAGAATCCTTTGAACCTGGGAGGCAGAGTTTGCAGTGAGCCAAGATTGTACCACTGCACTCCAGCCTGGTGACAGAGCGAGACTCCATCTCAAAAACAAAAAATAAAAGAAAGCATAAAATAAATCATATCCTGTGTTTTCATGGGGACTTTCTAACACCATGCCAACCCACATTTCCTGGCCCACACCCCGTAGAGCCTTTGTCTTGAGTCTTTCTCAACCTAGCAGTTTCAGTTTAAAATCTGGACCATTCCAACTTTTATCCTAATTGTCCCCCTCTTGTATGGGCCATCGTGTATGTGCTAATTATCCTGCTCCTGTCTGCAGACAAGTGTCCTGGAAATACCCTTGAGGCCAGAATTACATAAGTAGTGTCTGCATGCTTGGAAAGAAAACTGATAGCTGCAAGTCCCTGAGAATGTCCCGGACTCAAGACACAGAGTGTGCCCTGAGAATATTCTGCTACTTGAGCCCTCTAAGTGTGTTCAGTCAGTGATGCAAAAATATCCCCAGTGGATTTTAAACAAATGCCACGCTGAGAGAGGAAGATATCTGATACTCAAGAGGGCAAAGTAAGAGATGCATATCTTAAAGGCATTTATCTCTTGGAGGAAGTTTAGACAGCTTACTTCTGGAAAGCATAGTCCTTCCACACAGTCTTTGGTATTAATATTTTGTTTTCTTTTCACTCATTTACTCTTACCAGAGATCACCAAACTCAGTTAGACATTACGGAAAGAAAAGCAAGAACCCAACTGGTTTCAGAAGGGTCAAGAGTGGAAAAGGGGCTGGGCGCGGTGGCTCACGCCTGTAATCCCAGCACTTTGGGAGGCAGAGGCGGGCGGATCACAAGGTCAGGAGATTGAGACCATCCTAGCTAACACGGTGAAACCCCATCTCTACCAAAAATACAAATATTAGCCGGGCATGGTGGCAGGGGCCTGTAGTCCCAGCTACTCGGGAGGCTGAGGCAGGAGAATGGCATGAACCCAGGAGGCGGAGCTTGCAGCGAGCCAAGATCGCGCCACTGCACTCCGGCCTGAGCAATGGAGCGAGACTCCGTCTCAAAATAAAAAAAAAAAAAGAGTGGAAAAGGTAGGATTTGAGCAGTTGTGTTTAAAAATTCACATCAATGGAGAAGAGTGAAGAGGTGTTCTAGATGGATGATAGTAGTATGGACAAATCCTGAAGACAGGAACTGCATGTGTCTTCAAGAAACAGCCAGTACACTTGCTTCAGAGTCAAGGGTTTGCTTTGGGAAGAATGAGGTAGGTTGGGGCCAGATAGTCAAGATCCTTGAATGTCAGCCTAAGGGGTTTGCAATTTATTAACAATAAGAAGTCATTAAAGGCCTTTGATACAATGAAAATTACATTTCAGGAAGCTTTATTTGAAAGTGAAGAAGAGATCTATATGGGCAGGATGAGCTGTGCAAACTGGAAAATGAGAAGTCTATGTTCCTGGGCCAAACCTCTCCCTTTGGTGCCATATGGTGACTTGGTCTCAGAAGGGGAAATCCAAGCAAAGGGAAAAGGAAGAAAACCGCCCTCCACCGATCTCCTCCTCTCCCCACCTCCCAGGGCTAATCCAACCACATCCCCGAGAACAAGCATTCCCCGGAGAAGCCCAAGTCCACAAGGAGGTCGGGCTTTGTGCCCGTCTCCTTCACTTGCATTCCCCCTCTTGTTCACCTACTGAAGAAGCACAGCTAGATGAAGAAACGCCTTTCCTTTTAAGGGAAGTGGTTTCTCCTTAACTGATGAGAGCCCTTTAAGACCAGTAAGTCTCTACCTGGAGTAGGGCCAATTTAATATATCTGAATTGCCCTAGATAAAATGTCTCATCTGCAGAGATCCTTATCAAAGCCAGTAATTTCTCTGTGTATTCTTCATAGTATGTCCAGCCCTATTGAAATTTTCTCCCACCTGTTGTCAACTTTTAAGTTCAGAATTCCGCCTAGCACCAGATCAGACTTGCCAGTCTCATTCCAAGCACAGCTCACCCAGTCCTTTTTCCAGCTGAACCTGTCTACCTGTGCTGACCTCAGCTTGCTTGATCTTCGCTTGTCTCTAGCAGTGCTGTATCCAGTGGCCACTGTGTTTCTGACTCACATTCTCATAGGGATATTGCCCCCTAAGGAAGCTGGAGAGGGGGTTACAGCCGGTCACCAGGTGGTGAGGGTCTGAAACACATGAGAACAATGGAAGAAAAAAGGAGGCACTAAATAAAACAGGCCTGATTTCTGCTGCTGTGTCATAGCAAAAGGGCTGCATGGCCAAGTCACTCCAGAAAACAACACAGTACACAGATCATTCCCATGGTGTCCTGAGATAGTCAGAAATGAGTCTGTGAAATTGAACCTTAAAATGTCTTTATGGCACTGGTCCTAAAGCCTAGAAACTGATAGTAATTATTTACACAGGCAAAGAGATGGAATGAAAAACAGACTTCTTTGCCTCTCTTCTTTCAAAGTGATTAACATTGGGTCACTGAAGAAAAACTCAGAATACTGGCTCTCAAGAATTCTTCATGACCAACTCCAGGTTCCATCTTGTTTATTTCCTGGGATATATATTTGAAAGTTCTGTATCATCATCTATTTTATAAAATATTGACATGCTAAATGAAGATGAGAGAAGGCAAAAAACAGAAACATGGGAATGTTAGTGGAATGCAATAAAAGATAACATAGGTACTGAGGTCATTTGTCCTTTCAACCCCATATTTAAAATACTACCACATAAAAATAAGATCTCTACAAGCACACTCAACCAAAAGTCTGGAGGCCAAGGTGGGCAGGTAACGAGGTCAGGAGTTCCAGACCAGTCTTGCCAACATAGTGAAACCCCATCTCCACTAAAAATACAAAAAATTAGCCAGGTGTGGTGGTGTGCACTTGTAATCCTAGCTACTCAGGAGGCTGAGGCAGGAGAATCGCGTGAACCCAGGAGGCAGAGGTTGCAGTGAGCTGAGATCGCGCCACTGGACTCCAGCCCAGGCAACAGTGCAAGACTCTGTCTCAAAAAAACAAAGAAACAAAAAGTCCTGAAAACAGAGACGTGTTTGATAGTCATATACAAGGATATGTAATGGAAGGTCTGAGTTCTTTTAGCAAACATTAACTAAGCATGTTTCACATTTCTGAGACTTACTAAAGCTTAAGGAGACTAAGATTTTTTAAATTTTTTCAACAATAGTAACAATTCAAGAAACAAGTGCGATAGACACAAAATGCTATGGGAACACACAGGAATGATACCTGATGTAGAAACAGAGACAGAGAAGAAAGATTTCCTAGGGCAGTGACCTCAAGTTGGGATGTTGAGGAGGAGGAGGAATGAACCCTGCAGGAAGCCCAGTGCTGCAGGAGGAAATTAAACACATGCAAAGCTCCTCACTGAGATGAGCAGGACACACAGGGAGCTGTACACAGTTCCAATGAGGGTTCCAGGGTTCAAGGAAGGGAGTGATAAGAGGAGAATCGAGAATACAAAGGCAAGGGCCAGATAACAGAAGACTTTGTGTGCCACGTTAAGGATTTCGGATTTCATCTGGAAGGCAAGGGGAAGCTGTTCAGGGGTTTTCCGAGGGAACTGACATTATCAGATTTGTGGGTGAGAACCCTCACCTTGGTGTCCCATCTGGGGACAAGCTGGAGTGGGGCTGGAATGGAGGCCACGAAACCAGCCAGGTGGCCAGGGGAATATTCCAGAAGGGAAATGGCAGAGCCCCAAGCAGGATGCTGGGGGTGGAAATACCGAGGAGGGAGTGGAACAGATGAGGAATAGAAGACTCAGCCGAGCTGTGCACCTGATAGGGGAACAGGCAAGCAGAAGTATTCATGGCTTCTGGATCGAGCAAGAGACCGAGAGGATGAGGCAATTATCCAAGATAAAGAGCCTGGAGTGAGGGAAAGGGGAATCTGAATTTGAGGTTTATCTGTGAGTTATCCACGTAGAAACTTCTTGGTCTTCTCTAGGGTTCAATCTCAAAGGCTTACATACAAACATCTTTATATCTCTTGTGTCAAACTAGGAAGGTATCCACAAAAATATTTTATTTCAGACTTTTAAGATCTACCACTATTTTCAGTAGATTCCAGCTTTCTGGTTAATGTGTTCTGTTAGCATATTCCCCATGTGAAAAGTATTTCCTGTTTCTCTGGAAACGGTCTCTTACCATAGACTTGTGGAATTCACTGAGAATCTTGCTGTTTAGAATTTTCTTAATGAGCTCCCCAACAAAAATTTTACTTATACTACTGGTTTTCTATTTTTTAAACAATTTCTTACTCAAACACTTACACTTCAATAGCTCATAGTCTAAAATATTGTCCAGAACTTTTTGAAAAGTCTAAACATTATCCCCTAGCACCTACACTTCTTCACAATCCTCTAATAAATTACTCAGATGCCATGTTTCTTGATCAAATCCAGGAAGCATTCCTTCCACAGAGCTCACACAATACAACCAAGATGACTTTCAATTTATGGTACGGATGTTGTATCAATAGCAACTCTTTTATAGGAAGAAAACCCACATTTAAAAAAAGCAAGATATGAGTCTTGTGGAGCATAGGCTCTGTCATCCAAAAACCTTACAAATTATTACCCATATCAACACTTTTATGGAAGCCTTTCAAAAGATACCTGAGTCTTCAGTTTAAGTTCACAGTTGATCAGGATTAGTCAAAAGCACCATTCACCAGATGCCTCTGACCTGAGCCTGTCCACCTGCTACTGGTCCCCTGCTGCCTGTCCCCTGTCTCCAGCTAACTGCAGTACCTCCTCTGTCTTCCACCATTGCTCACCCCCTATCCACTCCCAGCACAGCAGCCAGAGGAAGTCTTTGAAATCGCTGAGCCAAGTTATATTCCTCCTCTGCTCAGAGCCCTCCAGTGGCTTCCTTCTTCCCTCAGAGAAAGAAGCCAAAGTCCTTAAAATGGCCTACAAGACTGGATTGGTCTATTTTCATGCTGCTGATAAAGACATACCGGAGACTGGGTAATTTGTAAAGAAAAAGAGGTTTAGTGAACTCAAAGTTCCACGTGGCAAGGGAGGACTCACAATCATGGCAGAAGGCAAAAGGCATGTCTTACATGGTGGCAGACAAGAGAAAATGAGAATCAAGCAAAAGGGGTTTCCCCATATAAAACCATAAGATCTCATGAGACTTATTCACTACCATGAGAACAGTAGAGAGGAAACTGCCCCCATGATTCAATTATCTTCCCACCTGGTCCCTCCCACAACACGTGGGAATTATGGGAGCTACAATTCAAGATGAGATTTGGGTGGAGACACAGCCAAACCATCAAAGGCCCTCACTACCTCCTTCTAATCCCTCCCTCTTACCCCCTCCTTCTCACCCTTGCCCACCCTGCTCCAGCCCCAGCAGCTGCTGTAGGGCCTCTGCCTTGACTATTCCTGTGCAGGGAATGCTCTTCTCCCAGATGTCTTCATGGCCAACTCACCCCACATCTTCCCTCAAGAGTCGCTTCCTCAGAAGGGCATCTCCTGCCCACTCTATTTAAAATGAAAGCAGCCCACTATCACCCAGACCCCCCAAAGCCTCTGACCCAGCTCGATTTTTTTCTATAACACATAAATGTTAACATATTTCCCTTCTTGTAGTTATGGATAATTTTTGATCTCCTTACACTAGAATGTAAACTCAATGAGAAGACAGATGTTTCTTCTCGGTTTTGTTCTTGAGTTTTAGTGCCTAAAATAGTGTCTAGAACCTAACAGGCACTCAATAAACTCTTTGGAATGAATGTGAGTGAATGGTAAGTGGGAATTCTTTATTGCAAACAAGAGTTTTCTGTGCTCAGGTCTTACCCAGAAAGAACAATGTCCAGCCAGAGGCAGAGCAGTGAGGTAGACTAGTGGGAACTGTTTTTCTGAACTCTTAAGAGAGAGAGCACGTTGGGATTCCCAATCAATGTCAACACAATCAGATCTCCAGCATGCCAAATCTTTAGTTCATTCCTTCTTTCCCTCATTCATGCATATTTATGTGTGCATTTTCAAAAATCTTTGAGAGAAAATTTTTTTTGGTCCAACTTTTCTTTTAGGTTCAGAAGGTACATGCACAGATTTGTTAAATGGGGTGAATTGTGTGTTGCTGGTATTTGGTGTACAAATGATTTCATCACTCAGGCAGTGAACATAGTACCCAATACACAGTTTTTCAATCCCCACCTTCCTCCCACCCTCCACCCTCAAGTAAGCCCTGGTGTCTATTGTTCCCTTCTTCATGTCCATGTGTACCCAATGTTGAGCATCCAGTTATAAGTGAGAACATGTTGGATTCGGTTTCCTTTTTCTCTTTGCATGGCATCAGGAGGGGAGGGAAGGGAAGTGCAAGCCTGTATTTGGTTTTCTGTCCCTGCATTAATTCACTTAGGATAATGGCCTCCAGTTGCATTCATGTTGCTGCAAAGGACATGATTTCATTCTTTTTTGTGGCTACATAGTATTCCATGGTGTATACTTACACATTTTCTTTATTCAGTTCACTGTTGATGGACATATAGATTGATTTTTGTCTTTGCTACTATGAAAGTGTTGTGATGACCGTATACCTGCATGAGTCTTTATTGCAGAATGATTTCTATTCCTTTGGGTATACACCCAATGATGGGATTGCTGGGTCAAATGGTAGTTGTAAGTTCTCCAAACTGCTTTCCACAGTGGCTGAACTATTTGCCTTCCCAATAGCAGTGTATAAGTGTTCCCTTTCTTCTGTAACCGCACCAACATCTGTTATTTTTGACTTTTTAATAATAGCCATTCTGACTGGTGTGAGGTGGTATCTCATTGTGGTTTTGATTTGATTTTTCTAATGATTAGTGATGTTGAATATTTTCTTCATATGCTTCTTTGCTATGTGTATGGTCTCAAACAGACTTTTAAGAATTACGCACTTTACTGCTAATATTTACTCACACCAAACACGAAAAAATAAAATATATAGAAATTTCCTTTTATGTGAGACACTATGCTCAGTGCTAGAGAAGGGTTTTTTTTGAAGATGAAAAGACCCAGTTCTTTTGTGCTCAAGGAGCACACAGTCTAGAGAGGAAGACTAGAAAGTGATTACATCAGACTGGGGTGAGTTAAGAGCTACCTTCCCAAAGGAGGGATGTTAGCTCGTTCTTGAGAATGAGAATGAGTTTGGCAAGCGGAAGATGAGGAGAGAAAATTTCAAATGAAAGAAGAGGAAGAATTAAGACCTGGAGGCATAAAGAGGCTGAAAGCCACATCCAAGTCTTCTCAGCCACCCGTCTGTGTTAATTCCAATGAAGGCAAATGACTTTTCCGAAGTATACAGAAATGAACAAACGTAAGGACTAGTGTAATTACTTCTGTCCTTTGGAAGCTGCATTTGTATAATATAGATTTCATTCCAGAGATATCAAAAATAGTATAGGGTATTAGGGGCATTTTCCTTTAGCTTAACCATAGAGAAACTTAGTACCTAGATATTGTTTGTTCCCAAATAAAAAGGATAGAGTTTTGGAAACCTCCCCCCGCTTCTGCTACGTTATCAAGTCATATATAACTCTAACTGGACTTACAGTCCCTAGAGAGAAAAATGGAGAAATGCAAAGGAGAGTGAAATGCAAAAGAGAAATCTAATGATTGCTTAAAGCATGTCTTCCTGTTACTATTCCCTTCTCTCTCCACGGTGGTTCTGGAGACTTCTGAGAATCAATGAAAGTTGTTGAGTTTCTCTTTAGAAAATATCACATAGGCACTCTTGGTCAAGGTTCAGTGCAGAGAATAGAATCCTCCAGAAACTGTAGCTTTTATCTTTCCACCCATTACGGTATGGGAAGGAGCACTGGAAGGAGGAAAGGAGGTTTGAGTTTAAAAAAAAAAAAGGCATAAAAAAGGAGTGAATAAAAACATATGCAAAAATATCTGCACACGTGTAAACCTATCCACAAGCTCCAGGATCAAAACATCTCAGGAGAGGCCAGGCACGATGGCTCATGCCTGTAATCCCAGCCCTCTGGGAGGCTAAAGGTGGGCAGATCACTTGATGTCAGGAGTTCGAGACCAGCCTGGCCAACATGGCAAAACCTCGTCTCTACTAAAAATACAAAAATCAGCCAGACATGGTGGCACATACCTGTGATCCCAGCTACTTGGGAAGCTAAGGCAGGAGAATCGCTTGAACTCAGGAGGCAGAAGTTGCAGTAAACAGAGATCATGCCACTGCACCTGAGCCTGGGTGACAGACAGAGCATGATTCTTTCTCAAAAAAAAAAAAAAAAAAAAAGCCTCCTGAGAAATAAAGACCTCATAACAGCAAGCCCAGGGCAAGAGATAAGATGGGGAGCAAAGCATCCTGAATTAAGCACCAAAGAAAAGCAGAAGTGGCTATTTTTTTCATTTCAACCTTTTCAGCCTGCAACCATCTTGGAAAGTCTAAATTATAAAACCAACAGGATTTGAAGGTCAGAGAATACACTTGTGTGATTTTATCTTCAATTTCCTCATCTGCAAAATGGGTATAATAATATGTATCCTATTCTATCTACCTCCTGGCATCACTGTGAAAATAATAATAGCATATGTGGAAGAGCTTGTACGTACTTACAAATGATAGCTTATTACTATTATTATTATCTGATTCATGTTATAGATCAGCTTTAAGGAATCAATAGTTACTTCTATAACTCACTTGAAAGGAAAAGCTCTTACCTACTTAAGAGCCCTAATCAATTAATAATAAGTAGTGCGTAATAAAATTAGCTGTTCCAACATAAGCCCCCTAAGTATTACCTGATTGATCAAGTAGCATTTCCACTAAGAGTTATCTATTAAATACGGATGAATCAGCAATATTATTTTTGAACACGTGTATATGGAAAGCCAGAGAAGACTATTCAAATGGAACAGCCCGGGGAGCTGATATTCAGCTTTCTCCATAAAATGCACTTTAAACTCAAAAGGTCACCCCCGGACTCATCATCCTCCCCTCTGCCCAAACTTCCTCCTCAATCCTTTTTGTTCTCACCATTTACAGCATCACGATCCAGCCGGCTGGCCTTAATAATTTTCCATTCTACCTTTTCCCTCCTTAACTCCCATATTTAGTAAATAGCAAATCCTGTTACTTTTCCATTTCTTTGCTTTTAACTCATTGCAGTTGTTTTGGTCGAGGCTCACTTCATCTCTTGAAAAAATTACGGCAGAACCCTCCTAAATGTGTATTCTTTCTGTTGGGAGCAGGTTCTGTACAGGTAAAGTAATTGTGTTGCTCAGATCTGCTACAGCCTGACCAATTTTGATTTTGCATCATTTACTGATCACTGACAGATGTGCTAAAAATCTCTCACTACAACAGGGATTTGTCAGTTTTACCTTGTGATGATGACAATTTTGGCTGTTTAAATACAAACTGCATTATTAGGTGACTAAAAGTTCAGACTTCTTAATTCTTATATTTTCCTCCTGAATTATTCCTTTTATCCAAATGTAGTAACCCTCATCAGCCTTAACAGTGCTTTTTGCCTTAAGGATCTGTTGCAATGAATATGGTTAGACTAGCTTTCTTTGGTTAGTATTTAGCTGGTATATCTTTTTCTTCCCTTTACTTTTCAATCTTTTTTAGATATGCTCCTTGCAAATTACATCCAGCTGGCTTTGTGTTTTAGTTTTGCCTTTGAGTGTAAAGAATTTCTAATCTATTATGATAATCTCTGCATAATAAGTGGTAAGTTTAATGTAATTGTTATTTATTGTGCTTATTCTGCTATTTTATTTTGCACTTTCTCGTCATTTTTTTCTATGCTTTTTTCCTCCTTTTTGGTTTCTATTGATTTCACCAATTTCACCAAGTTTTATTTATTCTTTTTCTTTCCTCTACTTATTTGCAAGCTACAGATCCTACCTCTATTCTTTTACTGTTTAGTGTTTTAGTATTTTGGCAGGCTGTCCCTATTTCTAGTTACACAAAAGTGGGGCAATGAGTTTGGGATGATGGGAATGGCACCTGGCAAAGGATGAGGCCACACCTGATGTCTGCACTTCCAAGCCTAGCTGCACGTGTCCTCTGCAATCTTCCACTCTCTCCGCTGTTAGCAGCATGCACAGCAGCTGTGGGTGCATCAAAGACAGTGGCCTCACTAAGTGGAAGAAGCCTGGATTGCTAAGTCATCCCTTTAAACAAAGTCACCCTGAAATTCAGATTTTCTTGATTACCTCAGCATAGTCAAAAACATACTTAAAGTCTGAAGATTGTCAATGTCTCTAACCTTAGATGACTTTAGAGTGATTTAAGTACAGACATCGTCTTCCCATGTGACATATTATGTTGTGCAGCGATCGAGTTCCATCTTGACTTTGCCACCCTTCACAGTCACCGCCTCCGTGGTTTTAAGTGGATGATGCTTATATACATGGAGCCGCACATTCACCTTCATTCTCACAGCTCACCCCTTCCTTCTGAGTTCAGTTTCCTTCTTCCTGAAGCACCTCTTACACAGGACGTTTTGAATCAAGAACTTTGTTGGTGGCACACTAACTCAGTCTTCTTTAAGTGTCTTTTTTTATTTTGCCTCTTGAAATACAGTTTAAGTATAGAATATTTATTAACCATGATTTTCCCTCAGCACTTTGAAAATATTATTCTATTATATTCTAACATCTATTTTGGCTGATGAGGCTTCTTTTGGTTTAATGGTTATCCTTTTGTAGGAGAGCTATGTCTTTTTCTCTGGTTGCTTATAAGATCTGTTTGCCTGTGGTGTTCTGAAGTTCCATCAAGATGTGTTTAGGTGTGGATTTATTTATTCAGCTCAGGACACGTTGCATTTTTTAATCTGATTTATGAAATTTAGTCAATTTATGCAATATGATTCTACACCTAGAAAACCCTATAGTCTCTATCCAAAAGCTCCTTGACTTGATAAACAACTTCAACAAAGTCTCAGGATACAAAATCAATGTAAAAATATCAGTAGGATTCCTATACACCAATAACATTCAAGCTGAGAGCTGTATCAAGAACACAATCCCATTCACAATAGCCATAAAAAAATACCTAGGAATATAACTAATCAGGGAAGTGAAAGGATCTTTACAATGAGAATTACCAAACCCTGCTCAAAGAAATCAGAGATGACACAAACAATGGAAAAACATTCCATGCTCATGGATAGGAATAATCAATATTGTTAAAATGGCCATATGGCCCAAAGCAATTTACAGATTCAATGCTATTCCTATCAAACTACCAATGGCATTCTTCACAGAAGTAGAAGAAAACTATCTTAAAATTCCTATGGAACCAAAAAAGAGCTCAAATAGCCAGAGTAATCCTAAGCAAAAAGAACAAAGCTGGAGGTATCACATTCCCCAACTTCAAACTATACTTCAAGGCTACACAATCAAAATAGCATGATACTTGTACAAAAACAAACACATAGACCAATGGAGCAGAATAGAAAGCCCAGAAATAATGCTGCACACCTACAACCATCTGATCTTTGACAAAGGTGACAAAAACAAGCAATGGAGAAAGGACTCTCTATTCAATAAATGGTGCTGGAATAAATGGTTAGCTATATGCAAAAGATTGAAACTAGACCCCTTCCTCACACCATATACAAAAATCAACTCAAGATGGATTAAAGACTTAAATGCAAAATTTAAAACTATAAAAACTCTAGAAGATAACCTAGGAAATACTATTCCGGACATAAGCTCTGGCAAAGATTTCATGATGAAGCCTCCAAAAGCAATTGCAAAACAAACACAAAAACTGAAACTGGGACTTAATTATACTAAAGAGCTTCTACACAGCAAAAAGAAACTATCAAGATAGTACACAGACAACCTACAGAATGGGAGAAATTTTTGCAATCTACCCATCTGACAAAGGCCTGATATCCAGCATCTACAAAAAACTTAAACAAAATTACAAGAAAAAAGCAACCCCATTAAAAAGTGGGCAAAGGACATGAACAGATACTTCTGAAAAGAAGACATACACAGTCAGCAAGCATATGAAAAAATACTCAGCGTCACTAATTATTAGAGAAATGCACACCAAAACCACAATGAGATACCATGTCACACCGGTCATAATGGCTATTACTAAAAAGTCAAAAGATAACAGATGCTGGTGGGGTTGTGGTGAAAAGGGAATGCTCATATACTGCTGGTGGGAGTGTAAATTAGTTCAGCCACTGTGGAAAGCAGTTTGATGATTTATCAAAGAACTCAAAGCAGAATTACCACTTGACCCAGCAATCCCATTATTAAGTATATTCCCAAAGGAATATAAATCATTCTACCATAAAGACACATGCATGCAAATTCATTGCAGCACTAATCACAATAGCAAATGTATGGAATCATCCCAAATGTCCATCGATGGTAGACTAGATACAGAAAATGTGGTGCATATACAGTATGGAATACTATGTAGCCATAAAAAAGAATGAGATCATGTCCTTTGCAGTAACATGAATGGAGCTAGAGGTCATTATTCTAAGCAAACTATCACAGGAACAGAAAACAAAATACTGCATATTTGTTGTAAGTGGCAGCTAAACATTGAGTACATAGAGATATAAAGCAGGGAACAGCAGACACCAGGGCTTACTTGAGGGTAAAGGGTGGGAGGAGGGTGAGGATTGAAAAACTACCTATTAGGTGCTATGCTTATTACACGGGTGATGAAATATTTGTACACCAAACCCTCACAATATGCAATCTGCCTATATAACAAACCTGTGCATGTACCCCTGAACCTAACATAGAATTTTTTTAAAAAAAGAAAGAAATTTAGTCAATTTATGGCTTTAATCAATTTTCTGAAAGTTTTAGCCATCAACTCTTTAACTATTGGCCTTTACCTTCTTTCTCTTCTTTCACCTAGAATTTCTACTAGAAATATATTGGGCCTTCCAATTCTGTTGTCTACATCTCTAAACTTCTCTTTAATATATTTCCATCACTTAATCTTTCTGTGCTGTAATCTTGATAATTTCCTAAGATCAGTCATCTAGTTCACAAATTCTCTCTTCATCTGTTTACTACTCTCTTTAAATCTAGCTAGACTTTATCTTATCCACTGAGATTTGTATTTCAATTACTATTTTTTTCTTTCTAGAAATTCTATATGGTTCTTTGTTAGATACATCTGGAATATTCTGATAGTCTTGTTCACATTTTGGTAACTTGTTTTATGTCTTTAGTCATGCTGTTATCTCTGCCTGATACTTCTATTGCCAGACATGCTTGGAGTCTAGTCCCATTGTTTGTCTTTGTTGATTCCTTCAGGATGGACTACGTCATACCAGGTTGAGTCCCGGTTCCACAATGCAACAGTCATGTTATCTTGGGTATATTACTTATCTTGACTAAATTTGTTTCTTACTCTGTAAAATGAAATTAGAGACTAAAGAACTTGTCTCAGAATACTGTTGTAAGTACTAAATGAGATAATATGTAAAAGCCCTTGGTATAGAGCCTGAGCTCTCAGAACATAATTTTTCTTGCTAGCATTCAGCACTGGATTATCTCTAGTGCCCATCACAATGCCTGGCACTTAGTTACTGTTCAGTAACTGTTTGGTAAATGAAAAAACTTAACTAATTTATGATAAATTTTACCATTACAAATTATCCAAATGCTAGTAATCTGTGGATGTACCATACTTGTACTATAAATGCCTAACTTACAAATATCTCAAACATCCATTTATTCATTCTCTATACAAGAACAGCCATGGTCCTAATGATGAGATAAATAACAATGAACTTTAAAAAAAAAAAAATCCTGCTCTCATGCTGTTTACATTCCAGTGGAGATAAACTGATAATACATAGATCATACATTAGATAAGTAAATAGGAAGATGAAGGAAGGAAGGAAGGAAGGAAGGAAGGAAGGAAGGAAAGGAGGGAAGGAAGGAAGGGAAGGGAAGGAGGGAAGAAAGGAGGGAGAGAGGGAGGGACGGAGGGAGGAAAGCGAAAGAAAGAAAGAGGAAGAGAAAGGAAGGGAGGGAGGGAGGAAAGGAAAAAAGGAAAAGAGAAAAGAAGGGGAAAGAAAGTAAGGGAAGGAAGAAAGAAATCACGATTAAGGCTTAGTCAGAAAACTAAAGTGATAGATTGGGAAGCAGCTGAGTTAATGCTTTGGATTGGATGGCTTTACTCTACATGGATGTTGAGTTGAGGGCTGAAGGATAAGATCTGAGCCATTTGGTGATATGAATAAGAGCATCTGAGGCAAATGAGACAATTAATGCACAAGCTCTGAAGGAGCTTTGCCCCTTCAAGAAATACAAAAAGGTTCTGCACATGTATCCCAGAACTTAAAGTAAATAAATAAATAGAAATACGAAAAGGCTGTGTGGCTGGAGTAAGATTAACGGGGGACGGCCGGGCGCGGTGGCTCACGCCTGTCATCCCAGCACCTTAGGAGTCTGAGTCAGGCGGATCACCTGAGGTCAGGAATTCCAGACCAGCCTGGTCATCATGGTGAAACCCTGTCTCCACCAAAAATACACAAATTAGTCGGGTGTGGAGGCACATGCCTGTAGTCCTAGCGACTCAGGAGGCTGAAGCAGGAGAATCGCTTGAGCCCAGGAGGTGGAGGTTGCAGTGAGCCGAGATCGCGCCACTGCACTCCAGCTTGGCGACAGAGCGAGAGTCCGTCTTAAAAAAAGATTAGAGGAAGAGTGGGCCGCAATAAGGTCAGAACAGTAGCTATGTACCAGATCATGTAGGGCCTTGTAAACCAGAGTAAGGAGTCTGGAATTTATTCTACACATACTGAGAAACCATTCGAGAGTTTTGAGCAAGAAAATGTGATCATCCAAGTTCCATTTTTAAAATGTCACACTAACTGGTGAATGTTTGAGATGGAGAACTGTTGGAGGAGATGCAGCCAACGTGAAGGCTGGGCGGTTGCTGCTTTCTGCCTGAGTCCCAACCCATCCTGAAACCATAGTTACTGCCACCACTACCACTACCACCGCCAGCATCTACACGAAAAGCTCCGGTCTCATAGGGCCATCTGGTGGCCGTAGTAGGAACTGTTTGATTCCACGGGCTCTGGAAACATCCAAGTCTTTTCAGACTACCACCAAGATCTGTCTCTAATCAAATTATTTTAAGTCCCACTTTCAAAAGTTTCTGTTATCCAATTTATTTATTTTCTCTTGTTTTTATGATTATGATAACAATAGGATATTTTTTTACTTTTCATTATAAGTAAAAAGAAGTCTGGACTACACTCTAATGGACTAGGTTACAATCTTATGAGTGAAATTTACTATTTGTCATAAGAGGTTTCACGGAAAAAATGAGGATCAAATTCTCTCTCCCCTTAAAAACTACTTACCAACACTTCTGGAACATAACAAAGGGACAAATAAGATAATTTATGATGTTACTTTAGTGAAGAAGTTGGAAGTCAAGCTCATGTATATATTTTTAGTTCAGAACGTGGCCCTAGATGTGGAATCATAACATCTGGAACAGCTGGCGAGTGCTGAAAGAATCTCAGGGTTTTTCTTTTTCCTTAAGAAAGAAGCAATTTGAAAGATGAGGCTTTGTTTCAGAGAGGAAAGCTATTTATAACTGGTAGCTGGCAATTGTTGAAGCTATCTCTGGCTACTTTAGATATGAAATGAACTACCTTTTTCAAGAGTACAGTGGCCAAATCAGAAAACTCTCAACTTTTCCTTGGCTAATGCAAAGCACCTCTTTTATATTAATTTAAATGTGTGATGCCAGGACCTCTGATCCTCCTTGGAGAGGATTTTCCAGATGCAATAATGTGGCTAATTGCAATAAGCAGCCCTACTTCTCTCTACGTGGATATTTTCTTGTCCATCACGTTGAAAGATCTTAAAAGCCATGCTTACTCGCTCAACTTTATTCAGGAAACTTTGACACATTATAGCAAGTCTGTTAAAAATTTATTTCACTGGGCATAAAGATCTCTGGCTGCTTTGCTAGGCAGAAGTGAAGCAGTGAATTTGTACTCCAGATATAATTAGATTGACTCTTACTTTGGGGATACTTTTGGATCCTTCCACATCAAAGTAAGATCTGGAGGAGCAATGGCAAAATTCCTCTTTCTGGAAAAATTAACTGTGGTTTTCAGTAGCTGTTAGTGGACTGTAGCAAGACAGGCCTGTGCTCTTGCCAAGGATCTTTCTTTCCCGCCCATCCACACTGTTGTACTATCCCAAAGTACCTGGTCTCATGGGCATGCTCTACATGAAATGAGTTAGGGGTCAGCCCTGTTCTCAGCAGAGACTTGTCACAGAATCTTTCACCACCATCGGCAGCAATTAGCACTAATTGGTACCCTGTGCACCCGCAGAACAGCAAGGGCAGTGATGGAGTGAACAGGCAGGACAAATTACCCTTTCGCCTCTGGGAAGTGAACTTATTGGTTCTGTGCGAAGCTGCTCTGTTCCCACTACCTCAGCTGGGCCTAGGAGGTGGATTAAGGAGGAATTTATTCCCTGAGGCTGTCAAACAAAAGGATTGAAGAAGGTCAGTTCACTGAGTGGGCAAAACAAAGCAGCTGAGTTATGACCACGAAACAGCCATAAATAGGTCTCCACGTCCTCACTCCGTATTGCCTCACCCTTCCTATCTCTCCCTCTCGCTTTCCATTTCTCCCTATAATATTATAAATCCAATCAAAGCAAGTGCTCTGTCAGCATTTTTCTCTCCTTAGCCTCAGAGTGCCTGCTGTTTATACTCATTACTGTGCAAGCCGGGTCACCCCGTGGCTGGGAAGAGATGTGGTCATTTGTCTTTGCTTTGCTACTCTATCAATTCATCCTATCCACTTCACCAGAGATACGGGAGTGACGTGAAAACAAGTAAAATGGGACCTGTGCAAAACTTTGGTCTTTGCAGAATATTAATTCTACTACGTGCCCTTGGGTTTGTCATTCTAATATCTCTGCCATAGCTACTTTAAGTCAAGAGGTTAAAGAATCCTTGAGCGAATTATCAGAGAACAATTAATAATCCTTTCCTCTACTACAAGTAGCCACCAGATGACTTGGCATCACTCACAAGACAACAGAAGGCAAAGGGATGTTGGCATTCTGCCACCTTAGAAAACTCGCTCCTCCCTTTTGCTTAAGTCAGATGCCAGCACTCTTCTGAAGGCTGAGCAGAGAGGAATAGAAAAGGGAGTGGGCGTTTAATTAGCAAATTCACCACAAATAAACGACAGCACCAGGATATCATCAGCGCTCTTCTGTCTTCCTAAGATGAGGAATCGGTTTGAAACTAAACAAAAGCCATTCACTTTCCACCTTGCATTACTTAAAAAAATACTTCTTATCTGAGTTTTTAACCATTCATCTGGGAGGAAGGAACCTCAAAATGGTTGACCTAGAAATAATTCAGCTTTGCAGAGGTGTCTGAGCCCAGACATTACCAAAGCCAGGAGGGACCTTTTAGAAGCATTTATAACTAGATCGATACGTCAACTTGTCCTGCCCTCAGCTCACTCGAGTTTTTGCTGAAACTGAAAGAAGAGCTAGAAACAAACTGCCAGAAGGCTCACAGTTGTCACAGATCGTGTAAGGAGACAAGTCTAGTTTTTGTAGCTCCTTTCCCTTCCTAGAAGGGCTCCAAGCAAGCTGATGTGATATCTGGCCTAGATATCTTTTCATTCTCAATGGCTGGTAAAACACCTGATAGAAAATGCTCAACAACTGCGCATTACATGAAAGAATGGATAAATGAATCATCACTGAAAGGCTAGACGAGGTATAGACTTTATAGCAACTAACTGAGTTCATTCCACTCAGCTCAATGGATGCTCTTTTCTGGAGACCTAGAGCAAAATGAAAAATATATGACATTAGCCAGAAAAGTGACACACTTTCATTTATTCAATTGACAAACATTTATTGACACCTGTGACATGCCAGGCCCAATGCAAGGCAATTGTACACAAAATGAAAAACATAGACTCTGCCTCATAAAGTTTAGTTTAGTTGAAAAGGCAGAGATCAGAACACATAAAGAAAGACAAAGAGATGTGAAATAGCCATCCTAGACTACATCATGGAGAGTACAGAGCAGGAGGCTGCCTGCTCTGGGAATTTATAGAGGAGGAACATTTGAGCTGGGTCTTTGTAGATAAGCAGGGAACCGAAATGGGAAAGAGATGGGTATTCCAGGCTCAGAGAGTGATGGCAAAGCAGAGAATGGCTCTGATGAAGAATGGGCTTGAGGGAGAGGAAGTCACTAAGCATCATGTTGATAGGGAAATGGGATGGGGTGGAGAAGAAAGGAGGTAGAGAGGGTGGAAGGAGAAGGAAAGAAAAAGGATGGAGACTAAGAGAGCTTGGCCTGTGATCGTTTGGCCAAGGGCCTGCGTTCTACCTGGAATACAGGTTTGGACTCTAACCTAAGGCAACAGGGCACCACAAACAAGTTTTAACCAGGACAGTGGCAAGCTCAGATTGTCTAGGAAGACAATGTAATTAACCTGGTCCACAAAGCAGTGTCCCTTTCGTTCCCCATTCATTCCTTGAGTGTGCTTCTGGAAGCTTTGCCTAAATGAATGTTTCCAAATGATACTAAAAGACTTTAAAAAAAGTTAAAAAGACAGTGTATGGAAGTTGTTGGTCAAGGGATGAAAAATTTCAGTTAGGAGGAATAAGTTCAAGAGATCTATTGTACAACATGGTGACTGTAGCTAATAGTGTATTGTATCCTTGAAAATTGCTGAGAGAGTAGATTTTAAGTGTTCTCATCACAATAATTTGATAAGTATGTGCGGGAATGCATATGTTAATTATCTTGATTTAGCTGTTCCACAAGTATACATATTTCAAAACATGCTATACATGATAAACATATACTTTGTCAATTAAATATATGTATATATATAATTTTTTTAATAACACTGTGAGAAATGGGTTGGAGCAGAAGAAAAATAAAGTCAGGAGACTGTTTGATAGCTATTGTAAGGGCAAAGTTTAGGAGGTAAAATTGATAACCCTTGATGATGAAATAATTCAAAAGCTAAAAGGAAACATGGACTTGATAATAATGGAGGTGTTTCCAGCCAGGACATCTGAGTGGTTGAAATGCTTCTTGAAAGACTAGAACCTCTACTTTTAACTCCAGAAAAGAGACACTTGGCCATCAAAATAGTCTCAAAATTGTCATCACTATGTTGAACTATTGTATCTTAAAGGCAGGAACAAATGGCATGTTTCCGATCTGTGTCAGAAAATAGCAAAAAATACTTTAATACAGAGGAGCCTCACAGAGATCAAGGAAACTATGACCTTAAAATATTATCATTTCTCAAAGGTCTAGTTTGTGTTTTCGGTGCCTTTGGTGAACGAGAAAGCAAAGGCTACCTTGGAATTAAGGATGAAAAATCATTTCAGTGATAAAGCTCCACATTCATTCACTCCTAACTTCCAGGTTTTAAATGCAATCTTGATTTTATCTCACCTAAGAACAAGAGTGTGCATTTGGTTTTCTTATTAAAGTTTGACTCAAAAAGCTGTGCAACTACTCAAGGTCCAGAGACAAAGAACAATGATGGAAAGGTGAAGCACATTTCACAGGAATGTGAGATGGCAGGTCTGAGCTAGCAGCGGCCCCTCCCTCCGCCTCGGCCTTGCAGATATTTGCCTCCTCTGCCGCAGGCCTCGGGGATCCAGGCCTGTACATTATTCATTTTGCCTTTGGCACCTGGAGCACACCTTTCAACCGCATGGACAGATGGATGGACATAGCTATGCTAGTAGTCACTTCCCCACTGCAAAATGCACCTGAAAACCACATCTTCCCAAGCTTTCCCTCAGGCATTTTAAATACTCAAAACCTGGTAAATTTTTCAATTTTACACCAAAGTGAACAAGTACCCTACTGTGCAGGAGTTTTACTCAACTCCAAAAGGAGAAAGTATTTTTTAAAAGTTATAAGCAGCTTAAATACGGTTTTGCACAATAAGCTGTTTCATTTGGCTTTTTATCTGTATCAAAACTAGACAGTAAAATGTTTACTGCTTCCTAACTAGATCTGGCAAAGGTTTTATTCTATGTCCTTACTTTGTATTTTCTCTCAGAAATCTCAGGAAATTAAGGATAAAATGAGTATTAACAATGTTTATGTTACAAATGTAAACACAGGAAAGTCAAGAAGCCTTTTAAACATTCCTGGTTTTTTTCTTTTTTTTTTTTTTTTGAGACAGGGTCCTATTCTGTCACCCAGGCTGCTATGCAGTGGCATGATCATAGCTCACTGTTGCCTCGACCTCCTGGGCTCAAGCCATCCTCCCGCCTCAGCCTCCCAATAGTTGGGACTACAGGCATGCACCACCACATGCAGCTAATATTTTAAAATTTTTTGTGAAGACAGGGTCTCCCTGTGTTGCCCAGGCTGGTCCTGAAGCTCCTCGGCTCAGGTGATCCTCCCATGTTGTCCTCCTAGATTGCTGGGATTACAGACGTGAGCAACCGTGCTGGCCTAGGAAGCATTTTAAAAAGGAAACATTTAATAGTCATTTTATTATCTATGCTGTTCCCAAGTAAAAGCTATATATTCTTGTCCTGTTTTCCAAATATTCCTCTGCTGAGGAATTGATATGTCAGAATAAACACACTTACAAAAGAATCTTTATTTTGCTTTTGTTGACTTGAGTTTGTAACTCAAATAAACTGAATTGCTCAATTGTTTCACATGTATCATAAACACAGTGAAGCGTTTAATTTTTCTTACTATATTTCTTGGTAATACCTGTCAAGTCAGCTAATCAAATAGATATCATCATCTACTCTGCTATGTTCTTTTTTCTCTTCTACTTATTATCTGAAACACACCAAAGGCAATGGGAGGCATGAGCGAATTTAAATCCCTTATAAATTATCCCTAGCAATGGTATTTTGCCTTTACCTTCAAGAAGGGCTTTTATAATGAACTCTCTTATAGGGACTTTGAAGAAAACAGAAGAGAGGCACGAAACTGAGCACCCTGTGGAGAGCCTTTCTAAACAGAAGGCCAGGCCATCTTCCCGCTCAGTTCTGCCTGGACAGCATTTGTTAGGGGCAAACAATTTTCTCCTCCTGAGCCCTGTACAAAACATTTTCAGGATCTAACTCCCAACACAGCAGATTTCTTGACATCTAATCACAGCTGCCTGGTTTTATTGCTAATAATGGTCTATTAAAATTCCAAATCAGCTTATTAGTATCTTTATGTATTTCTTCAATGAATAAAACAAGAATTCCAACAGAACTCTCTTTTTAAGTCAGTAACAAAGCATCAAAGTGATAAGGGACAAAAACCCAGAGAATTCATCTTTAAATTGCTATCAAGGGAAATGAAAACAAAAAAAAATGGGGGTCATTCACTGTAGCAACAACCTCTCTCCTGATAAAAAATAAAATGCCATGCATGCAGATATTGGCCAAGACAAAGGAGAGAAGTTATTTCTATTAAAGATCTTTCATGTAAGTGGCCATTTTCATTTGATGATATTTATAGCACTGTGAGAAAATTAAGTAAATTAAAAGTTTAACATTTGCATGCATCTATTTACACAAAAGACTTAAGTTTAAAACAAGATAATATGGTAAGATGATGTAGAAAGAGAAATAATTTCTCTGAAAGTAATTAAAGTTAAAAAATAAGAATCTTAGGCCAGGTGCGGTGGCTCACACCTGTAATCCCAGCACTTTGGGAGGCCAAGGTGGGCAGATCACCTGAGTGAGGAGTTTGAAACCAGCCTGGCCAATATGGCAAAACCCCATCTCTACTAAAAATACAAAAATTAGCTGGGCATGGTGGTGAGCACCTGTAATCCCAGATTTTCAGGAGGCTCAGGCAGGAGAATTGCTTGAACCCAGGAGGCAGAAGTTGCAGTGAGCCAAGATCGTACCGTTGCACTCCAGCCTGGGGGACAGAGTGAGACTCCATCTCAAATAAAGAAATAAATAAATAAGAATCTTTTTAAAAAATAAAAATCTTTTTCTAGAGATATGGGAGCCTATGCTCTGCTTGGAAACTACATTGTCAGTAGAAATATGGCTATGATCAGTAACTACAGGGGCTAGGCACTGAACACAGGCCCTGTGAACAAGGATGAGGGCTCCTATGGTTCCCAACCAGAGTGGGTGATCTCTGTTGTCCATAGGGAGAATCAGTGCCCTACACATAGCCAAAGAGCATTGCCTGCATGACAGTAACAGTATCAACTGCCCTGGATGAAGACTCCTCCATCATTTTTTTTTTCAAGACCAAGCAAGCGTCTAAAGTTCTTGAACAATTCGAAGAGTAGAGCCCTAATAAGACCAACGTAATATTCTTCTGCTAACCAGGCAGACTGAAGCATACCAATTTTTTCTTAATCTTTTAAAAAATGTGAGAAGTATAATATTATTACACCAGTATTATAGTTTATGTATGTTTCAATAGCAAAACGTAAACAGACCTAGGAAATTCAACTCAAATAAAAAGTGGGCACAAATATGCCAACTCTAAAGGTCAACACGGTTGTCTTTGGCTCTGTGCTATTTTGAAATGATCAGTCTGTGTTGAAGGCTAAGATCTTTTTTAAAAGGCAAGTTCCAAAGCACATTTATTGTTATGACTTTACTTGAGCTTTCTGAAGAAAACATAATGGTTTTAAGAAAATATTGAATGTGGCTTTCAAAATCCCTAAATGAATCTACATATACATAAAAAATGCCTAATGCCACATATAAAGGTCATATACCTTCTTGACCCTTCATCCAGGAGCCAAATTCAGGTGGGTGCCGACGACTTCTCAGCTACTGGTAGATGACCACTCCCTCTTACCTGTTACTCAGCCCGTGCATAGATTTGAGTAATTTCATCAGTTACCAAAAGTGAAGCATTGGACTCTGATCTTGCAAAGCAAATAACTCTTTGGGTTTACAAAGGGCAAAAATTTCCATGGGAAATCCCACATATTATAATCACCCTGGGTGGATCCACATTGGTACACCAATGTGTTCCAATACTATATTTCCTATGAACCAACTAAAGTCAGATTCCTGGAAGGAACACTTCTTGGTTCCTACCATATCTATGAAATGCCTACATCCCCTTACTGAGGTATTAAGAATGTTCAGAAAGCATGCTTCCCATCTTGGTCAGATCACGTCTACACCATTGCCTCAAGCTTTGGAGACCACAATTTAAGAGGCAATATTGAGTAATTGGAGTATGTCCAAAGGGTGTAATCAAGACTGTGAAAGTAACTTCAAATGACAAATGATTGAAAAAGAACTGGTGATGTTTAGCCTGAAAAAAAAAAAAAAGACTGTCTTATACTCTTCTCATTGCAATTTCATAGAAAAGGTTCGTTTTGCATGGAAAAAGGCTTATTTTTTGTTGGTTGTAAGAGGTAAGCAGATTTCAGCTCCATATAAGGAAGTGCTTTCTCATAATTAGAATACACTGTTTTGTCAAAGAGAAGTGTCACTTTCCTGAAAGAATTCCCATTCACCATCTGCTACCAATACTTTTGTACTAAATAAGAGATTGGACTCCTAACCTTTAAGGTAGCTTTAAATTCTAGGTTCCTAATAGTCTGTATATTTGGTTAACTCATAACATACTATACTTAAACACATTTTTTGCATGAGAATTTTGAGTCATTCTGGAACGAAGAGTTTCTTCTAAAGCAACTGGTTAAGTCAGAAACACTTGATTTGATGCCAGCAGATATGATCCCCATTACCTTACAGATTGCTAAAACTGTGAAAGCATAAACTTCAATGTTAGGCTTAGGTTCAAATCCCTCCTCTACCATTTAAAACCTGATGTGACCTATGCAAGTCCCTTAACCTCAATAAGCTTTAATTTCTTCATCAGTAAAATGGGATAATAGTGTTTAGCTCATAAGACTGTTGTAAGGATTTTTTTTCACATTCATACAAGCCATGTATTTAAAGTGTACAATTCAGTGGTTTTCAGTATATTCATAGCATTGCACAACCAATACCACTAATTCCAAAACATTTTCATCACTCCCCACAAAAACTCTGTACCCAGCAGCTGTCATTCCCCATTTCTCCCCAATCCCTATCCTCAGGATAATAAACATAAAGAACTAGGCAAAGTTCCTGGCTCGAAGAAACCCCTTAATATAGGGCAGTTGTTATCAGACATCATGCCTACCACATCCCTACAACATGAGGTTGGAATGTGCTTTTTCCCTGTACTGTTTGAATACTTTCCACATGCCCCAAAACGTACTAGAAATATACACATAGAGGAAGATGGATGGGGAAGGGGAGGGACACAAAAGTTTTTTATGCATAGTCCATAAGCAAATACATAAATACATCTGAACACACAACTCTTTTTTTAAATGTTTTGTTTTGAGATAGTAGTAAATTCACGTGCTGTTATAAGAAATAATACAGAGAGACACATGTACTCTTTACACATACCTATGTAATCCAGCTATTTTTATGTAATCTATCTATTTTCTTATGTTGTGAGGCTTTATTGTTAGTTTTCTGTCCTCCATCCAATTTACCGATGCGGACTAAGAGTGGAAATAATAAATGTGGCTGAGTGGACCCGGTCATGACAGCACTGAGAACCTGGGAGTATTCTCCCTGGAGATCTATGCAGTCACTCTCAGCTTTTCACTTTAGCTTGAGACACTGTCACTCCCTGCTAAGACTTCCTTTCTAGAGAACCCCTGAACACTGCTTGGTGAAAAGCAGAGCCCTTTTCTGTGAGGCTGAACTATTCGGATTCTTGGAAAATGGCGGTGTTGTGGTTCATTGGGCAAAGGATGTAGTTTGTGTTTAACATTGGAATATTCCAATTTCTATTGATTAGATCAATTAATATTCTAGTGCTGAGGTGAGGTAGTATGTTTTCTTTCCTCCAAAAGCAATTACTCTGTATTGACTGAGCTCTAGGGGAAATGTTTCCTAGGACATAGCTGAGGTTGGTTTCAATACAGTTGGAGTCTTTCATGTGGAAAATTCTCTACTTAGCAATTATGTGCAATGAGAAAACTTGAATTCATAAGTGGTTCAGTAAATCACAAGCCATGAAGAGTACAGGAAGAGCCAAAGAGAGAAAGTCTTGGCATTTAGCCAAATTCACCTCACCAATATTTCCCAAAAAAATGGCCAACAAAATCCTGTGGAGAGCATTTTAAAAACACAGATTTCTGCACCAAAATACACCCATCCCCACTCCTGATGGTTCTAAATTCAACGGATTAAGGCAGAACCAGAGAAACAGAATTTCCATAAAGCTTCCCACAAGGGTCCACTCGGGAGCCAAGGTTGGGAACCACTGCTTCAGGCTGGTATATTTCACTGTGATGACCATCCCTTCATAGTAGGAAAGAGTGAATGAACACCTCCCTTCACTTTCACTGTCAAAATTCTTAATTTATTTTAAAATTTTTTTTACAATGATAATAATGAATTTCAGTTTTTTAAATTACTTAATGGAGATTATCTAGTTGGAGGTATTATGATGCCAGTTTCATGGAAGAATATGCCCTGAATTCATCCCAAATTTGAAGAGAAAAAATACTATACCCCACTGCTGCCAGAATATTTCACTTGTGACCAAAAAAAAAAAAAAAAAAGAAAAGAAAAACTCACCGAGCAAGGCTGGGTATAGTGGACCATGTCTGTAATCCCAGCACTTTGGGAGGCCAAGGTGGGTGGATTGCCTGAACCCAGGAGTTCGAGACCAGCCTGGGCAACATAGTGAAAGTCCATCTCTACAAAAAAAATACAAAAAAATAGCCAGGTGTAGTGGCACGCACCTGTAGTCCCAACTACTGGGGTGACTGAAGTGGAAGGATCACTTGACCTGGGAGGTCAAGGCTGTAGGAGTGAGACCCCATCTCAAAAAAAAAAAAAAAAAAAAATCTCACCAATGCCAATCATCTTCTAGCTTATCCGGCAAGTGGTGAAGGTGGGTGAAAACAAGGTGCATGCCCAGGTACACCCCTACAATGATGAAATCAAAAACTCTGACTGAGCTTCCCCCACCATGCTCCCCCATCCCTTACAAACTCCTCTGTACCCCATAAATCCCACACTCAACATTGTCACTGTTCGTGTATATCAGAATCATACCTCTGAAGACCATATAAAGGTTGGGAATCCAATCTCTGGTACTAGGAGCACATTTTTAATTAAGAGCCTGTCTGAATTTGGAGCTATTACACACTGTAGCAATAAAATTAAACACTGTCACTCTCTGTTCTTTAATAGCTGACACACGTCTCATATTCAAAGTCCCCAAACTATAATTTTAAGAAATATCCCCTTAGTCTCTGGCTGTCAAATAAGCTCTGCACAATTTTTCTCACTTCGTCTTCACTTCATAGACTATAACTATGCTTAAAGTGTTAGACTCAAATGGGCATACGTGGCACATAAAGAATATTAAGTGCATGCAAAAATGGTAGCCTGTATCATGCAATCTTGCAAGAACTTGGGAAGGATGGAGCCTAGAGGAATTTGCCCAGGTGGTTCATAGAAGGCCTCTTGGGGAGGTGTTCTTTCCAGAAAGAGGTGCATTTTAGAGATGTGAATCATCAGACACAGCAGATGAAATGAGTGGAGGACACAGTGGAGCAGGTAGGTGGAAGCATCTCCCTTTCGTACCAACGTGCCCCAGTCTCAAATGATGATCTCTGAAGATGGAGACGTAGTGTACAGCCACACAGTGTGTCTCAAAGTCTGGTTCCCAGACCAGGAGCATCAGCATCACCAGGAACTTAGAAACACAAATCTTTGGGCCGCATTCCAAATCACTGAATCAGAAACTCTGGAGTTGGGGTTCAGCAACCTGTGTTTTGACAAAACCTCCAGGTGATTCAGATGCACCCTCAGGTTTGAGAACCACTAGATTACAAGAAATGGAAATCTGACAAGTCCGATCAGACATTTCCTCTTAGGCTGTAAGAAGCAAAACCTCTCTTCCCACCCCAGTGTCCTCTCTGCTTGCTCCCTGTCTTCATTCCCTTACACTGGCATCCTCTTCCCTCTCCTCCCTCGTCACCCCTTCCGCCTCACCACACACCAACGAACACCTGTACGGCGTTCAAAGAACTAGAAACCAGCCCCCATTTCTCCTCTACTTGGAGAATGTATTTTATAACGTGTGCATAGTGCGCAGGCAAGGGGCGGAATTTAAACAATGTCTAATTAAAGAAGACAACACCACACGTTTATCACATTACATTGTTGTGTATTTACCCCTTGCCGCTTTTGATGCATTTGCATATCATCTTTTATAATTCAATTCACTTGCTTAAATCATTTCTTTTATTTTCACTTATTTATCCAGAAGGAAAAGTTCATTTTGCAGATCACTGGGGCCTCCCAGTGGCGATCATCTGTAATTTCATACTCGAATTTTATTCTGGGATCTCTAGGGTAATGGTATCTAAATCCTTAGAATTTCACCTGCTTGGTAGGAGCATGAAATAGAAGCAAAGCAAGCATTTCGTCTAAGAGAGATTGCATCAGCATCCCAGCTGAAATTTCTTCAGATGTTGGCTTTGACTTCTTGCATTTATCAAACTCCGTATTCAGTCATCTGCTTCGTAGAGACGACAATCGGCAGACTTCAGGCTCTGCTGGTCAGCTCAAAATTCAACCAGGAACGAGGACAATAAAGAGACGATCAGAGAAAAACATCTTGTGATTCTTTTCCTCAATAACCTTGGAGTCTCTCCCTCGGGTTTCCATTTCTACCATCCTGCTTTTGAAGTTGTGCCTGTGCCGGGTAGCCATTTCCCACAAGAAGTTTTAAACACAACGTTTTCCCTCCTCTCCATTCTGGAACATTCAGTGGCTGCCTTGCCTCTGCTCTCCTGTGGCAGTCAGCACCGTCCTCTGCACCTCGTGCTCACAGGACAGACTCTGACATCGTGGCAGCTCTCCGAGCCACCCCCCACCACCACCCCTCACCTACCACCCTGCTCCTGCATCAGCTTACATCCTGTCACCTGTCGGAGTCCTCCAGCCAGGGCTTGCAGCTTACTCTGCAATATCGCCCTCCAGGGACAGAGGTGCCTGGCCAACCTCAGGCTAACAGGCACCAAAGGCCATTTCCACTTAGACAAGCACTTTGCTGCCAAAGATATCGGTGTCCTTCCATTCTCCCACTAGGTCCCTACGGCCTGGTCTTTGGCATTGGAAGGCTGTGCTGCCTGAGTCCATGCGGGCCCTCCCGTTGAAAGATTGCTGAAAGGTGGTTTCCAAGAACTGGTGTTCTCACATCACCCCATGGCTTAACTCTGCTGATTCAGGGAGAGTTCCCGCCTAGTAACAGACCTATAAACATCAGCACCGTTCACAGAATATGGCCACAAACAGATCAGATGAGGTTTTAAAGTTCATCCCCACCCCCTTGGCCTTCTCTGCTGAAAAGTCACCAGAGGGCAGCCCGCATTTCATTCATTTCATTCTTCCTGAGCCGTTGCCCAAGCAAAAGAACAGCATTTGCTTCCACCTCAGCATCTCCTTTATATAATACGGTCTTTCGCTTCCCACATTAGTGTTTTAAGATCAACATACACCTTTAAATTAATCGCTCTAATACGTGCTCAATATTCCTTGCAAAGAAAAACTTAGTGAAGTCTTTGCTGGGTATGTATGTGGATTCATAAAATTCTACTCTTGGAGACATATTATGAACAGGAGTACATTTCTGCAGGCTCATCTCAAGAGTAGCCCACTTAAGCTAATTTGTGCTCAGGTGGCAAACGAAGACAAGGTTTACGAAACTGGATAGCTCCAAATTAGCTAGAATAAAATTAAAATTCGAGATTTCCTTGCAGGGCTCAGAGTGGAAAACTTACACAAGGCCATACTCTGTAAACAGCACAAGCTTTGGTGCCGTAGAGACAGAGGTTCCCATCCCAACAACTGCCACCCATGTGTAACCTGGGAGGAGGCTTATTTCTGTGGAGCCACATCTTCATATATAAATTGGGTTAATGCCGCTAGGGTTGTCAGGATGATTCAGTGAGATGCTATACTGGAAATCTCTAAAAACAGTCCTGAAAGCAGTGACTATTCCACTAATAATGGTTATTACTTCAGCAAAGGTTCGTAGAAGCTACAGTCTTTCCAGCGAGTCATCAGAACAAGTCACTCCTATTTGCCCCCAAAGCTTAGCACACACACTTCCTTCTGCCTAGGACATGTCCCGTCTCTCCTCTCTGCCCTCACCTCCATCTCCTTCACCCAGCTAAACCTTCCCTCAGAAGCCCTCACTGTGCCCTGGTTGTGGGTTAAGCTCCCCCTGCCAGGACACCTAGCACTGATTGGTTTTCATGTATTCCCCCTACCAGGCCATCCCCAGTTCTGCCTCTGCCCATCTGCACTGGGCTCATGGCCTCCGTGAGGACTGGCTCTGTCTGTCTATTCACTATTGTGTCTGCAGCCCCTGCTTGGCACATTGTGGGTTTTCAGTAAATACTGAATAAATAAATGAATGAATGACAACCATTAGAGGCTTCCAAAAGAAGAAAAACTAAAATTCAAGGAAAGTAAAAGGTAGTTGCATTACTTATTCTTTATTCAACTATTTATTATGCATTAATTAATAGTTGCATTCTTATAATTCCCTTTAAGCCTCCTTGAATTATTTCTTAAAAAAATATGAAATCTGTTTCCAAGAGTTCTAGTACTTTGTTCCCCTGACCCCTTGAATGTTGCACAAAATGTTTCCTTAATTTCTTTCCAATACGTGATTACAAAATGTGTTTATTATGTTTTACATCTTCTAATTCTTAAATTGACTATCTATTAATCACAGAGATACTAAGGAATAAGGAAATCCTTGGTAGAAAAGTGTTAATAATTTACCAGTTGCCAACTGTACTTTTACCTCTGCATGCCAGGTAGGTAGAAGCATTACTCATGTTTTTTAATCTAAGAATTTCTTACATTTTTATGGCCTGTCCTTTGGGCTTATTTATGATGGTTTGTGACAAAGAGACAACCTTTGCCATTATGATTTATACTCTACTAACAAATAAAACACAGAAGTAGATAAGAAGCCCAAATTAAATCATGGCACTAGATAAGAACACCCAAATTAAATCATGACACTAAAAATAAAAAAAAAAAAAATCCAGTGGAGGTAATTTAAAATTAAAACAAAGAGTATAGGCATTACAGACTATGGACAATGAGAATATAGAAACTTTCAAAACCTAAACTACAAAATCTAGCATTTGCCAAATAAGTCACTTTAAAAATTTTATACTTATATTTGTAGCTTCATGAAATAATGCCCGGCTATTAAAATATTTTTAATGGCATATTTTAATCTTATTCTGTTTGTGCTTTTGTTTGAAACACCAAGCAATATTTTCTGGTTTGATAAAGTGTTCGTGGTTGGCAGAAGATATTCAATATTTTTCTATGTTTTTTCCATTAATACCATTTATCACAAAACTGACCTGGATATCTGTTATTGCTTTTAGTAATCCCTTGAAATTGCTTGATGGTAAATGCCAATTCTAAAACTTGATTGGATTTCAGGAAAAGACAATTGCCTTAGAAACAAAGAAACAAACAAAGAACAGAGAGGAAAAATCCTGCCTTTGAGCAGGATTTTTGAGAGTAAAAGCATTGCTTATGATAGAGACCAAAGGTTAGTTCAATAGAATAAGCAGTCAACAGTGTATGCCCAGCAATCTAAGTACTACACAGCCATATGCGACCTGAGTAAACACAAATGTCTAGCTCAGGAATCCTTCAAAAAGGAGTTAATATGACTGCAGAACTAATTGATGCTAACCAAGGCACCTAAGACACAACTATCCCGTTAATACTACAGTATAATTATACAGAACGCTGTCTTTGATTTTGTGTGGAACTTGAAAGCAAAGCAAATATTGACACTGGACTTGCAGGTAATATCCTAGACTTAATTTCACATCACAAACTCAAACACGGTGATACCTGGGTGTGGAACTCATTCACAAACCACTTCCAGGCTTCATAAGGAAGATAGAAGGAACTGGGTCCACACACATGCACACTAACACAAATGTCTATAATTTTTAAATTTTGCTGTGCCTGTATTCCTATTAACACTTCTACAAATTATTCACTTGCTCCATTCCCAATTTTATTTCCTATTATGGCCTTATAATTTATTTATGACTTAAAAAAACATATTTTTGACCATTTTTATTTTCTTCACCTACAGATTTCCATGAAAACTAAATTAAAATGAAGTAGGAAGAAGCACAGTATATTAAATTTATTTTAGTCTTATCAATAAGCTTACTTGTCTGATTTACTTAGGGTTGACTTTAATTCTTTTATATCTACAACCCAAGGTCACCAGCTAGTTTTCCAATTTAATACCTGCAAATCTCTTCTTGTATCAAAATTCTACTCAGTAGATGTGTTTCACTTCCAAATGATATTTAGAAATTATTTGTCTGCTCATGTGCAAATGGTGCTACCTAAACAAATGAGACATGGTCTCTGTCTATATAGACCAGGCTTTCACTGAGAAGGCCAAGCTCCTAGACTCTGAGGCCTTAATGAAGAAAAGGAACAGTCCATTCTGTTATGCTTCATCTCTTCCACAATATAATAAGCATCCTATTTGGCTGCAGATATGTTAGGAAGTTACCCAATGTCACCAATTCTTTATCCAAAAGAAAGGGAACAGAGTATGAATACGGAATGAAAAAAACTTTTTTTATAAATTCTGGTAGACAAAAATTGGTACAAATAAAAGAGGCTGTATCATTACATTCCAAGATAGAAGGTTTTGGTGCAGTACTTAGTTTCCAAAGACAGTCGATACGGTCTAGGGAACAGAACTCTCAAGGTTACCTGTGTGTAATTTTAAGCTGCAGAGAATCTCCTGCAGGTTGGGGTGTCTTCTGTGGAGTGATAGCTATTCTGCATTAACCTATATTAAAACCTTGACAATCAGTTAAGTTCATTCTATTGGAAATCCAGAAAGTTACTGAAAGAATTGGACCAAGGTTTTTAATAACATAGTCTAACTTGTCAAAAAGCCAGATAAAAAGGTGCGAAAATTCACAGTATAACTCCCTTGGATGGAAGTTAACAAATCAATTCCCAGTCCAAAAAAAAAGAAAAAAGTAAGGTAGAAAAGGCCTACTCTAATTACATCTTTTGAAATTAAATTATTGTAAAATTGGATCTAAAAAGTATGGAGAAACTGCAGCAAAAAGACAAAAGAATAAAAGAATGAAGTGGATAATCGAATGAAGTGGAAAAGAGGGACATGATGTGTGTGGCTGGGTGTTAAACTTTGGGTGTAAATGCTATAAACAGAATAAAATAATGAATCTGGAACACTGCATTTGACAGATTGGCACATAGAGAAAGAGGAACTTTATAGAATTGTATGGTTGGTTTGGTCCTAATGCTGTCTTTCAAAGGACACCTTACATATTCTACCTAAAAATAACTTAGTAATGATATTCAAATATTTTCTTAGCAGAGGAGTCATTTTTTCATTTGTTACCCCAAGGTTCCTGCTGCATTTACAACTCTCAGTCTCCTAGAAGCCTCTAGAGGCAGCTTTTGGGAACCTTGGAACTCTACTGACCAGTTCAAAAACCACTGCGGTATTAAATTCATGTTGTTCAGAGTCAACAGATACTCTTATAACTGGAGTGGGGGAGAGTGTGCAGAACCTTCAAAATCATCTCAGTATACACACCCATATGTGATCTCTTAAGGACTCGGGGCCTAGTCCTTGTTTTACTCTCTGTCTAGTCTTTTTGTTCCCTGAGGGAGCTTCACAAACTATCTCTAAGCTGTTGACTCTAAATGTATGCACAGTGGCTCAGCCCTGACTCTTTCTCCCACACACTCTACACTCTACATGGTGGGAAGGTCTGTTGGCTCTGGCAGCCAAACACGTCTAGAACTGACCACTTCTTGTCACTCCAATGCAGGCTGCCACATCAGATTGCAGCAGCCTCTCCCTGGTCTCATCTCTCCCCATTCTAGTCTCAAAATGCCAGGCACAGTGGTCCTTACATGAGGAAAGTTTATTTCACTCCTCTACTCACAAAACCATTCAGAGATTCTCCATTCCACCAGAAGAACAGCCAGAGCTCTTTCTGGGGCCTAAAGATCATGCTGGACCCTATGATAAGCCACCCAGATCCTCTTGAGGGTGACCTAACCCCAGCTGCTGGAGCTGGTGGCAGGCAGCCCACAGCTGTCAACATGTTCAGGACTGCCTCAGCTGAAGTCACCTCATCCAAGGTCACAGAGTCTTCCCAGGGCAGCCCATATCCAATGACTGGGCCACATGGGGTCATAAAGGCCCAGACGTATCTCCCCAGTCAGGACAACTCCAGAGGCCACTCTCAGGACAGTGCTCCATGTGGGGGTCACCTCAAACTGTTACCGGGCCTGCATTGCAGCTCGACCTGTTTCTGTCCTACTTCCTTCCACTCCCTTCCATAGGTCTTCATTTCAACAGCACTCCCTAAAAAATGACCTGCTCACCCAATTCCCTCTCAGAGTCTGTTTCTAGAGAACCCAGCCTGCAACACAGTCCTACGTGATCTAGCTCCCTGTAGCCTCTCTGAATTCCTGCTCACTCTGCGCCAGCCTCTCCTGCTCACTCTGTGCCAAGCACACTGGCCTTTGATATTTCCAGAGGATTGGCTGGCTCCTGCCTCCAGATCCCTGTGTGGTTGTTCCTTCTGCCTGCAACACCCTTCCCCAGACACCTACACTGCTACCTCCTGTCAGCTTCACCTAAATATTGCCTTCGAAACAAGCCTACCCTGACCTACTCATATAGGAAATAAAAGTTTTAAAATGGAACAGTTCTCATTTTTTTAATGTATTTGCTTATCTTTCTGGATATTTATTAGATTTTGAAGAAATGACTTCACCTGTTTTTAAAAGCTTGAAAATTCTTGTTTTAAATACATAAAGACAGTGCAGTGGTTAATACAGCTTTGGGCTCATACAGACCTGGACTTGAATGTCCTAGCACTGCCACTCTGCAGATGTGTAGCCAGGGGACATCTCAGCCTCAGTTTCTTTATCCGTGAAGCAGGGATAGCATAGCTTCTACCTCTTAGAATGGTTGTGAGGATTAAATGACTTTATGTAAGTAACAGACTGTGAAAATGACAAAGATCCATGTAAATATTGGGAATTACTGAGAGATGGTCCCATGAACCACATGTACTAAAAAAATAAAATAAAATACACTGGAGTATATTTGTATCCTGACTTACTGATCAGAGTCCTAGAAAATATTCTTTTCATCTATACTCAACCTGGAGTAGACAGAAAACTTTCAGCAAAGCAGAAAGGACTAATTCTAGGAAGGAAAGTATCACCCCGAGGGCACAGCAACAGCCTAAAAAATGTTACTGGGGACACAGCAGAGTAATTGCCAACCAGTGTCGTCTAGGCAGTTACATAGTACAAAATCCTAATTCTTTGCTCTTTTTGCACTGACTTGAATTACTACAGACTTTATTCTAGTCTCTAAGGAAAGCATATGTGAAAAAGTCGCATAATATTTCAAGTATCTAGATGTATATATGTTCATCAGAAGAGCTTTAAACTTTAAAACCAGCTATATGTCTGATTATCTGAGATTAGAGGCCTATATCTTTTCATATGTATTTTTAACCCAAAGCATTTGTATTTATTTCTGTTTTTGTGATACAAAATAATGATAGTTGGCTTAAAACAAAACAATAACTTCTCCAATGTCTCAACAATTTTTGCTTGCATTCATTCACTTTTCATTTAGCAGAATAAAATGTCCTCATCCATGACCTCAAATCCACAAGCTTGACTGATTTCATCGGAGGTTACATCAGAGGTCTACTCTGCCAGGCAGAGATGACAGACCACCTATAAGCTGGCACTAATGAAAACCACACAAGTCGGAAATTTACCATTACATTATGTATCTGTCTGTTCAGATTTATTTGCAGATCCCACTGTAGTCAATTTCATTATTTCTAAAGAGAGAATCATCTACACTTATGTTTAAAAGAATAACAAGTTTCACTGAAGAGATATTATTAAAAACTATCATTTTGTGATTATACATTAAAAATAATAATTGCACCATTATTAAAATAATAATAAATGATGATATAAGGAAAAAGGAGAACAGACAACAACAGTGCAGTGTGACTTTGCCAAGAGCTTCTATTACCGCATGAGTAGAAGGCAGGCCCAGGGCCTGGGTGCTGATAGAGACAAACTAGGAACAAGTTACCCCAATCCTAGACTCACATGCAGTATCTGGAAAAATTACTGCCTGGGGTGAGGCAAATTTGGGAAACTATCTTCTATTCTTGTAGTAGGGGGTTTTGTGTGTGTGTGTGTGTGTGTGTGTGTGTGTGTGTGTGTGTGCGCGCGCATCTGTGTGTGTATTTCCCCTTGGGAAACTCAGTGGCACATAAAGTTATTCAGGGTTTTCTTTAAAGTGATTATTTGCTAAAAATTGCCTTAGCATTTCCACATCCTCATCGAGGATGTCATACGCTCCTCCGGTTTTTCTTCACAGCTTTATACAACTTAATATTCAGGCTAGGGAAACTGGAAATTTCCTCCAGGTCAAACAACTCCTTAAATCTATCTACAAATTTATTTTCCTTCTCCAACCTGAATTTCATGGCCCACAGGATGATGGTGGTTTCTTTGCACAGATGGTCAAAGGTAATGAGGAGCTCTTCCAAGAAAGGATGAGCGTAGACCACATCCGCTGCCAAAATATAGTCAAAATTATTAGAAGACCTGGGGAAGTTTGTATCTAAAGCTACTCCCCAGGAGAGTTCTTTAACCTGAGGCAAATGCTTGCTTTTCATTTTGGTGTTTCGGGAAATATTATATTGCAGGTTTCCAAGTAATTCGGGTAAATCTGTGGCCGTCACGTGAGCACCTGTGAAGCAAAGGACAGTAGAGAAAGTAACCCTCATGAGATAAGGTAGAACAATCAAAAGTTTCAAGCCAGGATGCACTTTGCAGTTCTGCACAATTCTTCATCCCCCCCTAAAAAAAGACTCATCAGTACCTCTACACAGAAAGGGAATCCCATTCAAATGGATGCAAAGCAGCTATATGCCTCTGCTTAAAGAAAAAAAAAAGAGAGAGAGAGAGACCCATGGTACTTTTGCGCACCATTGCATTTTTTATGTTCTCCTGGTTTTTGTTCTGGTATGTTTTGCTGTTACTATTGTTTTTGTTTGCTATTTATCTGCTACATACCAGGAGAAAAATAAGCACGAGAAAGAGAAAGTCAAAATATTTGGCACCCTCATTGGACCAATGAGAAGTCATTGATGGAAGAATAGGTACCTCCCTAAAAGAATTCTGAGCCTCGGTCATGTGAGACCAAATGAGTGTATGTAACATCAGACATCCTATAGTTGAACAGAAGTGCTCATGTGAGAAGTGGAGGGAAGAAAGAAGACAAGAAGACCTTTCAATGGCATTCACTGAAAAGTATTATGATATCCATGCTATGCCCAGGTTTTCAACTTGGCCCATCACAAGTATAAATCTTCCCACCAAAACATGCTAAAAACCTAGTCACAACGTGTGTATAGTGCTCATAAAGCTACCACTCATAGATGAAGATGTAAACAATTTCCAAGATAGAAGTGAATAGTGATGGGTTTTTGAGGAAGAAATATGGCAGGAGCAAATTTGTAGAAATTTGGTCACTAAAGTAAACTTTGAGCAGTAAAGCAAAGGCTAAAAATAATCTGCAAATAAATCTAAGATTGTCCAATTCTACAGCATCAGAAAAGCACAGACCAGGTGAAGAACAAGAAAGCAGAAATGGAAGAGAAGTCTAGCTCAGCTCAGACCAAATCAGAAGCTACTCCTCAGCTGCAATATCACAAGTCTCTTGGCATCAACTGTATTTTGTGAAAATATTAAAATGGGAGGGGAATATGCCTATCATTGGTACACTCACAGAGATATAAGCCTTTACATTCTACTATGGGTGGGTCGATCATTTTCAACAAATCTTTCTTAAATCTCAGAGTAAGGAATACACCTTTGCCCATATTGAATGCAAACTCTCCCTTATACTTAATATCTTTGTGCCTAGAGAGATAAACACTACCACTTTCAGAATACTGACTAAACAAAGTTTCTATCTTTTAATATTTGTTTCAAGTTAGGCAAGCGGACTCAAGGGACCAATTCTTTTTAATAAAACAAATGACTCCCCAAAGCACAAATTCTGCTCCTAAGTCAGGCTTTCAGGTATAAATTGAATAGTGACTCTGACTTACCCTTAATAAATGGAATAGTGACTTTGGAAAACAATATCAGGACACAGCAACTTTTAAAAAATATTATTTGGGAAGACTCCAAGAGTCTTATAAATCTCTAGTATTTGAAAGTTGTAAATTTCTAAATGTTCAATTCCTCTCAAAGTGGCAGGTGTACATTTCTGAAGATCAAGGAAATCAGGATGGATCTGGGTAGCACACATCAGAGAAAGAGCTAAACTAAGGCAATGAGATAGATAACAATAACAAAAAGACTGAACTGAAACAGGCTCTTTTAATGTTAAAAACTATCACATGCTCAGTTGGAAAAGATGCTGGTGAGAGAACTCAGGGTCACAATAAAAAAGAATGGAGATAGGCCAGGCGCAGTGGCTCATGCCTGTAATCCCAGCACTTTGGGAGGCCCAGGCGGGCGGATCACCTGTGCTCAGGGGTTCGAAACCAGCCTGGCCAACATGGCGAAACCCTGTCTCTACTAAAAATACAAAAAATTAGCTGGGCATGGTGGTGGGCATCTGTAGTCCCAGCTACTCGGGGAGGCTGAGGCAGGAGAACCACTTGAACCCAGGAGGCGGAGGTTTCAGTGAGCGGAGATCGCGCCACTGCACTCCAGCCTGGGCGACAGAGAAAAAAAAAAAAAAAAGAATTGAATGAACTGAGAAAACAAATTCAAGGACAAACACCTAAAAATAGAAGCAGACGTGTGATTTTTGTGTGATTTCTAATATTATCTCCCTATTCTGATACGTGCTTTTTCATAAAAGCATAGCACTTCAAAACTCAAAAGGAATCTACAGCTACATGGGAACACTGAAATGGCGCTAAAATCTAAAGTGCATCTGAATCAGCAGCAATAGAATCTGCCTCTGCCTGGTATTTCACATTTCTTCTCTTGCAACCAGAATGCTTCCATGCAACTCTTATTTAGAACATTTCATCTGAGGCTTGTGACAGTATTCCACAAGAAGAATTAACACAACTTAATGCAGAAAACTATGAAAGAGACCGGAATTAACACAACTTAATGCAGAAAACTATAAAAGAGACTGGTAAGGAGACTTTAAAATCTGTAGTTTCTAGATGAAGCCCATTCAAACAGTTAAGGAGTCACAGATAGGCACAGGTCATAGTACACTGGATAGTAAAACAACTAATGATATTTGATCATTAAATTCTCTGACACTCCCTCTATTCAATCAAAAATATCTGCTTACCAAGTAAACTTGCCACAATGGAGACTAGCCCTGTTCCAGCTCCAATTTCAATCACGTTTTTGTCAACCATATTATACTGCTTTGCATTTGTTTCCAGGAAATAGCATAGAACAAGGGCCTATGAAAGTTAGAAAAAAAAAAAAAAGGGACGCTTGGCAAGTAATAACAGAAAGTAAAATTAAACTTTATTGGACAAATATGCTGCTAATGTTATGCTATGTATGCGTGCTCATATGAGTACATGAGAGTACTCATGTGTGTACTTGTACATCACTCCAAAAAATATGAACAAAAGTGCATCCTCTGAGAGGTTCAACATTTCTGCTAGAAAAATTCCTTGGGGATTATTGAGAGGAAAAGAGAAATAACTAAAAATGTGGAGTTCAATTGCTTAGGTTTGATCATTTTTAAAGGAAGCAACTTCTGATAATACTAGTCATTTCCAAGTGGTGTGTGGGATTGGGGCAGGTGGGGTGGTGGGTCCATTACTCTTCATGGGACAGTTGGTAAAGGATTGAGGGTCTTTGAGGACATTCTACATGTGAGACTCATATAGATTTCAATGTAATTGTTTAACTCAAATGGAGCTGATAAAAGGGGAAATAAAAATGTTTACTGCTCTAAACTCTTATTTTAAAAACTGAAGAAGTAAACAACACCCTGTATTAATCCTACAAATTTCAATAAAGTCAGAAATAGAATTAATTGAGGCCCAGCGTGGTAGCTTATGCCTGTAATCCCAGCACCTTGGGAGGTGGAGGTGGATGGATTACTTGAGGCAAGGAGTTCAAAACCAGCCTGGCCAACGTGGTTGAAACCCCATTCCCACCAAAATTACAAAAATTAGCTTGGTGTGGTGTTGCATGCCTGTAGTCCCAGCTACTCAGGAGGCTGCAGCAGGGGAATCATTTAAACCCAGGAGGCAGAGGTTGCAGTGAGCTGAGATCAAGCCACAGCACTCCAGCCCGGGTGACAGAGCAAGACTCTGTCTCAAAAAAAAAGAAAAGAAAAGAAATAGAATTACAGAATTAATTGGGAGAAATAATTTCCTAGTCACATGATTTCTAAAACATAGTACTATTTGAGGTCACAAAGAAGGAATATGGAACCTGTTTTCTTCTTCCAAATAGAACATAATAATGAATAAAACCGGCTGGAAAAATAATTGGAATGTAACAAATTCTGTATGAAATTATACCGATGGCCAAACAACAGCACCATAACAATCCATGGCCTCAGTAATTCGAATCTCATGACCAATAAAATGAAAACTTTCCCAGGAAGTAGTTGTTATCAGAGTTGGAATAAAACATCTTGCCATGATCTCTGTGACCACCTGCTTGTCATCATAGGCTTCTCTGGTGTCTGAAAGGAAAAGAAAAAGGTAATGGTTGTATAAGTAAATCCATGAAAAGAGAAAAGAACTTGATGGAAATACAGCATTTCTGCTTAGTCTAAGGAGCTTTTGAATATTCAGTGACTTTAGGTGAGAAATAATAAGGTAAACTATTTGAAAATGACTCTCAATGTAAGCTAATATTTCCATTCATCAGGGTGGCAACATCTTTCTTATTTTCATGGGAGTTCAAATCACCATTATCCCCTTCTGCAATGCTACACACAACAAATAATAATTGATGTACTTTTTTAAAGCAATATATTTTAAGAGCCACCAATCAGTTCATATAGAATAAGAGAGAGATTGGTGATGGAATATAAGAACCCACCTCTTCATATTGGTGTCCTAGCGCAATTCTAGCTGTTCTGTGTCCCAGGCACAGTGCTGGGTGATGGAGTATAGTAGCTAGCCAAATAGACATGGTCCCTGCCCTTGGAAAAATTGGAAATCCATAGACACAAACATGTGGTATCTCAGGGCATACCTATAAAGAATTGTTGGATTGGAAGAAAGTGCTTTTCCACAGTACTCCCAAGGCTCTTGGCTTTGGTGCCCACCTGGATAGACATTTCTAATAAATGGTGTGTTCTCAGCTTTGCCTTGATGAACAGTTTTGTCAATGGTTCGACTAACTGATGACATTACAAGTATTATAAAATTTTCAGAATATATAAATGGGATGGGGACAACAAGTATAACAGAAAACTAAATGTGAAGGAAAATGTCTTCAGTTGTAAAAATGGATTGGTCTTAACAATGTGAAATTTAATAAAGATAAGTCTAAAGTCTGTATTCAGCCTGAGTTTAGCAGCACTGTGTAGGGGATGGGGACAGACAGATACATTTACTTGGCCACAAGCTCAATATGAGTCAAAAGTTTAATATGATCATCAAAAAATCGGTGCACCTAGCCCACATTAAAAATATAATTTCCAAAATCATGGAGGTAGAGGCTTTCTTTTACACCAGTCAGATTATACTTGTACATCCAGTTAGGGAAGGCCCACTTTAGAGGGACACTGAGAAACTGTAGCAACTGGGAGGTGAGAAATCTTGAAACTCGGCCTTATAAGGACAGTTTTGGGGAGTTCAACATGTTCAACAAAAAGAAGAAAAGACCTGAGTGAACACAAGAGTTTTCAAAATTTGAAGGACTAGAAAATAGAAGGTTGGGGTGCATGCATGTGTGTGTGTGTCTGTGTGTGTGTGTGTGTCCTGCTTAGAATACAAACAGAATCATGTACTCCTCAAAAGAACTCCAATTTAACCACATCCACAGGAAGGGCCCAGCCTACCACCCACCTCTACCACTACTGCAAACGTTGACCCTTGACAGAGATGCAGGGGAAACAAAGAAACAGAAATTTGGTATTTTTCAGCGAGAGCCATCTCTTCTAATATTTTTCACTGTACTTCACCTTAAACAACAGTGTGCATTCACATTCAGGAAGAGCTCTAAGAACCAAATAATATTGGAAACATGTTTTATTTGAACTTTAACTTCCATTTCACTATATGCACTTGCCTTGGTAAGATTGGGGATGCAGGGGGAGGGCAACATTTGCTGTGGAAGTTCTTTAGGGAAAAGTAGAGAACGTTAATTGCTTCCTTGACCTTTAACTGAATTTGTCCTCTTGGGCCTCCTTGCATACTACTTGTAAATGTAGCACTTCTATGACAAGTCACCTAAGGTACCAGGGATTAATAGATGTTAGAGTACACTAAGTCCCAGGAGCATCTTCGAAAGTTCCAGTCTTTGATATAAAAAGTTTGCCGGTGAATATTTACTGGTACAACCTGACATCTTTGACTTTGCATGTTCTTTTAAAGGTTAGTTGGCCAGATTAGTGCTCCTGTCCTAACAACTACAGAGGGATAACAAATGAATTCCTAGCTTTTGACTGCGTCCTTCTGAATAGAGTTATTTCATTCTAAGAATGACCCCATCTTTACCTTCATATGGAAATGAGATTTAAAAATTTATGAATATATTATAATGAAAATTACTTACACTCCTAAAACAAAGGACCTTCAAAGAGATTTCACGAAATGAATATAACCACTACTAATTGCATACACACTTTAAAAAGAACACAACTATATCACTCATAAATGGTAATGCAAAATTAGTTATACACCTACGATGATCATGTATCACAGAAAACATTATCAGGTTGAATAAAATTTAATTGATAATGCTTTATATTAATATTCTCTTTTGCATTTAAATATTATATGAATACTACAAGCATCCAACAAGAAATAACCTTCATAAATTAGCATAATTTATAGCATGAAACCCAAATAAACTAAACTTGGCTGCCTAAAATAATTTGTCTAAAGGGGGATATGCTCTTTGTAAGTATCATGCTGATAAAACCATAAAAATTATTTTAGAGGAATGAGGATTAAAATGAAATTTCTTTATGACACGGAAAAAAATAATAATTTGTCTAAAAGTGTAAAATTTTAAAAGCAAACATATACACATAAACAGACAATTATTTCCATCTTAAAACATTGGTTGCTGTTTTCCAGTGTGAACTTCTATTTAAAGATTTTGAGGTAATAGTTTGTTTTTTTGTTGTTTTGTTTTTTGAGGGTTTTGTTTTTTTTGTTTGTTTTGTTTTGTTTTGACAGAGTCTGGCTCTGTCACCCAGGCTGAAGTGCAGTGGCACAATCCGGGCTCACTGCAACCTCCGCCTCCTGGGTTCAAGCGATTCTCGTGCCTCAGCCTCCTGAGTGGCTGAGTCTACAGCCATGCGCCACCACGCCTGGCTAATTTTTGTATTTTTTTAGTAAAGACGGGGTTTCACCATGTTGCCCAGGCTGATCTCCAACTCCTGAGCTCAACTGATTCACCCACCTCAGCCTCCCAAAGTGCTGGGATTACAGATGTGAGCCACTGCGCCTGGCCTTGAGGTGATAGTTTTAATGGTAATTATTTATGTAAATCAAGACATGTTTAATATTAAGCTCCAACAATAACACCACCCATTTCAAGGTTGATAATAAGAATCTCTAAACAAGAATCTAATGGAAAGAGCTGCCCTATTATAAAGGCATGCCTACAGCAGCCTTGTTGTAACAAAAAGGAAAAAATCTATGCTCCAAATAATTTACAAAGAACATGCCCCTTAAACTGCATGCTTATTTAGTTGTTGAATATGAGTCGAATATTGAGAAGATTGGTGAATTAGTAGATAGTCTGGTTTTTAAGATTTGAAGAGCAATTCCTACAAAAATTAATAGCATTGCCATACAATGGAATTTTAATATACATTTCTGAAGAATAATTTTTCCACATATATTCTTTCCTCATTATCTAGCACTTAGCCCCCAGGACAAATAACAAAAACCAGATAATATTACACAAGATTCTGTACATCGGCTTCCCTATATGAAAAGCAGCAAACTTCTGATAACTGTACCTTCAGATAAAAGCTATCTACTATAGTTTTAGAACATTATTTTATTGGTGAATTTAATATTAAAACACAAATATTAAAATAGATTGTAAATAAAACATTGTCAAGACAGAGTATTACAATTACGTTGCTATCTTGGGCTTATCTATTTTAATGCTTTTGATACAAAAAAAGTCTTAACACCATTTTCCTGCTATTCATTCTTTGCTGATAGTAAATAAAATCTACCAGGTGCTCTTGTTCTCCTCAGAATTAAAGGGATTTCAAGTATAAAGTGAAAAGTAGCAAGATTCTGCCACATTATGATGACGATTTTAAGAGGAAAATTCAACAGTGAATTGACTTCAATGCTGGATTACAACAAGCCTTCAAAAATAGAGGCTTTGTCTATATTCTTCTCTTCTATACTTTTAAGGTCAATAATAGCAATAATAAGTGGAAGGATCAGATAACAGAAGTGCATCCCCCACCCAAAAAAACAAAAAAAAAACAAAAACAAAAAACAACAACAACAACAACTCTTTAACAGCTGTGACAAGTGAATTCAAGCTTCCATTTGAGGGCTGTCACGAAAACCTGTCAGCAAAATTTAAAGTAAAATCCCCTCTACTAAATGAAAGAAACTGTCATTCAAATGAATCTTCTATTCAAAGCTGAATGTCATGTGCTTCTTAGAAATGCCTACAGATTAAAAAAAAGAAGTTAAAGATATTTTCAGATTAGTAAATAGTCACAGGCTTAACTTAAAAGATAGAATTCTGAAAACCTCAGCAATGCCAAGGTCTTGGACCCTTATGTTGAAACCAATTCCTGAGAAGATTCTACAGATATTCTCTGTCTGCTGGTCTTCTTAGTTTCAAGAATGTACAGAGGTTGTAACTCTAATCAAGTAGACCAAACAATGCTACACTTTGTGTTTACAAAAGAAAGAAAATGCACCTTTTATTGAGGTTGCTCAGGATGCAAGTGGAAAAATAAAGAACCTAAATTAGTTGTACTACAAGTTTGCTACTGAGATCACGGAAGGGGCAGACAACTGAACAAATGTCAATACCTTGATAAATGCTATAAAACAGGTCTTTCTAAAATGCTATGGGAAGCACCACTGGTTGGTTGAATCAGGAGAAGCATCATAAAAGAGGAGATATTTAAGCCCAGGAGCTGTTAGAAGATCTATGGAGCGAGGGTACAAGGCTAGAGGTTTGGGCCAGAATCCCAAAAGATAGTTTCTGATGCCATAATCCCCAGTGTTGAATCCTGAAAGATCAAAACCCCAAATACATAATTCTGATAAAAATAATTCTAAAAGTTCTTTAAAACATATTTACATTTTTAAAAGAGTTTAGAAACATAAAAACACAACAGAACACTTTGTGGGCTACTTTATACAATAAAATTGTATATACATAATTTTGCAATGATAAGCACTCAGGTGTGCTACCCACAGTTACACAGGCATAACAGTTATGAGCAGAGAAATTGTATTCATAAAGAAATCACTTATATAGTTTGGTCACTTGAAATATCCTGATGAACAACCTAAGTCTTCTGATGAAACAGATCCAAACCTACAGTGGAGCTGAATGCAGTGGCTCACGCCTGTAGTCCCCGCTACTCAGGAAGCTGAGGTGGAAGGATCGTTAGAGCCCAGCCTGGGCAACATAGTGAGACGCCCCTTGCTAAAAAAATTAAAATTAAATACCAACAATGGGTCACCACCACATATACAGTCATATACAGTTGCCTAAAGAGCTGAGATATTGAAAAATGTTATCTTTCACAAATGCAGATGCAGAAAAAGGATATCCCTTTATTTATTGAGGAAGTTTTAAGGTTTTTACATATATATGCACAATGCTTACACACAAGGTCAGTGTTATTAAAATGCACTTCCATGGAGTCAATTTTGCAAAAAACAAAAAGTGCATAAAACAAATTAGAACTCTCTAAAAGCTCATACAATTTATGCCTCTAGTTTTGGAAATGTAAAGATGAAACACGTAGCATACCATAGTGAGTTGTAAAAAATAATGCTGATGATTTAAAATGGTGAGGAAAAAAACTTTAAAAAAGGAAAAAGAAAAACAAAACCTTCCCAAAGAAACTAAAAAGAAAATTCAACATATGAAAAAGCGCATTACAGGGATAAATTATGGGCAACTGCACGGAGGTAGCCCATAAGAGCTGGCCGACTTCCACAATCATTAACTGTATTCTGAAGTCTTGCGTGGAGATGAGTAACTGTTTCTTTTCTTTTAGGACATGGCTCTTCTTGAAGAATACATTCACATTGATTTTCTACATGATGCTGCTCTTTTTGAAATTCTAGTTTTATTCAATACACACTGACATGAGCATTTTCTATTAAATTTCCTATCTCTGTGTCATGCTTCTGTGTTGTTTTGGGTACATGGAAATCCTTTGCTCATGCACTCATATACAGACCACAGATTTGGCTGAAACAATACTGGTGATCGAACAGCAACATCATTGTGTGCTTTCTTATCCTACCATGCACATAGTTATTTTAGAGTCAGTAACTTTGCTGGCTTCATCAGGCAAATTCAGCTTTAACTCATTAAGACCTCCTAGAATTTCATCAGCTAGAAGGAATGCCAATGCAGACAAATAATGCGTTATAAACTGAAGTTTTCCATGTTACTATATTCTACAGGCAATCCATTCATCTGAATTTTCCGGCAAATGTATTGGGCTGAATGGAAAAAGAAACTGTTGCTAACACCTTGAAATCCACCTTTAGAAGTTTTGATGGCACCTAATTCCAAATCTATCATTATGGTTTGGGAATTCAATTAGCTGTAAGGGCATTTGTTCTTTGGGGATTTCAACATTCAGGATCATGGCATTTTGGATTGTGTCTTTAGGGATTATAATGAATATTACACAAGGTGCATGGAGGGGAACTATAGAAAATAAGCCTGAAGAAGTAGGTTGGGATTAAATTTATGTGCAACATTGACCTTTGTTCTATAAGGTGAGGAGGAGCTAATAAAGATTATTAGAACAGGAATTGACATGATCAGATTTGATATTTAAGAACTACATCTGACAGCAGGAGCTGAAGAACTGGTGACCTTACAAGCTAATTAGAAGATTATTGGAACAGTCTAGATGAAAAATGACAAGAGTCTAAATGAAGGCCTTGGGTCAAGGAGCCAAGTATGAACGTGTGTGCTTTCAAAGTGGTGGTATGCCTCCCCTAGGGGTGGACAATTGACATTCAAACTTGACGTTCAAATCTGAGTTTTGAAGACATCTGAAGTAGACTGGTATATTCAAGAGTTATTTTTATTCAACATGTAGAAAATTTATTAGTCTTATCTGGAAGATAATTATTCATGTTACTTGTAAAATGTTTAAAATGTGTTAATAAATTATTCTCACTTTAGTAATTATATGTGCTATAGTACTCCAACTAGTATATTAAATATATTGCCTCAGACTGTAGTTTGATAGGTTTCTTAAAACAGTGGTAGAATTACATAAATTTCCATATATATTAATGCAATACTGTTTATAAAAACCATATTACCCATTAATCCAATTCTGCAAAGATTTATGAAGATGCTCCTGAAAATTTTTAATGTGATGCCTTGAGGAGAACATTATATTAGGTCCTGAAGGGAGTCAACTGACTTATGATCAGAAATACAAGATCATCACTCATGAGCAAATTTAAGTCAGCCAATACGGTTATGTTATAGCTAATTCATTCATTCATTCATTCACTCACTTATTAAGTACCTGGGCACTATGAATTAGAAGGCAGACCAAGTGCTATATAAGAGAGGTTCAGTAAAAGTGCTATAACAGAGACTTCAGTAGGCAATGCAAAAATGGAAAGTTCCACCTCTCAGAGAGCTCAGGAAAGAATTATCTGAGCCTTCCTAATTATGAGTTTGTCAAATAGGAGAAGGGAAGACCTGCCATATACAGGAAATGACATGTGCAAAAGCCCACTGGCAAAAAGTCTCCTGACCAATTTTGGAAACCCTGAGAACCAGAATATAGGATAAATGAGGATAGTAGCACAAGGTAAAACACATTACACCATACTAAGAAGCCTTGATTTTATCCTGTAAGAAATAATGAGGCACTGAAGAATTTCAAGCAGAAGACAAATGTGACAAGATTTGGATTTTTAAAAGATCATGCAGTGCAGGTTACAGTGTGGGAAAAGAACTAGAGAGGGTAAAGAAAGGGAGTTGGCCCAGAGCGAGACAGCCAATTAGAAGGTGGTTAACAGCAGTCAGGAGCAGAGATAATGAAGAATCAAGGTAAGTGATGGTGGAAATGGAACAAGGCGTAGGGAAACATATCAGGAATGTAAAATCAATGAGATGTAATGATGAAGGGTGTGAAGGAAAGGGAGAAAATCAGGATGATTCCAGGTTTCTGGGTAGCCTGGGGAGTGATGTTGCCATTGAGTGAGATCGAAAATATAGGTGGAAGGGCAAACCTGTAAAGGAAAATTATTTTAAATACATATTACCCTGGTGTGCCACTCAGATTAAGAGAACCTGCCACAAGGAGCAGAGTTGCCCAACACTGCCCATTGCTGCACCTGTGGCTCCTGGGAGACCATGTTCCTCCTGAGGCTGCCTACTCAAGCCAGCCAGTTCCTGTTCCATATAGGACACTCCTCTAGTGGGCAACTCCTGCTCAGGGATTTTCATCAGCCCACCTGAGACTGTCTCAGAATTGTGTTGCAATTGGAGACTCTTCCCATCCAATCTGTCTTCTGTCTCCTCTCACGGGCACTGGACCCATGTTGGGCTCTGAAGGCTCCCCTAGCCTACTTCTGTTTTCTTCCTTATCCTCCACAAACATTTCCCCCAGTAAATCCCTTACATGCTTAGCCCCATTTTGGCATCTATGTCTTGAAGGCCCTAAACTGACAAGAGGTAGTAAGTAGGATGTCAAGTAAGCAGCTGACGTGACAGACTCGAGGGTCATTGAGAGCCAGAATCACTGAGCCTTGGGCAAGGATGAATCTGCCCCAAGGCTGCAGGTCCTCCGGTGACCCTACTATTCTATAACAGATTGCTACGTGTACTAACAGCTGGAGAGAGGCTGCTGGCATGAGGCAGGCAACATAGGATATTTAGAATAGTTAATGTGGGTAAGGTTTTAGACACCTTAGATTACAATATAGCCTTAGAAACACATACAGAAGAATTTTTTAGCACCCACCATAGCCCTAATTTTAATCTGTGTATAAATAAGTGACATCCTATAGTTCTTGGATCTTCATGCCAGTGTTGAAATATGAGCACTGAGCTATGGGTTTGCTCCATCCTTTCCAAGCACAGGATTCTAAGTATAAAAGAGGGCAGGAAAAGTCAGTATCCTTCAGTACTTGAGAACTGAGTGTTCCTCTACTTGGTGATGGCTTTCCAACTAAATGCCACCTGATCTGCTCCAAGGGCACATCCTTAATTCCCTTAGCTCTGTGTGTGTGAACACATTTTTAAAGCTTCATTTGGCTATATAGATGATTACAGAGTGTGTTTGTTTGTGTTGTAAAACATTGTAATGCTAGTTCCGTCTCAACCTTACCTTGAACTTCTTCCACTTCCTTTGTAATTTGCCAAATTATCTTCTACACAGTTGAAACCAAGAATTGTTACTAATGGTAATGATAATGATATAATTTTATTCATAAACCATACAGAAATTGCGTCTTCATTCAAATCATCTAAATGGCTGGGTTCTCTAAGTGATCGACTTAAATGGTTAGGTTTGCAAGAATCGCTTGGTAAAACTATTTGTGTTTAAGCCAGGTAGGCTGCCAACACTGGGCATACACCCAGCTTTCTTGGCCTAAAGATGTGTTCTCCTAGGTAGAAGCCACCTGGAATGGCCAAAAACAGAAAAACCAGAACTATAGTGTTCAGAAAACATCTACAGTGTGTGCAGATAAGGAGAGAACAAAAGAAATCAAGATATTTAGATTTGTATTACAACTGCTCTACAAAAATATGGTAATTTTTCTAGTCTGTCAAGAGTGTATGTCTGTACTTTTGATCTCAAGACAATGGGGACAGTTATATTACATAACCCATGCAAAGTCACGCTTGATACTTAAGACTATATAAAAATGATGGTTCAATTTCAAATAACCACACTGATAGTAGAATTCAAACTTAATCTCTTTACATCCAGAGGTCAAATTACATTATGTATTTGCCTCTAATAAATAGTTAGAGGAACCATAAACTCAGGCTACAGATGTCTGTATAGCCTAAATTCACCTTTCATCCAACCACCAGTAAAAACTTATAGTTTTCACATAAAACTATTTTTATCTTTCTTGCAAGCTTCTTATCTGAAATAAAATTTGCTTAGAAATCACATCATACATTTAGTGTACAGCACTTGAGAAAAAAATGTATTCCTTATTTGAAGATCAAAAACCCTGTACATGCTTAGTAAGTCTATATATTTAATTTAATCTGTCAAAAGTATCTTTAACATATCATCAAGATCATGGTATAGTAATAGACTTAAACATGATTCAAGATGTTTGCAGGCTCACAAATATAAACCAAGACATAATATGCCATTGATAAAAGTGTCAGCTCCATTTAAGACATTAATGAATACTACAAAGGTGACACTTTATATTCTATTAGTTATTTGTCTTCTTAGAATTGGTAAGCTACATAAACATAAAATGACTTACCTTCTTGAGCTTCTGAATCCATCAAGTAATGAAATGATGGTAGGTGATATATTGATGTTTTCTTCATTATTTCTTGAAAACTAGATAGATAATACATTAAAATATCAAATGGTAATAATTCAAAATATGTATGGAGTGCTTTTATAGTTTCTTAATAAAGCTTAACTTCAAATACAGCAGACAAAATTATATTAAAATATCATATATTAACGAAGCGTGACTTAAGAAAGACCATCTAAACACTATCTAGAACAAATTAAAATCAGAACAAAAGCTTCTGAGTCAGAAATTTTAAAAAGCTACTACAGAAAGAAAACATATTCTTCACCAGAGACTACCTCAGTTGTAACAAAGAAAGGCATCATCTTCATATTGACTAGTAAGACTGCAATCCTAAAATTTAAGAGGCGATTAAAACATTGAAAGTTCACTTGTTACCATCAATGCATCATTAGCACCTATGCAATGTCAAACAGCCTCATTGCCAGATAATCTTTTGAGCAGCGTCTACCTTAAGGAGTCCATACCATCACAGCCGATATATTTAAAACTGAAGAAACTATTTATGCCTCTTGAATAGAGCAGATTATCTGAATAAATTTAACAGTTATTCAAACTTTAGAAAATAACGATTTGATATTTTACTTCTCAATCTGGGGTAAAATAACAATTGCAGTACCATGAATTAATATAGCACTCCTTTCTTCCGAGAATCCCAAAGCACATTTTACAGCCACCACATTTTCTTTTACAGCATACTTCAGCAAGTTAGAAGACATTATTTTCCCTACAGTTTGCAAATCAGGAAAACCAAGGTTAAATTATGTCATTGAGGCTACACAGCTAAAACGATAGCAAAAGTGGTCACATGTTTTGCTCCCAATTTAGATCTCTTCCATTAAAGAAAGACATGTCTGCCTTAAGGCTGATATTTAAATGGAAAGCCTGGACATACCTAAAGGAGTTAGCTGAGTTTCTAGAAGGTTAAAATGTATCATCCACAATTTTTGTTTTTGCTGCTGGGACCTCTGGTAGTGACTGAAAGGCTAGCATCGCAGCACAGTTTACTACTATACACACTCGCTACCACTGGTAACGAGTCCAGGCAGAAGGGATTAGGATTCTGACAGCTGCAGCTCCCACGCCTCTGGTTATACAGCAGTGAGACGGCAATGCCCGTAACTAAGGGGGCAGAAGGCTAGGAATATCCCACGAGTGTCTCGTGAACAGAGCTAAAGGTGAATACAACCCACTCCCGGAAGTGAGTGAAGACTATTTGGAGGAAGTGATCCAGCTTTTAACTTGGATGCCAAGAGTTATTCTAAGACTCCGTGGCTATGACATTCTAGGAAATGAACGCTACATATTTTTCATGTCACCTATCTGCATGGGAACACTGTCTTTAGACTCCAACAACCATACTAGAATGTCTGTAGCATTGCTCTGCACCCAGAAATCAAACTACCATGATTCCTTTTTATTCAGACTGAATGGGCAGGCTCCGAACATAGATCCATCTGTGCACCTGCCCAAGTGCATGTATGTGTGCCTCTCAGAGGACATACACATTTCCCATGCCACTGGAAAGATCCCTGATAGAAAGTTACAGAGTTAAGATAAAGCAATATTGGAAAGTTAAACTTAGGAGTGTGACTACAGGTCCATAATGTATACACAGATGAATCGAGGTCACTTTAATGTATTGGAAAGGGCTAGGAGTTGGGAAGCCTGATTTTAGTTATTCCTGCCTATAATTAGATTGTGATTTTAAGCCATTTACTTAGTATGTTTCTTGGTTTCATCATCTATAGAACAAGTATATATCGGCAGGGTGCCTTAGCCTTTGGGAGACCAAGGCAGGAGGACCACTCAGCCCAGGAAATGGAGGCTGCAGTGAGCCGTGGTCACACCACCAAACTCCCGCCTGGGTAGCAGAGCAAGACCCTATCTCAAAAAAATATAAATGTCTTTTAAAAATGATACAAAAGTCATACAACATATATTTGTGGGGTGAATATTATAGGTAAAAACATTCTGGAAAGTTCAAAATCCTAAGCAATGTGAACTATTATTCATAGGCAGTTAACTTGGGGCAGAGGATACTCTTTCTTTGGGGCTTTTTTAAAAACAAAATAAATGACGAATAAAAACCATTGTCTTTTTTAAGGATTTTTTTGAAAGATCATGCAATCCTCACTGTTAGATCTCTTAAGAGGCAGAATCCCTCAATCAAGCATCTTAACCAACATGACTGTTTAACAAATACATACAGACTTCTGCCTCCAGCTGTAAGTAGCTTATAGCAAACCTCAGCTTCTATTAACAATGAGAAAAATAGATTTTTAAACACACACACACACCCCACACAAACATGCCTCTGTTATAAAGTATCAGAGAGCTGTCAAGGCAGCCAAGAATTCCAGGCATTGCTGTTTCCTGAGGAAGCCAAAGAGAAGACCGCATGTAAGGATAGCAGCGGAGCATCAGGCAATCTCACAGAACTGTGGAGACAAAAGAAGAGTGTGGCTGCCAAGACAGTCAGATTTGTGGGCCCAAGATCCCAGAAAAAAGGGAGAGAGAAGCCTGACGCTTAGTGCTGACTATTCAGTCGAAGAATTGACTGATTAAGCTGTTTAGGGCAAGAGGCTAATTTTTGAAGCATTCAGTGGCAAAAGCAGATCCAAGCGCAAAAGAAGAAACATCAGGGCACTCCTGGAAAGTGACTTTCCTGGAATACGGGTGAAACTAGAAGCTGGAGTCTTACAGAAAAAACTGCAAACTAGCCTTCAATCTACTTTGTCCTCGCTGGCTGCACTGAGGTGATCTTCCCCTCTGCTGCCTGTCCAAATACATTCTGGAATCCTCTCTAGAGGAAGGTACAGGGTACCTATAATTTTTCCCATAGACTGTCCAACATTCAGTTAAAATTTACCCATGCATACCAAGAAACAGACAATAGAAATAAACTCATAGGTGACTTAGATATTGGAGTTATTCGACAGACTTTAAAGTAACTGTGATTAAGATACTCAAAAACAGATGACAAGAAGTACACCAGGGAACTGGAATCTATAAAAATGAGTCAAATTGAAAAAAAAAAAGAGTCAAATAAAACTGAAAAATAACAATCAATGAAATAAAATACTCAATATATGGGTTTAACAGCAAGTATAGATAAAGCTAAACAAAATATTAATGAGCTGGAAGATAATCGAAAAGGCGTATGATGGTCATCATCCTAAATAAGCTCTAGGTACACCAACTTGATGTGAATAATAAAGAATTTGTTCAGCTGCTGATTATTTTAAACAGGCAACCTCTTTCATAGGTAAAATAGCACCCTGGAATTTTGAGTTAGAAGATTTTGGTTCAGGTGAGAAGTTTTACCTACTACATGGGTGAATTTGGCAAAACTGGTTAATGTCTCTAAACGTGTTTCTCCCCTTGTAAAAGCATTATGTCTTGGTCACAGGGTTAAGAGAAAAAGAAGATACAATATCAAACTCTCATATAAATAGTGTTACAGAACAGGTTTCTCATGGTCCTGACCATCCATTTCCCCTTCTGCTTGCCCTGGACTTTGGTTCTTTCCCCTTCTGGCAGGATGCAATGCAGATGAAGTAATCACCCAGTATAGACCACTCAGGCAAGATAGCACCCTAGGGGTTGGCTGAACACAGGACTGCATGACCTCATGGTGCACAACTGCTTCACCAGCTCAGACTGGCCAGACTGTTGAGTAAGAGAGAAGTAATGTTCTAGCTTATTCAGACCACTGTATATGAGCATCTTTTGTTACAGTAGCTTATCCTTTCCCAAAGCTAACGCAGTGAAAAACAAATGTAAATATCTATTAAAGGCATCAAATTAAATTTGTTAGCAAGACAATTATTCTACCTGCAAATATATATGCAGAAAACTCCCAGTGACAAGTAATTCTGAGAAATGAGAAAAACACGAAAAAGTTAATTTTCCCCTCCCCTTGCCTCCAAAAATGTTCTGCTCCAAGTACCTCCAGAGAAAAGAAGCATGAAGAAAAGATTTGAGTTTATGTGGAAATCATTGTTGACTTTAGAAGGAGCTGCTAGAGAAGAATGATGGATGCAGAAGACGTATTTGAAATTAGGAAAAAATAGTGTGCAAAGAAAAGCAGCTGCTGTAGTCCAAGTACTGGAGAAGTTTGGCTGGCCAAGTCAATATAAATGAGAGCCTAAAAAACAACACATCTAGGAGTCGTTCAAAGACTGCTGGAGATTATCTATTTGGATTTTGTTTTCATTGGTGAAGATTTTCAATTTGAAGGCTGAAGGAAAAAGTCAGGAAAGATGGAAATACTAAAGATGCCAAAAGGACACAGACTTGGGAAGGTAGCTCTGAAGGCAGAGGACCCACGCTCAAAGTAATTGGTAGTACTCTCCTCCAATCATTCTTAACTCGAAGCAAATAGGAGCTTGGGGGTTGTTCTTGGGAGACGTCTCCACAGGAGCAGTCTTAAAATAACCTTCTTTGTCCACTCTGAACAAACACTGTGTCAACAACAATCATCCCCTGCAGGCCACTCCTAAAGCTGACCCACCTACACCAGTTCAACTCCAGCCCCCAGCCTCCAAATCCATTTACACAGAAGTCAGCTTCTAATAAGTGAAGTCTGGTTTAAAAGCCAAACATAACGGTACAGAGGTTCCCATACACTTAATGTTCACAGGTAGAATGATGCACCCCATTTAGGTTTCCTAATTGTTTGCTAAAACCACAGCAAACATATTGAAATATGTTCCAGCAGTGAGGCTCCCTCCTGCTATGCTTTTAAGTGGAACCTGAGGGAAAATGCAAAGCCGTGGGCAGCAGGGCTAAACAGTTGTGTAAAACTGCCACTATTGTGGAATTAGAAACATGCACGTATTTCTTCTCAGCTACGTCTGAATGTCAGAGGGAAAGCCTATTGAGAGTGAGTGCTGATCAATAGAAATCTTTTTCGCTTTTTTAACATGTGACCAGGAAGGATCAGACATTGTTAAGATAATGAAAACATGAAAAGACAAAGCCTGTGAATACAAGATAATATCCAATGATACTTGAAATATTCAGCTAAAAAATACTAGAAAAGTAAAACATTAAAAAACAAATGTCAGATTTAGCATTTGTTTTTAGGAACCACACACTAAATACAAAGACCGTGCCACCAGTTAATTTTATTACGTCTTTGCGACAAATTCATTACAAATGGCTGTCATAACTAATTATAGAGGATACATATTTTTTAATTAGGTTTTCCTTTTTCTTCCCCTCGCACGTCTTAGTTTCCTTCTTTTCTTCCCAAACACAGATCTGGCGGTCACGAGGACCATCTTCTCTTTCCCTCCATCGTCATCACTATCACTAGAGCTGCTGGTGGTCGCACCTCCATTCTTCACGGGAGCTTCCTTCACTGAGTTCTGCGAATCTGAAGCACTGGTTTTTGGCTCTTTCGCAGCTGTTCTCCTTTGTACATTCATTAAAGATGAACTTTCAGCATCTTCACTTGAAGATCCATCAGATGATTCTGAGAGGCAGGTCTCCCCCAAAAATCCACCGCATGTATTCTTTCCTTTAGAATCTGAAAGCCTCTTTCTTTTCAGGCTTGATGACTCTTCTAAGGTATTTGTTATGCCTCTCTTCTGGGTTTTTCCTTTTGCCTTATCAAGTAGCTCAAATTCTTTCTCCATGGCAACAGAAACTGCTTCTATTTCGCTGGCTGCTGCTTCTTTCTCTTTCCTTAGCATACATGTCACAGCTCTGTTTAGTCTCTGGCTCTTAATACGTTTAGCATCTTCTTTCTCCTGTTGTGCTAATCTAAAGAAGGAATCAATTCGGAGCTGTGTCTAAAAAAATAACAAAAGAATAATAATAATAAATCAGACAAGTAAGTCAAGTTTCTAAACCAAATCAACAAGCTCAACCTTGATCACTCACATTGGATTACTATGTCAGAGAATATTAATTCATTATCTCCCAAAACCCAGTTCTCTCCCAGTGAATTACTGACAGTAATTTTCACTTTCTAAATCATACCTAAAGCAGTACTTGTACCATCTCTGTCAACTAAGTCTTTAGTCCACATCTCAAATGAGAAATCTCTTCCTAAGATATTCAAAGAGCGTTAAATATTTTTCTGTAGCTAAACATTTCATCTTCCTCAGGAGCAACACGACTTCATGGGGCCTGTTTCTAAGTCCTACTATATCTTTCTTTTAAAAACATTATCATCATACAATACCTTTGAGAGGCAAGTTCACAGTATATATTAGCAACTGTAAGAAATATTCATGCCTTTTATTCAGTAAATTCACTTTTAAGAAGATATTCTTTGGCCGGGCATGGTGGCTCACGCCTGTAACCCCAGCACTCTGGGAGGCCGAGGTGGGTGGATCACGAGGTCAGATCGAGACCATTCTGGCTTACACGGTGAAACCCCGTCTCTACTAAAAAAATACAAAACATTAGCCAGGCGTGGTGGCGGGCGCCTGTAGTCCCAGCTACTCGGGAGGCTGAGGCAGGAGAATGGCGTGAACCCGGGAGGCGGAGCTTGCAGTGAGCCGAGTTCTCACCACTGCACTCCAGCCTGGGAGACAGAGTGAGACTCCGTCTCAAAAAAAAAATATATGGGTAAAGCTATATGCCTAATGTTCATCACAGCATTACTATAACAAACTTGAAAATTAAAGGTCTAACAAGTAAACTGAACTAATTATTTAAATATCTTTCATGAAATATAATCTAGTCATCTGGAATTAAGAAAACCACACAATACATAGAAGAAAATATGCTAATAAGTTGGGGGGGAGGATTAGATCTATTAAGTTACATTTAGTATGGCCACAAATAAATGCAGGAAAATTTTTTAACCTAAATGTTAACAACTGTATTAGAGGAGGTAACTAATGAGTAGTTTTAATTCATTTTCTTCATTTTCTAATTTTGGAAAAATAAACACATTAAGTTTTAGAATGAAAAAGGAGATAAATATTACAACAAAATTTATCTGAAATTAAGAAATCACCAGACACTAAGACAAATAGCTTTCCTTTTTGGTTGGTTTATAATGTTTCCAGTAGATAGTCATCCAAAAAACAAAGAGAAACTCATAGAAATGCTGTCTTAGTTTTGTTCATGTTTTTCAAAATTATCCAAGCCTAATGAAAATGGGTTTAATTTAAATATATTATCACAAAAGCTACATTCTCATTTCTGCTAAGTGGTTTATTTGTATGTATGTTTTGTGGGTTGTTTCTAGTGTGGGCGAAAGCTTGTTTTGTGTGAGTCAGAACATACTCACAGATAAAGCAAGAAGTAGGTACCTAGAGGAACTAAAGGTCATACAAAAGGGCTCCTTCCCACAAAAACCTCTCCTACTGATACACAATAATGACTGAACTTCTACCTTTCAAGATTCGTTTATAGAATTTAAAAATATTAGTACTTATAAAAACTTAAATGATCAGAATTGCTTTGAAGACTTCCTTTCGTTAAAAAATGAAAGTAAATCCCAAGGGGTAATGTATTTAATCAGAAACACCTTAGTGTGAAATCAGTTATTAGACTGGTTTTTTCAAAGAAAAAAATGAATATGAAAGGACTCCAAAGTTCAGCCCTAAGAGTGATCATAGAAAATGAAGCCAAAGTCTAACTTTTCTTTTTCTATTTTCTTCTATTCTCTCATCTAAATTATCCTAATTTCAAAATGTCTGCTCTATGCCCCAAAATAAGAGTTAACTGGTCTTTAACAGCTGTCAACCACAGCCTACCCTTCATCCTGAACTTAGGAGAAGGGTCCACCATGATTACCTGCTGGGCATCGAGTTGCTTTAATACAGGAAACAGAGATTCATCTGTCTTCGTTCTGTTCCAGCCGAAATACCGCTGACAAAATATGCATGCAGTTAAGACTTATAAATATTTTGAAAGATATTTAAACAAGTGACAAATAAAAAGGTCCAAAGAACCCATTCTTGATTCCATTCCCTGTATCTCCTAAGATTTTCCTATTTATAAAGATTAGAGTGCTAAAAGAAAGTACTAACAAAATAAATGACTCCAGCATAATCATCTGGCACTATGTTCTTTTCAATTCTATAAAATAAAACATATTTAGCTCTCACTTTAGGACATCAAAGACTTGTGACTATGAAAAAAGGTTAACTGGAATAAAAACAAGTTTCAGATATCTTGCCTATTTCATTAAGAGAAAAAATCAAACGTAGTTGGATTAATTCTAGTGCAAGTTTTGAAACATCTATCCAAATGATTACTTAAATATACACGGAAAGGACAACCAGTAATAAAAAGGACAAGATTAGTCATCTTTCCTTCTTTCAGAATCAATAATATTTAAGTATGTGGTTATATCTATGAATGCTTATCACTGCTTATTCAAACAAAGACCCTCTTTAAAACTAAGGAGAGGGGCCAGATGCAGTGGCTTGTGCTACTTAGGAGGCTGAGGCAGGAGGATTCCTTGAGCCCAGGAAGTGGTGGCTGCAGTGAGCTATGATTGCACCACTGCACTCCAGGCTGGGTGACAGAGTGATACACTGTTCCTTTAAAACAAACAAACAAACAAAAAACAACAACTGAGGAGAGGGAAGAAAGAGTGAAAAGGAGAGCGGGATATTAAGAAAATGGGATTAACGGGATATAAGAAAAAAATGATCCAAGTTTCTCTTCCATAAGTTTTAAACCAAACACATATTTGACAAGGTGTTTCCTTCTCTTTTAAGAAGCAAAGGATATTCTCTAATTTTGTCGAGATCAGGTTTCCCCCACAGAAAGGATCCCTTCGAGTCATCCACCACGGGTTTGAGGTAGGCCTCGGCAACAGCTGGGTTAGGAAAGCCAGGGGTGAGTTGCAATGTCCGTAATTTTTTTTTCACTTTGGTGTCATGAGGATTAGGTCTTATCTTTGGATTTTTTTGAGCTTCATGCCACCATTCTCTGTAAAATAAAGGAAACAATTACTTACACAGCAATGAGACATTATAGTTCATACACTATGGATGAAGAACTAAACTTAGAACATGTAAACTCAAGTTCTAACTCAAATTGTATGCTATATAGAATATTTTATTAATTTTAGTACTATTAGCCACAATGTATAATGATGGCAAACATTTATGGAAGTCTTCCTCTGTGCTTGGCACTGTGTTAAATATTTCACATGCCCAATCATCACACAAGCCATGCCCTATCGTTACCCTCACCTCACAGAGGAGGGAACTGAACTCAAAAATAAGTAACTGGCTCAAGATTTCACAGCTGGAATTGGTACAGTCTTCCTCTAGAGCCCACACTCATAATTATACCACAGAAGTTACAACTTCTCTGGGTCTCTTTCTCAGCAGTAAAATGGAAGTAATGTATCTGTATTATTTACCTCAAATCAAATACAATAATGGATCGAAGAATATTTAATAAAATGTAAATATGCCAAGAAAATGTTAAATTTGTTTAAAAAATCTGTAAAAACAGATACATGTATCTGTTTTTAAAATTTAACATTTTATATATATATAAATACATATGTATGTAAAACAAATAAATATATACAAAAACAGAGATAATAGAACTCTACTTAAAGTATGATTCCAGTTTTGGAAAAAACACATATATGAGAAAAGTAAACAGATACTTAAAATAAATAACACTAACAACTATTATTTCGCTGTGTGCTAGGCAATATTCTACGTGAGCACACAGCCATTCATTTTCTTCTTTATATTTTATTCATTTTTCAATGTTTTCCATTCTAAGCCTAAATCGGCCGGATAAAGACAGCGACACACTCTTGGACCCTCCTCCCATCACGAAGGGGGTCCCTGTGGCCTCCTCTTGAGCAGGGCGGCCATGGCTGACCAGTGTGACTCAAGCCGTGCCAGGCCTAGGGGAGGCCCTCGCCACTTCCTGTCCCCTGGACCTCCTGCTCTTGGCTCCAACATGCTATGAGGAAGCCAAGCTCACCAAGTGTCCACCCAGGCCCCGAGGCCGAAGCCACCTCATCAGCCCCGCGAGCCATCTTAAGGGGTCCTAGCCCAGCTGAGCTGTCCTAGCCGACATGGAACAGAGACAAGACACCCCCACCAGGCCTGAGCGAGCTTCAGAGGCATGAGCAAAATCAGTGACTACTGCTGTGTGAAGCCACTAAGGCTGAAGGTAGTTTGTAATGCAGTGACGACTGACCAGAAACATTTACACAATTAGGAAAAAATAAATGCCATCAAAGTTACTAACATAATCCTCACCAATCTATGTACTCAATGGAACCTGAAAAAACGCCCGCAGCTCAGGCTCCCCCGCTTCACAAGCTTGCTAGTGCAGCATTAGGAACCCACTCAGACCGGCTGTCAGGGCCAGGGTCCGCCTCACCGATGCAGGAGTGCCATCTAGCGTTGGAAATTACTAATTGCGGTCTTCAAAGTATTATAACAACAAAATGCAAAAAGGAAAAAATAATTTTTCTTCATTACTTTTACAACATTCTTTCCAGGAGTGCACTGAGAGAATACCGATAATTCTCCTCTACTTTACTTGCAGATTTTCGTTTTTGAAACTGTAATCATGACTGGCAGTTAGAATCAGTGCACTTGTGAGCTCATCAAGCCAAAGCTATGGTTACTCCTTCAAGCAGGAGGGCCTGGCACTTCACATAAAGATGAAAGGAGGAAGGTGTCTGTCAATCAGCTGAGCTGGGGGAGTGGAGGCAACTGTGATGAAACTGAAGGATTCATGCCCAGTCCAAGGCCTTGGGGTAGGGGAGGGGAACTGCTGTTGCTCCATGCCAGCTATTTTGGGGCTATCCAGAAATTCAGGCCCAGTATTTTCAGCTCTCCTTTTTCCCCCAACAGAATCCATAATTTTGTGTAAAATCTCCCAAAGGTAAATGTTGGTAGCCAATTGAAAATTAAAGCTCAAGAGAAGAATACACCGTGTAGTCCAAACCAAATGTGACTACAGCTCAATTCAACCTGCAGGCCCAATGCAGCCCCACTCTAAGAATGATTCACCAGCCAGGGTGCCCTCAGAAGAGGAGAACAGAAAACAAAGTGAGGCCACATTCTGATTTTACTGGTTTCCCACCATCCTTCCTGCTCTTTACTCTGTATTCATCCTAAATGTCCTGAGCCAGGCAGAGCGAAGGCTGCTCCTATCTGGCATCAACGAGCTGGAGGACCAAAGGCAGAAACTGCTCAAATATGAAAATGATTCAGCAGGCAACAAACGAGCAAAAACTGCTGAACAAAGAAAAGTGGAACAGCATAAACAGGTCATTCACTAAATCAGAAACACAAACCGTCTATGAACATAAAAAATTCACTCTCAATAGTTATCAAGAAACCAAATGGAAAAGTCAGATACTATTTCACTTATTCTAAAATAATCATTAGATAAGAACCCGAAGATTAAGGACACTCAAATCAATGTCTGTTAATACCTTTCTAAAAATAGAAATAACAAAAGACACTTGATTAAACTAGCCCTGATAGACGCAAAAAGATACTACCTGTAGCCATTAAAAACGATATAAATCTATATCATCGTTGATAATAGGTCTTGTTCTAATACCAAATGGGTTACAGGTAAAATAAAAAGTATATAGCATCATCCCATTCTTATAAAAAAAATCATACACACACTCAAATGAGTATACATATATATGCAATGTATATGCATATATATGTGTGAAGTCTAAAATTACATAAACAAATTGTAAACTGTAATCATCTTTTTAATACATATTTATAATTTTCTATGATGTATTTACTTTATTTGTATAATAAAGTTATTTGTAGGTTTTCAAGTTATTTACCTACCATGACGTATGTCTACCTCATAACTCATTCCCGGTATATAAATTTCCTCAACAATAAGAAAATCAGAAAAAGATAAATGAAGAAAGTATAAAATACAACACATTGGTGAGTGTGCTATGACTGGAAGACCATGATCACTACAACAGTTTCGCCGTTCATTTCAGTGATTCCAGTCACTGACTCTTCAGGTCAGAGCATCCTAGCATCTTTCAAACACAGGATATGTAACTGGAGAGAACACTCAAGGATCATTAAATCAGCCACCACCAAACAGCATCTCACGACATAGTGACGGTTAAAAGATGCCACCACAATCTTGTGAATACACTAAAAACCAATGAACTGTACACTTTAAATCGGTGAACTCTGTGGTATGTGACTATATTTCAATTTTTTAAAAAGATGCCATCAAGGACAAAGAAAAAACTACTTTCCCAGACATACTCATAACTCCTACCATCTCAGAATCTTCAAAATGATAAATGTACCCCGAGTATAGCACGACTCTGGGTTCTGGATGGAGCAAGACTTCACCACTGAACACGTCACGGGATTCACATGGTGAGAAACAGGACAGGAGTGCTGGATGTAACATTCCTGGCATTATATTTCCAAGTCGCTTCCTGGCTGACCTCTCTCAGGACACCAAACACACAGACAAGTACAATTTGCTTTGCTTCTCCATCACCTCCAAGTATATGGGGGGAGTCCTTGAGGGTATGGCCTATGCCTTACTCATCTCTCCTTTCCCCAGGGCCAGCACAGTGTCTGACACATCATAGCTGCTCTATAAGTATGTCAATGGATGAAAAGGCAACTTCTACATTCCTGTGAAATCCACAGGACTGGCTTTGTACCCTTGAACTAGGATAAGCCCAGCACCACTAAGAACTGACTCTGATTTCATCATCTCTAGAAAATGGAAAACAACCAATACTTTCTGCTGCTTTCTCAGTGAACCATTGTTCACATGTTACAGCATGACAGTTCATGCTGTAAATAATAGTTCTATTTGCTTATTTGGGTATTTACACAATTATCCAAATTAAAGAAATAAAAGACCTTACGAGAATTTTAGGAGAGGTTCCAGGCCATGCCCAGGGAATTCATTGAGAATTTCCATGGCGGTTACACAACCCACAGTTGGTATTCCTTCGGTATAATCACTTCCAAGCAAATAAGCCAAATTTATTAACTTATTCCGGTCCAATCCTAAAGAGTAACAATATTTTTTAATTTTTATCAAGATTTCTTATATGACATTTATAAACATTTTATTATATAAATCATGTACGTGTGTATATCTATATCTATATCCAACCACCAAAAATATCTTATTATTTGAAAATAAATTATTTTATTCAATGGCATTCTGTTAATATTTTTAAAGTTTCATCCATTCTCATAGCTTTAAATACCCTCTATACGCTGACCCCCAAAGTTAGCTATCTAGCCTGAGTCTCTCTGAACCACAGTCACATATATTCAACTATCAACTCAACACCTCCACTGGGTATCCAATGAGCATCCCCAATTTATCATATCCAAACCTGAACACTTCGTTTCTCCTCCTCCACTGTGCTCCCTCCTTGTCTTACTGAAGGCAGGTCCACTCGACCAGCTGCTCAGTATCTGGAATCCTCCTCGACTTCATTCTTCTCCCACCCCACATTCAATCTGCCTGCATACCCTAGCACACCAGACCCTGGTGGGTTTCAGCTTCTTCCTATTCTCTAAGATTAACCCTTGCCATTTCCTCCCTCCTCCTCTCACACTGGCCTCCTTGCTTCCCTAGAACACAGCCCACAAGCTTCTGCCTCAGCCCCTTTCACTCACTAGTCCCGAGGTATCTATCTACAGTGCTTGCTTCCTATTTCCTGCAGGTCCCTGCCTTGAAGTTACACGAGTAAAGCCTTTCCCAACAACTCTCTGAAACAGCACCTGCACTCTCGATGCCTGAAGTTCACTCTCTCCTCTCCTTTACTGTTATATTTTTCTATTTGGCACTTACCACCAACTGTCAAATTATGATTTATGTATCTGCTTATCATCTGTTTCTCCTACTATTTTACTCTCTGTTCCTTCCCTCTTGTTAAGAACAACTGGCATATAGGAGTCACCAAACATATATTTGCTGGATGAACAGAAGAAGATCAGTGCCAGAAACCCGAATACAGGCCCAGGCGCGGCCTGCTTCCCCTCTCCACCACCTTTTGTTCACTGTGGAGATCTCGGGTAACTAGTCAAAGTTTAACTAAGTCAGTTGATTAACTACCTAAACATACTAGGACTTTAATTCCTTAATTCAAATGTTTAAAATCCTATTCCTCTATATAAGCCAAAGATCACTCATATAAAAATTTGCATAGACCTGCAATTTCCATCAATGCATCAAACTAGTTCCTTGGAAAGAAAACTTCCTAGGACAAACTCTGAAGGTAAATGTCAGAAAGTAATCAAAAAGACTCTGAAGTCTTACCCAATTGATTGTGAAAGTCCACATATTGATAATATTCTACAAACTTGTTTTTATTAAAAAAGTTTCTATAGACATGCCGCGCTCCAAACAGCCAGATATCACTGTCATCAGTGATGGTTCCGGAAGTCTGATCAGTCAGGTCCAGGATGGCGCACTGCGCCTCTGCTTCCATGGGAGCCTGGATGTAGGGAATGCCGAACAGGCGCAGGAGTTCCTGCAGAGTGAGGGGTACACAGTGACGCCCAGGGAAGGGCACCGCCAGGCCCTGAGCACAGGGGGAGCAGTGCCTACCACTTCATGTAATGCATTCATTCCTGCAGAGTTAGGGACACACAGTGACCCCCAGGGAACGGCATCACCAGGCCCTGAGCACCAGGGGGCACAGTGCATACCCCCTTCATGCAGTGCATTCCCCCAGGGGTCTGAAGAAGGTGGTAAAGGAAACCCAAGCTGCCTGCACCCACCTGGCTTTCCAGGAACATCTGTCCGGTGACAGTAGCAGCGATCCGTTCTTGCTGCTGTTTTTGAGCTTTCAGTGAATTCTGCTGTGCTAAGAGGTTGCTCTCCAGAGTTTCCAACTCCTCCTATAAAATGTTTTTTCATTTATAGATTTATATTAATAATCCAAATGAGTTTTGTTTACAAAAAGCCTGCATTTAGTCTGACTGAAATTACCAATAAGCTCTTTCTCCTTAGGAAGTACTCCACTGGATGTCTAACCAAGACTCTGTAATATCTTTAGAGATTCATCACTAAACCACATGGAAAACGGAGTCTATCCCAGCCAGTAACCTACACAAAAATGAAGCCATCAGCAACCACAAGATGTACTGCAAATAGCTACTAAATACTCATCCACCAACTCCTTAAAACTCAAAACCTACTTAACCTGGCTTCCTCAGCAAGAAGTCGAAACACAATGTTACGGTATTACCAAATTAATATCTTGCCATTCATGGAGCGAATCTTCCGCATCTTTCTCAGCTTCCTGTGGCTCACCATCCACGTCGTCCCTCTCAGAGTTGTCCCTCAGGAGGCTCTCGGACTCAGCAGGGGCTTCTCCCTCCCTAGTTCCTACCAGTTCCTCTTCGCCTTGTTCTGAGGGAGGTTTGGAAGTTTCAGGGAATTCTGCTTGAAGTTCCTCATCACTAATCACACTTTGCACTTCAATGAAACTTCCTGTACCAAAATTAAAAGGTCACTTCATCTACAATCAAAACATTAAAATGATCCTGCAATCATCAAGAGCTTTCTGGAGGAACCTGAAAAATGCTACATCCTAAAAAGGAAAGATATGACTATAACAGAATACATGTAATAGTAGCGTTATTAATAAATAAATGTAATCACAAATGCCTGTAACTTCAAAACAAGCCTTTTCAATTAGGTAAACTGGCACTGTCTTTGAAAGTAGGAAACTCTCTTAAGATTTGTATATTCGCTTTATATAAATATGTTCTAAGTTAACTGACATTGTTTTAAAAATTCAAAAAGGAGGATTATCAAAGTATATAAACAATCATGGAAGTTGCTCAGTATGTTTTTATGCTATTTACACAGCACAGAATAAAGCTGTGACTAAGAAATAGTTCTTCCTCTTCCACTTCCCTTCTCTCCTCTCTTACTGTCTTACTGTCTTTCCTTCTCCTTAAAATATATTTAATGGTTGCCTTCCTTCCCTGTAGGTGGAGAGGGCTGGCAAGGCCTGTCCAGCTGGGTTTAAGGAGACAATCAGAACAGAGGAGGGGGCTCTCAGGGACTGGGAGCTGGCACCAAGGACACAGCTGAAGCAAAGAAGAGAGCAGGGCCAAGGAGGAGGCCAGTGGGAGGGGGAGATGGTTACATATCCAGGGAGAATAAGCAGATGTAAATGTATTGAGGATAAGGGGAGCAATGTTTCTCATTGTTAGGGAAACTATAAAGAAGCAGGAGGCTAGACTGAACCCCATGGAATTGCAGATGTCAGTATAAACTCATGGATTTTAGTACAGATAGACATAGAAATAAATATAGATGTGTGTGTGCATGTATATGTATACATAAATATACTTCCTGGCACTGTTGCTGAAAAGGCCTGAGACAGTTATACCTCAGGATCCATAAGCACACTCACATCCAGCTTGTGGTGTCTAAACCCCATGCTCCACTGAAAGGAACCAGAGCTCCCTGGTGAAATGGCTGGTTCCAGGACCAGGGCAGAGAAAGTACAACATATGCCTGAAACAGCTTGGCCAGAAAGCAAGGAAAAGCTCAAAATATAATGAAAAAACTGCTGAAAGCCATTAGAAGGAGCCCCAATGGCCAAAGCTGTGATAATTTGAGTAACAAAGTAAATTATGACAGTATTGGATTATAACTCACTAAATAGGAATACAGGAGTCTACACTGATTAAAAATAATAAAAATAAATGGGGAGAAGGAAAAGATCTTCCTCATAGGAGGATGTCAAGTAATAATATATAAGGAATGATGGAGTTAGAAAAACCATCATTTGGCAACCAACGTAGTAACAAATTATTCAGGTAAACATCAATGGATGCTAACAAGTGGGTGGAAGTTTGTTCAGGAACAGCATATTTATATAGCTCCAAAAATTCCTTTTCCACAAAATACTTATTAATTACAAAAGGGAAATAGTAACATTTGAATGAAGAAAACTAGCAGATACCAGGAACAAATTGTGTGTGTGTGTGTGTGTGTGTGTGTGTGTGTGTGTGTGGTTGATTCTCTTATTCAAAGTGGCCATCACGTATGAAGTCTCTGTGAACACTAAATTAGCCAATACCGAGTCATTGCTCCTAAACATATCTATGTGCATATACACACATATGCATATATAACATATATATGAACACATTTCATATATATTATCTTAAATCCTAAAAAACCACCATCTTAATAGATTCCATTTATTTTATAAACAAGAAACAAAGTTCAAGAAACAAATTAGTGACCTGTGTGAAGCTGCCACGCTAACAGGTGCCAGAATAGGGATTCAAATCTGGTCCAACTGGCCTGGGGCCGGAGCTTCTTGCTCTCTCTCCATTGCATAATCCCCTACTGTCCCCACCCTCTGGTCATCTCTCTCAGAACACGGGAACCAGGCAGAGTGTCACCTTGCTTAACCTCAGCAGGGGACAGTGTGGCAACTCAAGCTTTTCCCCAACTCTGCAAATGTCCACAAATGACCACAAAGACATTGCGGTGAGTACTGATTTTGGAGTTATAAATAAATTTTAGTGATCAGGCAATTTTGCAAATATGGAATCTACAAATAATGAGGATCAATGGTATACATATGTATACAGATTTGGAGATATATGATATACATATAGAGGGCCACAGAGAGACCAAGAGAAATTCTAAGCTAATGTGGTAACATGCTAGCCACTGAGGTACTGGATGAAGGAACCAGTGTTTTATAATATTCTTCCAACTTTTTAAAGTTCATAATTATTTCAAAATAAAAAGTTTTTAAAAACTAGAGGGAAACTCAACTTTACCTTCCCCAAATAGGGCACTTCATGCCTTTAAAAATGATAACAAAAAGCAGAGCAACACAGGGAAGGTCAAGATTCCATGACCAGCTGTGACTCCCTGGGAAAGTCATTTCATCTTTCTTTCTACGTCTCTCGTTCCTTATCTGTAAAAAGTTAAAACGGGACTACACTAACCGATCTCTGAATTCCTACAGAGGGGAAATCCTACCGTTCCAGATTTCTACAAAAGCACAGACACGTACCATCAGATTCACTTTCTTCCGAGTCAATTTCCATTGGTTCCACGGCCTTTGGAATGGAAATTAAATCCTGGCCTGCAGATTCAGTGGTCTGCTGTTCTTGGATGGTTTCCAGAAAATTCTCATGCTCTTTAGCATTAAATGACACCACATTTTCCACATTATCTACTGCCTCTGAAGGGACACTTACTATGCTACTTGTTTCTTGCAAACTGACAGGGCCAATGACTTCAGAAGCAGAATTCGGTTTACATTTTGTTTCATCATCACTTGAAAGAAGAGAAGAATCGAATTTACTCTCATATGGGCAAAGTTCGTTCTGCTGCTCAAGCACTTCAGCATGTGTTTCATTCTTTGACACAGAATTTGTACAAGTTGGAGATGCCGGTGTCAGTTCCCTTCCATTCGGGAGCCCAGGTGCGTCACTATGTCTAACCACTGCACTCTCCAGAGGCAGCCGATCTTTTCTGTCCTTAATCATAGACTCATCACTTATCGGAAAGGCTTCAGTCCCCACGTGAACAAGTGACATTTGTTCTTTTGGAACTGAGTCTGTGGGCTCTCTCCCCTCATTAGTGCTGGCTACGTGCTCCTCTGCAGAGTTCACACTAGATGACGCAAGTGTTGCAGTAAACGGTATTCCTTTTCCATCTCTCACTTTAAGTCCTTCATCACTGTTCTCGGTGGAGCTGTTTATACGCATTTCTTCTGCTCCTGGCCCTCCCGTCTGCACATCATCCCCAGCACACACTTTTACATCTTCGTCATCGTCAAGAGCTCTCTTAATGGCTGAAAGAGTCCGGGGTGATATGGAGCCTTCGTCTACAGCAGCAGGTGCGTTCCTCCCACGGGCCTGCCTTCGATTTTCACTCTCCAGCTCCTCTTCTGAGCTACTTCCCAGCAGGGCAGCTTGCATAGCTAGTAAAGTTCTTGGAGAAGGAGGGGTAGCATCAGGCTCTTTCTCTGTCTTCAGTTTTTCACATGGAGATGACTTCACGTCAAAAGACATGCCGTGCATTTTGCTGGAAGAAGGAAGAGACTCTGAATCCACTTCTGCAACTGTCTTAGCTTGAATACCTTAAGAAGAATTAAAACACTTCTCACCATTCAGTTTTACAGTGTGACAATACGCTTCTAGTAAGATGGATAAGAGAACACTGGTTCTCATAAATAAGTATATACATTTTCATTTAATCGGCAACTAGGAGTTAATTCATTAGCTAATTTTAAAGTGGTTTGGCACTATAGTAGTTAATCCATTAATAGCAGTATACAGTTATTACATAAATAGAATTTCATTAATATTATCCAGGGGTGCTAGTTTATAGAATTCAGAGTCATGATATATCTTTGATTTTTTAATGTAAATATATAAATGATGGTGCCTGATACCTTTTATCAAGATGTAATGTGAAGTGTCTTCAGAGACCACTCTCCTTGACTCTACCTCCTTCAGAAAGCCCCCTTCATCTTCATACTGCCTTCGGATGTGTCCTGAATGTTGCTGATTCATTTCCTTTTGGACATGTTCTATATGCTGGTTCAGATAGTTCTTTTTAAGCAAGCCTTTGAGTTGGTACTGTGAAAAGTCATCAGACTCCTAAAGGCAAAATAAACAAACAAAATTACTGTTTTATATTAAATACAGATAATATTACCATATTTCCACCCTTTCCCCAACAGGGAACAAAGAACAATTGGCTTTTTTCATTGATGGTAGTTTCATATTATAAAAGGTGAATAACAAGAAAAACTACAGCTTCCTTTTAAAAAAATAATCTTCGAAAGAGTTGGGCAAAAAAAAATCATGAATACTATGGCCAGGTGCGGTGGCTCATGCCTGTAATCCTAGCACTTTGGGAGGCCGAGATGGGTGGACCACCGGAGGTCAGGAGTTCGAGACCAGCCTGGCCAACGTGGTGAAACCCTGTCTCTACTAAAAATACAAAAATTAGCCGGGTGTGATGGCAGGCACCTGTAATCCCAGCTACCCAGGAGACTGAGGCAGGAGAATCACTTGAACCGGGGAGGCAGAGGTTGCAGTGAGCCGAGATTGTGCCATTGCACTCCAGCCTGAGGGACAAGAGCGAGACTTCCCCTCAAAAAAAAAAAAAAAAAAATCATGAATACTGTTTATGATTTAATCATTATTCAATAAACATGTATTGAGCATGTAATGCATAGCAGTCACTATGACATCTGATTATGGCTTAACAATCTTCTAGAATGTAGGTAAATATGCAAGTGAAGTGTCCTGCACAACCTTATCCCATAAAAGACACAATAAATCACAGTAATCACAGTTATTAACAGTAATACTTAACATTATAAGGCATTTCCCATGGAGGGCATTTTTCTAAGTGCTTTTACATATAATACCTCATTTTATTCTCACAATCATCCTATGAAACAGATATCACCTCCATTTTATAAATGAAGAAATTGGGACTTAAATAGGTTAGGTAACCTCCCTAGAGTCACAGGGCTAATAAGTGGTAGATCTGGGATCAAAAGCATGTCAATTTACTACAATTGATTCTATTAACATAGTAGACAGCCCCCTCATCCTTGGGGTATGTTCCAAGACCCCCAGAGGATGCCTGAAACTGCAGAAGTACCAAACCTGATTGTCATCAATCAGAACATGTTTCTCTTCATGTCTTCCACCCCAAAATGTAATGGCTTTTCCATCCTAACTGAGCACTTATCACACGCTGAGGTCATGACTTTTGCAGTTTATGGTACGGCAGCAAAACTAGCACCAATTTCTTTTCGCTTCTTCACAATATCACAGATAGAAAAGTCATTTTTATGCAGATCTAAGCAACCTCAGCCAGAATACGATTTTTTTCTTTCCTTATTAATTCAAGAACTTTCACCTTTTCATTTAAAGGAGGCACTTTACAGCTTCTCTTTGGCATATTCAAATTGCCAGCATCATACTCTTGCACTGTTGTGCCATCATTAAGTCAAATAAGAGTGACTTGAGGAGAAGCACTGCAATATCGCGACAGTTGATCTGATCACCGCGACAGCTACTCAGTGATTAACAGGCAGGAAGCATCTACAGCACGGAGATGCTAGACAAAGGGAGGATTCACGTTCCAGGCAAGATGGAGCAGGAGGGTGTGAGATTTCATCACTCTACTCAGAATGGTGTGCAACTTAAAACTTATGAATTGTTTATTTCTGAAAGTTTCCATTTAATATTTTCAGACCACAGTTTACCACAGGTCACTGAAAACTGCAAACCGTGAGTAAAGTGGAACTATGGTATTATGATTATTACTACTGCTATTATTACCTACCATCACTACTATTATCAATATTACATTTGCACGACATACAGATCACACAAAGGCCCAACATGGATGACTTAGAACATCTCTATCAAAATTACAGATCCAGTAAGCTGCTACTCCACACCACCCTACAGTCCACCACTTCCAGAGACTTCATGGTTGCAGAAAGAAAATAAAGAACAGTAAATCATTAGGGACTGTCTCTCTTTCTCCCATTTCTTCCTGTTATTGTTTACACAACCAAAATTCTACTTCCTCAACTGCCAGCCAGAGATCCTTTCATACTCAAGAAATAAAATGCCTGATAGACAGACTGAGCCTGGATTTTTCTCCTGAAATAAAAATCAATTTACTTCTGTCCTTTGTATATCCAAAGACCCAAGAATGTCACTTCTGTGCACCTTAGTGTGTGCTACTGCACATTCTTTGTGGAAAAAACAGGGAGTGATGAGAAAAGAAATTTACCCTTCCTTTTTCATATTTCTGCTATCAATTTAAGCAATATTCAAAAATTGTAGAAAATAAAAAAACACTCCATCTATGCACTAAGGTCGATGATGCTGCAAAATTTCGATTCTGTCCTATAGTGGGTGAATGGAGAACTACGGTAGAAATAACAGGTAGCAGCAACAGAAAGAGAAAAAGAACTCACTCACTGGCAACTAAGACAGGGAGTCATCAATAGTAACATGAATTAAGTATCAATGGCAGCATGATCAGGAGACACATTTGCTAGCACCCAACTGCACATACCACCTCCACTCTAGCTTTCTGGGCCTGCCAAGCTACAAGATGTTCCAAGGTGAAGAAGCCCCATTCGCACTGTCCAGGAAGAGGGCAAGGGAATGTGGAGAGCCAATGGCATCTCTAGGGCTGCAGCAGAGGAAGATATACCTGGAATTTCAATTTAGAACTTATTTTTCCATTGTGATTAGATTCTATATGACTATTAGTTTTTATAGACAATGTATATTATAGGTTACAATAACTTTTATGACCTAACCTAAGAATTGAGTCAGTAAGCATCTACTGGACACATACCATGTGAAAAATACTGAGCTAGACACTGAAAATACAGAGGTGAGCAAGATAAGCGTGTTTTGGAACTAAGAACTATGAAGTGATATTACAGGGTGCTGTGAGAACAAAGACCAGGAAAAAAGACCTAGTCTCGGGTCAAAAGTCAAGAAAAACTTCTTAGAGTAAATGTCTATAGGCTCAAACGTATAAATATACGATGCTTCTTAGAATCTGAGATGTAGAAATGCTGTTTACTGTTAACTGAGATATCGTGTAAGTATTGCTTATCAATTTTCTCTTCTTTCTAATAAAAAGTTTTGCTGAAGTTCTTAATTCTAAGCATGAATGTACTGTTGCATATTTCACCTCTGGCATTGCTTCAAATAATGTTCTTCTGCGCTTGGTGAACTCTTTCATATCAGTCAAGATTTCATGCTTTACTTCAGGGGGCAGGCTGCTGAAGTCCTCAGACTCAATATCTATCGCTTGAGGATTATGAAAGAACTCTTCCTGTAAAGATAAAATCACAGCACCATGAAATTTACATTTCATACACTTAGTTCTATTCAACATTAAGGATATGTATTATGTTTATATAATAAACACAGTTCTACATAATCAACAATTGGCTAAACACAGTTGCATATAATCTGTGACAGGCAACAAAGTGAGTAGGCAAATTAGGGAATGTAGCCATTCACTCTTTAATTCATTCAAAAGAAAAAAATACTTAGCAGGTACCTCTAAGGCACCAGGCACTGTTCTAGGTGCTAAGGTACTGTGAGATCGGATAAGGTGCCAGATAAGGTCCCTGCTCTTAGGAGCAGAGGAGAGAAGACAATAAATAAATAAATAAATGAACAAGATAATGGTAAAATAAAGCAGATTTATCTGATATGAGAGTGATTACATGAACAGAACGTGGAAAAAAAGATCTATTTGATAGATAAAGAAGACCCCACTAAAAAGAGGATGTGTGAGCAGGGACTTGGAAGATATCAAAGAGCCTCACTGAGGATAGAGCATTTCAGGCTGAGAGAACAGAAAATGCAAGAACCCAAGACAGAATGTGCCTTAGGAATTCAAGCAATATATATCATTCCCATAATTAAGTTAGTTTTATTTTGCTTATAACATAAGAAATGAAATTAAAAGAAATTCACAGAAGACATGGAAAAGTGTAAAACTTTTCTCAACTTTAACTCATTACCAAAAGTACTTTAAAATCCTTCATTAGTAAAAAAGATAAGCTAATACAACCTGATGTCCTGCATGTCTGTATGTTACATGTGTACGTACCAACCAGCAAACACGTAGGACAGACCTGTCACTGCGCTCAGCATTTCCTGTGCTTTCCCTCACTAATGCTCCCATCACCCCCATCAGGAAGGCATTGATATCAATTTCGTTTTACAAAAAAAAATAAAGCCTTGGAGAATTTAATCTGTGTAAGATCACACAGCTAGTGAACAGTGGAGCCTGGACTGAAACGCAGGTCTTTTTGACCACGAGGCCCATGGTCTTAACTAAGATTGCTCTCACTAGCTGCATTAATAGCACAGCACCTCCGCAACCTGAAGGATCTCGAGGTTTTAGCTCAAAAGTTTCTACCTGATAGAACAAAACCATATGAACAAACAAGAAACAGTGAATTTGGGAATCAAAAAATGCTATCTGTGACACTAAGAAACTTGAAAAATGTTTATGAAAAAAATGTATATATACAGCATAATCTCAATTTGTAAAAATGTTATTCATGAAAATATGTGTGGGACATTCTTCTTGTCTAACTCTCTGCCCCTTCCATAGGGCAGTAACTAGCTTCTGAGGAACAGGATGTAGTGGGAAGGATGCTGCACAACTTCCAAAGCTAGGTCAGAAAGGCAACAGGGCTTCTGCTTAGAACTTTCTCTTGGGATGCCCACACTGGGAATACAGTCATCATGCTGGGAAAATGCCCAGGCCACGTGGAGAGGCCACAAGTAGGTGCTCTGGTGCTGGCCGCATGGAAGACTGGCTGACAGCCAGCATCAACCACCGCCCATGGCAGCAAGGAAACCTCGTTAATCACTCCAGCCCCAGCTACAGACTGGCTGCATCTACACAAGAGACCCCAGAGAGAACTGCCTGTCTGAGCTCATCTACCCCTGGAACCCAGACAGATGACGATAACAAATGATGTTTTAACCACTAAGTTACACAGCGACAGATAACTAGAACATACACACATATGTGTACACATATATATGTACACATGCACATTTGATACATATATACAAATACACACACAGATATTCAACTATATGGGGCAGGCAAAGAATGGATGAAAATATATCAAACTGTTATTACAAGTTATTTATGAATGATATGTTTTCTATATTTTCTATGTAAGCACATATTACTATTGGTTGGTTGGTTGTAAAAGAAAAATAGCTTGTTTTGAATATATAGATGTGCATAATGGCAAATTCCATATATATATATATACACGTGTGTAGGTGAGTGTGTTTTAAATACATACATGTACACATATATATGCACAACCAAAAAGCCATCTGTCTTTACTTTTTATCAGGAACTTTCACAGTTTGATATACCTCATTAATATTCATTTTCATGTCATTCATTTCAAATAACAGAATACATTCTGAATTCAAAAATGATCTAAATACCTGTAATGCTTGTTTTTGATTCATTCTTTCTTGCCATTCTTTTTCATCTTCCTCTTCTGAACTGAAAGTCAAACATACTTTTACGATATCTATGATTTTTAAGGACCCCTTACAAAAATACTTGTATGCAAGGCTCTGCTCGTTATACGGGCTACAGTGGTGAATAAAACAGCAAGATCTGTGCCACTACTGGTCTCATGGTCTGGTGGGGGACACGTGTAAGTAAGCAATTAGAGTGGGATCTAATAACTTCCACCACAAGGGAAGGGCAGGTCACTAGAGATGCAATAGGGAGTCACCTCACCCAATTTAGGAGTCACAAAAGCTTTCCAGGATCTCCTGCAATTACACTGGTTGGAGTTAGCCACGAATTAATGAGTGTAGTTGTAGGGAGCGGGAAGGTTCATGGAGAAGAGTGTTCCAGGCAAAAGAACTAAGTTGTATGACCATATAGAAACAAGGAAAAGAAAGCCTGCCTGTGGATGATGTGAAGAAAGGCAGGGATAAGACTGGAAAGTGTAATTAAGGAGTTAAAGTTTTATCCTAAAGAAATGAGAAGCTAAGCTGCGTGTGGTGGCTCACGCCTGCAATCCCAGCACTTTGGGAGGCCGAGGCAGGTGGATCACTTGAGGTCAGGAGTTCGAGACCAGCCTGGACAACATGGTGAAACCTCGTCTCTACTAAAAATACAAAAAATTAGCCAGGTGTGGTGGCACGTGCCTGTAATCCCAGCTACTCCGGAGGCTGAGGCAGGAGAATCGCTTAAACCCAGGAGGCAGGGGTTGCAGTGAGCTGAGATTGTGCCACTGCACTCCAGTCTGGGCAACAGAGACTCCATCTCAAAAAAAAAAGAAAGAAAAAAATGAGAAGGAGAAGCTAGAAAGTGTTTTAAGTAAGGAAATGACAATATCAGATTTGGATTTTAAACAGACTATAACACAAAACAGAGATTGGGCTTGGTGGGAGGAACTATTACAAAAAGGGTATGATCAAAGACAAAGACAGAAAGAAGTTTAAAAGCTAATAATGTAACCTGGAGAAAAAATGACAGTGGTAGCAATGGAGACAAATAGAACTGAGCTGATACAAAAGCTAAGTTGTCTCTTGGGAACTCCTGGGAAAGGAAGAGGTGGAGGGAAGGACAGGGGACAAAGGCAAACTGCCAAGCTTCCGGTTCTCCACCTTCACTTCAAACACAGAAACCACCAACCATTAAGAGAGAGACAGAGGAAGAGGAGTCCACAGAGAGGCTGAGCAGAAAGCGCCAGAGAGATGCCGGGGGAGCGGGGCAGTGTGGCATGGTGTTTAGTGCAGAGAAGTCGAGCACACTAAGACGTGCAAAGCGTCTGCTAGATTTAGCAACAAGAATGTCATGGGTTGTGGTATTTTAGCATCATGGTGAGAGAGACCATACTGGATTGAAAAGCAGCTAGAGACAGCATGTGTAAGCAAAGTGTAAGCAAAACTAAAATTCATGCCTTGGAGAATTTAGAATCCACAGCCCTGGCAGAAGTTCTTTAGAATGAAGAGGAATAAGAATCATGAATCACCAAAACACAAAGAATAGTAAATAAAAAATTTAGTCTTTGAAAAATATTCTGAAAGGTATAGAGCATGCCTATTTCAGATGCATTAAGAAATGTTCACATGCCTTATCATGTAGATAACACATCAAGGTTTAAATGTGTCTGAATGTAGCAATGACTAAAATAATATTCTTAAATAGTTAAACATTTACCTGTGTTTTTCTTCCTCTTGTAAAGGAGGCAAAACATAGAGGTCGTTTTCTCTTCGAACTTGGGTAAGACTGGGTAGTGCTTCATCTCTGGAAAGTACACAAATCTTTAAACAGATTATGCAGACCCTGCTCAGGATGGTGAACAGGGACCTGACCTGGCTGCTCTCAGGCCACTGCTGTGGAAAATAAATGCAGCCGAGAGAAAGGAAGGAACCTTGGCGGGGCTGCTCACCTAGAGTCAAGAAGACCATAATCAAAGTAAAAAGTGTACATGACGCAACACGACAGCTTTTTTTTCTCATTAGCAAAGTTGATTCTCACAGAACGGAGAATTGCCACAACTCCAAATTACCAGGTCAAAATGGCAGCCTACTTGTCTCATTTCACTCTCTATTTTCTGTTGAGAGTCAAAATTAGATAGGGAAAGAGAATCGCAGGAAATCAAGACAAAAATCACTTTTTTAAAACTTCATCTCTAACACGACTATAATTTTCCTCTTGCCTTTTGCTTCTGAAGGCAGTTTTGATGGCTTGTCTTTTCAAAAATGTTTTCAGAAGCTTCTCTGTCGTTTTCCTGGAGTCACTGGACGCTAAGTCCTTTCTCTGCCTTCTCTTCACCTATGAGAAGAAAGGATGTAAGATCTCACTTCAGGATATTAGACCACTAGAAACATTGCTGTGATTTATTTTCCAGAGAATTTGGTTTGTCTGAGTTTTCAGACTATGGCTGCTTTAGCATTTCCTCCTAATTGCCATATCAGTGTATATCTTCAGGTTGCTGCTACGTAAAGGACACCCAGAGTTTCCATCTATTACTTAATGGGCTACTACACAATATATTTGGGAAACTTAATTTACTTTCAGTTTCTTTTAAATGTCTTTTAATATGCCCAAGAAGTGGAAAGCTTAAATGCTTCCCAAAAGAAATTATTTATTTATTCTATAAAATGTCACAGTGACACCAAAAACAATTTCTAATATTGCTTTTTATAAACATGCATTACTTACATGTAATTCTGCCCTTCAATATTCAAGATTATATATCATGAGAAATTCTAAAATGTATAGAAATATCTTGTAAGAAATGTTCAAGTAGTGACAAATGGATAGTCCCTGTGCTTATGGCTGAATATCGGATAAAAATAACCAAGATATTCTCTTTTCCTTTCTAATCCTTCCACAAAGTACCTGATTTACAGTATGCCTTGGGTAACTGAAAACTGCAACATTCAAGACTAGACACTCTTACTGAGGCAACAAAGGTCCCCCAGCATTTATAAATGCTTTTTATTTTTATCCTATATCCTTACTTTTATCCTATATCCTCATTTAGAGAGTATCTGGTATGATTACAAAGTCATCATTTCATTACTTTGGTATTTTCAACAAATAAAAGTCATATATCCAAATGGGTGCTGTCATTTGGACTGTTTAAACATTATTTTATGTCATTTTTTTAGAGATGGGGTCTCCCTGTGTTGCCCAGGCTGGACTTGGGCTCAAGCAATCCTCCTGCCCCCGGCCTTCCAAAAACATTTTTTAAAACTACTTCCAGAACAATAAAGCAGCAACTCATTCTGACTCTTCTATATCATGGTCAATTTCCTTCCTAGATAATCCACTTTAGTCACCACTTGGCACCACATAACATTGCTTACTCCTAAAATCCAATTCCCCTTAAAAGAAGGCTTGCTATCACGGAGGATACTTGATCTCAGATTCAGGGAGGCACTTCCCAAAAGAGGGTTTCCACAGTGTTCTGAGTGATGGCCGCATCCTTGAAATAAATATAAAACACCTAACAAGATCCTCTGAAGGGAAAACTCTCAACAGCAAGGTTTTTAGTAGTTAGTTTTATTTAAAAGTTAAATTTTATCATTGTACCCATGATGAACTCTCATAAAACTTTTTAAAAGAAAAATTAATTGTTCAAGATAAAAAAGTAGATGTAATTAAGTATGTGTCAAAATAAGTCTGTTTCTAAAATTCTAAAGAGAAAACAAAAATTTTATGTGAATTTTTCTAAGAATGCAGAAAGAAAAAAATTATTTGACACTTACTAAAAACTATACGACACTTACCAAAGTCTGTTTCTTCAATAGTGGAGCATCCCCATCAAACACAAAAATAGGACGAATTCGAAAAAATAAGAGTTTGCAGAGCCGATGAAACAAAGTGAGAAGATGAGGATTTTCTATTGAGTTCCCATGGCGATCCCGGACTCCTTTAAGTGCTTGGTTTAACCAAATGCTAATATCTGGGAGAATTGTTAATGGAAAAAACTCCGGGATTTTTCTCTTCATCCTCACAACTTCAATTTCCTAATAACTGATATTATCCAAACGTTGAACACTAAATACTTATCACTATTCATTTAAAATTGAAAAACATTTAGCTCTCATGGGATCTACCTAAAGTCAGTTAACTTTTAGTTGAACTCTTGTTACCCCTATTCACATACTGCATTTTAAAATCATACAAAGACAGACATATCCTTTTAAGAAGTCTCATTGCAAAGAATTGCTTCTTTAAAAAAAAATAAGTGATTGCTAAAGAATTTTCATGAATTAGCACAAATTTTCTGGAGGACAATTTGACAATTCATAGTGAAAAAAACTTTTTAAAACTTTGCAGTCTATTTTACCACTTCCAGACATTGATCCTCAGAAAATCATCATGGATATATAATGAGAGTTATTTACAGAATGCTTGTTTATAATAATGAAAATATAAAAATCAACTTAAAAGTTTTCCAGCAGGTCTTTTTAAAAAACTAATCATAGGCCGGGCGCGGTGGCTCACACCTGTAATCCCAGCACTTTGGGAGGCCGAGGCAGGTGGATCACGAGATCAAGAGATCGAGACCATCCTGGCCAACATGGTGAAACCCCATCTCTACTAAAAATACAAAAATTGGCTGGGCATGGTGGTGCGCACCTGTAGTCCCAGCTACTCAGGAGGCTGAGGCAGGAGAATCGCTTGAACCCAGGAGGCAGAGGTTGCAGTGAGCCGAGATCGCGCCACTGCACTCCAGCCTGGTGACAGAGCAAGACTCCGTCTCAAAAAAGAAAAACTAATTATGGCAGACCTATTTGCTGGAATACCAAAAAGCCCTTAAAAATGGAAGTTGCAGGAGCATGTGTGATAAGGAAGATAGTCATTAAATATTATTAAAGATAGTAAAACAGGCTATAAAACCATATAAAGTATAACTCCATTTTCTGATACAGTATATATGTTAAATATAAAAAACTAGTTCACATACCAAAATATTAAAGTAGATATTATGTCTGCTGAGACTAAAGATAACTTATATTTTCATCTTGAAGTTTTCTTATATTTTTAAACTTTTCTAAAAAGTGCTTCTCAAAAAATGTTATATTTGTCCAAAAGAAAGAGTGACACCGCGCTCTGCTGGTTTTCCTGCTCTCAGACTCTTTGCCAGCTCCTGTAACACTGTTAAAGTATTCACTTCATCAGTGATCTTTCTCAGGCCCTCTTCTTTCCTCCTGTCTGAACTATCAACCTCCACTCCCCTCCACATACACCACGCCCTGACTCCATGTATATGTCTGGCCCAGAGCACGCTCCTGACCCCAGAACAGAGAGCCCAGATGACGTCTCTACCCCATACCTCATAGACATTTCAAACTTAACATGATCAAAACTGAACTCCATGTCTTCTCCACTCAGCTGCTCATGCCCCCATCTCAGTGAATGTCCCTGCCATTCACCTGAGCCAGAATGCTGGGCATCACCACCTATAGCTATTACCAGGTCTATCAATTCTATCTTCTAATGTATCTTGAAGGTATATACTAGATTTCACCAACGTATCTTTGGTGAAAACCCTCCAAAGCTTCCCACTGCCTTCAAGATACTATCTAAAACTTCTTCTCCTGGTCTAGGAAGCCTTGAATGATCTGGCCTCTGCTCACTTCCTGCTACTGGGCTTTCCTCAAACCCAGAAATCACTAAGCTCCTTCCTGCCTCCAGGTTCTTCTCACATGCTGCTTCCTCTGCCTGAAACAGTTTCTCCCTCTCTCCGCCTAGTTCTCTCCTACTCTAAGGTCTCAGTCCAGGGGTCCCCTCCTCAGTCTAGATGAAGACATCCTCCTTGTATACATTCCTATTTAAAAAATATATTGAGGCCGAGTGCGGTAGCTCACACTTGTAATCCCAGCACTTTGGGAGGCCAAGGCGGGCAGACCACCTGAGGTCAGGAGATCGAGACCATCCTGGCCAAAATGGTGAAATCCTGTCTCTACTAAAAATACAAAAATTAGCCAGGCATGGTGGCGTGTGCCTATAAGGCTGAGGCAGGAGAATCGATTGAACCTGGGAGGCGAAGGTTGCAGTGAGCCAAGATCACGCCACTGCACTCGAGCCTGCGTAACAGAGGGAGACTCTGTCTCAAAAAAAAACAAAAAGAAAAAAAAAACAGAGAGAAACCTGGACTGATGCTAATATTTGCAGGTAAATTTCTAACATAGGAAAAGAACATTGAAGGGGCCACCTATCACGTTATTTCTGTTTTTATTATGTGGCAGCATTTTTTCTATGCACTGGCATATCCAGTGCACTGAACAAAACACAGTATTGGCCCTATGGAGTTTATAATCTAGCAGGGAAAAAACCCAGCCTGTGTGCTCCATGGCTTGCCCGGGCAATTTGTGCACTGCACTCCCTTTCACAGGGACTCTTATACACAATAAATATCTGCTATTAAATAAGTTGAACAGTTTAGTATTTAAATGAATGTACACTGCCTAACTTTTACTAACATAAAAAAAAATGTAGGTCCATCAACAATTAATTTACAAAACACTATGTAACAAAATACCTAGTGGAAAGCAAGCTACTGCTATGCTTATTTCTATAATATTTAGCAATACCATGGGCCAGGCATATCCAAGACCCTAGGGATATACACCAAACAATTCAGCCATGAACAAAACAGAGACGGTCCCTATCTCCAGGAAGCCAGTGCAGCAGGACAAAAGGAATGGCAGGAGGTGATACGGCCACTGGGAAGTTTCTAGAACATGATTTAAGGATAACTTTGATGAACATGTGAAGAACAGATTATAAGGAAACCAGTTCTAAAATGAGTTACAATAGCCCAAGTTAACGCAGACAGTAGTGGTGGAGACCACGAGAAGAGATCGGATAAAAGATACATCTCAGAGGTAGAACTTGGTGTTGATGTGCATCTGTCTTGTATTAGATCGATGTTTCTGCTTGCTACAAGTATAGTCTGGAAAAGCCATGAAGCTCACTATTACATAGGATTAAATTAGTTTCTACTTGGCCCACTACTTTAAACTTTAACTTCAGTGAGGAAATCTAGTTTCAGATCAGTGGCTCTCATCCCTGCTATCCATTAGAATAGGATATGAAGCTTCTGAAACATACGGATTATTAAACCCCATGGGCCTAAAATTCTAAATCATAGAGACTGAGGTAGGACTTCTTTTATTTTTTATTTTTCAATTAACTACAGGTAATGCCAATTCTCAGCTAGGGTTGAGAATTTTGGCTTGAATTCTTAGAGATGAAATATGTAAAATTAGACGACCTGAAAATATTCACATAAATTGTTAGACAAGAAATATGAAAAATGAGACAATCTGAAAATATTTGTATAATTTGACTTGTCTAATTTCAGTAAGTTTATATACGCAAAATTAAATTTCTGCGGACAGAAAAGTTAAAATCTGCAGCAAAGCCAAAAATCACTTTCGGTATAAGACCCAAAGACCAATAACATTTCAATACAAAAAATAAGTTTCTTTAGTTCTTTAGTTAGGTGACTTAAAAATCTCCATTAGTATACATAGCCTAAAGAGATGGTAATATCTTGCTAATACACTTAAACGCATATTACAAACATTAAAATCTATAAGAGACAAAAGTTTAACTTACTTCTGCATTATTTGACACAGACATTTAGACTGTATAAATAAGACACTAAGCTATATAGATGGTTTAAAGACCAAACAATTTAGTATAGAGATACAAGAGTAAATTATGAAACTAGTATAATAACGGGTAAGTTTGTCATTAACAAACAATACAATAAAATCTAAATAATTTCAGGTGTCTGAATTCCCGTGAAAATGAAATAAAGCAAAACCGATTGTAGAACAAGTAATCAGATATACTCCTTTGACATAAACGAGTTTATTATAAATATATGAGGTTGTCATGACTAGAATGTCTTTCACAGTCCTTTTTATTTATTTATTCAGAGACAGACATGAACACGGCTCATTGCAGCCTTGACCGCCTGGGCCCAAGCAATCTTCCTGCCTCAGCCTTCCGTGTAGCTGGGACCAAAGGTGCAGGCCACCACGTCCAGCTAATTTTTTGACTGTGTGTAGACAGGGGTTCACTATGTTGCCCAGGCTGGTCTTGAACTCCTGGGCTCAAATGATCCTCCTGCCTTGACCTCCCAAAGTGCTGGGATGACAGGCGTAAGCCACTGAGCCTGGCCACAGTCCTCTTTAGTAATTCTTCACAAGGGCTGCTACATAAAATGATCTAAATCTTTGCTGAAGTTTTAAGGGTTCTTGTCACTGAAAACTAACCTTTACCCTTTATTTCTGAGAAAATCTTTAGACTGCAATGATACTAAGCAACAGCTTGAGGGCAGCAACAGCGCATGTGCTCTAAAAAACAAAAAACAAAACAAAACAAAACAAAAATCCTTTGGCTTTCCCCAATTCAAAGTACCCTGTATAAAAACTTTTAAGCCAAAAATCAATTACAGATTTATTTAAAGATTATTCACTTGCAAAAAATGATAATCTCATTATGTTTTAAAACTTATCAATGTCGTTTTATTTATAAGTTTTGTACCTACTGAAGAATTAGGGCTCCACAGTCAGGGATTCCTTTGCTGAACGCCCACACACTCTTGCACTCCATTTCCCGTCCCCAATCCCCCCGCAATCATTTACAGGACTCTTTCCACAAGCCCACGAGCCCCTAGACTCATAGATCCCCATTTAGGAAATTGGTGTAAGGTATCACCAGATTCTGAGCCAGAATAGATACTCAAAAAAAAAAAAAAAATGACTACATAACAAAGAAAAAGATAAAAATTTCAAAAGCAGTATCACGTTTTGCTAATGAAAAAAGAATTTAATTCCAATGACAAACAAAACCAGCCAAACATGTACAGAAACAATAGTCCTTAAAAAGTCAATTTAAAAAATGGGTAAAACACCTGTCCACACTATCCTTCCTCTAAGAAACATAAATGGGGCAAGACTCAAGCAAAACTAATCGTCGAAGTCTACTCTGCTCTCCTTACTGACCTCCCGGACAGGATAATAACTTTAAGATTTACTGTATTAATCGCACTAAACTTCTCTCATGTAGGCAATTTCTTTATTCCTCATTCCAATCCTGTGTGTAGATACTATCACCACCTCTACTTTGCAGATGAGAGAACTAAGGCAGAGAGGAACATAAAGCACTGCCACAAAGTGACAAACCAGGATGCACAGGCCGCTAAGACTGCAAAGCTGGGGAAAGCAGACAGGGCGGCCCGCCTCATCACCCGATTCCGCAATCAACCTACCACGGATCAAAAATATTTGCGATGGAAAAAAATAAATAAATAAAACATACCAATAAAAACTACAAAAAATTTTAAAATACAGTATAACAACTATTTACAGATCACTTACATTGCATTCGGCATTACAAGTAAGCTAGAAACGATTTAAAAGATTACGGAAGTGGGTAGTTTATATGCAAATACCACGCCATTATATAAGGGAGTTGAAGGAACTTGAACATCGTGGTATACGGAGGAGGGGCTGGAACCAAAGCCCCGGGGATACCGAGGGACGACTGTACTTAGAAAACCTAGTGACAGAGATTCTATAGCGACCCCGACCCCGACCCAAGACCATCATCCTGCAGATGCCACTGTGCCCAAGGCAGAGCCCCGCGAGGAATCCAGCCCCGAATCCCTGCACCCCAAGTCCCAACGCGGCGTTAAGGATACCAACAGCCAGGATCTTCCCTTCCAGCGCTTCGGGGCTGACCTGCCGCCCGGAGCACTCCAGCAGCTTCCAGAGCCCCTGGACCCCCATGAGGCGGCTGCGTCCTAAGAGCGGACCCCGACAACTTCTACTCTAATTCTTCTACGACGGACTGCACCGCCGCCTAGGACCCCGGGAGGAAGCCCTCCCTGCTCCTACACAACAAAGATGGCAAATAATACAGAAGCCACGGTTTTCCAGTGGGGGACGGCACTAATGGGAGCGCATTAAAGCGGAGAGACTCTGGCTGCAACACGTCTCAGCAGCTGTCACCGCCTCCCGGAAGAAAGACAGGTCCAGAGAATGGCCGTTGGCGGGGAGGGGCAGGGCCTCGCCTCGCCCAGCGCTTAGGCCCAAACGTCTGCGCCGCTAATGGAAGACCGGGGTGCAAGGGCCACGCAGGCGACGGAAACAGCCAGAAGATGTCCCTGCGACACCTCCCGCCTTCGCTGGTGGGTCCGCAAACCCATGAAAAATGGGCCCGCTCGGTTTCCGTCTAATACGACGCGCAGGGCGGAAGCTCCGCCTCCGCACATGACGTATATTTTCTGCGCTTGCAGCACTCCGGAAGTGAGAAGTTTAGCGCCAGTGGTGATGCCTTGGTGGTTACTTGCTTCCGTCACGCTGGCATCCTGAAGGCGTTAAGCATTAAAACAATGTGCAAAAGCGCCTTCTTGGTGGAGTAACGGGCTTTTGTTTTTGTTTGAGACAGGGTCTCACGCTGTCGCCCATACTGGAGTCCAGTGGCGCATTCTTAGCTCACTGCAGCCTGGAACTCCTGCTGCCCGAGCTCAAGCAACTTTCCCATCTCAGCCTCTCAAGTAGCTGGGACCGCAGGTGCGCACCACTATGCTTGGCGAATTATTTTTGTAGAAATGAGGTCTCCCTGTGTTGCCCAGGCTGGGAACTATTTTCTACACGCTTTTTTAGTATCGGTTTCTACCTTTGCGCCGCCGTGTGTGAAGATACTTAACACAAAGTGTTGTTTTACACGTGAAGAGACAACCAAAAGGTGGATGCCTTCTTGGTTTTGTACTATTTATTTATATGCTAGCACGTAGTAACTAAAGAATAATAAAATTTAAAGCCTGTGAAAATGTTAGGGTCCCAAAATTACTAAGCAAAAGGGAAAAGTCAAGCTGGGAACTGCTCAGGGCAAAACCTGCCTCCCATTCTAGTCAGTCATCCTTCTGCTCACTGAGATAGATGCATATTCTGATTGTCTCCTTTGGAAAGGCTTATCAGAAACTCGTATGCAGCCTTTTGTCTCTCATCTACCTGTGACCTAGAAGCCCTTCCTGCTTCCGAGTTGTCCCCACCTTTCTGGAAGGAACCAGTGTACTTACATATGTTGATTGATGTCTCCTGTCTCCCTAAAATGTATAAAACCAATCTGTGCCCCAACCACCTTGGGCACATGTCATCTGGACTTCCTGGGGCTGTGTCACAGCTGCGCGTCCTTAACGTTGGCAAAATAAACTTTCTAAATTAACTGAGACCTGTCCCAAATTTTGGGGGTTCACAAGCCTTAATCCTTGACATATAGTTTAGTTTTCTTCAGCATCTAAAAGTTATAATGCCGCGGCTTGTAGATCAGAAAGGACTAGAAATCAATTAACAGAGTAACCCCAGAAAAGGCCACAGCTCTGGAACCCTCAGGCCAAGATTCAAATCCCCGCATCGTGCCTCACTATGGTGTTTAGCATCCCTGAAGTCACAGTTGTTCAGAATTTGTGTCTCCATCAGTAATCAGGGCATAAAACCAACCTTGCAGACTTCAGTAAGTATTCAAGGTGTTACATGCAACGCACTTAGCACTAGTAACTATAAAGGATAGTATTAGCATCCATATTTGTTCAAATTGGAACGAAATTTAAACTCAGTGAAAAGGCTGACTTAAGGGAGCAGGCAATTTTTTAAAGACTTCTTTATAACAGAAGTATACGGGAAATTGATTTTTTTTATTTTTTTATTTTTTATTTTTTTGACAGGGTCTCACTCTGTCGCCCAGGCTAGAGTGCAGTAGTGCAGTCTCAGCTTACTGCAACTTCCACCTCTCAGGCTCAAGTGATGCTCTTGCCTCAGCCTCCCGAGTAGTTGAGATTACAGGCCCCCACCACCACGCCCTGATTTTTTTTTTTTTGAGACAGGGTCTTGCTTTGTTGCCCAAACTGGTCTCAAACAATCCTCCTGCCTCAGTCTCCCAAAGTGCTGGAGTTACAGACATGAGCCACCGTGCTCCGTGGAGAAATCCATTTTTAGCAAAACCACTTCTATGCTCAATAAGATGGTTCACAGTGGCCATGTTTGGTTGACCTAGTCACATCTAATTTGCTACAGGAATAATCCTGACAAAGTGTTTTTTGCATTTCCTCCATATGTAAAGTAATCCCCAGAAACTGTTCCCAGTTGTTATTTTACTGAGAGTAATATAACTGCCTGTTCAGTATTTGTCTCTTCCCCATGGTAAACTGTAAACTTACTGAAACGAAGAACGATTTTCGTGACTGCTACATCCCCCAATCCTGGCACTTAGCAGTTCTGTAAATATTGCCTAAATGACCTCTTAAGCCTCTAGTCTAAAGCTCTCCAGTGCACCTTGCAGTCTGCTGAAAGAATCTGCTTGGAGGTTAGGCTGATCATTCATTCAGATCTCATCTGAACCATATGTTGCCTTGTGTTATGGTCTGAATTGTGTCCTCCAAAATTCATCTGTGGAAGCCTGAGTACCTCAGAATGTGACTATCTGAAGACACAGCGTTTAAAAATGATTAAATTGAAACGAGGCCATTAGGATAGGCCCTAAATCCAATTTGACTGGTGTCTTTGTAGAAAGAGGAAATTGGGCCACAGGGAGAGACTCCAGGGATGATAGGCACAGAGGAAAGGCCTTGTGAGGACACAGTGAGAAGGCGGCCCTCTGCAGGTGAAGGAGACAGGCCTCAGAAGAAACCAAACCTGCCTGCTCCTGGACTTCTAGTTTCCAGAACCATGAGAAAACAAATTTCTGTTGTTTACGCCACCCTGTCTGTGGTGTTTTGTTATGGTAGCCCTGAGAAACTAAGACACTGTGATCCTAGGCAGGTTTCTTCACCAATGAAACCCTCAGTTTCTGCCAGTAAAATTAGAATGCGACCAACATCTTGTTGTTCTTGTTGCTGCTGAGCTATTTAAGAACTGACCTGGTAATGGTGTATAATTTAGTTTGTTGAGTGAATCGCTGGTACAGGAGGGGTGGGAGTGTTATTGGTAAAGTTGAGATGCAGAATGTGATGGATCCTAGAAGAGCTGCCTGAGCCCCTCCAGTCTGGGAGAAGACAAGTTGGCAAGTATTTTGGGTGCTGCACCAACTTGGCCTAATGATGGCACACAGTTCTTTAACAGTAATAGCAGTAGGGAAAGGAATTGCTGCAGAATTTGATCTAAATAAACTTTTTTTTTTCTGCCTGTGAGCTGGGTAAAAATAAATAGCCAACATAGGCATTTGAGTATTGTAAGTACTTTTAAAACCAAAGCAAAGGCTGGGCATGGTGGCTCACGCCTGTAATCCCAGCACTTTGGGAGGCCGAGGCAGGCAGATCACTTGAGGCCGGGAGCTCGAGACCACCCTGGCCAACATGGTGAAACCCAGTCTCTACTAAAAATACAAAAATTAGCCGGGCATGGTGGTGCATGCCTGTAATCCCAGCTACTCGGGAGGCTGAAGCAGGAGAACCACTTGAACCCGGGAGGCGGAGGTTGCAGAGAGCACCACTGCACTCCAGCCTTGGCAATAGAGCGAGACTCTGTCTCAAAAAAATAAAGCAACATTCTTGAATATGAAATATTCTTTTGAAGAAACAGCAACTAAGGGGTGCATATGTGATTTAAAAGGAATTAGCTCCTTAAGATGCTATCTAAAGGGCTCTCTCTAAAGACTCTGAATAGTAAAATTCACATCTTTTGGAATAATAGCAAGCTCTTAAATAGCACTTCCTATCTACAAAGCACTGTTCTAAACACTACATGTATTAGCTTATTCTTCAAATTCATTTATAAAGTAGATACTATTACCCCCACTTTACTAATGAGGAAATAGGCACAGAAAAAAAATTAACCTTAACTTGCCTATATCACTATAGGTGATATAGCTTGTAAGTGCAGAGCCAGTATTTGAACTTTCACTGTATCTATAGGATTCCTAAGAGCTGACCAAGAAATCAAATATCAAGGGAATTTTACTAATCTTCTAAGAGAAGTATGCAGTAACTCTTGCTTACAGCTTCTGCGGGAAAGATAATCTCACTAAACTCAAACCTCATTGTGCTCTTAATAACTGGAAAGCCAAACTTGGAAGCCAAACTTAGAACAGATCAAGACTTTTATAAAAATTGATTATGGTCAATAGTCTGAATAACTCATCCTGTTTTTCTAGGTGTCTCCCTATCCTTTAATTTCTTATTTTATTTTGCATTTTTCTCCTTTCCTCTTGGTTCTTCCTACCTACGTCTTCTCTGAAATATTCAGTTGAACTGTATGAAATTGCTAATATTCAACCATTTTTGACCTACAAAGATGACAACTTCATTTGGTTCAAGCTAATAAAAGAATCAAATTTTCTATTTCCTATTAAATTAGAAATCTAAAATTACAGTCATCATAATGCATATTGTTTCATTAATTATAAAAGGCTCAAGATGGTTTCTTACAATGTACCAGTTGAGCAGAATTGACAAATTATCATGTACTTCAAAGACACAATGGTACCTTCTACCTAAAACAAAGGTTTAAAAACATTCATATAATTAAAAGTAGAAAACAAAACTTTATTTGATGAAATCTTTTTAAAAGTTCCAGTATGAAGTAACAAAATCAACAACCTACAAATCTCTTTCAGTCCTTTGCATTTCAAGCAAAATATTCTCTTCAGAAAAATGACCATTTCATAATATATATCCCCTTCTGTAGGCTAGGCATGTACGAGTGAACAAACGGATATAAAATTCAAGAAAAAAATGAAAATATTTTAAAAATAAAAATCTGAACCTTTTCCTTGAGGTGTATTGCGATATGGTTACCAACACATTCAGCACCTTGTAATCACCAAGTTACTGATTTGAGTCCTGGAACAAGACCCTAAAATTAAAGAACAAGAGATCCTAGTCATTTGTGAGTCACAGGTTGGCAGCAGAAGAAAAACCAACAGCAACTAGAGGAGCTCAAATACATGAAATTCACACTTCTGAAATATTTAATACTCACTTCAAACAGCTAATTGTCTATATGATTTTTAAAAAGGAAACAGCTCAGAGTCTGGAATATGGGTAGTTGTCCTCTGAGTGACTTGGGCATTTCTTATGCATCTTCAGTACTGTTATCAACATATGACTCCATACTGAGAAAGCAATCAAATATCAGGAGATCTCATTTCACAGATAACCTTGGGTATAGAAACTTAAGGTGCCAATTGTTCTTTTACTTTACCCCTAAGGCAAACGTCATCTAGACTTATAAAAGTCTTTCGAGACCTAAGGTTCTTGTCAATATTTGATTATTACAAACCACATCAAGAAATTTTAAAAATCTGAATCAATGCACTAAGTCACCCATTTGCACCAAAAAAAAGGATCCGTCTTTTTTTTTTTTTTTTTTTTTGAGACAGAGTCTTGCCCTGTCGCCCAGGCTGGAGTGCAGTGGCGCGATCTCCGCTCACTGCAAGCTCCACCTCCCGGGTTCACGCCATTCTCCTGCCTCAGCCTCTCGAGTAGCTAGGACTACAGGTGCCCACCACTACACCCGGCTAATTTTTTGTATGTTTAGTAGAGACGGGGTTTCACCATGTTAGCCAGGATGGTCTCGATCTCCAGGATCAGTTTCTTGAGTCTTTTCTCTTTTGCCTCTTAGTCAGAATCCTAAGAACATAACCAGGAAACAAATGAGGCAAGCAAGATCCTGCTATAAATCAAAGAACTACTAGACTCATGAAATAATTTTAAATGCGTGTTAACCATGAGTGAAAACTAGAAATTGACAGCCCCAATTTTTTTTAAGGGCAGATGGTACTTTACATCTTGGTCTTAGGCATAAAACTATCTGTAACAAATGTCTAGGGATCGAGTCATTATAAAAGTCACTTCATGCTTAAGTATTTCAAATCTTGATGCTATTAAGTGAATTTGTGTTTCACTTATTTAGACAACAGTTGTAATTTTATTGAATTTTGTGAAATTTTCTGTCCAGATTATATACTCTTAACTTGAAAGGACAATAATCTGTGCTTATCTGCTTATATATCTGAAATCACCCACCATAATCATATACAAGCTTAGTATCTGGAGAACTACAAGGTTATTTTTTATACCACAAGATCTGCTCCTATTTAATGTAGGCTTACTAAAATCTTCTACTGTCTTTATACAGTCCTGTATATAGCAGTTTCATATATAATGCCAGCTGTTCAGTAGCAAGCATAGTCAATCATTCCCATCGTAATCACTGTAACCCTGGTAACCACTGTTCCTTCTCTCATGGATACTAGACATCTTTTTCCATGCCGAGTCCTGATGGAAACTAGCACTGAAAGACCGGCCCAGACGCCCATGCTGCTTCTTGGAAATATTGTCTTCACTCTCAGATTTGGCAATTCCCTGGGCATGTGTTGGAGGTTGTGATTCTTGTCTAATGGTTCCAAATGGAAAGTTCCAAAGGCCAAATCTTTGCCAGTTAAGTCTCTGGAATGCTATGATGCAATGCAAATTTCCCCCAACCTGAGAAGAAAAAAATGTTGGCTGAAGAAAATAAAGGGAAATTAATTGTACTAATTTGTAGGTCCCTATGAACTCCCTTCTTTCTTTTTTTACTTCACCGGCCTCAGAATGGTACTTTCCTTCCAGGCATCATCAGAGCACCTCATCCTGCACCTTTTCTAACAGCTGCCTTTACAAAATATAACAATGCCCACCGGAGCCAAAACACCTTCCTCCCCATGCCTCTCTACTACTCACTCCCAACACATACTAGAGAACTTCCCCATCTGCCTAATTCAAACACCAAGATCATTCCTTTTCCTCTCTCTCCTATTCTTCATATAGTTATATGAGTAAGATTGCATCAATAAGATATCATTTCCTGAGAGCCTCTCCCAAAGCCTTGTTTGTACACATGACTCTGCCACAAGGCCACAGTTAATCTGGCCCAAGCTGGGCTAAGACTACGGAACTGAACCCAAGACAGGTCAGTCTCAGTCTAGACTGTTCATCTAAAAACGACACATAAATGGAAAGATGATGATCTTACGAAGAAAGTAATCAGACAAAAGGAAAGCTAAGAACAATATATAGCCCCCAAAAGAGTGAAGCAGACTACCAGCTACTTGGCCCTTGCTGTCATTCCAATACCTGCTACCATCTACCATTCCTTTATGACTCCAGGTTATACCCCTTGCCCTTGGGTTTTAAAGACAGCCGTGTGTCCTTAAAATAATTTTCACTCCTCTATCAAATATAGGTTTCTGTTACTTGCAACCTAAAGAGTGCTAAGTAAAACACCACATTTTGGTCAGCTGGGAAATGCCTTCAAACACAATGGTGTTCTTCTTACCTTCTTTGTTTTTCTATACTGCAGTCCCCTCTCTAAGTGCCGGATATCCAGGTATTCTGGATTTTGAGTGTTTAGATCAGTAACAATATCTGCCCATCTATAGTTAAGAAGAAAGGATAAAGCACAATTTTCTTTAGGTCTAAAGTATCATTGCAATGGAATTTTTCATGAGCAAGTTGCTGCAATATTATCACAGCAATAATTGGCAGTAATTCTCTTATCTCAACATTGTTTCATCTACTAAACTGTAATAACTTCTAGTTTTATGACAATTCTGTTTATCCAACCGTTGCCAAGGTTTTCAGTGTACAATTGGTTACTCTTCCTACAGAATAAATAAATACCAACATGTTAGATGACATCCTGCATGCTAAAGCAGCAATATGCTATATTTCCTTTTCAATTACAGTCAAGTCCACTTTTAAAAGAATGTAAAGTTAATATGTCTCTATTAGGAGACAACACAATTGTGCAGAAAATCCAAGGGAATTACAAAACAACTACTAGAACTAAAAGGATTTGGTAAAGATGGAAGATTCAAGGTCTACATAGGAAAATCAATTGTATTTTTGTATTCAACCAGCAAATAATGAAGAAATGAAATTTTAAAAAAATCAATTTACAATAGCATCAAAAAGTATAACACACTGAGGAAAACCTTTTTATTGCAATATCTTTTTTAAGTTTTACTTCAATTGTTTTTGGGGTACAGCTGGGTTTTGGTTATACCAATAAGTTCTTCGGTGGTGATTTCTGAGATTTTAGTGCACCCATCATCCAAGCAGTGTACACTGAATCCAATATGTAGTCTTTTATCTCTCACCCGCCTCCCAGACTGCCCTCAGGAGTCCCCAAAGTCCATTATATCATTCTTATGCCTTTGCATCCGCATAGCTTAGCTCCCACTTAAAGTGAAAACATATGATATTTGGCTTTCCATTCCTGAGTTACTTCACTTAGAATAACGGCCTCCGGCTCCACCCAAGTTGTTGCAAAAGACATCATTTCATTCCTTTTTATGGCTGAGTAGTATTCCGTGGTAATATACATACCACATTTTCTTTATCCACTCATTGGTTGATGGGCACTTAGGTTGATTCTCCATCTTTGCAACTGCGAATTGTACCACTATAAACGTGTGTGCCTGTGTGTTTTTCATATGACTTATTTTCCTTTGGGCAGATACTCAGTAGTGGGATTGCTGGATCAAATGGTAGATCTACTTTTAGTTCTTTAAGGAATCTCCATACTGTTTGTCATAGTGATTGTACTAATTTACATTCCCACCAGCAGTGTAATAGAACACATAGAGAAAAAATGTTTAATAAAAGACATAAAACTCCATACTGAAAAAATTTTTTTAAAAAGTTGAAATTAAAGCTCTAATTAAGTAAAGATATAGTCCATGTTGTTATGATGTCAATTCTTCCAAAACTAAACTATGAATTCTTTCTTTCTTTATGAGACAGGGTCTCACCTTATCACTTAGGGAGGAGTGCAGTGGTGCAATCTCAGCTCACTGCAGCCTCGACCTCCCAGGCTCAGTTGATCCTCCCCCCTCAGCCTCCCGAGTAGCTGAAACTACACGCACATGCCACCATGCCTGGCTAATTTTTGTCGTTTTAGTAGAGATGGGGTTTCGCCATAGTGCCAAGGCTGGTCTCGAACTCCTGAGCTGAAGTGATCCTCCCACCTAAGCGCTGGGATTACAAGCATGAGCCACCGCGCCCAGCCAAAATTATGAATTCTATAGATTCTATCCTCATCAAAATCTTTACAAACTCTAATTAAAAGGACAAATTCTAAAATTTTTATGGAAAAGCCAAGGTCCTAGAAGAGCCAAAACAATCTTTAAGAAAAAGAAAAATTCAGAGAATTCGTGCTATCTAATTTCAGGATTTAGTATAAACAACAATTGAGAGTGTGGCATCGGTAAAAGGACAGACAGATTAGTAGGACAGGGTCCAGAAACAGCCCACACATACAGTTTTCAGCAGAGGCACCAAAGAAGTTAAATACGGAAAGGAAAATCTTTGTAAACAAATAGTGCTAGAATAACTAGATAAACACTGGGGGAAAAAATCAAAGTTGAGCTCTACCACATACCACACACAAAAGGTAATTAAGGCCAGGCATGGTGGCTCACATCTGTAATCCCGGCCCTTTGGGAGGCCAAGGAAGTAAGATCACTTGAGTCCAGGAGTTTGAAACCAGCCTGGACAACACAGCAAGACTCTGTCTCTACAAAAAAGTTTTAAAATTAGTAGGGCATGGGGGCACACATCTGTGGTCTCAGCTACTCAGGAGACTGAGATGGGAGGATCACTTGAACCCAGGAGGTCGAGGCTTTAGTGAGCCATGATCACACCGCTGTTCTCTGGCCTGGGTGATAGAGAGAGACCCTGTCTCAAAACAATAATAGAAAGGGATCAGAAATCTAAACATAAAATCTATAAAGCTTCTAGAAAAAAACAGGAAAGCATCTTTGAGGTCGTGGGGTAGGCAAAAATTTCTTATAGAGGCACAAAACATATAAAAGAAGAAAATTGATAAAATAAATTTAATTAAGATTAATTAGAATCAGAACTTCTGTTCATCAGAAGGTTTACAACCACTTTGGAGAATTTTCTCACAGTTTCTTAAATATACATCTATACTATGAATCAGCAATTCTAGTCCTAGGTGTCTTCCAGGAGAACAAAACATATGTCCTCTAAAAGACTTGTACAACAAAAGTGACTTCTCCATACAAAGGAAATGATTTGGCCATATAAAGGAATGAAGTTCTAATCCATGCTAAAACATGGATGACATTGAAAACACTGTATTAAGTGAAAGAAGCCAGGTACAAAATGCTACATACTGTATGACACCATTTATACGAAATGTCAAGAACAGGCAAATCCCAGCCAGGCGTGGTGGCTCACGCCTGTAATCCCAACACTTTGGGAGGCTGAGGAGGGTGGATCACTTGATATCAGTAGTTTGAGACCAGCCTGGCCAACATGGCGAAACCCCGTCTCTACGAAAAACACAAAAATTAGCTGGGCGTGATAGTGGGCGCCTGTAAGCCCAACTACTCAGGAGGCTACGGCAGGAGAATCTCTTGAACCTGGGAGATGAAGGTTCAGTGAGCTGACATCACACCACTGCACTCCCACCTAAGTGACAGAAAGAGACTCTGTCTTAAAAAAACCAAACAAACAAACAAACAAGAATAGGCAAATCCCTAGAGACAGAAGGTAGATCAGTGGTTGCCAGGGCTCAGGGAATACGGAGTGACTGCCAAGGGGTATGGGGTTTCTTTCTGGAGTGATGAAAATGTTCTGCAATTATATAGTGGTGATTGGTGCAGAACCCTGTAACTATAATAAAATCTATGGAATTGTACACTTTTTTCCCTTTTTTTGAGGCAGGATCTCGTTCTGTCACCCAGATGAGAGTGCAGCGATACGATCACAGCTTATTACAGCCTCAATCTCCTAGGCTCAAGCAATCCTCTTGCCTCATTTTTTAATTTTTTTGTAGAGACAGGGTCTCACTATGTTGCCCAGGTTGGCCTTGAACTCCTGGGCTCAAGCGATCCTCCCACCTCAGCCTCCCAAAGTGCTGGGATTACAGGCATGAGCCACCGCGCATGGTGGGTGCAGTGAACTTTATGGTATGTGAATTATATTTTAATAAAATTTTTATATAATTTGTTTCAAGGCTTGTACATGAATGTTCCCAAGAGCTTCATTGACAAGAGACCAAACCTCAAAGCAATCCAAATGCCCATCAACAGGAAAATGGAAAACAAATTGCAGCATGCTTATGCAACAGAATACTACTCAGCAATAAAAAAATAATAAACTCTTGATACACATGACACAATGGAGGAATCTCAAAAATGTTACTTAAGATATTGATGCAAAAATAATATTGTCTGATTCTCTTTACATGGAATTCAAGAAGAGGCAAAGCAAATCTGTAGTGACAGAAATCAGAAGAGGGGCTTTCTATGGAGATTGATAGGAGTAGAGAGTGAGAGTATTTTCCATGGCAATGAATGTGTACCATATCCTGTTTGGGTGGTGATTATACAGGTGCATTCATTTATCAAACTAATTATATACAACTAAGATCTGTGCATTTCACTGTATCTAAATGTTACCTCAATTAAAGAAAATAAAGGGAAGTTAACATACTTTTTACAGTGAATGGCAGGATGTTTTCTACTTGATTCTCCAATTAAGATCCAATATTCAACTTCCTGTGGTGAGAGAGGTCCCCTGCTAAATATAAAATACATTCACAGTACGTTTAATAGTTACTCCCTTGAGTATATTGCTTCAAATATATATTAATAAAAGGCATACTAGAGTGTATTCAAACCTGGCATTCATTCATCAAGAACAGACATTAGAGCTTAGGTGAGGGCAAATTTCTACAGGCCATTAAAGAGAACTCACAAATTAAAATTTCAGCCTTAATCCTCTATTCAAAATCTAGGGCTATAAAATGTTTTAATATACCACCTCTAAAATTCTAGGAGGAAAAAAAAATCCTGGAATGCTATCTGCATTTTTCCACTACTCTTCTCCTTTCACTATGAATTCAAGACATCTCAAAACGCATCCTAAAAATGAAACCCTAAAGCAATGAAGTCTTTAAACACACTGATGTCCTAAACCCATCCCTGGACATTCTAATTCAAATAGGTCTGGAGTAGAGCCTGGGGATTTATATAGTTTTTTAAGAAAATCTCACATGATTCTTAGGTACAGGCAGAAGTGAGGGACTCTCTTTTAAAGGGTACAAAGTTGGTTTAAAACCATGATTTATATTTGATAAATGTCAGAAATAAGGTGAAGCTGCAGGATGAAATCATAAAAGAAACATACAGTATACCTCACTTACAAGAAATTCCACCTCCAGAAAGATGAATAAAGCATTTCAGCATTGGGAGAGAACAAGAGAGTTCCCTCTTGCTCCTTATTCACAAAACACAACTTCCAGCTTCCTGGTTCTCCCAGGTCATTCCAACCTGTCTCAGAATCCCTCTCTTCCCCAAACCCGAGGGGCCTTTGAGTGGGACTCCAAAGCCACATGGCCTCCAGCCCCAAATAACCCATCCTGGCTGGGTGTGGTGGCTCACGTCTATAATCCAAGCACTTTGGGAGACTGACATGGTCAGATCACTGGAGCCCAGGAGTTCAAGACCAGCCTGGGTAACATGGTGAAACCCTGAAACCCCATCTCAAAATTAGCCAAGTATGGTGGTGTGTACCTGTAGTTCCAGCTACTCAGGAGGCTGAGGTGGGAGGATCACTTAAGCCCAGGAGGTCGAGGCTGCAGTGAGCTATGATCTCACCACTGCACTCCAGTCTGGGCAACACAGCAAGGCCTTGTCTCAAAAAAAAAAAAAAAAAACCCATCCTATCCCCATGACCAAGCCAATCCCTTTGCTCAAAGTACTCATGGCTTGTGTTTTCACCAATTCTTTCTTTCTTTCTTTCTTTTTTTACAGAAAGGATCTCGCTCTGTTGCCCAGGCTGGAGTGCAGTGGCATGTTCTCAGCTCAGGCGATCCTCCCGTCTCAGCCTCCCAAGTAGCTGGGACTACAGGTGCATACCAACACACTCAGCTAACTTTTGTATTTTTTTAAGAGACAGGGTCTCACTATGTTGCCCAGGCTGGTCTTGAACTCCTGGGTGCAAGCAATCTGCCTGCCTCAGCCTCCCAAAATGCTGGGATTACACCACTGCACCCCACCCACCAATTCTTAACTAGATACTTCTCCCTTGGCTTTCAACCATCCTGGTATTATCTCAACCCATCATAAGGAAAAGTGGCTAAACAGGAAAAAAACCATTAAAACTTAGTCACCTTCTCTTTCTTAGGGATCATCTCTTCCACAAAGATGCAAGTTTACCAGTAAAGTTATATAGTTAATAAAACAGAAACTCTAGATTAGGCAAAAAAGAAATATAACCATGAAAGTCATGTAGTTTCTGACATTGGAAATAAAAATTGGCTCAGAGCTTCCTTGCAATCAGGACAAAGGGGGAACCCAGACAAATTCCATATTCTTCACTTTAAGAAAAGAAGATGCTTTTTAATTTACTCAGTTGTGACAATCTTCTTGACACTAGATTCTGTAATATATTGTTCATGTGGGACGTTGGATGAGGCACTGTGACATAGTCTATAAAATCCTTTGCAACTGTTTTATAATAAATGTAAAAATTACTTTTCAGGAAGGGTGTGGTGGCTCACACCTGTAATCCCAGCACTTTGGGAGGCCCAGGAATAAGGACCACTTGAGGCCAGGAGTTTGAGACCAGCCTGCACAACATAGCAAGACCCCGTCTCTATAGAAAACACAAATTAAAAAATTTTATGAGCTGGGCATGGTGGTGCATGCCTGTAGTTCTAGCCACTCAGGAGGCTGAGGTAGAAGGATTGCTTGAGGCCAGGAGTTTGAGGCAGCAGTGACCTATAATTACACCATTGCACTCCAGCCTGGATGACAGAGTGAGACCCTGTCTCTAAGAGAAAAACAAGTGACTTTTCAAATGACTTTTTCCTATAATGACTGAACAACAGTATCTAAATGGATATTTTCAACAGCACAATTAACTAAATGCAATTCTGCAGAAGAATAAGTCATAATGTTTAAAGAATAGTCTAACTTGATGTCAGGAAAGCAGATGGCCAAGCCTCCCAATATCACAGACTTTGAATATTTTTTAATTTTTTTAATTTTTTTTTTGCAAGTTCTGCCTCCCGGGTTCACGCCATTCTCCTCCCTCAGCCTCCCGAGTAGCTGGGACTACAGGCGCCTGCCACCACGCCCGGCTAATTTTTTTTTTTTTTTTTTTTTTGTATTTTTAGTAGAGACGGGGTTTCACCGTGTTAGCCAGGATGGTCTCGATCTTCTGACCTCGTGATCCGCCCACCTCGGCCTCCCAAAGTGCTAGGATTACAGGCGTGAGCTACCGCACCCATCTATTTTTTAATATTTCTTAAAATGCACTTTCTAAAACACGTCAATGCTTACCTGAATGCTTTATTAGCTTTAACAGGGGTTGCTTCGAAGCCAATTGGACAAAAATAATGATTTTGGCAATGATAGATATAAGCCAGCGATTCATCTTTCAATCCACGGGTTAACTTTGACAGGGCCCCTGAAGCTATTAAAAACAAACAAACACACAAACTGAAAGCCCATAAAGCAGTGTCCATGCTTTACACAAAGGACCGGTTAAGGGCTTAAGGACAGAAAAGACATTACTTGGAATACACTGACACTGCTGGGGAAAAACAAGAAGCTATTGATAGGTACAAAAAATGTTAATAAATGTATTCTGTTTTACTCTTTAAACTGAAATTCAGGTAAGCTCATTAGCAAACTAAAGAACTAAAATATGTCCTTGCTTACCAAAACCTTCTAATAACACACATACTTGTCTATGAAATTTACCTAGTGTATTCAGCAATGGTTTCAACTTTTCTGGTTGTACACAGCTGTCACTTAAAATTCTGAACAAGCATGCCCAATGTTAGCACATGCATTTATAAAGTATATACATATACCACTGTACTAATATGTCTTTATAAAAGATATACAAAAAGTTGGAATTTAAAATTAGGTTAAAATATAGAAGTTCTAATATATATGCAGTACACACATCCCAACTTAAAAAACTACTGATGTATATGAATAAAAATAAACTCCAGGTAATAATCAAGTTCTAAAAATGCAAACTTCTCCTACTAATGAGACAGCCAAGTAAAAACGGCTTCCTGGAGAATCTCCAGCTGGCCTGCGTGCTGGGAGGATGGGGTTGGGCCTCAGGAAGTGCCCGCTGTTTGCAGAGGGGAGGACCTTGGCCTCTCCTGTCCCTGTGTGGCAACCTGGGATTCAATCTGTGAGATGGGGGCCTGTTAGCAGGAACCCTTCTCGCTTTGCTGAGTTTTTTCCTTTTCACCCAATAAATTCTGTTCCCCTTCACCCTTCAAAGTATCTGTGAGCCTAATCTTTCCTTGTTGTGTGATAAGAACCCAGATTTTTCTACACACACTTTAATCTTTACACAAAACTTATGGAGGCTAGAGGAGTAGTCTTCACAAGCCAAGTGACAAGATAACATCTCTACAGAGACAGGCTGGTAGTACCACCACAACCTCTTATGCCCACTCTTCCCTGGACATTTGCCATAACTATAATAGTGGTCAATTTCAAAAGTATTACCATAAGAAATGACTTTTCACCAGCACTTAGTACTCAAAGCCATTAACTGAGGTTTCATTAACTGGCATGTCCTAGAAGAAGCTAAATTATTTATTCATAAACAGCCCATTAAAACTAGAAATCCTAAAAATAGATGAAGCAGATGAAAGCTTGCAAGTCATAGTTTCAGTGATCGACTTTCTGGCCACTGAAATAGCTGAAGACCACTAAGAGCAGCAGGTCCACGGCCGCAGAAGAGAGCCAAGGAGTGATGCACGGTCCCTCAAGTGCATTAGTAGGGAAGATGGAACAAGTAACTTTTATATAAGGTGGAATAAGATAGTGCCACAAAAGGGGCATAGAATTCAAAGGAGAAAGAGCACATCAGGTTTGAGGAGTCAAGAAGAAGTAGCATTCAAGATGAAACTTAATGAAGTGTCAGGATTTCAACAATCTAGACAGAGGAAAGAGCATTAGGAGAAAACAAAACCACTGGGGAAAAGGAATATACTCAGGGAACAGCCCGTGATCTAGTTTATAGAATACAGGGTAGGATGGTATAGAGGAGCCTACTGTGGGACAATCCAACAATTTCAGGCCAAAATAAGAAAAAGATCACCCTCTGAAATAAAAGATAGTAAATACAGCATTTATTTAATTATTTATTTTATTTTATTTTATTTTTTGAGACAGGGCCTTGCTCTGTCGCCGAGGCTGGAGTGCAGTGGCATGATCTCGGCTCACTGCAACCTCTACCTCCCCGGTTCAAACAATCCTCATGCCTCAGCCTCCCAAGTAATTGGGATTCCATGCACTCACCACCACGCCCAGCTAATTTTTGTATTTTTAGTAGAGACGGGGTTTCACTATGTTGGCCAGGCTGGTCTCAAATTCCCAAAATCAAGTGTCCCGCCCCTCTCAGCCTCCCAAAGTGCTGGGATTACAGGTGTGAGCCACTGTGCCGAGCCAGTAAATACAGCATTCAACACATTAAGGTAGTTGTCCAAGAAAGTAATTCTGTGTATGAGAAGACACAAATGTATTACTGAGGGAAGCTAAATTCAGAATGAAGTTGAGTCTGTACTTCAGTATAGCTTTAAAATCTGAAACTTAAGCAACAAAGCAACCACCACCAAATGCAGAGCCATGATCTGCACGGCATAGAGAAAGGAGAAAAAAACTACAGGAATCCACTGGCCTGCTGCATGGAGAAGAGCAGGTATTCTGAGCAGCCAATAAGAGAATTCTGGTCCCTTTGAGATTATGTTTCTTACTTCAAGTTACTCTGTTAACATTCTGACATTCTGAGTTTGCTTAGTATGAGCTTGTCCTGTAGACCCTGATCATCTATAGAGGAATGCTAGATAACTCCATAAGAACTTATAGAGTATATTTTTACACCTTCAAAGACAAGAATAGCTTCTGAAACTCTGATAGGTAATCCAGCAATCTAACATTACTCTGCAAGGTCCTTATTCCCCTGACATCTTTTTTATTTTAAAAAAAAAAAAAAAGATGCCCAGGCTGGAGTGCATGGCACAATCTCAGCTCACTGCAACCTCCACCTCCCGGGTTCAAGCAATTCTCGTGCCTCAGCCTCCCAAGTAGCTGGGATTACAGGTGCACGCCACCATGCCCAGGTAATTTTTTGTATTCTTAGTAGAGAAAAGGTTTCACTATGTTGGCCAGGATAGTCTCAAACTCCTGGCCTCAAGGAATCCACCCACCTCGGCCTCCCAACCTGCTGGGATTACAGGCGTGAGCCACTATGCCAGCTTCCCCTGACATCTTAAATACAACTGGTACATGGAGGACAGCAGGGGAAGGCCAATTTGTGTCAGCTTGGAATGACACTAAGCAGTTTATGCTGTAAGCAAGCACCAAACAGCTCCTAAAGAGGAAAGGGGTATGTTAGCACTGCATGTTCAAGAGATTTATTATTTGTGTCTAATATTAATTGGAGAAAACCAGTACATGAGGAAAACAGAATACTAATGTATTGTCCACCGGAGATGTACTGAGGTGCTTCAGTAAGCTGGTAACAACAATCATGGTGAAGCGATGTGTGAGTTATACAGGAATGAGGCCAGAGACGGGTCTTCTCTGTTAAGCAAAAGTTATGAACTGCAATACCCACTAGAAAAAACTAAATACATGAATATAAATGCAATTTTCAAGCTAGCTGATTAAAAAAATGAGTCTGGACTTGCCTGGTGCAAATGTTGGTGGCTAAGTGAACCCATACTCGGAAGTTATCTGAACAGAGACCTAATGTTGGCAACTCCTAGAATAAATTTTCATTGTGACTAGTGACATCTCTGAAAAAAATACTGATATTAACAGCTAAGTCTTATCAAAATCCCTGGACTTCACTTTTATTCCATTAGTGTGCTTAGTTTACAGTTACTAAGAGCCCACTGGACATAAGCACCGGGGAGTCCCTGAATCACAACAGCGTGGTCCCCAGGAAAACGTAAAGCCCATTGTGAAAAACAGGCTTAGTGGTCCTTAAAAAACAATTTAAGCACAAAGAGAAGATAGATTTAAAAGTGTTTTTAAACAAATAGCGCCACTGACAATGGTTTTCACCAGTGAACATCCCAGAGAGAAATCAGAAAGCCTATCTCTGCAACTCTTTCTTCCACAATGGGAGAGAACGGAAGAGACGTCTGCTTTACACATGAACCACCCTACCGCCTGAATACCATCAGAATTCATAGGGTAACGTGTAATGTCGTGGGCATCATATCTAGCATGTAAGGGCTACTCAGAACAGTCCCTATGGTCAAGGAGCTGGACACTCACATTGAACAGGTGAAACATAATAAAACATAGCACATAGCAAATGGAAAATGATGGGTGTGAAAAATCAGTACTAGAGGAATTTAGAGGAATCCAGGGCTAAGGTGGCCAAGGAACATATCAGAGATGAAGCAGGGCTTAACTGGGTCCCCCAATTAGCAAAGGTAAAGACAAAAATATTCCAGGAGGCGTACGCAGATTAATTATCCTTCAGGAAATGCACACAGAAAAGCAGTAAAAAGTCGAATATTCTGGAAAAAAAAAATTGAAAGTAGGAATAAAACTTGAAAAATATATTAAAACTTACTCAAATTACAGTAAGCACCTCAACCCCCTAACAAAAGAAAACAAATTTAAGGAAAATAGGTAGTTTATCCCATTCCTCAATGAAAAGTTTGGATGTATGCTGGAGGAAATTTAAACAAATAGGTTAAAAAAAAAAAAAAAGTCATTGGGACCCAATGCTACACATCCTAGATTATTAAGGGAACTGGTTAACACATGCACCAAATCATTACATTTAAATAAGTCACAAAGAACTTGGGAGGTACCAGACTATTGGAAAATAAAATAAATAAAGTACAGATATTCAAAAGATCTACAAATGAGAATTTCTAGCAAAATTATAGTATAAAATCTTAAAGTTGGACAAGACAGTTGATCAAAAATCTTTTAAAATTCCAGAATAGTGATTCCTAAGTCAACTCTCTCCATGGCCCTTTTAGTGTTTTATTCCATTCCATTAATTATAAAAGTATATGTTCTTACTTTGGGAATTTGATTAAATGTATATAGCTGATGTTTCCTCGATACCCAGAGTTTCTTTGATAGATTTTCTCTCTTATTCTAATTTCTCTGGGTCTTCCTGCTTCCCTTAATTTCCTTTACTTTGACTGACCCATCTCTTCATCTATCCTCTCACTCCATCTAGATACTGCTGATATTAATAGAAAAAGCCATTAACTACTCAAATGAAGTCCTCTTCTAATCAGCAGGCAAAAAGAAAACAAGTAAAAGGAATTATGAGACTTGTTCTGGTGTCTCCCAGGGCCTTACTCATAATGCAGTCTTGGGACACAAGACTGAGAACTGTATTGTAATAGCTTTCCATTATATCCGACACGTAAGTATGACATTCGTTCCAGTGATTATTTCTATACTCCCAGACATGCATTTTGGTCCACACCCCATTAAAAGAGATATAAAGCCACCCTATGAATCAGTTAGGAAGTGATTCTGAGACAATCTTAATCTCTTACTATTTATAATGTAAAAGGCAATGTTCAAGGCACTGCTAAGATGTAAAGTTGAAAACTTCAGATTCAATGAGTTGGCTCATTTCCTGTCCTTAGGAACACACGAAAAACTGTCAACTGAGAGACTCCAGAAGACAGAAGGAGGACGCACTGGGTTCTGATGGAAAGCAGGGCAGATCTAGCACACAGGTGCAGGTGAGTGTGTGTCTGGGAGTGTGGGGAGGGGAGAGCAGGTAGGAGCCAGAAGGAAAGATGAGCTACAGAAAGGGAAAGAGAAAACATTTTCCTTTCCACATCACAAGAGAGAGCTCTTGCAAAGGAAGAATGCCAGCTTTGGAATGGACAACAAAATTCTCTCTTAGAAGTTTCGTAACCCCAATCTCCTGAATTCCTCCTGACTCATATCCTCAATTGCGAATTCATTAAATTAACTCCTACTGAGCACCTAAGTATCAGGCACTGTGATGCACAAATGAGTAAGAACTTGGCCTAATCCTCAAGAAAGGCAACTCTAGTTTTTCTGCATGAAACCATACGGTGCACCAAGAATTACCTCGCAATGAAATCAAAGTTCTACCAGAGGCACACATGGTGCTGTGACAACCCAGGAGACGAAGGGATTGAATCCTGCCTGGCAAGCAGAAGAAAAAGCCATCCCCCCAGGTTTTCACGGGACACCACCATATCCATTTGTTACGCTGAAGTCCAGGATGGACAAATAAATAGGAATCCACCAATCACAAAGATATGAAATCCCACATTCCACATGCTCCACAGCAGGGCATCCCATCAGTGAGGCACATAGGCCTAAGGATGACCTGTATCTTGTGAAGAACAGGGAAACATCGAGGAGCCCAGCATGGCTGAACACCAGGGGAGGTAGGCTGAAGCAGGATATTCGAAAGCCAGTCCCTCAAACACCATGCTCAGGAATTTAGGCTTCATCCTCTAGGTTAGGGTTTGGCAAACTCCCACCAACAGGTAAATCCAGTCTCCAGACTGCAGCCTGTGTTGAAATGGGCAGCAAGCTAAAATGGTTTTTACATTGTTAAAAATCAAAAGAAAATTGGGCCAGGCACAGTAGCTCATGCCTGTAATCCCAGCACTTTGGGAGGCCGAGGTAGGAGGATCACTTAAGGCCAGGAGTTCAAGACTAGCCTGGGCAATATAGTGAGCCCCCATCTCTAAAAATTTAATTGAAAAAAATTAAAAAATAAAATTAGTCTGGGCACAGTGGTTCACACCTGTAATCCCAGCACTTTGGGAGGCCGAGGCGGGCGGATCACAAGGTCAGGAGATCGAGACCATCCTGGCTAACATGGTGAAACCCCATCTCTACTAAAAAAAATACAAAAAATTAGCCGGGCATGGTGGTGGGCGCCTGTAGTCCCAGCTACTCGGGAGGCTGAGGCAGGAGAATAGCGTGAACCCAGCAGGTGGAGCTTGCAGTGAGCCAAGATCGCGCCACTGAACTCCAGCCTGGGCAACAGAGCGAGACTCCGTCTCAAAAAAAAAATTAATTAATTAATTAAATTAAAAATTAGCCAGGTGCAGTGGCATGAACCTGTAGTCCTAGCTACTTGGGAGGCTAAGGGGAAAGGATCGCTTGAGCCTAGGAGTTCAAGGCTGCAGTAAGCCATGATCACAGCCACTGCATTCCAGCCTAGTGGACGGAATGAGACCCTCATCTCTAAAAAATAAATAATAAAATTTTTAAAAGTTCAAAAGAAAAATAATATTTTGTGACATGTGAAAATTATGTGATATTCAAATTTCAGGTCCATCAGTAAGGTTTTCCCAGGACACCACCATATCCATTTGTTTACATGTTGTCTATGGCTGCCTTCAAGATCCAAGCAGCTGCATCAAGCAGCTGTGACTGCCCCAGAACCATGTGTCTCTCAAAGCCAAGAATATTTACTATCAAGCCTTTTATGTAAAAACATTTGCCAACTACTGCTCCTCTAGGTTAATGATTTTCAGTACCGACACATCCAGGTGGTTATACAAGATGACCCCCTTTGTGGGCACAGAAACAAAATATTAGAACATTTATTTATAGTGACCCTCATATTTTAAAAAGAAATTAAGCTTTACTAGTATTTATTCTGTGGATTGAGTGTGGATGCTGTCTACACTATACAACCCTACATCCAAAGGTCCCAGGTCACACATGTGCTATCCTGAGAGAGGGGCAGGAACTCCACATGGTGGTGCCAGCTCAGGTTGCTAATTACTGTGCCTTGACACCCCTTACCCTCTCACTTGCTTTCACTGAACTGCTATGTATTCAGTTTACAGGGTGCAAAATGTCATTGGCAGACATTTTATAAAACTTTTAATGAACACAACTGACAGAATCATTATTATACCTTCTAATAACTGGAGAATGACCATAAAAATCTTTTGGACCAGAAAAAGGTTTGGCACATCCTGTGGAAGTAAACATTCAAGAACTATAAAAGACAATGCCAAATTATGCATTTTCTTTTCATGGCACACGAAGACACCTCAAATAAGATCCAGAAGAAACAAGAGACAGCAAAATCAGATATATACACATTTCCTACATTACACCAAATACAGAGGAAAAAGTTTCAATAGATTTAAAAAATAAAAGGGTTTGAAAATATGAGTAAGGAATGAGGTTATTTTTAAAAGCAGATTTTTAAAAGAACTACATATTTTAGAATAAAAATGATTGAAAACCTCTTTTAAAAAACTCAAACTCAATAGGCAGTATAAAAAGCAAACTAGACACAGCTGAAGAGAAAATTACCAAACAGGATAATATATCCTTTCTTAGTTTTTCGTTGCCTGATCACTTACTGAGAGTAGTGTGGTGACAGTCTCACTAGAAACAGAAATAAATAGCAACACAGCATTTAAAGCTGTGTTTTCCAGAAGGATAGACAGGCCCCATGTGAATGCATAGAATTTAGTCAGTAGGAATAAATGCTAGCACTTACTGAGTCCTTACTCTGTAACACAGCGTGCTAAGTACATTACAAGTATGTCTCCTTTTATCCTCACACTGACCCTATACAAATATAGAAAGATAAAAGGTCTACATCAAGGCTCAGCAAGTGACTTGTTCAAGGTCACAAAACTAGTATGTGTAGAAAGCAACATGTAATCTCCAAGCCTGCCTCCAAGTAACCAACCTGATATACCCAATATAGGTCAACAGAAATATATCTGACTTTGTGCTCAGTCTTTTACCTTGGTAAACCATATACCCTCTATTGATAACAATTCTCTTCCTGATTAATCCTTGAGTCCTCTTCTCAAACAGGCCTGGACCTTAGACTTCTGTGTCCAGTTTTAGCATGAATCCTGCTAAGTCAGTTTAGAGAGAACCCACAACCCTTAATATCTAATCAAGTTCCTTACGGACGTCCCCTGCCAACTCCTGATGTCTCAGCCCTTGACCTGCCTTTAGCAAGAAGTCTGTTAGGCTTTAGCAAGAATCCCCATACCCTTGACCCTCTTAGTAATATCCCACCCCCAAACCCCTCGCTGTGTCCCTTGGCTATAAAGTCCCAGTTGTCTTTGTTGTCTTTGCTGTATTCAGAGCTGAGCCTGATCTCTCATTCCTACTACAATAGGCCTTTCACAAGTTTAAAATAAAGTCTTCTCACCCTATTAACAAGTGTCAGAATAATTTTTTCTTTAACAATGTATTACAATTTTCTGATTTACACAGTCAAAAGATTGTAACAATTTTAAAAATGGAAATTGCTAAATAGTACAAATTATTTAATTAGCACATAACTAAAATAATCCTTGAGATCAACTCCATTAATATTTCTGTTATAAACAAGACTATTTTATAGCAGAACTTTGTCACTTCAACAGTCTATTTTCCTGCCATTATATGTCACCACACAGGTCTAACATCAAATATTCTCAAATCCTTACATTCCTTCTTAGGAAGAAAACTGCTAACTCCATGCTGCTTCCTTAGAGTTTTACTAGCATGTGCGCGTACACACGCACATACATACACACACAAACACACACACACACCACGGACCCAAACAATACAATGTGTTAGAGTAGTGTTTGTGATATACCTTAAAGTTCTAAAGGTTCTACATAAAAAGGTTAGAAGAGGTAAAATATTAAACTGCTTATTAAAAAGTGCCCTACAGATTACATGCAAGTAACAGACTGTGCTGAGGGTTTACATAATGTCCCAGGAAGCTAAACAGGCAGTCTTTGAGACGAACTCTAAACCGTGTGTGTGTATGTGTGTGTGTGCATGTGTGTATGTGTGTATGTAAATCTTCTATATGTTTACCTACCAGTTTCTCCTGCTGTTTTATTCTTCCCATGAGGCTTATATAGAACATAAGAGCATCCTTTTACATGGAAGTGGTCATTAATTTGTCTAAACCACCTGAAAGTAACAAGAAGATTTGTTCATGGCAACAATTCTACAACAAAGATGGCATTATTCCAATTCTAAAGAAATTCAGGCATAGCCCAAAGTTGGTATACCTATGAGAGGTTGAAGCCCAGCAGCTGGATACATGGTTTACTATCAACACACATCTACATCATTATTATTTTGCAAAACTAGAAACACGATATTGCCTCTAAGAGGGTCTTCATACCTCATAAGTGTTGTATTCCCCGTGAAAGGACCAAACCTAATATCTTCAAATGGAGGTTGAAAGCCCAGAATATGTAAAGCTTCTTCTTGGGTAATAGGTGGAAGGCTACAAAAGAAACATTCATTGCCTTTCATTTTTCAATTCCAGTCATACGCAAATACAGCCTGTCTCAATGTTAATATGCTTGTCTGATTTGCAAATAATATTAGTAATATTTTTCATTATTTTATTTTATTTATTTTTTTAGAGACAGGTTCTCACTCTGTGGCCCAGGCTGGAGTGCAGTGGCGTGATCATAGCTCACTGCAGCCTTAAACTCCTGGGCTCAAGTGATCCTCTTGCCTCAGTCTCCTAAGAGACTAGAAATACAAGTACATGCCATTGTGCCTGGCTAGTTGTTTTTATTTTTTTACTTTGTAGAGGTGGGGTCTTGCTTTGTTGCCCAGGCTGGTCTCAAACTCCTTGGCTTCAAGCAATACTCCCGCCTTGGCCTTCCAAAGTGCTGACATTACAAGTGTGGGCCACTGTACCCAGCCCATTTTTATTTCACTGAAAATAATACATGTATATATTTTAAGCTAAAAGACTTACACTAAAATACAGCAGGGTTTTGTTAAATTTATAAAAAATCTATTCTTAAATTTTTTTCTGTTATAGAAAAAGCAACATCAAATTACTTTGGAGTTTGGGGGTACTGATAAATTGACATACTTACTTTCCAGCTCCCATTGTGCTGTATAAGAAATTCCAACAAGAAATTAATGAAGAGATGCCACAAGAAGTCTTATACTGTGGTCGGCTTATGCAGTACCTGAGAACACAAAAGACTGTTTTCTTCACTTGAATGAACACAAAATATGCATGCTAGAAATAGAAAACTCATGGCAATTAAAGGTGTTAATATAATGAAAACTTTGATCCCCTAAGTCAATGTAAAATCTTCCATATTCACTTATTAATCATGTCATAAATATAAAATAACAATAAATCACCTGCTTTAACAAAAATAGCTAAGTATGACTAACTGCCAGTTAAAGTGGATGTTATCCAAACCAATGGGAAAAAAAATAATGATATATCGCCTATTAAAAGTTTGGTGTAAACTCCTGGTTGAACTGCTTACATGATTATTTGCAACTTCAGAAATACAAGAGAAACAAACCATTGCCCCCACGTGTCAACTTCTCAGAGAGATTCTTCAACCCAAACAAAAATTCATCCATTTATTACCCACTGTGTCCATCTAAAATCCTTGGGCAAGAAGCCATGAAGCAGTGCTTCTCCTGTCACAGAGAAGTTTAAAAGTGAAATACAAAATCCTTCCATGGCATGATTCAGTGGCACTAAGCAATCCAGACAATTTTCCAAACTGTCATGATTCAAGAGAAGAAACTGGGGCAAATGTGAACAGAAGGAGAAAGAGACAGACTATTTATTTATTCTGTTTTAAGAAGAAATACGTTTGCTTTCTCTTTTTTTTTTTTTTTTTTTTTTTTGAGACAGAGTCTCACTCTGTCGCCCAGGCTGGAGTGCTGTGGTGCAATCTTGGCTCACTGCAACCTCCACCTCCCGTGTTCAAGCAATTCTCCTGCCTCAGCCTCCCGAGTAGCTGGGACGACAGGCGTGCGCCACCACAACCAGCTAATTTTTGTATTTTTAGTAGAGACAGGGTTTCACTATGTTGGCCAGGATGGTCTCAATCTCTTGACCTTGTGATCTTCCACCTCAGCCTCCCAAAGTGCTGGATTACAGACGTGAGCCACTGCACCTGGCCAAATGTGAAGCTAGTCAAGCGTGGTTGTGGGGGGAGATAATGTTAAATCAGCTTAACAATAACCCACAACACTCGTTGGCCTTCAAATGATCTTCTCCTAACTGCTTTCTAAAGAAGGTGCTAAGAAGTAGCCACAATGAAACAAAGAAACAAGCCCTATCATCACTAAGAGCAACTTTAGTGTGGTCTAAAAATTAATTACAAAATGAAAAATTAGACATATGCATGTGTACATATATGCATTTGTATATGTATATATACTATGCATATTGGCACACATACAAGTTAACCATGACCCTTCAATATTTTTTTTTAAGTTCCAGGGTATACATGCAGGATGTGCAGCTTTATTACATAGATAAATGTGTGTCATGGTGGTTTGCTGCATCTATCAACCCATTACCTAGGTATTACACTCTGTGTGCATTAGCTATTTTTCCTGATACTCTCCTGTCCCCGGTTCCCACCCCGCGACAGGGCCCAGTGTGTGTTGTTCCCTCCCTACGTCCATGTGTTCACATTGTTCGGCTCTCACTTATCAGTGAGAACGTGTGCCACGAGCCCTAAATCTGTAGACTACACAAAATGACACACAAAAGCTAATAACTATCACTTAACATACTAAGTGCTGTCTTCAACACCTTACTGTCAAATCTATTGAGTCCTCCCTCAGTTTTGCTTTGTTCTTTAATTGTGATAAAAACATACAACATCAAATTTATCATGTACACTATTTTTAAGTGTACAGGTCAGTAGTGTCAACTATATGCAAATTGTTAGGCAACAGAACTTTTTCATCTTGCAAAAATGAAACTCTTTACCCACTGAACAACACAACTCCCTTTTACCCCTTTCCCCTATCCCTGGAAACATGAGCAATTTACTAATGTCCTTATTCAAGTAATCTGCCCTAGTTGTTTAAATATGAGTGTGAACTCCAACCTAAGAGACCTTTGTGGACAAGTGATTATTAACAGTTCTGTCATCATAAGCTATATGGCCCTTGCTGATAAAACACAAGCAACTCATTCATTTACTGATTTTTTTTTTCTGCTGTGAATATTTTTGCCAGAGTTCAATTTTGGGGATTATTTTACAAGTCCAATACTAACAGTGTTTTATATTTTACAACATTTATCTTTACATATATTTACTAACAAAGTATTGCATGCATGTATATAGTTTTTCTCATAACACTAAATTTGGCCTGAAAGAATTTTTAAAAAGGAGAGGGAAAGGGGAATTTCTCTTAAGATTTTTCATACTTTTTCATCAATCTAAACTTGTTTCCTAGTCTTGTTTATGACCAGGTTAAAATGCTTACCAACATTCTACTATCTTCTACGGGACTTTCCATTCTAACCTAATCTTGTAATATTCTCAGTGGAAAACAGGCTTATAGTCCTGGTGATGTTTTCCCCTCAGGGCATTTCTCCCATCTATCCTTCCTAGTCCTAGCCTTCATGGCCTCACATGTTATACTATTAATATGTAGTTACACAGATTTGTTGTTGAAACAAAGCTTAAATCTAAGTGATTAGAAGCACAAACGAGCAAAACCTTCTTTTCAAAGAAACTAAAATGAATGTTTGTGACTTTAATGTCTCTTCTCCATTATTCCCTACATACTAACTATTCCAAATTTATCTTGATAAAAGTTCCTTTTGTTAAGAAATCGTCCATGGCTTATCTTTAACTCAGAAAAAAAATCTAAATATTGAGCCTGATATCTAAGAAACAGATCATGACATGTATTATACGCAAACAGCATGAATGTTGAGTCTGACTCTTCAGCTTCAATACAAGATCTTCTACTTATTAGCCATGTGACACTGGCAGGTTTCTTGGCCTCTCTGAGCCTCACTTTAGACAAGCTACTCTACTCTTCATTACCCACATTCCAGAGACACTTTGCTGTAATTCTTTCAAAGACCCTTCACCCTCCAACCCTTCATATTTCCTCCCTTAAGACCCAGGACCTTAGTAAAGCATTCTGGTGATCATTACCTCCTTTCATGGTTAATTAGTGATTCATACCCATCACATGACAAACTGCCTAAGATATTTAACATTTTTCTGTTTAGTCCCCTCACCTCAACTGGATTGTAAACCTTGGGAAAACAAAGACAATGTTGTGTGCATCTCTGTTTCTCAGCCTACAGCAAAGGGTCCAATATTTATTAAATAAGTGATAAAAATATATTTCTAAAATGTCATACAAAGGAATTTTAAAAACCCAAATCAGGGTCAGTAATACATAAAAGTTGTCATGAATTAAACTTGTTTTCATTAGACTAGGAACTGTATTTTAAGATAACCAAATAGCCCCAGTTGATCAGTGAAAGCTACAGAAGAAGGCTGGGTAATAAAAGTAAAAAAAAAAAAAAATTGGAATTTTGAAATATAACCATTTTGCAACAAATATTCAGACAAGGATCATCAATGGGTTTGGGTTGTCAATACATTTGGCTAAAACCATAAGGTAAAAAGCTGATGGAACCTGGCTATTACCTAATGCCACTCTGTCACTCTACTGATTACTTGAGGGTACCAGAGGAGAAAGAAAGAACTCGTCAATGTAGAATACAGCTGTCACCACCTTAACCCAGTAATCACTTAGAATTGCTAATACTGGATAATCAGATACCATGTGCCTTCTGATGTGAAACCTTTGAAGTATGAGGGCCCACTTAAGCAGTGTTCTTGCATAAAATGTTGTACTGGAATTTAATCAAGTCTTTGTATTCAACTTCCAGTTTACAGGAAATATTGAGGTTAGATGCATAATTTAGGAAACTAAAAGGAAAATACAAATCTGGAATGTAGGACATTCTATAAAATATCTGGCCAAGTCTCTTCAATAAGTCAATCTTTATTATTCTCATTTGTCGATTAAAATAATAGAATTTTTAAAAGACAAGGGGGAAAGTGGGGTGGAGACTGACCTAGATTGAGAGAATTATGGGTCATGACAAGCAAACATGTGGTTCACAACTGGGTCCCACTTTGAACAAACAGATGTGAAGACCTTTTCAGAACAATCTGGGAAACGTGAATTTAGCCTGGGAATTAGACACTAGGGAAATATCGTTAATCTTATTAAGTATGACAAAAGTATTGTGGTTAAGTAGAAAAAAGTCATTTTTTAGAGATGCATACTTAGGTAACTTGAGATGAAATATAATAAAAATCAGTCACTTACTTGAAAATTCTTCAGCAATGAAAAGCTAAGTATTTAACTACATCAAAAGGTTAATCATTGTTAAATCTACATGGCAGTTACGTGGAGTCACACAGATGACTCTAATAATAAGCCGAGTTTGGGAAAGACCAGCATAACTCATTATTAATCTACTTCAAACATTTGTGGTGACTTTAAATATTCAGAAATCCTGGTAATAATTTTAGAAATAAAAATATTTATGATACATATAATGTATTAATTTGTAAACTGCTACGTTATTGCCAACATATATTACATATTTCAAAAATGAAAAAAATAAAAACTGATAACATCACCATCGTCTGAGGTCTAATACTTTCCGCTGTTTAATATCTTCAAGAGGAGAATGCTGAGGACATTCCTTCTGATATCTTCCCTTTTTATCTGAAGTTTTTCTCTTGGAAACTTGTTTCTTTGCATTGCCTAGAATACAAGAGTATAAAATAAGCAAAATGCTTAAGATGAAGTAAACTGAAATGACAAAAATTAATTATGCACCAAAATTAAGAAGTAACTGCCTTAATAATTCTGCTGAGAAAGTGCAAAGAAAAAATAATAACAAATAAATAACTGCCACAGGTTCTAAAAGTGATATTTGCAAACACAATGAAGTAATACATGTATTTTCAATAATAGTCCCCTACCTTAAAGAGAAATAATAAAAACAAATTTAAACAACCATGAATCCTATTTCGTGTCAGGTTCTTATACTCCAATTCCAGAGCTAGTCACTTAGCTGGTGGAACAGTCAATCACTAAATCTTTAGCCACATCCGGAAAATCAAATTATCGACAGTAAAAAAATTTAACTAGACCACTTTCCAGAAAATGAAGGCTTTCTATAAAACAATAAAACCAAATTAAAGCAACTCTGTTAAGAAAGTAAAAGCACCAGATCCATTAATGTGATGATGTGATGTTTAAAAATATCTCTGGACCGACAGAGACGACAGAATGAATGAAGAATGATGCACACATATACATTACTAAAATGCAACTCTAGCACAGAAACTAGAATGAAAAGCAAGCCTCCTGTGTGCATGTATGCATCTATGTATGCATGTGCACACACACTCATACATGCACACACATACAAACATTCTCCAAAAGACCCTCAAGGCAAACAACAGTGGTTACTACTGGGGAAGGGAGAATTGGGAGCTAGACAAAAGGAAGCCAAAAGTAAGAGTGAGAATTTGTACTTTTTAATTTTTTTTAATTTTTGAGAGTACATAGTAGGTGTACATGCTTAGGGGTACATAAGATGTTTTGATACAAGCATGCAATGTGAAATAACCACATCATGGAGAATGGGGTATCCATCCCTATACTTTTTATTTTTATAAGTTTTATTTCTAAATCGTTAGTGAAGTATCTAGTAAAAAATTATATAAAGTAAAATATCAATAAATAACATCCAAGCCTCATTTCATTAAAATACTATTAAGATTTCAGATAGCTATGCTCAAATACTTTAATATTTCACACATATTCTATTTTAAAACAGTTCTGTTATAAAAATTAACTGAAGGCTAATATTTCATTTTTATGAGTCATTCATAAATTATAAAATAGATTATATACATATATGCCTAGTAAGCAAACATGGAAAGAGATCAGTTTTATTCCTTCAAGATACTATACAGAGAAACCATTTGACACCTACGAACAGCTGGAACTCAGGAACTATTATTACACAGGGAATTTCTGTAAAAATGTAATAATAATGAAGACTATAAAGTCAAGAAACAATGTTTCGCCTTCCTTTTAATTATTCTTTTTGTTTGTTTGTTTGTTTGTTTGTTTTGAGACAAGGTCTTGCTTTGTTGCCCAGACAAGAGTGCAGTGACGCAATCTCCACTCATTGCAACCTCTGCCTCCGGGGCTCAAGCAATCCTCCTACATCAGCCTCAGGAGTACCTGGGACCACAAGTGCGTGCGACCATGCCCAGCTAATTTTTGTATTTTTAACAAAGTCAGGGTCTCACTATGTTGCCCAGGTTGGTCTCAAACTCCTGAGCTCAAGCAATCCACCTGCCTCAGCCTCACAAAATGCTGGGATTACAAGTGTGAGCCATCATGCGTGACCCTTTTAATTATTTTTTCTAAGTTTTTACAGAGAACACACTTTTCACAGAGCTGAACATCACTGGCAAAGGTGAGCAACTGTGCCAAATCTCATTGTGCCAAATTTCCTTGACTGGTAAAATGACTCTTACAGAGTCAGATAACAGAAGAATTAGTTTCTAACATTTCTTGAGATGTCTTCACTGCCTAATAATGACTTAATTCCCTAAGTAGTTTTCCCAGCCACTTAAAATGTTAAAGCTAATGAAACATAGAAATGTGTGACCTTGATAGGCTCTGCCAACAGTCTGTACTCACACTTTCCTCTAGGGTTCCATGACCTTGCCCCCTATTCTCTTTTTGTTGAATCTCGGATTGCCCCTGGGATCAATTAGCATATACGGCCCAAATGAGCGTACTTCATAAAATGCCCGCACTGCCACAGAAAGAGCTGGTCCCACAGGCAAAAGTTCATTTGACTTGAGGGAAAGAAGCCACATCAAAGTGAAAGCGCCGTTTGAGATGGGAACATAGAAGAGCAACACCTGCACCTTCTGCCTTCCATCACATCAGCTTCAAGAACCTTCGCCCACTGCTCCTTCTCATTACTGAGTTCCTTCTTCCATTCCTCACCCTACCCACAGCACACACACACAGCCTCAACACCAAACACACACACAGACAGACAGACACACACAGACACATACACACACAAATATATGTATTCACCACACTGACTTTTAGAAAAAGGTATGAGAAGAGCAAACAAAAGCAGAAAATCCACTGTCTTTTTTTACTGGAAGAACCAAAGGACAGAGTCCTGTGCAATCACCATCACTGAAAGTGAGGTGAGAGGAAACCCAGAAAGAAGAGAGCCACAGAGAAGAGGGGGCCCAAATTCTGTGTATAAATTTGGCCCAAACCTTGGACTGACCCCTGGACCATGCATGTAAGGAGCAAATTCAAGCAACACAGCTAAAAGAGCTGAACTGAGATGGTTGGAGCTGTACCAAGGAGACAGAATTTACAGTTTTAGTTCAACCAAATTAACTGCCTCCCAAAACCAAAAAAAAATCAACACTTTGAAGGAATATACCAGAGTTGCCATAACATAATAGTCCCACTCTCTAGGATACAATGCAAAATTATAGAACATATAAGGAAAGTGAAAAATATGACTCATTCTCAAGAAAAAAGATAAGGCCTACTGTGAGATTAGCCAGATTTTGAAATTTGCAGATAAGAAATTAAAGTAGATATTATAACTCTGCATTATGACATAGATAAAATGCTCTTGTAATAAATGAAAAATATAGCAAATCTCAGATGAGAAATAGAAGCTATAAAAATGTAAATTCTAGAACTAAAATAAATAGATGGAAAAATATATACCATGCAAATATAATCAAAATAAAGCTGAGGAGCTTTATTAATATCAAACAAAGTAACTTTCAGAACAAGAAATACTTCCAGGAATAACGAAATATATTTCATAATGATAAAAGGGTCAATTCAGGAAGAAGGCCTAAATCTCATAAATGTATGTGAACTTAATAACAGAGCTTCAAATTACATTTTTAAAAAAATTAACAGAATTAAGTGCAGTGTAGGAGGCACCAGGAATCTGTCTCCCCACCTAGACAACTGCACTGGCAGAATCTGTCTGATGTAATTATTTTGGAATTCCAGAGTCTATTCAAAGGATTGCAACTTTCAGAGGAAGTCCTGAACAGTAAATGCAAATTTTGGTCAATTTCAGCACATAGCAAGGTACAACTACCTATCCCCAAGTCCAAGAAACTGTGCATATGCTCCTGGAGAAGCTTCAGGCAGTTTGTGGGAACCATGGTGGGCAAAAAGGTCCATGTCCTATGAAAATTGGAAATCTGTGTTCTGATTGCTGACTGCTGCTTCTGATCTTGAAAGCACAGATACAGGGGGGCAGCCATTGTTGCAACTCTCCCTCCAATGTTGCAAGCCCCTCCCACTACAACAGAAGCAACTTCCAGAGGACTTAAGGGGCCAGCACCTTTGGTGTGGTTTTTTTGTTCTGTTTTTTTTCCTCTCCATTTTCTGTTTGGGGAGCCAGACATTTCAAAAACAGTATATTCAAAAGCAATCACTTATACAGGGAAATGTAGAAAATCACTGTACACACTCAGAGAAAGGCAGGGGCTTTTCCCTGAGAAGCCCTTAAATGTATACCTCAGGTTGATTACCAGCATAGAAACAGCCTATAGCAATCAAAAAACAAAAACTAAAATCAACAAACTCTGGGAAAGATGGGTATTGATTTCCAGAGTTACTGCATTATTAAATAATATTTGAATGTCTAGTTTCCAACAACAACAACAACAAAAAATCACAAGAAACAGAATAAGGCCCATTCAAAGAAACAAAAAAATATATAAACCAACAGAAACCATCCTGGAAAGACCAAATGGCAGACTTGCTAGACAAGGACTTTAAAACCACTATCTTAAAGATGCCAAAAGAACTAACGAAAGATGTATGTATGAAGAACATGGAAATATCAATGAAGAGATAGAAAACTTAAAACCAAAAATAAATTCTTGGGCTGAAAAATATAATAACTGAAATGAAAAACTCACTAGAGTGATTCAAAGGCAGTTTTGAGCAGGCAGAAAAATTAGTGACCTTGAAGATGGGAAAACTGAAATAATTGAGTATGAGGAACAGAAAAAAAAAGGTCTGAAGAAAAGTAAACAGACCTTAAGGGACCTGGGGACACCATCGAGTGGACCAACCTATACATTGCAGAAGTTCCAGAAGGAGAAGACACTGAAAAAGGGGTAGGAGATTATCCAAACAAATAATGCCTAAAAACTTTCCAAATTTGATTTAAAAAACATGAATATAAACATCCAAGAAACTCAACAAATTCCAAATAGGATGAACTTAGAAAGACCCACACCAATATATGTTATAATAAAATTGCAAGGCTGGGCACGGTGGCTCACGCCTGTAATCCCAGCACTTTGGGAGGCTGAGGCAGGCGGATGACCTGAGGTCAGGAGTTCAAGACCAGCCTGACCAACATGGAGAAACTCCGTCTCTACTAAAAATACAAAATTAGCCAGGCATGGTGGCGCACGCCTGTAATCCCAGCTACTTGGGAGGCTGAGGCAGGAGAATTGCTTGAACCCAGAAGGTGGAGGTTGTGGTGAGCCAAGATCGTGCCATTGCACTCCAACCTGGGCAACAAGAACAAAACTCCGTATCAAATAAAAAATTTAAAAATTGCAAAAAGACAAAGACTCTTAAAAGCAACACAAGAGAAGCAACTCATCACATACAATGGACTGTTAATAAGAATATCAACAGATTTCTCATCAGAAACTTTGGAAGCCAGAAGGAAGTGGGCTGATATATTCAAAGTGCTGAAATAAAAAAAAAATTCAAACAAGAATTCTAAATCCAGCAAAACTGTCCTTCAAAAGTGAAGAAGAAACTCAGACATTCCCAGACAAACAAAAACTGAAGGAGTTTATTACCACTAGACTTGCCCTGTAAGGAATGCTAAAAGGATTCCTGCTGGTTGAAATGAAAGGACATTAGCTAGTACCTCAAAGCCATAGGAAGAAATAAATTTACCTCAGTGAAGGTAATACACGAACAATTATAAAAGCCAGTGTTATTTTGTTAGTTTGCAACTCCAGTTTTTGTATTCTATATGATTTATGAGACTAATACATTTTTGAGAAATTATTATTAGCTTAAAAGCTAGTAGTAGGCCAGGAGCAGTGGCTCATGCCTGTATTCCCAGCACTTTGGAAGGCCGAGGCAGGAGGATTGCTTGAGCCCAGGAGTTCAAGACCACCCCTGGCAACATAGTGAGACTCTATCTCTACAAAAAAATATTAAAAATTAGCCAGTCGTGGTGATGTGCACCTGTAGTCCCAGCTACTCAGAAGGCTGAAGTGGGAGGATTGCTTAAGCCTGAGGTCAAGGCTGCAGTAAGCCATGGTCGTGCCACTGCACTCCAGCCTGGGCAAGAGAGCAAGACCCTATTTCAAAATAAAAAATAAAAATAAAAAAGCTATTATTATAATAACTTTGGTTTGTAACTCCACATTTTGTTTTCCACATTATTTAAGAGATTAATACATAAAAATTATTAGTTTATGTTTTCAGACACACAATATATAAATTTGTAATTTGATAACATCAATAACTGAAAGTTAAGTGTGGACGAAGCAGTATAGGAACAGAGTGTTTACATATAAATAACAAGTACTAAAATGACAAGTCTCTCCTTATCAGTGATTACTTCAAATGTAAATGGATTAAATTCTCCACTCAAAACATAGAGACTGGCAGAATGCATTTTTTTAAAAATATGTTTTTGTATACGTGGGTTCACACACAAAAACAGAAACAGAAAAAATTAGCTAACTATATGCTGTCTCTGAAACACTCACTTTAGATCTAGAGATACAAATAGGCTGAAAGTAAAAGGATGGAAATAAGTATTCCAAAGCAAATAGCACCCAGAAGAGAGCAGGGGTGGCTATAAATAAACCAGTCATAAAAAGACAAATACTATATGATTTCACTTACATAAGGTACCTAGAATAGTCAAATTCACAGTGACAAAAAGTAAAATTGTGGTTTCCAGGGACTGTGAGGAGAAGGAATGAGGATTTATTGTTTAATGGGTACAAAGTTTATTTTGTAAGATGAAAAGAAGGGCTGGGCGGGGTGGCTCACGCCTGTAATCCCAGCACTTTGGGAGGCCGAGGCGGGCGGATCACGAGGTCAGGAGGTCGAGACCACGGTGAAACCCCGACCCTACTAAAAATACAAAAAAGTAGCCGGGCACGGTGACAGGCGCCTGTAGTCCCAGGTACTCGGGAGGCTGAGGCAGGAGAATGGTGTGAACCCGGGAGGCGGAGCTTGCAGTGAGCCGAGATCGCGCCACTGCACTCCAGCCTGGGCGACAGAGCGAGACTCTGTCTCAGAAAAAAAAAAAAAAGAAAGAAAAGAAAAGGAAAGAGATTTGGAGATGAATAGTGATGATGGTTGCACAACAACGTAAATGTACTTAATGCCACTAAACTGTACACGTAAAAATGGTTAAGACAGTAAATTTTCTGTTATTAGACATGTATTAGTTTTTAAAAAAGAAATTAAATGGAGAAAAGACAACTTCACAATCATAGTTGAAGATTTTTAACACCCTTCTTTTGGTAATTGATAGAACAAGACACAAGTTAAGCGGAGACACAAAAGATGTGAATGACACTTTCAAACACTTCGACATAATTAATATTTATAGATACTCCCAATGACTGCAGAATGCACATTCTTTTCAAGTGCACATGGCACATTCACCAAGATAGACCATATGTTGGGTCATAAAACAAGTCTCAGTAAATTTAAAAAGACTGAGAGCATATGCCCTCTGTCCACAATGGAACTAAACTAGAAATCAATATTTAGAAAAACTATTAATATCTAGAAATTAAACAGCATACATCTAAGTAATACATGTATCAAAGAATAAATTGCAAAGGAAATTAGAAAATATTTCCAATTAAGTAATAATAATAAGCATATCAAAATTTGTGAGCTGCAGCTAAAGCAGTACTTAGCAATTTGGAGTATTCTATGCTTATGGTAGAAAAGTCTAAAATCAATGATCTAAGCTTCCATCTTAAGAAGTCAGAAAATGAAGAACAAAATAAACCCAAAGTAAGTCAGAGGAAGCAAATAATAAAGAGCAGAAACCAATGAAATAGAAAACAAACAATTGAGAAAATTAACAAAAGCTAGTTATTTGAAAAGATTAACAAAATTGATAAACTCCTAGCTAGATTGATCAGTTTTAAAAAAAATAGAGAAAATAAATTAATTACCAGTATTAGGATGCAAAAGGAGTTGTCAACAAAGATTCCTTAGATGTTAGAGGGATAACATTAACTTTAAGCCCCCAAATTTGACAACTTAAATGACATGGACAAATTAAAATTTGTCAGAAATTAACAGAAATCAAGACAACTCCATAATTATAAATACAGATTTTAATATCTCTCTGAAAATCCTCAGAAAACAGGAGGAAAAAACACTTCCCAACTTTTCTTAGAAGATTTGCATAGCCCTAATTCCAAAACTGGCCAAAGGCATTAGACAAAAAGAAAATTGCAGACTCATTACCTACAAATTTAGACAAAAAAAGCAAAATCCCCCTCCTACCCTTAAGAATTACAAATTTACCTAAAATTCTATGAAACAAATTGATTTTGCAGATAAACAAGCAGAAGCATTAAGGTTTTATAAAATCATCAGAGAAGACTAGAAGTAAATACAAATCCTAGTTTGACCTCCTCTTATTAACTCTGCAACTTCGGTCTAGAGATTTATCCCTTCTAAGCCTCAATTTCTTCACCTACAAATGGGGCTAACAGTACCTGCCTCATAAAATTCCTGTATTACTTTGAATTCAAAAGAAAGAAGTGTAAAGTATTTCTATCTGCCATAGGACCACCCCATTGCAACTGTGAAAGTTATGCACAACCTCGGTAAACAGCATCCTCTTAAATTGAGCAGTACACAACCCACTTGGTGGTACATGGAGGCTTTGCTGGGTGCCTAAAAAATTTTAACAACAAAAAAAGCTAAAACATTATATAGCAGGAAAAAAAGATGTTTGGTCAGGAAATACAACTTCATGTGCCTATAAAACTATGAAACAGTAGTAAGTTATTCTAGCCATGTTATTAACATTTCATTTTCTAAGCTACCATCTGTTTATAATATTTTACATTATTAGATTTTCAAATCTCTCAAAATATTTGATACAAAGCTTATGCTTGAAGTTTCCAGTGGAAGCCCCGCAATGAACTACATGCCCTACGTCAAGGTTACTTTCCTAAAACTACATTGACAGACAAGATGATAGCCATGTTCCTTATCTAGTATTATACAAGGAAACTATGTGTAATGGCAAGATTAAACAAGACATAGTGTTTGTTTTCTCATTATTTTCACATATGAACTTCATGGCTCCCTCCTTACCTGATTTGTGTTTCGAATTTGTGGTCACCCCATCAAATTCAGATTTATCAATTTCCCATGCGAGAGGTAGCTTGCCCAGGCTGTTGGATAAGTTTTCCAAGCTATTTTCTTCATTGTAGATAATTTCCGATGTACTAGTCGGGATACCAATGTATCTTGATGAATTATTTCCAGCAGATAAAGAGGTACTATCAGGGAGGCAAGGAGAGCGGGATGGATTTGGAGTTTTATAGATTGAGGTCGCCTGGTTGAGAAAGGCATAGTCCGAACAGATGGCATAAATTTTTTCCCGTGTATGAGTCACTGGACAACTCCATGGATAATGACCATCTCCTTTGGGACCCAAGGGTGCTCCTGAGGCACTTGTGCAGAAAGATTTTACAGCACCTTGTAGATTCTCTTCAGGTGACTTTCTCTCAGATTTGTGCTCACCATTTCCAGAATCATTTGACCTTTCTGTTTCTGCAACGTTAGGCATTGAATGCAGTGTAAAAGTTTCTATTACTAGAAACAAGTTGCAACTCTATCTGTTTCTTGATAAACAACTTTGACAATTGTTTACAGCATGCTATAAAAGCTTGAGAGCTGCAAAATGAGCTCCTAAGAGGAAGGAAAAAGAATGATCAACAATCCACCAGATACACAAAGAGCCACTAAAAAGCATAGCAAGTTTTATGCATACATATGCCTTCATTCTATATTAATTTTACAACTACTATATGACTGGAGTCACAATCACTATCTTATTTTTTAAATTAGTCTAAAATATGCATTAAATTATTTTCAAATAATTAAAAAATAATTAAAAAGCAAATAGCCCAATTTTTTTTTTTTTGAGATGGAGTTTCACTCTTGTTGCCCAGGCTGGAGTGCAATGGCACAATCTCGGCTCACCGCAACCTCCGCCTCCCGGGTTCAAGTGATTCTCCTGCCTCAGCCTCCCAAGTAGCTGGGATTACAGGCATGCGCCACCACGCCCGGCTAATTTTGTATTTTTAGTAGAGATGGGGTTTCTCCATCTTGGTCAGGCTGGTCTCAAAATCCCGACCTCAAGTGATCTGCCCACCTCTGCCTCCCAAAGTGCTGGAATTACAGATGTGAGCCACCATGCCCGGCCAGCAAATAGCCCAATTTTTAAAAATGGGCAAAGTATCTGAATAGTGTCTTCTCCAAAATCAGTACAGAAATTGCCAATAAGGCCAGGCGCAGTCACTCACACCTGTAATCCAGCACTTTGGGAGGCCAAGGCAGGTGGATCACTTGGGGTCAGGAGTTCGAGACCAGCCTGGCCAACATGGTGAAACCCCGTCCCTTCTAAAAATACAAAAATTAGCCAGGCATGGTGGCACATGCCTGTAGTCCCAGCTACTCAGGAGGCTGAGACATAAGACTCACTTGAACCTGGGAGGTAGAGGTTGCAGTGAGCCGAGATCGCGCCACTACACTCTAGCCTGGGCAACAGAGCGAGACTGTATCAAAAATAAAAATAAATGGCCAATAAGCACATGAAAAGATGCTCAGTATCATTAGCCATCATGGAAATACAAATCAAAACCACAATGAGATTAACACCTCACACACGCTAGAATGGCTATAATCAAAAATGTTGGTGAGGACGTGGAGAAATCATAACCCTCATACATTGCTAATGGAAATGTAAAATGGTCCAGTTGCTTTGGAAAACAGTTCTTCCAACAATTAAACAGAGTTACCATATGGTCCAGCAATTTCATGCCAAGGTATATATCCGTGACAGATGAAAATACATCTTCACACAAATGTTAATAGCAGCATTATTCATAATGGCCAAAAAATGGAAACAACCCAAATGTCCACCAACTGAGGAATGTATAAATAAAATGTGGTATATCCATACAATGGAATATTATTTGGCAATAAAAAGAAATGAAGTACTGACCCATGCTACAACATGGATGAACCCCGAAAACATTATAGTGAGTAAAAGAAGATCGTCACAAAGGACCAGATAGTGTATTATTCTATTTATATAACATGTCCAGAACAGGCAAATCTATGCAGACAGAAAGTAGATTCATGGTTTCCTAGGGCTTGGGGTTTGGGGGTGATGGAGTTTCTTTTTGTAATAATGATAATATTCTATAAATGATTGTGGCAATGAACACACAACTTGTAAATACCCTAAAAGCCAATGAATTGCATAACTTAATGGGTAAATTATATGGTGTGTGAATTATACCTCCATAAAGTTGTCTAAAAAATAATGTATTAGCAAGATTTTTTACGTACATAGGCATAAAGGATACATGATGAATAACGGCCACAGATTTAAATAAACACAGAATACAGAAAGTAAATTTTCCAAAGATTCATCACCTGACAGAAAAACGGATCCAATCAAGGTGTCACTAACTTCTGATCAGTTTCAGGAAAAACTGAATTTCAAGTCTAAACTGATTCCTTTAGGGAAGAAAACAGAAAGCTTAAATAGCAACTGAGGGCATGCAAGGAAGCTGAAGATTTATACCAGAGGAAGTCCTTGGTGAATTGAACCATCCCAGGACACGCAGCAGACAACCCCAGGCAGGTGCCCGGGCAGGGTATGCGGGTTTCTCAGGGCTCCAGCAACAGAGCATCAGTTGAGAGATTCAGTCCACCCTGGGTGATCAGTTGGACTTTTACCAGTTAATATCTCTGCCCATTTGCTTACTTAAAAAATTAGAAATAAAAATAACTGTCATGGGTTACCAAAAATAGTATCAAAACCATCATACAAATATTGAACAACGAAAGCCTATGAGTTAGGCTGCAAGAAATAGAAGACGATTCACACAAGAGCCCCCTAGGTTATCCTGATCTGTGAGGAGAAACTAGCAAAGGTACTGCATGGCTTTCATGGAATTTAAGGAAACAGAGCTGCATATTAGGACTCCACATATGCTAGGCAAAATTCCATTTTCTTTACTTTTAAAGCATGCTTTTTCTCTATTCAAACCTTCAGTTTTTAGGCCTGGTGTGGTGGCTCATGCCTGTAATCCCAGCACTTTGGGAGGCTGAGGCGGGTGGATCATTTGAGGTCAGGAGTTCAAGACTAGCCTGGCCAATATGGTGAAACCCCATCTCGACTGAAAATTTAAAAATTAGCCAGACAGTAAGGGCCGGGTGCAGTGGCTCACACCTGTAATCCCAGCACTGTAGGAGGCCGAGGCGGGTGGATCATGAGGTCAGAGTTCGAGACCAGCCTGGCACACAGGGTGAAACCCTGTCTCTACTAAAAAACACAAAAAAATTAGCTGGGCATGATGGCGCGCACCTGTAATCACAGCTACTTGCGAGGCTGAGGCAGGAGAACGGCCTGAACCCAGGAGGTGGAGGTTGCAGTGAGCTGAGATCCTGCCATTGCACTCCAGCCTGGGTGACAGAGTGAAACTCCATCTCAAAAAAAAGATAAAAATTAGCCAGGCGGTAGTGACGCATGCCTGTAATCCCAGCTACTCGGGAGGCTGAGGCAGAATTGCTTGAGGCTCGAAGGTGGAGGTTGCGTTGAGCCAAGATCGCGCCACTGCACTCCAGCCTGGGTGACCTGCACTCCATCTTGTCTCGAAACGAACAAACAAACAAAAAACTCTTCAGTTTTAAAATAATTTGTGCAGAGTTTATAGTTGTTTGCAAGAGGGTCAGTTGGATAGGAATATTACCACGAAAGGTGGAACCTCCTGTGGTTTCACTTTGAAAACTTTCACTTTCTTTTGGTAAAAAAAATTCTTGGAGTAGTTGTAGTGGGTCCTCAAGTGGAAGTGGTGCTCTCTCCTTATTCATCTGGTGGTGCAACGGTGATGGCAGAGGGAAGCTCAGTACCTGGCGTTGTTCAGACCAAACTCTTGTCTTTTTGGAAGACAGAGTTGCTCTGATTCTCAGCAGATGTCCTAACATAGCATTTTCTACTTCTCATCTGTGACCTTCATGCCTTTCTCTACATCAGTGTGGTGGACAGAGAGGTAGGTATTTGTGGTATTGGGGTCGTGGGGGTGGGCTGTGCGAGGTGAGGAATGAAAGAGCATATAGTCTCGGTGAGAGGCAATAGACAAAGGTTATTAGAGTGAGTTTGGTGGCGAGACGGAAATGTTCCAGGCCCTGCCCCTTTTATATCCTCATCTCAGACTTGGCTTCCACTTTCCCAGGGCTTCCTTCCTCACACTGAATGGAATTTTGCCTGTGGGACCAGCTCTCTGTGTGACAGTGTAGGGATTTGATTTGATTTTTTTAAATGGAATCTCACTCTGTTGCCCAGGCTGGAGTGCAATGGCCGGATCTCAGCTCACTGCAACCTCTGTCTCCTGGATTCAAGAGATTCTCCTGCCTCAGCCTCTGGAGTAGCTGGAATTACAGGCAGGTGCCACCATGCCTGGCTAATTTTTGTATTTTTAGTAGAGATGGGGTTTCACCACGTTGGCCAGGCTGGTCTGGAACTCCTGACCTCAGGTGATCTGCTGGCCTCGGCCCCCCAAAGTGCTGGGATTATAGGAATGAGCCACTGCACCTGGCAGGGATTGTAAAAGTATGCTCATTTGGAACATATATAGAATAACCTTTTTTTTTTTTTTTTTTAAGAAACAGGGTCTTGCTATGTTGCCTAGGCTGGTCTTGACCTCTTGGCTTCAAGCAATCCTCCCGCCTCAGCCTCCCAAATTGCTGGCATTACAGGCACAAGCCACCATGCCCAGCCATGGAGAATATTCTTATCAAAAACATAGGCAAAGGGAAATGACTGCATTTAAGCACAAAAGTTGGGGGTAAGCTTCCTGGACGCTAAAGATAGAACACAGCACTAGATTAATAAAAAGAGTAACAGTGTGAGCCAGGCACAGTGGCTCATACCTGTAATATCTATGCTTTGGGAGGCTGAGGCAAAAGAATCACTTGAGGCCAGGAGTTTGAGGCTGCAGTGAGCTATGATCACACCACTGCACTCTAGCCTGGGCAACAAAGCAAGACTCTGTCTCAAAAAAAAAAAAAAAAAAGGAAAGAGAGAAAAAAGTAACAGTCTGGTTTGTTTGTGTTTTTAGTTTGTTTGCTTTTAAATAATGGTCACGGAACAAGATGATTTATTTGGTCGAAGTTTTAGCAAAAAAAAAATGAAGATCATCAATATAAGGATGCATTTTATATTGACTGTCACTAAAATCCAAGGGCATGAAACATTCTCATTGGAAACTATATGTAAATTTCTCTTTGAAAATGTAATATTCATAGATTTTATAAGTAAAACATTACAAAAAAATGCAAAGTACCAAAAGATATTACAGGAAAATGGAAATTACCCAAATCCCACGACCCAAACACTGCTAGTGTTTACTTTCTTTCCACACTGTCTCACGTCTATTCTCTCCACTATAGTGAGAGCCCCAAGAGGCCAAGGGGGCTTCTATTATTGCATGCTCAGATTCTAGCTTTCTTAAAGTACACTAAGCACAATTTATTACTGATAATACTAATAACAGAATCATTATAGACAATACTGAGCTATAGAGAGGCAGTTTGTCCCTCCACTTAATAGGCTGCAGCTGTCACTGTTTTGACTCATCTTTTATCTCCTTTTGTTTCTCTATTTATAAACTATTCCCAGTGAGTTGACACTTCTAACCTGACCTGTGCAGAGATATTAGAAAATAAAGTTTGCTACATATATATGATCACAGAACTCCTCTGCCTGAAAGCCTCTGCTCTTAGAACAAAAGGCCAACTCCTGATGGTCCCTAGATCTATCTGGTTAGCTCCATCTCATTCCTTTCCCCCACCCCCCAAGCTCCACATTACTTTTTGGTTCTCCCAATACTGTCTCCCTTACTTAGCTCATTCCCATTCATCTTTCCAATGTCAGCTCAAATGTCACTTTCTGGGGGAAACCTTCTTGGCTTCTCAAACTAGGCCAGGTGACCCGGTACAGACTCTAGTACCTTCCTCACACAGGTCTTACCAGGTGGCAATTTTACACTTACTTCTGTGCATATCTGTTCATATGATCAACGTCTGCATCCTGCAAGTCTGGTTTTCCAGATTATTGTATCCCCAGGGCCTAGGATTTGTAGACGTCTCATTCAACAGATAATTTTTAAGTGTTTGCATCATGCCAGGCATTACTGTAGGCCCTCATTTTGATTGATTGCGGTTCCCTCTTCCAGGCAAGTGAGGTGTTGCTATATTAAGATTTACTAAGCCGGCGTGGTGGCTCACACCTGTAATCCCAGCACTTTGGGAGGCTGAGGCGGGTGGATCATCTGAGGTCAGGAGTTTGAGGCCAGCCTGGCCAACATGGTGAGACCCGTTTCTACTAAAAAAAAATAAAAAATAAAAAAATACAAAATTAGCCGTGCATGGTGGCGCATGCGTGTAGGCCCAGCTACTCAGGAGGCAAGGCTGGAGAATCGCTGAACACCAGAGGTGGAGGTTACAGTTGCACCATTGCACTCCAGCCTGGGCGATCAGAGCAAAACTCCGTCTCAAAAAAAAAAAAAAAAAAATTTACTACTAAGAATGACTGCAGGACCTCAGGCTCAACTAATAGCTTACTCATAAAATCATGTCATAAGCAATAGAAATATGGTTTGCTCGTATGCAAAGCAAAAATTTATAAAATGGCAAGTTTAAAAAGCACCGCCAGAGTCATGATTGTTCAAAGTCACTGAACGAAGTGTTCTGTAAAATAAACGTCCATTTGTAAAGCCAATCTTCATCGCCTAGGTTGTAGTCTTTTCAGGTTATATTTTGTCTGTATTCTCAAGTATCAAGTTTATGAGAGAACCAAACATCTCTAAAAACCTCTTCAGTAAAGCCTTTTCGTATAACAAAATACCCTGATCGATATCCTGTATAGAAGGCAACTGAGGAGCAGGGGCATTCCGGTGACCTCGTAAGGGTCGAATATGCGCGGGAGGGCGAAACCAGAGGCGCATAGCCCCCGGCCGAGCTAATGCCACCCTTCCCACCCGGTGTCCTCCCGCGCCCTCCAGGCCCCTTCCTCCCCTTCAGACCTGCGGGTCCCCAGAGCCGAGGCGCCAGCCTGTCAAAAGATACCGGGAGTCCTCCGCGCCTGGCGCCAGCCTCCAGCCCGCGCCCCTGGGGAGGCCGGGAGCGTTTCCACCACCGTCCTCTGACAAGCTCGCCGCTCGGCCGGGCTCCGAGGCCGCCGGGACGGAGTAGACAGTCGCGCAGGCCAAGCCCCGCCGCGCAGAACCAGTGCGCGCGGAGGCGACGCGGGCAGAGAGGAAGGAGCGCGGCTGCGCTCCCTGCCCGTGGCCAACCCAGCCCGCGCCTCCGCGCGTGTCGCGGGCACCCCGAGTCCCCAGCCCGCAGAGCCCAAGGGCCGCCGAGGCCTCCTCGCCCCTACTCCCTCCTCTACCTTCCCTCACCGGCCGGAAGACGAGGCTCTCCGCCAGGGGGAGCGCGCCGAGGCCCGGGGGTGACCGCCTCGAACATGCTTGCCCCGGGCCCCGGGGACGCTGTTGGTGTTAAAGGGGGCCCACGGGCAATTGCTGCATCCGGGCTAAGAGCTGGGGCTCCGATTCGACTGTTTGAGTAAACGAGTCGGTATCATTAATAATGACAATTGCACAAAAGAAAATAGGAAAGAAACCCCCTTTCCTGGCGCCGAACCAGGCCCGCCTTGGCTCGGAGCCACCGGCTCTTCTGGGTTTTCGGGGCAGCTGGCAAGAGGGAGGCAGGCAGAGGAGGCGGCTCCGGGTCCGACTGCCAAGCTGACCAGGGCGGTGAGCCCGTGACTCCTGGCGGCGGCCCAGACCCGGGTGCTGGCGTGCAGGGGAAGGCGACGGCCGCTGCGCGCTGGTTCCCGGACCCTGCCCAGCGTGGCGTGGAGACCGACGGCCGCACAGGGGTCACCGGTATCCACATGGACACCTCCTAATCGAGCTTTGTTCACCAGAGGGCTAGGCCCTTCTTTCCCTGGCGCTTCTCTTCCCCCCGCGACACAGCTCTTCCCCCTACTCCTTCCCGGGAGAGCGCGCACCCATGCAGTGGCCTCCATCTGGACGCCACGGGGCTCGGAGAGGCGATGACCCCTGGCAGCCCAGGCCGGTATCGAATTAAGTAAAAATTTTGAATGCCCAGGTGGCTGCGCGTAGAGCGGCAGCAGGCCGGGCTGGCGGCGCCCAGGTGCCCAGCGGAGGGCCAGGCGCTCAGAGCGCACAGCCGGCCGCCACCTCGGCCCCTGCCCCCCGCCCCGGGGTACCTCTGGCCTGTCGGGTGGGGTCGGGTCGCTGCGGCCGCGGCGGAACCCGGCTCCGGACCTGGATCACAGCATCCAGCGCGCGGCCGGCGAGGCGCCTCCTGTTACCCTGGGGCCGGCGTCCCTCGTCCCATCGGAGCGAGCGAGGATGCTGCGGTGCCCGGCGACAGGTCGTCGGATAGCATTGACAGCACCTTCCTTTCAAGGTGCTTTATGCCTGCCCTCTCCACGTGCGGAGGGCAGGGTGACCAACGCAAAAACCTGAGCTGCGCCTCCAGACCCGTGCGCCCCTTTGATGGGCATCTGTGGTGTTTATCTGTCCCCCGAAAGCGGTGACCGAGAAGTAAATAAATGGGCGAGAGGTGGTAAAATCCTGGCAGTATTTCCGCTCGTCCTGTCGCGAACTACATATCCCAGGGAGCCCGGGGCGCCGGGACGCGTGTCCACCCCGCCATCCACTTGGAGAAGGCGTTACTGAGCCTGGCCCGACGCACGGGCCAATCCCCTCGCCCTACACCTTGGCTGGAACCTGAGACGGATTCGCTCCCAAATGATGCTCCAGTGGCAGGAGCAACTCAAGTTCATCATTGTCCTGAGAGAGAGGAGCAGCGCGGTTCTCGGCCGGGACAGCAGAACGCCAGGGGACCCTCACCTGGGCGCGCCGGGGCACGGGCTTTGATTGTCCTGGGGTCGCGGAGACCCGCGCGCCTGCCCTGCACGCCGGGCGGCAACCTTTGCAGTCGCGTTGGCTGCTGCGATCGGCCGGCGGGTCCCTGCCGAAGGCTCGGCTGCTTCTGTCCACCTCTTACACTTCTTCATTTATCGGTGGATCATTTCGAGAGTCCGTCTTGTAAATGTTTGGCACTTTGCTACTTTATTGCTTCTTTCTGGCGACAGTTCCAGCACTCGCCGAGACCGGCGGAGAAAGGCAGCTGAGCCCGGAGAAGAGCGAAATATGGGGACCCGGGCTAAAAGCAGACGTCGTCCTTCCCGCCCGCTATTTCTATATTCAGGCAGTGGATACATCAGGGAATAAGTAAGTCGAGAAACGGCTCCTTACCTATTTTGGATGGCGGTTAAATCTGTTTCTCCCTTTAAGATTTTTCTTTCCAAGAACTCGTTTCTCCACAGCAGTTTATATTCCAGGATATTTGGTTACCCATTTTTCTCTGTAGCTGTAGAAATTGTTCCGAATTATAATATATGCAATATAATGTATTGTATATAACATATAAAATAATCTCCTAGCAATTTTGATTCAGATTCCCACATTATCAGGGCAAGACAAAGTCCCTCCACTTTGCTGGAAATACTGTTTCTAACTACTTTTCGCATAAGCTATTATAAGGGATTTAAACCTAGTTGTTAGAGACTTGATGGGCTTCATCTTTCTCTGGTGCGGCCCTCAATTTTCAAGGAGACATCTGCAGGTAAGCATGTTTTGAAACTGAAAAAGAAAAATGAAGTACTATTTGAAACTTCAGAGTTCGGAAGGAAAGTATCGAAGTATTAATCTCCTATATGATTGTAACAAATATTTTGTTCCAATGAATTTAATACTTTAACATCATACTTAAAACTTATTTTTATAATTCCTATACTTCTGAAATGATTGTCTCTATTATTGGTGGATGCTGACTGTGTGTATTTCATACAGAAAAAAATACTGGAATAAAAGGTTGTCAAGTAAAAGGCAGGTTGTAAATTTTGTTATTTGGCAAAAGATGATACACTACCTACTACTTTGCTTTTGCCCATGGCTGAGCGTGAGTTTTTTTTTTTTAAGACAGGGTTTCACTTCCTAGCCTAGTCTGGAGTGCAGTGGTGCAATCACAGCTCACTGTACCCTCAACCTCCCAGGCTGAAGCTATCCTCCCACCTCAGCCTCCCTAGTAGTTGGGACTACAGGCGTGTGCCACCTCGCCTGGCTATTTGTTTTTTATTATTATTATTATTATTTGTAGAGACAGGATCTCACCTTGTTGCCCAGGCTGATCTCGAACTCCTGGCCTCAAGCAGTCTTCCCTCCTTGGCCTCCCAAGATGTTGAGATAGTAGGCATGGGCCACAGTGCCAGGCCTGAGCGTGATTTATAATACTGATATTGTAAAGATTCATTGGCAGAGATTTTTCAAAATAAGATCATTATCTTTGGGAGCATCATTTGATCACAAATATCCAGATGTGATAGCATGAAATAAGTTAGTAAGAATATTTTTCCATATGGAATGCATGAGTATGTTCTGTGCTTATATAGATTAATAGTCTTAACATACTCCATTGTGACTGTTTAATGAAACTGTTTCATGTTATCTTGGCCATTGTCATCCTCATTTTTTTAAATCTCTGATCCATCATATTCATTCTGGTACTAAAAGCATAAGAGAAGAAGAAGCAATCATATGTTAGAGGAAGAATGTGGAGGAGAATAATCAAGTTTCCAGACTGAAGAGCATAACCTTTGTGTGTTTGTTCGTTAAAATCTGTTTATCTCCCCCATTGCCTTTTCATCACAGATTCACATCTTCTCCAGGCGAAAAGGTCTTCCAGGTGAAAGTCTCAGCACCAGAGGAGCAATTCACTAGAGTTGGAGTCCAGGTTTTAGACCGAAAAGATGGGTCCTTCATAGTAAGATACAGAATGTATGCAAGCTACAAAAATCTGAAGGTGGAAATTAAATTCCAAGGGCAACATGTGGCCAAATCCCCATATATTTTAAAAGGTAATTTGGAATATAATTTTATAACAGCAGTATTTGAATAAAATAATATATGTTATTCCATCAACAAAAACAACTTGGCATGATATATATATATATATATATATTTTTTTTTTTTTTTTTACTGAAAGAAGAAAAATAAAGGCTTTCTACTTGAAAGCTAAGTTATGAGTCCTGGTAAAAAGACATTCAAGATTTGAACGGAAATTCTGATTTGCTAAAGAGCAAGGAACATATTAGTAGAGAATTTACTCCGCGAAGACATACATTAGCAAGAATAATCAAGCTGTGTTCATGCTCATATATGATACTTTCTTAATTGGAAATATATGACTTAAGTAACTGATAAGTGTTATTGAAATTAGGTAGATCACTTCAGGAAGGGAGATAGCTCGAAAGACAAGGAGCGCACTGGTGGTTGTTTTTTTGTCTTTGTTCCAATGCCATTTTCCCAGAGAAATTCTCTGACATTTATTTATTTATTTATTTATTTATTTTTTTTTTTTTTTTTTTGAGGCAGAGTCTCGCTCTGTCACAAGGCTGGAGTGCAATGGCGCAGTCTTGGCTCACTGCAAGCTCCGCCTTCCGGGTTCAAGCGATTATCCTGCCTTAGCCTCCCATGTAGCTGGGATTACAGGCACGCACCACCATGCCAGGCTAATTTTTGTATTTTTAGTAGAGACAGGATTTCACCATGTTGACCAGGATGGTTTCGATCTCTTGACCTCATGATCTGCCTGCCTCAGTCTCCCAAAGTGCTGGGATTACAGGTGTGAGCCACCATGCTCGGCCATTCTGATGTTTCTTATATAGGATGAGAGTACAGTTTTATTACCTAGAGCCATCTCCTTCCCTCTTACAGGCGACAGTACCACAAGACAGTAGGGAAGCAGTGTATATACAAAGGCAGAAATCTTGTCCCCCCCTTAACAACCCCAAGAAAAGTAAACTTTTTTTTTTTTATTTTTGTGAACTCTGCAGAGAAGTAAGAAAAGGTAAACACTTTTCAAGAGTGTCTAGGTTCCTTTCCTACATTCTGCCAGTACAGCCTGGTACAGTATCACCCACTAAACCTTAAAAAGATATTCCATTGTCAGCCACTGCCTGGGTTAGGTGGGATCTGAGAATTATAAAAAGGAATAACAGTAAAAACCTCAGTGCAGACTGTAATTAATTTGTTATAAAATTAGTGAAGTGGACTGTTTTGAGAATTACTTTTGCTTCTTTTTGTTGCCGTTGTTGTTGAGACAGGGTCTCGCTCTGTTGCCCAGGCTGGAGTGCAGTGGTGCAATCACTGCTTACTGCAGCCTCGACCTCCTGGGTTCAAGCAATCCTCCCACCTCAGCTGCATGAGTAGCTGGGACTACAGGCACTCACCACCATGCCCCACTAATTTTTGTATTTTTTGTAGAAACAGGGTTTTGCCATGTTGCTCAGACTGGTCCCGAACCCTGGAGCTCAAGTGATCTGCCCACCTCAGTCTCCCAAAGTGCTAGGATTACAGGCGTGAGCCACTGTACCCAGCTACTTTTGCTTTTTTTTTTTTTTTTTTTTTTGAGACGATGTCTCGCTCTGTCACTAGCCTAGAGTGCAGTGGTGCAATCTCGGCTCACTGCAAGCTCTGCCTCCCGGGTTCAAGCGATTCTGCTGCCTCAGCCACCCAAATAGCTGAGACTACAGGGACGCGCCACAACACCTGGCTAATTTTTGTATTTTTAGTAGAGACGGGGTTTCACCATGTTGACCAGGATGGTCTCGATCTCCTGACCTCGTGATCCGCCCGCCTCAGCCTCCCAAAGTGCTGGGATTACAGGCATGAGCCAAGAACCCAGCCTACTTTTCCTCCTTAATAATTCTTAAAAAAAAAAAAAAAAAGAATAGCAGTTCCTTGTTTATTTTTGCTGTTATTGATGATTTACTTATTGAGAAAAGTACCTTAGACACTTTAAGAACCTGTTTGTATAACAGACCATCAAAATAGTAAATCATATCACTTTTGTCTTTCATTAAAATAGGTATGCTCCTCTGATACCCTTTTACCAGTATTTGGTTATTCTTCAGTCTGCAAAACATAAGGAATAATGAGCTGTAATATTACCATAGACATAAACCAAGTATCTGTTGTCTTTCTTTTATTTTTTGAAACAAGAGTCTCACTCTGTCCCCCAAGCTGGAGCACAGTGGCACAATCTCCGCTCACTGCAACCTTCACCTCCCAGATTCAAGCTATTGTCATGCCTCAGCCTCCTGAGTAGCTGAGATTTCAGGCACACACCACCATACCCAGCTAAACTTTTTTGTATTTTTAGTAGAGATGGGGTTTCAACATGTTGGCCAGGCTGGTCTCAAACTCCTGACCTCAAGTTATCCACCCACCTCAGCCTCCCAAAGTGCTGGTATTACAGACGTGAGCCACTGCACCCAGCCTCTATTTCCTTTCTTTTGAACTCATGCAAAGTAGACCTTATTATTATGAAAATATCACAAAACTTCACTGTGAAGAGCTGTCAGAGTAGAAGGCTGACTTACTTGCAATGCCCCAGTATAGTAAAAATGTATTACTTTTTTTTTCTTTGAAACGGGCTCTCACTGTCTTGCCCAGGATGGAGTGGCGCAAACATGGCTCACTGCAGCTTCAACCTCCTGGGCTCAAGTGATCCTCCCACGTCAGCCTCCCAAGTAGCTGAAACCACAGGTGCATGCCAACGCACCCAGCTAATTTTTTATTTTTTGTAGAGACATGGTCTCCCTGTGTTGCCCAGGCTGCTCCCGAACTCCTGGGCTCAGGCTGTCTTCCTGCCTCAGCCTCCCAAAGTGCTGGGATTACCGACATGAGCCAACCTTGCTGGCCTGTAATTCTCTTAAAATGTGTTTTCAATGAAAATGCTCTTCCTATGTAACTAAGCAAAATTCATGAAGCCACATTATAGATGTTTATTACAAGTTTCGAATGCTGAGTGAAATGATCACTGTTGTACTTTGTTATTCTTATGTAAATAGGGCCGGTTTACCATGAGAACTGTGACTGTCCTCTGCAAGATAGTGCAGCCTGGCTACGGGAGATGAACTGCCCTGAAACCATTGCTCAGATTCAGAGAGATCTGGCACATTTCCCTGCTGTGGATCCAGAAAAGATTGCAGTAGAAATCCCAAAAAGATTTGGACAGAGGCAGAGCCTATGTCACTACACCTTAAAGGATAACAAGGTACAACACATGATTTTTTGCTTGTTTGTTTTAGTGATTTTTTTTCTTGTTTTGAACATTTGGCTACAATTAGCTAAATCATTTTATAAACATCATTCGAATGAGCACTGTGACAAGCTTTTCCTCAGTGAAGTCTGCCAGCGTCTTTAGACTAACATAATAAATGGTAAATTCTCTTTTAGGTTTATATCAAGACTCATGGTGAACATGTAGGTTTTAGAATTTTCATGGATGCCATACTACTTTCTTTGACTAGAAAGGTAAGTATATATTTTCTCTTAGCTGTAATAGATAATTTAAGCCCAGATTTTACAGGATAATTTTTCAAAATACAAATTATACACTATCAGGGTATTCTCTTCTGGAGCCTTATGATAATACTATTCTGAAGCTTTCTGTTATTTCAGGTACCTGCGTTTGTTTCCTAGGGCTGCCGTAACAAAGTGCTACAAACTGGAAGCCTTAAAATAACAGAAATGTATTCTCTGGCAGTTATGGAGGCCAGATGTCCAAAATCAAAGTGTCAGCTAGGTGCCATGGCTCACGCCTGTAATCCTAGCACTTTAGGAGGTCAAAGCGGGTGGATCACTTGAGCCCAGGAGCTTGAGACCAGGCTGGGCAACATGGTGAAGACCTGTCTCTACAAAAAATACAAAAATTAGCCTGTAGTAGTTTCAGCTAATGGGGAGCTGAGGCAGGAAGATCGCTTGAACCTAGGAGGTCGAGGCTGCATGAGCCGAGATCACGCCACTGCACTCCCAAGGCCTGGGTGACAAGAGTGAGATCCTGTCCCCCCCCAAAAAAAATTAAAGTGTCAGGAGGCCAGCTCCCTCTGAGATGATCCTTTCCTTTCCTTTCCTGCCTCTTCCTGGCTGCTGTCAGTGGCCCTCCATCTTTGGTGTTCCTTGGTTTGCAGCTGCATCCTCCCATCTCTGCCTCTGTCATCACGTGGGCTTCTCCCCTCATGTCTCTGGGTCTCTTCTTATAAGGACACAGCATAGTGGATTAATGGCCCAGCCTACTCCAGTATGACCTCATGCTAACTAATATCTGCAACAACCCTATTTCCAAATAAGGTCATTCTGAGACACTGGGATTTAAGACTTCAGCATATCTTTTGCAGGGACACAATATTTTATAGAGGAAAGAAAAATGCCTTATCATAAAATTATTTTGGTACTAAACTAACTCTGAGTCCAAAGATGACTTGCCTTGTACTGAATCCCATTCCTTGGGATAATGGGCTTTTGTTGGGTTCTAGTGGAATGGTTTGAAAGTAATGTTAAAATGGTGGATGTGAAAGACTCTACCAACATTTTTACCAAATGTATATTTATTTGTAATCTATTATATTTATTTGTTGAATAATTTGCATGTATATCTTGATTAAACTACTCATGGAAAATCATAATGCCTTTTTTTCAAGATTTCAAAGCACTTACAGTCTGTTAATTCTGAATGTAGGTAGTTATATAGCATCAATATTAAGCCTCCTTTAAACTAAGACATCAGAGTACCGTCATACTTCTCTTGCTCCTCTTTGTCAATCCATGGGAAAATGAGAATGTTCTTCAGGACTTCGGTTTCTCAAGATGCTTCTCAGACTGGTCAGTGCTTTTCTGGCCTTAAAAATGTATATCTGTTGTTTTGTAAATACTCTAAACATTTTCTGTGACTAGATAAAACATATCCTCTTTACATATTCATGCCATTTGCCAGTAGAGGAAGGAAGCATAGCTTGAAACTTACTACGTTGCTGTTGGTGTTGGGCTTCCTGAGTTCAAATCCTGGTCCCACCACCTACCTGGTGTATGTTTTTTAAAATGGAACCATCTGGCTCACTAGCAGGAAACTAGGGTTAGAGTCCCAAGTGCTATTTTTTAAATTATTTTCCAATAATTCTCCTTCTCTTTGATCATCTTAGAGGCTGTTCGCAGTATTAGAACAGAGATTACTTTTGCAGTTTCATCCCTTTCATAGGGAGCATAGAATACTTATACATGTGACCATATTCTGAAACATTGCCCACTATTCAAACCAAGGTAATTATTATTACCTGAAACATGTAACATTGGCCTTTCATTAATGCAATTTCAAATTTAAATTGATAAATACAATGTATTATCCAATGCAGGAAATGTGAATAAGCTCCTCGTTTTGTTTTTTCTAGGTGAAGATGCCAGATGTGGAGCTCTTTGTTAATTTGGGAGACTGGCCTTTGGAAAAAAAGAAATCCAATTCAAACATCCATCCGATCTTTTCCTGGTGTGGCTCCACAGATTCCAAGGATATCGTGATGCCTACGTACGATTTGACTGATTCTGTTCTGGAAACCATGGGCCGGTGAGAGATAAGTCAGGGTTGGCCCAGAGCCTTGGTTTTCTTTCTTTGGTGAGTTCTTTTGCAACAACCTTTGTGATATGATGATTTGGGAGGAAAATCTGTTGCACTTTGTCTTCTAGGGTAAGTCTGGATATGATGTCCGTGCAAGCTAACACGGGTCCTCCCTGGGAAAGCAAAAATTCCACTGCCGTCTGGAGAGGGCGAGACAGCCGCAAAGAGAGACTCGAGCTGGTTAAACTCAGTAGAAAACACCCAGAACTCATAGACGCTGCTTTCACCAACTTTTTCTTCTTTAAACACGATGAAAACCTGTATGGTCCCATTGTGAAACATATTTCATTTTTTGATTTCTTCAAGGTATGACTTAATCAGTAGCTAATCTTTTTTGTTTTTCTAATGTATTTGTACATAGTGCTTTGGGAAGGGAAATTAAGGCCTGCAAATTTCAAGAGGTGGGAGAAGTTAGCACAAAATTGAGCGAATATTGAGACATGGGGGTGCTGGGGACTGTTTTGGCAACCAGGGTCTGCCCTCACTGCCCAGTCTTGATATTAAATGCGCATCAAGGGAGTTTGGAGCCTGGATAGAGCTATAATTTTTTTCCAGCTAACCCTTGAGATAAGCACATGTCACCTCCAAATATGTTTTTATTAATACTTACATGTAAGTCATTTTACAAATACTTTTTCCCAGAGCCATGTTATCACAACAGAATAAGGAAGATATAAACTACTTGTTTCTTACCAGGCCTTCTGGTGGGGAATGACGTGAAACTCATCCAAATGTTCTGTCTGGGAATTAGGGTTTGCTTTCTCTGTCTAGAATGTGGATTCCGCATGGTTCCTGGGGAGTAGTCCTTTTTCTAACAACTCCTTTTATAAGGCAGTGGGCACCACCCTGCTCTTTAGACCATGGAGTTGTTTCTGAAGTCCCCCATGGTAGAGAGAGAGGTGGGAAAAAGGTCATCATCTGTCCTCTGTATGTGGGAAGACAAGTGATTAACGAGTTCTGTCTGCCCTGTAGATGACCAAATTTTCTTTTGATGGGTTTTGTTGAGGCAGGTTGACCTAAATGTTAACCTTGTTCAATGTTAAAGTTGAATTGTCAGTATTTTTCTATATGCATATCCCAAAGATTTTTGAAAGAAATGATTATAACCAAAGTGAAAGGATACTAGCCAACCTTCCTCAGTGGAGGGGTGCTCCATCCTGCCTTGGCTTTATTCCTGCCTGTTGAATTTTCTGCAACTAAAGATGATAGATTACCACAGTTCTATGAATATTTTTATTCATAGGTGTTCTTGCTCCAGAGCTTGCTAATTTCTTTAAGACATATGTCTGGGTGTTTAAAAAATACGGTTAGCCAGGCGTGATGGCTCACGCCTGTAATCCTAGCACTTTGGGAGGCTGAGGCAGGCAGATCACCTGAGTTCCAGGGTTCGAGACCAGCCTGGCCAACATGGTGAAACCGCATCTCTACTAAAAATACAAAAATTAGCTGGGCGTGGTGGTGCGTGCCTCTAATGCCAGCGACTGGGGATGCTGAGGCACAAGAATCACTTGATCCCAGGAGGTGGAAGTTGCAGTGAGCTGAGATCACGCCACTACACTCCAGCCTGAGTGACAGAGCAAGACTCTGTCTCAAAATAAATACATAAATAATACGGTTAACATGGCTCAGAATATGCCATCATTAGGGGCACATTTGCAATCAATAAAGTAGCAGGAGAATTACAAAAAGTCACAAATGAATCCATCCTTCCTTATGTTGCAGCCTTAGGACAGCAGTATGATTGTATTCGCTGCTTCAACACTAGATTTGTATCCTTTGTAAAATTGAGAAGCACATCAAAATGAGCATTTAGCTCTAGATCAACCTGTTGTTTAATAACACTTACTAAACGGCAAAGGCAGAGCGTGGAAGCTGACCAAATTGTGTCTGAGGATTGCAAAGGTTTATGTGTGGGATGGGAAGGAGAATAGAGTGGAGAAAAGGAGATTTAATAGAGGTTCTTAGACTTTACCATTGTTTTGCAGCATAAGTATCAAATAAATATCGATGGCACTGTAGCAGCTTATCGCCTGCCATATTTGCTAGTTGGTGACAGTGTTGTGCTGAAGCAGGATTCCATCTACTATGAACATTTTTACAATGAGCTGCAGCCCTGGAAACACTACATTCCAGTTAAGAGCAACCTGAGCGATCTGCTAGAAAAACTTAAATGGGCGAAAGATCACGATGAAGAGGTAAGGTTAGTCCCCTTGAAGGCTTATTTCCACTTGTTTCCCAATATCATGGGTCCTTTTGAAATGTATTGTACCTGGAGAGCATCCAGGATGTTCACGTAATAGACTTTGGCCTGTAAATGGGAAGCTGCCTGCCCATAGATGGCACGGCAGTTCCCCTAGGCTGAACACAGCGGGCACTGCATCTTACATTAACTCTCCACTCTGCATGTGAAACAAAAAGCTAGGCTGGGTGCGGTGGCTCGTGCCTGTAATCCCAGCACTTTGGAAGGCTGAGGCAGGCAGATCACCTGAGGTCAGGAGTTCAAGACCAGCCTGGCTAACATGGTCAAACCCCATCTCTACTAAAAATACAAAAATAAGCTGGCGTGGTGATGGGTGCCTGTAATCCCAGCTACTGGGGAGGCTGAGGCAGGAGAATCACTTGAACCTGGGAGGCGGAGGTTGCAGTGAGCCGAGACCACACCATTGCACTCCAGCCTGGGCAACAAGAGCAAAACTCCGTCTCAAACAACAACAACAAACAACAACAACAACAACAAAAAGCTAAACTGTGGCCTTGATTACACTTTCTCTTTCAAGTAGCGTTGCTCTGAGCCACAAGCATTGCCTCCGCTAGCAATGTGAAAATTGTAAGATGGCCAGTCTGGCAGAAGTCACTAACAGGCTCCAGGTTAAAATGAGGGATTGATTCAGAAGTAGATGCAGCCATAAATACAGAAATAAAGAGGGATGGAATGCAATAAACTTTAAGCTAATTGTCTCCTGAAATTTGTGAAGGCAGCTGGCTAAGCTTCATCTTGCGTTTACAAAGTCATCAGTTTGCTTGGTGTACAACCTTGTCTCTCCAGGAGAGGCTTAGTTCTAGAAGGTCCAATATGACTTTTCAAACTTTTAAGTCTTAGAAACCTCCCTCTGATTTAAACAAACATACTCTGTTAAATGTTCTGTTTTACCATGAGACTACCCCCAAAGATATTATTTCCCACAGTTGCCCCAATGTATACATACTCTGAAGAGCAGTTTGCAGATGCCTGCATGGGAAAAATGGATTCTATTACAGGATTTTGTCGTTGTTCTTCCTGTAGGCCAAAAAGATAGCAAAAGCAGGACAAGAATTTGCAAGAAATAATCTCATGGGCGATGACATATTCTGTTATTATTTCAAACTTTTCCAGGTCAGTATTTTCCAAGAAAATCATCACGTAACTTATAAGTAGACATGTTAAGAACAAATAATATTTTACTTAACAATTTCTAAACATATGTTACTATAGGGAGATATATATACTTCTGTGGATGAAAATCAGAGACAAATATTAAGTAATCATAAAAAAATAGTTGAAAACCAAAGATTAGCTAATGGAAAATGTTACAATATTAAGCGAAAACTATTAATATTAGAACTATGTGATGTCTGACTAAGAAATTGGCCTCTGATCCTACAAAGTTACAGTGCATGGATTTGTATGTTCTCTTTGTGTTACATTGCTGCTGCCTTACCATTTCTTTGTCTAAACAGTGCCAGGTGTGTTTGGGCCTCTTGTCTTGACTCTGTATGAGCCATGACTTCCCTTGGAAATTATTTCCATGGACCTAAGCATTTAGAGATTGTAATCAAGCATATCCGACGATTTAAAGGACTCTTTTAAAAATGTGGTAGTAGGCCGGGTGCGGTGGCTCACACCTGTAATCCCAGCACTTTGGGAGGCTGAGGCAGACAGATCACCTGAGGTGAGGAGTTTGATACCAGCCTGGCCAACATGGTGAAACCCCGTCTCTACTAAAAATACAAAAATTAGCCGGGTGTGGTGGTGCACACCTATAATCCCAGCTATTCGGGAGGCTGAGGCAGGAGAATCACTTGAACCCGGGAGGTGGAAGTTACAGTGAGCCGAGATCGTACCCCTGCACTCCAGCCTGGGTGACAAGAGTGAGATTCTGTCTCAAAAAAATAAACAAACAAAAAAAAAAAAACAAAATCAGGTAGTAAACAAGTTCTTGGCTAATAACAGTACTAGATCTAGAGTAAGAGTTTTATCTCACAGTTGCAGATACTGAGCCCCATATCTGAGGCTCTGCTACAGATCAAAGTTGGTGTATTTCTGGCCTGTACTGGCTCCTCCCGATTTTGTAACCTTCCCTTGATAGAGGGAAGCAGAGGACAAACCGTGTAAAATGAATAAACTGGGGGGATTTACCATGTGAATTTCTAAGGATCCATGGGGCAGTGTTCATTCATTTAGCATAGGTACTTAGCACAGTGCTTCACTCAGAGTAAGCACATGATAAATGAAGATGATGATGGAGGCTTGTGCAAGCCATGATAAGGAAAGCAGAATAGTCTCTGTCTTCACATTCTCAGTCTAGGGAAGATTGTGTGCAAAATTATTTTTACTGTGAGGCAGAAGACGGTTAAAAAAAAAAGTCATGGAAATTTAGGATAGCATAAAGAGGTGTCTGTTAGGAATAGGCAGCCAGTGTTCAAAGGATGGCCTCCTCTCAGATGCTCTACTGTTGATGTTCAGAACTGGTATATATGACGGACTATGCAGATCACAGTTTGACACACATGAGTTAAATGAATCATAGTCTTCATATATTCTAGCCTCTCTCATTGGGTGGATATAAAGTGTTTTATAAGGAATGCTTTTATATTGTTGCTTAAACAGGAATATGCCAATTTACAAGTGAGTGAGCCCCAAATCCGAGAGGGCATGAAAAGGGTAGAACCACAGACTGAGGACGACCTCTTCCCTTGTACTTGCCATAGGAAAAAGGTAACCAGAACTGAGCTTATGGCCGGTGTCAGAGTAAAAACTAACATTGATCCAAACTTGCTTTTATTCCTATAGTCATTCAATCAGGCAGCAAATATTTGAGTTCCTCTCGAGGTCTCCAAGCAATTCAGTCTGCCAGAGAGATAGGTATAAAAGATAGCAGTGCTCAAGAAAGGATGCTACAATGCAGTTAATTGAGAAGACATGGTAGCTCCCTGGCAAAGTGGGGGGAAGTCTTTTATAATGTGAGAATCCAGCTCACACCCTATTTGAATGGATGCTTACAGTCTGAAAAATATTTTCATGTGTATCATCTGATGCCCTCATCTCCTCATGAGATAAGTTTGGCAAAGTTCATCATCCCAGTTTAGAGAAGGAAAAATATGTAACCACGATTATTAATGTTTTCCAATTCTTCATTTGAAAGTCATCTCAGTTGATACCACTACATAAGGATCTCATTGATAAAAATGAAAGTCAGATTCACATCTGGACTTTTAAGGTAGAAAGGACCTTAGAAGTCATCCAGTAAATGCCTTCATTTTATGGTTAACAAAACTGAGCCCAAAAAGGAATTGTGCTCAAAATCATCTAGCTGGATTATAGCAAAGCAAAAACCAATCTCTCATCATCAGATTGTGATTGTGTGTGCTTGTATATAAAGCTATAGTGTGGCAGGGGACTGTTGCTTTGATTATGATTTTTGTTTGTTTGAAGGAATGTAAATTGCATAAACTAGAGTGTGTGTGTGTGTGTGTGTGTGTGTGTGTGTGTGTGTGTAACATATGCTGACTTAACATTTTAGGCAACATAATTAGGTTTCTGAATGGACAAGTTCAAAATTGTGGTATTATAACCAAAGACAAGAAGGCAGATTTGGCAATTATTATGTCTACCTCTCAAGGAGGTGTAAAAGGAATTAAGGTGAGGCTGGCCCCAGTGATGTGACAGAACCAGCTTATATGAGCTCACTGATAAATATTCAGGAATTTTGCATACTAGTTAAATTTTTGGTAGCTTGGAATCATCCTGATAGGAGTATTTACACCATGACAATCAGCACATGCTACAAATCAGAATTTTGGCTGTTTTATTTTTGTCTTTGTTTTTTATAGAACTCATTAACCACTAACCAACTGGCCCTCAGAGGTGGTTCGTCATCATTGTGAACTCTGTCAGTGCTCCAAGGCCATAAAAATCAGTTAAAACCAATGATAAAACAAGAATTGCCAAATCGAAAGGTTCCCCCTCACCAATCCGTGATTTGGTATCAGAACACTTCTCACTTTGGCTCTAAGTGAGACTGGCAGCTTCCTTGCTCCACTCCTGCTCAGTTATTTATCTTCATCTACGTGATTGAGAGGAGGTACCCAGCCAGTTTCTTCCACTGAGTAGTAGAAGTTAGGGGCCAGAATGATAGCTTCGTTTATTTTTTGCTCATTGTCTATCCTAGTCTTTCACCACTACTGTTCATAACATGAGGCCTTTACAGTAGTACAGCCCATGGATGTTTGGGTTCCTTATCAGTAGGCTATGAAACACAATGTGATTTTACCCTTAGCTGACTCTGGGCCTCTGGAAATAGTCCCAAGCCCTAAAAGCCTCTAGCAGCAGCTTGGCTCCCTCTCATCTTTACAGGAAAATAATTAACGAATGTAAGTCTTCTTCACTTGTGTAAGACTTCTTGATAGCTCTAAATATTTTGCTTCTTAATTGCAGACCAAAGATGAACTCTGATATGCAAAATAACTTCTATTAGAATAATGGTGCTCTGAAGACTCTTCTTAACTAAAAAGAAGAATTTTTTTAAGTATTAATTCCATGGACAATATAAAATCTGTGTGATTGTTTGCAGTATGAAGACACATTTCTACTTATGCAGTATTCTCATGACTGTACTTTAAAGTACATTTTTAGAATTTTATAATAAAACCACCTTTATTTTAAAGGACTACGTTGTGCTAATTATTAGCCGTGTTTGGAACAGAGAGCAGTAAAAACAGAGAGAATCTGGGTCCTTAATGCACAGCAGCCCAGACCACCTGCCCAGACTGGTTTTAAATGACAAAGCAATGAACCCCTGTCTCCTTTTAAGCCCATATTATTGTGGGTATTCAGCCAAACTTAATTCTAGCTAATACTTCGTACAAGGCCAGTCATTAGATGGCCTCTACCTGCATCTTTAGTCAAATCTCTCAGCACTTTCTAGTATCAATACTGTCCTCTGGAAGAACGAGTCCTCTCCCAGTTCTGTCAATGCCTGTGTCCTTACCTTCCTGGCTCTTGCCTTTCCCTTGTCCTGGAATGTCTTGGCCCTCTTTTCTTCAACCGGCTTACACATCCTTCAGCACATATTTTATCCTTACTAGATTTTAAGTGCCATGACCTCAGAGACCAGGCCTTTCTTCTGGGTAGTCCTAACGTCTAATAGAGTGCCAGCAACTAGAAAGACTGAATAAATATCTAATGGGTGATATGGTTTTGATGTTTGTCCCTTCCAAATCTTATGTTGAAATGTAATTCTGAGTGGTGGAGGTGGGGCCCGGTGGGAGATGTTTGTATCTTAGGGGTGGATCCCTCATGAATGGCCTGGCACCATCCTTGCAGTGACAAGTGAGTTCTCACTGTGAGTTCACATGATCTGGTGGTTTTAAAAGGTGTGGCACCTCCCCCTCTCTCTGTGTTGCTCCCTCTCTTGCCACCTGATACCCTGGCTCCACTTTGCCTTCCACCATGATTGGAAGCTTCCTGAAGCCCTCTCCAGAAGCAGATGCTGGCACCACACTTCCTATACAGCCTGCAGAACGATGAACCAAAATAAATCTCTTTTCTTTAGAAATTACCCAGCCTCAGGTATTTCTTTATAGCAACACAAAAATGGCATTAACACAATGAGTAAATGAATGAATGAAAATCACTTTGAAATGCAGTTAAAAGAATTTAAAAAGAACTAAAAATCTGAACACTGAACCATATATCATATTCTACAAATTCCTTTACCTAATATTCTCTCTTCCATTCATCTTCCAGTCAAATAATTTTTTCTAAATTATTTTGAATTTTGAAATAGACATACAGAAGAATATAAAACATATATCTGCAATTTAAACATATATCTGCAATTTAATTATAAGAAAACATCCATGTAATCACTGACAAAGATTCTTTGCTTGACCACCTGTATTAGTCCATTCTCTCGCTGCTAATAAAGACATACCTGAGACTGGGTAATTTATAAAGAAAAGAGGTTTAATTGACTCACAGTTCCACAGGGCTCAGGAGACCTCAGGAAACTTGCAATCATGGCAGAAGCGGAAGAAAACAAGTCTTTTCTCACATGGCAGCAAGGAGAAAGCACCAAGCAAAGGGAAAAAAGCCTCTTATAAAACCATCAGATCTCGTGAGAGCTCACTCACTATCATAAGAACAGCATGAAGGTAACTGTCCCCATAAATCAATTACCTCCCACCAGGTCTCTCCCACAACATGTGGGGATTATGGGAACTACAATTCAAGATGAGATTTGGGTGGGGACACAGCCAAACCATATCATTCCACCCCGGCCCCTCCCAAATCTCACATCTCACATTTCAAAACACAATCATGCCTTCCCAACAGTTCCCCAAAGTCTTATTTCATCATTAACCCAAAAGTCCAAGTCCACAGTTTCATCTGAGACAAGGCAAGTCTCTTCCACCTATGAGCCTGTAAAATCAAACACAAGTTAGTTACTTCCTAGATACAATGGAGGTACAGGCATTGGGTAAATATACCTGTTCTAAATGGGAGAAATTGGCCAAAACAAAGGGGCTATAAGCCTCATGCAAGCCCCAAATCCAACAAGGCAGTAATCAAATCTTAAAGCTCCAAAATAATCTTTGACTCCATATCTCACATCCAGGTCACACTGATGCAAGAGGTGGGCTCCGACAGCCTTGGGCAGCTCTACCCCTGTGGCTTTGCAGGCCACAGCCCCTCACCCCAGCTGCTTCCACAGCTGGCATTGAGTGTCTGCGGCTTTTCTAGGTGCAAGCTGCAAGCTGTTGGTGGATCTCTCATTCTGGATCTGGAGGACAGTGCCCCTCTTCAGCTCCACTTGGCACTACCCCAGTGGGGACTCTTGTGTGGGGCCCAACCCCACATTTCCCTTCCACACTGCCCTAGCAGTGAGGGCTGTGCCCCCGCAGCAAACCAGCCTGAACATCCAGGTGTTTCCGTACATCCTCTAAAATCTAAGCAGAGGTTCCCAAACTTCAATTATTGACTTCTGCATACCCGCAGGCTCAACACCATATGTAAGCTGCCAAGGCTTGGGGCTTGCACCCTCTGAAGCCATGGCCCAAGCTGTACCTTGGTTCCTTTCAGCCACAGCTAGAGTGGCTAGGACACAAGCCACCAAGTCCCTAGGCTGCACACAGCAGGGGGCCCTGGGCCTGGCCCCAAAACCATTTTTCCCTCCTAGGCCTCTGGGCCTGTGATAGGAGAGGCTGCCTTGAAAGTCTCTGACATGCCCTGGAGACATTTCCCCATTGTCTTAATGATTAACATTGGGCTTTTTGTTTATGCAAATTTCTGTAGCAAGCTTGGATTTCTCCCCAGAAAATGGGTTTTTCTTTTCTGTTACATTGTCAAACTGAAAATTTTCCAAACTTTTATGCTCTGCTTCCTCTTGAACGCTTTGCCATGTAGAGATTTCTTCTGCCAGATACCTTAAATCATCTCTCTCAAGTTCAAAGTTCCACAGATCTCTAAGGCAGGGGCCAAATGCTGCCAGCCTCTTTGGTAAAGTATATCGAGCATCATCTTTATTCCAGTTCCCAACAAGTTTCTCATCTCCATCTGACACCACCTCAGCCTGGACTTCATTGTCCATATCACAATCAGCATTTTGGTCAAAGCCATTCCACAAGTCTCTAGGAAGTTCCAGACTTTCCCATGTCTTTCTGTCTTCTAAGCCCTCCAAGTCTCTAGGAAGTTCCAAACTTTTCCACATTTTCCTGTCTTCTTCTGAGCCCTCCAAACTGTTCTAGCCTCTGCCTGTTACCCAGTTCCAAAGTCACTTCCACATTCTTTGGGTATCTTTACAGCAGCACCTCACTCTCTGCAGTACCAATTTACTGTATTAGTCCATTCTCACGCTGCTAATAAAAGACATACCCACAACTGGGTAATTTATAAGGGAAAGAGGTTTAATTGACTCACAGTTCCACAGGGCTGGGAGGCCTCAGGAAATTTACAATCATGGTGGAAGGGGAAGTGAATACATCCTTCTTCACATGCCAGCTGGAAGAAGTGCTGAACAAAGGGAGAAAAGCCCCTTATAAAACCATCAGATCTTGTGAGAACTCACTCGCTATCTTGAGAACAGCAGCATGGGGGTAACTGCCCCCGTGATTCAATTACCTCCCACTGGATCCATCCCATGACACATGGGGATTACGGGAACTACAATTCAAGATTGTTCCCAGACCAAACTGAGAGTCAGGCTACTATTTCTCGTGGCCCAATAAGAAGATGCAGATGAACTGGGGAGGAAGAGAGTTTTTATTTCTGTAACCAGCTACAGGGAGAAGGCCTGGAAATTATCACCAGACCAACTGAAAATTACAAAGTTTTCCAGAGCCTATATACCTTCCAAGCTATATGTCTATATTTAAGTATGCATTCATCTAAACACATAAGTGATTAACTTCTTTTAATCTGTAACTAAGGTCTGAGTCTTGAAGACCTTTCTCTGGAGCCTCAGTAAATGTACTTAATCTAAATGAGTCCAGGTGCTGGGGTGATTACCCTTATCTTGTCTCCTACTAAATCACGAAGGTTTAGGGATTTCCTTCAGACTCCCAATAAATTAGTTTATGGAGGCCTTGGGAGTTTCTTCAGGCCCCCAGTAAAACTTGTTTTATCATGCTTTAAGGTTCAGGAAAGGCCTAGGCAAAACTCTTGTTGGGCTGTTGTTACATTCCAGCCTTTGTATAAGGACGCTGGCTTTTAACATTTAATTTAACCACTCAGTCAGTACTGAAACTGTTGTATGGAGGCCTGCGTTAGTGAGACCTGGCCTGCCACAAGATGAGATTTGGGTAGGGACACAGCCAGACCATATCACCATCCTTTCATCAGCCTCCTGAACCTTGTCGTAGGCCTATCTGTGCACTGCCTTATAAAATTCAATTTTAGCAAGAACCCTGCTAAGTCAGTTTCACAAAAATCCCCCACCCTCCATATGTGACCACACTTTATATCTAATCTGCTTCCTCATCCTCTACCATCCCCCAGGTCATGTCTGATCGTGCTGGCCTGTTTTCAGCTAGAATCCCATTTGGTCTATTTAACCAGAATCTCTGTCACCCTGATGCATTTCCTCTTAGTAATTTTCCATCCACTGACTCCCTACCCTGCTCCTTGGCTATAAATGCCCATTTAACCATGCTGTATTCAGAATTGAGTCCAATCCTATACTGAAGTGTCTTTTCCCCTGTTGCAATAGTCCTGAATAACATCTGTTTTTTTACCACTTTAACTATCGTCCAGCTCTGGTTTTTCTTCGACATTTCCACTCGGGTTCAGAAATAGAACATTGCTTAGAGGTGACCACAGTGCCTCCTCTTATCACATTTCCTCTCTGCTCCCAGGTAACCACAAACATGATGGCTGTGATAATCTTTTTCTTGCTTTTTAGTTTTACCACCTACATACACTTCCCTAAGCAGTAGAGTTTACTCTTGCCTATTTTGAAATTGATATAAATGGAATCATATCAAATTTTTGTTGTTGTTACTTGCCTATTTTTTTTTTAGACAGAGTCACACTCTGTCACTCAGGCTGGAGTGCAATGGCACAATCTTGGCTCACTTCAACCTCCACCTCCCAGGTTCAAGCGATTCTCCTGCCTCAGTTTCCTGAGTAGCTGGGATTATAGGTGCCTGCCTTGCCCGGCTAATGTTTTGTATTTTTAGTAGAGACAGGGTTTCAGCATGTTGCCCAAGGTTGTCTCAAACTCCTGAACTCAAGTGCTATGCCAGCCTCGGCCTCCCAAAGTGCTAGGATTACAGGCATGAGCCACCACACCCAGCCTTATTCATTTTTTATATGTGGACAGTACTTCACCATATAAATATGATCACTTTATTTTACCGTCCATTGCAGATGGACATTTGGATTCCTCTCATTTGGGGGGAATGTCAATCAGTGCTACAGCAAACATTCTTATTCATGTTTCTTGGCCACATTTGATTAGAAGTGGAATTACTGGGTTATAAGGAATGTACACCTGTTATTTCACTCGATAATGTTAAATGATTCCAAATTGGTTGTCCCAGTTTATGCTCTTTCCAGGGCTGTACAGAATTTGCAGTTGTTTTACTTTCTTGCTAACAGTTGATATTATCAGACTTACAAATTTTTTGCCAATCTGATTAGTACACAATGGTAACACATTATGTTTTAATTTTCATTTCTCTGATTATTAATGAGGTTGACCATTTTGTGGTTATGAGCCATTTGTGTTGCCTTTCCTGTAAAATTTTTAATCTTTTTAAATTTTTACTTATTTTCCTACTAAGTTGTTCAACTTCCTGCTGGATTCATAGACATATATTTTGGAGTTAGTACTTTGTGGTATATGCTGCATACATCCTACTTTATGGTATATCTTAGACTCTCATTTCATTGTCTTTTAATGCTCAAAAGATTATGTTTTTTGTTTTTTGGGTGTTTTTTTTTGTAGAGACAGGGTCTCACTAGCTGGTTATTTAATGTAGCTAAGAAAACTATAGATTTTTATATATGTTCTGTACCCAACCCCTTAACGAACGATTTTATTAGCTCTAATACATTTCACTTGTTTTTTCTCAAACACAGTCATATTTGAAACTGACAGTGTATCTTCTTTACCATATTTATAATCTTATTTATTTTCTGTCCTTATTGCATTGGCTGGAACTTCTAGCATAATGTTGAATGATTGTGGTGACAACAAGCATTCTTATTGTCTTTCAGACTTCAGTGGTATATCATTAGTCAGGATTCTCCAGATAAATATGACCAATAGAAGGGTGTGAGTGTGTGTGTGTGTGTGTGTGTGTGTTCATAAGGATTTATTTTAAGAAATTGGTTCACACAATTATAGAGGCTAGCAAGTCCAAAATCTGCAGTTAAAGTCCAAAGACCATTAGGCTGGAGACCCAGGAGAGATTAGTATTGCAGTTCAAGCCTGAAGGCGGTCTGCTGACAGAATTCCCTCTTGCTCAAGGGAGGCTAGTCTTTTGTTCTACTTACTCCTTCAGTTAACTGGATGAGGCCCCCCCCCTGCCACGTTACAGAGGGCAATCTGCTTTACTCACAGTTCACTGATTTAAATGGTAATCTTATCCCAAAACACCCTCATCAAAACATGCAGAATAATGTGTGACCACTTATCTAGGCACCCTGGATCAGCCAACTTGACACATAAAGTTAGCATTACAAATGGGAATTCGTTCAACAACTGTTGAGCACCTAATATGTGCCAGACATTGTACTGTGCTCTAAGGATACAGAAGTGAACAACTGCTGTCTATTCTGAAAAAGAATGAAATTAACAAGTAAAAACTAAACAAGATAATTATGGATTGTCATAAATAAAAATAGGGTATTATAGAGAAAAGTGGGGTAGATAGTGGTGGCTACTTTAGATTGGATCATCAAAGATGCTACAGATTTTTCAATGTCGAGTAAAATGTTTGGTATAGTTTATGATAAACAACCACTATTAAAACAATACATTTCCAATCTAATACTGACTTATTTCCTTTTTCAATAGGAAAGGCATTAAATTTTATTAAATGTTTTTAAGTCATCTATTGAAATGCTCATGTTTTATTTGGCTTTGTTTTTGCTGCATTAATCTGTAATGGATTACATTAATAGCATTCTAATTTTTGAAACATTATAAAACCCCAGGGTTTAAAAAAAAAACAAACCCAGGGTTATTACATATTATTATTTTAATACATGGCTGAATTAATTGCACTAATATTTAATTTAGGATATTTCAAACTATAGCCCACAGGCCAAATCTGAGCCACCACCAGTGTTTGTACAGCCTGCAAACTAAGAATAATCTCAACATTGCTAAGTGGCTGAAAAACATAAAAAGAAGAGTATCTCATTACATGAGAAGCATATATGAAATTCAATTTTTGGTTCATAAATAAAGCTTTTGTATTAGTTTCCTATTGTTGCTATGATAAATTACCACAAACTTATGTGGTTGAAAACAACATAAATTATTCTTTCACAGTTTTGGAGGTCAGAGTCCGAAACCAGTTTCACAGAGCTCATGTCAAGGTATTGGCAGGGCTGATTCCTTCTGGAGTCTCTGAGAGGGGAAAACTTTTCCTTGCTATTTCCAGCTTCTAGAGCTGCAGTCCTTATATTTCTTGTCTTGAGGCCCCTCTTCCATCTTCTCAGCCAGCATCTTGGCATCTTCAAATCTCTCCGCTTCTGTCGTCACATCGCCTTTTGTTTCTCTGAATGGCACAGCAGAATTATTCATAATAACCAAAAAGTATAAACAATTCAAATGTCCACCAACTGGTGAATGGATACTCAAAAATGCTGAATACTATTTGGCAATAAAAATATATGAGTTGTAACAAGGTGCAAAGTTCTGATGCATGTCACAGCATGGATAAACCTTGAAAACATTATCCTAAGTGCAAGAGGCTAGAGGCATACGACCATACAGTGTAGGACTCCATTTATATGAACTGTCCAGAAAAGGCAAATCCAGAGAGACAGAAAGTATGTTAGTGGTTGCCCGGGGTTAGGGGTAGGAACAGAGAATGGCTGTAATGCCAGTGAATCCCAAAATTGGAGCTCAGCCTGAGAGGGTTCTTGACTTTGCACAGGAAAGGATTCAAGAGCAAACTGACAGTAAAATGAAAGCAAAGCAAGTACATTAGAGCAACAAAGCACAGGAAAATTGCTTCTGGTAAACTGAGCAGGGCTACCCCACAGGCAGAGTAACACTCATGGATTGCTGGCTAGCTATATATATATATGTATCTACATATACATATATATGTATATACATACATATCATATATATGTATCTACATATACATATATATGTATATACATACATATGTGTGTATATACATATATATGTATATACACACATATATACACATATATAATATATACATACATATAATATATACATACGTATATAAACATATACATGTTATATATACATATGTGTATATATACACATATATACATATATAGTATTTATACTATATGACTATATGTATATAGTATTTATACTATATGACTATATGTATATAGTATATACATACACACATAAATACTATATATAATATTTATACTATATATGTATACATAGTATTTATACTATATATAGTACGGATATATATTATATGTGTGTATATATACACATATGTATATGTGTGTGTGTGTATGTATATATATATATATATAGAGAGAGAGAGAGAGAGAGACGGAGTCTCGCTCTGTTGCCCAGCCTGGAGTGCAGTGGTGCGCTCTTCTCGGCTTTGCAACCTCTGCCTCCAGGGTTCAAGCAATTCTCCTGCCTCAGCTCCCGAGTAGCTGGGACTACAGGTGCCTGCCACTACGCCTGAGTAATTTTTGTGTTTTTGGTAGATGCCGGGTTTCACCGTGTTGGCCAGGCTGGTCTCCAACTCCTGACCTCAGGTGATCCACCCGCCTTGGTCTCCCAAAGTGCTGGGATTACAGGCATGCGCCAGGGCACCCGGCCACTGGCTAGCTATATTTATACCTACTCCTTCATCGTACGCTAAATAAGGGGTGGGTTATTCACGAATTTTCTAGAAAAGGGGTGGGGAGTTCCCCGGAACTGAGAATTCTTCCGTTTTTAAACCATATAAGGTAAGGTCTGGGCATTGCCATGGCATTCGTAAACTGTCAGAGTGCTGGTGGAAGTGTTGTAGCATGTTCATGTATTATAATTAGTGTATAATGAGCAGTGAGGGCACTAGAGGTCACTTTGGTCACCATCCTGGTTTTAGCTGGCTTGGGCCTGTTTCTTTAGGGCAGTTTTGGCCGTTTTTTTAGGGCATCCTGTTCTGACCAGATCCTGTTTTGCTCAGCAGGTGGTGATCAGTGCTTGGAAAGTCCTGCTGATCTCCTACCTCAACTATAACTGTGCAAATACTTTTCAGGGGGATAATGGAAATGTTCTTAAATTATAGTGATGGTTGCAAATGGTTTTAAAATTACTGAAAATGATTGAATGGTACACTTCAAATGAGTGAATTTTATGGCATGTAAAGAAATGTTTTTTAAAAACACAGCTAAAAAATTAGGAGACAAAGAAGTATTAAGACTTTGTAATTTGGGGAAACACTTGTGATAAATGACAGCGACTATGTGGTTTTGTGGAATGTATTTCCTTGTATGTACCGTGACAGAAAAGAGGGCAGGTGCCAACTGCACTGGGCTTGGGGAAGATTCATTCATTTAAGAAATTTTTTTTTTTCTGAGCATTATTCATACACAAGAGGTTCACGGTTAAAACAAAAATTTACAAAAAGCAACCCTTTCTTCACCTGGGAGCTTATAGCGCAGTGAGGAGACACAGATACATCCATAGCTCGTGAGGTGACCGGGGAAGGACAGGAAGAGCGGGGAGGTGATCAGGGGAGGCCTCGCTGTGAAAACCACGCGCCCTGTCGACCCCGAGGAGACGCGGCCCACGCTGGGAGGGAGCAGCCAGGACAAAAGCCGGTCGTCGTGGGGTCCCGCCTGGTGAGTGGGGGTGAGGACAGCGAAGTGTGGGCTGCCCTGGGCTTCCAGGGAAAGGAGCCAGATGGAGAGGGGAGATGTGGGGGACCGATCGCGTGCAACAGCCTAGGCCACTGCCGGCCGCTGGCTGTGGCAATGAGCGCGGAGCCTTTGGAAGATCCAGGGGACAGGCTTCCACAGCATCCACGTGGCTGCGGCGTCGCCGACAAGGCCCAGGCGGGGGCAAGATGGTACGAAGCGACCATTTAAGTGATTGTTACAATCATCCCCGCAAAGATAACAGGGGGCTTGACCCCATGTAGAAGTGTGCGAAGCGGCTGGTTTCTGTCAGCGTTTGACCTTAACGGGAGTAACGAATCGACTATGGGTGTGAGGAAGACTGGTCAGAGCTGATCGCGCCTCGGAATGGAGTGGTGGCTGGGATGCGGAAAGGCCCCGAGTGGAGCAATCCTGGGTGAGGCGGAAACGGGGGCTGACTTTCCAGCCGTCCGCGTGCTACTGAGGCGGCGGCCACCCTGGCACCTTCCCCTAGCTCCGCTAGTCCGCGCGTACAGCCCTGGGATGTGGCGGGCTGGGAGACCCACGCTCCCGGCGTGCTCTGCGGCCCGGCCCGCGCACCCGGGGGGCGTGGCCTGCGCGCGCGTGCGTCGTAGCCGAACGCTGTGGCGGGGCAGGCGAGGCGGTCGCTTCGAGCGCGCTAGTCAGCTCCCTGAAGGGAGTGACGGCGGTTGGGTGCCCGCGGCCACTTTTGCCTTCCCGGGTAAGTGCGGCGGTGGCGGTTGGCGCCGCCGGCTGACGGGCGGCTTCCTGGGAGACGGGGAGAGCACCCGGCAGGCCCGCCTGAGACGTTTGAGGCTCGCGGGCGTCACTCCTCAGGGGCGTCTGGTCCGAGCCGGGAGGCGTTCCGCTAAGTTCGGTGCCCGCGGGCACCAGCCGGTGGGGGCTTCGTCCGCTTTGCCGGGTAGGAGGGCGGAATGTGGGGTTGGTACGGGCGGGGAGAGCCGGACGGGGCCAACCTGGACCACGTCAGCCAGTCCCGGGTGACTGGCTCGAAGTAGCCTCGGAGTTGAGAGGGGTCGACCGGGGCAGCCCGCGGCGCAGCCCCGGCAGCGCGCATTTGCGGAGAGAACGGATCCCGTGCCCCGAGCGCCGCCGAGCCCCGCACGCCCGTGAGACCCGCTTTGAATTTTCTCTCCATGTTTGCTGGGGTTGTTGACCCGACCCCCCGTAAGACTCGGACTCAACGTTTTTGTTTGCCCCACGACAGCCAGCTTAATGCTGTGGACGTAACAGGGCACGAACGTTTGTAACTGAAAGTTGAAGGGGCTGTGGCGTCTCCGTCCCGTGGCGTGGGAGGTGATCGCCCAGCCCTTGTGAGTAGTTGTCGTCCTAGAACTCCGCCGACCGCCTAGCCGGTGGAGCCGGCGCTCCGGACGCCACTAGAGCTGGCGTTTCGTGGGCGCAGCACCTCTAGCCGGTCATCTTCACCATCGCCATTGAGGGCACTGAGGCCGGGCCAGGCTTCAAACCCTGCCCTCTCTGAACCTGAAGCCAGAGATGAAAACCCAGACGACAGTGGCCTGGCACGGTGGCTCACGCCTGACCCCAGCACCATGGGAGGCCGAGGCGGGTGGATCACCTGAGGTCAGGAGTTCAAAACCAGCCTGGCCAACATGGTGAAACCCCGTCTCTACTAAAATTAGCTGGGCGCGGTGGCGGACGCCTGTAATCTCAGCTACTCGGGAGGCTGAGGCTGGAGAATCTCTTGAACCCGGGAGGCAGAGGCTGCAGTGAGCCGAGATCGCGCCGCTGCACTCCTGCCTGGGGGACAGAGCAAGACTCTGTCTCAAAAAAACAAACCCAGATGACCTAGAGCAGGTTGCTTGGGGATTGCATTATGGGGCATTTTCCGTGTTTCTGAAGAAAACCAGCATGTGTGCAGCTGCCGTGAAGAACACACTGTGCATCGTGAAGTCTGAAAAGAAGTAAAGCAGACCGGGAGAGGTGGCAAACGCCTTGGGATCCCAACGGTTTGGGAGGCCAAGGCAGGGGGTATCGCTTGAGCCCGGGAGTTCAAGACCAGCCTGCGAAACATAGGGAGACCCTCGTCTCTACAAAAACATTTAAAAATAATAAGCGGGCGTGGTGGTGAGCGTCTGTAGTCCCACCTACTCAAGAGGCTGAGGCGAGAGGATCGCTTGAGCTCAGGAGTTCGAGGATTCAGTGAGCTTATGATTGCGCCACTCAATTTTCCGGCCTGTCCGCCGGAGCGAGAACCTGTCTCAAAAAAAAAAAAAATAGGGAAGCATTCTAAATTAAGATAGTGGTTGTTTACATGCATCTAAATTTACTCCTTCATGAAGTTTCACTAAACTTACATTAAGGCTATTTAAAAACAAACATGAACCTCCAGCAATGGGAGAATAGGAAAGGAAACGCTGGCAATCAAATAGCGGGCTCCAAAACATGTATGGCTTAGCAAACCCTGTATTAACCACAGAATCTTCAAACTGCACGGAAACTGGCAGCACTGGACAGCGGTGGTACTGGGAATGAAGGTGGTGTGGTGCAGAAGGTGGGTGTAAGGAGCTTAAAGAAAGATGATTTAGGTGAAATCTGAGAAGCAATTGGATATCCAGATCCCCTTCCCCATTTCACCTGTTGGGTGACTGCCTTTCCCCTTGTTAGAAGACTGGATGGAGGCTTATTCTCTTGAGAAAGTAAAACAGAGGATCTTTGAACTGAGAAACCCAGGCATAATTGTGGGGCTGCATGTATGAAGATAGGGACACTGAAGCTTGAAGTCTTTCATCTCCTTTGTCTCACTCAACTTCCAAAACTTTTGCAGTCAGATCAGACTAATGCTCTCCAGGCTGAAATAAGAGAATTCTACACGCTCACACACACAGATGGGGAAAGGTACATAATAAGTTGCTTATGGTGGTTTCTAGGAAGTGAAAGGAACTTGGTGGTTGGGGGAAGAGTGTGTGGAAACTTCTGTTTACATTGTCTTTTAAAATGTACCATGTACACACGATACCTATTCAAAAATGAAATGTATTCTTCACCTCAGGAAGATCTATGAAAAACATATTCTGTAAATTATGAACAAATACTTTGACTTCTGTTTACATTTTTTTAATGTACCGTGTGCACATGATACCTATTCAAAAATGAAATGTATTCACCTTGGGAAGTTCTATGAAAAAATTCTGTAAAAAATTATGAACAAACCCTTTGACACAGCGATTCCTTCCCCAGGAATTTATCTTATAAATACACTTACATCGTGTGAAAATAAGTACAGTGCTATGTGGAAGGATAAGTAAGAAGCAGATAATATTGGTTACCTTTGGAGAGGGGAATCTGATGTCAAGTCAAGAGTGGAATGAGTGAGACTTTTTCACTACATATTCTTGGTACCTTTTGAACTTTAAACCATGTTATTGTTACCTATTGAATGAATGAATAAATAAATGTTAATGGGAAAAATGGGTGAGTAATGGAGATCCTGATGTTGGTAATGTCTTAAACAATACAAGAGCTCTTAACATAGGAAGGAATGCTGCATAACAACCCCAAAATTTCAGTGGCTTACATTTTATGCTCATGGATCTTCAGATCAGCTGTTGGTCAGATGTTGGTTAGACTAGTCTGGACTCCAGACTTCAGTTTTGGGTTCAGTTCTGTTCCGTGTGTCTTCATTTTGAGACCCAGGCTGAAAATGCAAAACCACCTAGAGCATGTTTTTCTCATGGCTGAGGGTGAAAGTTCAAAAGGGCTTCTGGAAGTTTGCCATGCCTCAGCTCAGAAGTCACACATTGAAATGTCTACCTACATTCCATTAGTTAAAACAAGTTACGTAGCCAAGTCCAAAGTAAACAGGGTGAAGACATATATACTCTGCCTTCTAGCAGCACTGTGAAGTTCCATGACAAGATGTGGATGGGTAGGCTTGGGAACTATAATGATGAAGAAAATGGGTTAATGGAAAGATGCTGAAAAATTAAGTTTAGGATAGTTGGTTTAGAATGAAGATTCTTACAAAAATGTGTATTTATACATTTTACATTACCATATTTTGACAAGATACAGCATCCTACTTTGATATGAATTACCTTACAGTTTCCATGTCAAAGTATCACCTTTGTTTTATCTTCTATAACATCTACCAACCCTGCACCTGGCCCTCTAACCAATTCTGAGTGCCCGTAGAAAAATGTACATGTAAAGACACCAGATTTTAGGGAAGTAATTCTAAATGTTTATTTTAGCTACTGAATGTGTTCATTCATAGTTTTTGTGTCATATCCATGTCTGCCAACTCACCTTTCACAACAGAATCTTCTTTTCAGGGAGATGTCCTTTGCTTCTCAGATGTAAATGCACTTTAAGTTTGTTATTCAACAGTGAAAATGAGTCATACAGAGGTAATATTTTCGTATGTTCTGCATCTTCAGGGTTCCTGGTTTTTTGTTTGTTTGTAATTATGTGGCTTCAGAGTAATTTTATTTTCAACTTTCACTGTGGGAGGCAGTATAGCATAAGTGGTTAAGAGCGAGGAATCTAGAGCAGACTACCCTGAGTTTAAATCCTAGCTAGCGGCTATATAACCTTGGGCAAGTTACTTAATCTGCTGTGCCTTATCTATAAAATGGGGATAATGATAGTGCTTGCCTCACAGAATTGTTAGAAAAGTGAAATAAGTTAATACATATAAAGCACTTATAATAATACCCGACACAGTAAGCACTTAACTACTATTATTAATATCACTACTTTTTATTTGGAGGCTATGACTTGAATTATGAGCCTCACAGAGCAAACATATATATAGCTGTTCAGTTGTCTTAATAGGCAAGAAAGTAATTTTTGATCCCTTTATTCTCTTGAATTCCAGGTTAAATTAAAAATACCTTTTGGAAATAAATTACTAGATGCTGTTTGTTTGGTACCTAACAAGAGCTTAACATATGGAATAATTCTTACACATGGAGCATCAGGAGATATGAATCTTCCTCATTTGATGTCACTGGCATCCCATCTTGCATCTCATGGGTTTTTCTGCCTGAGATTTACCTGTAAAGGCCTTAATATTGTACATAGAATTAAGGCGTATAAATCAGTTTTGGTAAGAAAATTTCTTTATATTTACTTATAACAGAATTCTGTTTGAAATCCTTAATAAATGTAAGATAAATTTTATTAGTCATCTGGTTTAATTTAAAAAATCTTTGAATGAGTGTATTCTTAGAAAACTCAGCAGTACATGAAAGCTTTTTAGTCGTCAGATTTCCCTTGTCATCAGTTTCCATGGAGATGAATGCTTACATCATAAATGTTCCTCCGTGATATTGCCAAGGAAGCTACTTATGATTTTTCTCCCTGGAATTATGTAACTTTAGCACATCATTTTGGCATTCTAGAATATTTCATCTACCATACTATGCATGTATAAATATGATACTGTTTTCTGTATATGTTATTTAGAAACCTTGCTTAAAATCCTGGATAACACTAAAGTTTCTCTAAATCAAGCTTGTCCAACCCATGGGCCACATATGGCCCAGGACAGCTTTGAACGTGGCCCAACACAAGTTTGTAAACTTACTTAAAACATTATGAGATTTTTTTTGCAATTTTTTTTTAAGCTTATCAGGTGTCATGAGTGTTAGTGTATTTTATGTGTGGCACAACACAGTTCTTCCACTGTGGCCCAGAGAAACCAAAAGATTGAACACCCCTGATCTAAATAATTTCAAGCTTACTAATAAGTTTTTTAGAACTTTAGATGTTAACATTATCAAATTTGGTATTAGTTGGAAGCCTTTGCTGGCCTTTTTAAAAAATAATTCTCTAAAAAATAGTTTAGTGCTTAAATATTTTAGTAAAGGTAGATTGACTTTTTTTCTCACATATTTGCCTGTATTACCTAACATGTGATTTAATAGTGAAGGCATGACCAGAAGAGGAAGGACTGCTTACTTCTTTTAAGAAAAATCCCTTAAGATTTTCTGGTTATCTTTGCATAGATTTTCATACATTTCAGTAATGATGAGAAACAATATATCTTGCCTTTCCAGTGGAATATTTTATAGGTGAAGAACTGATGATTTTTTTATTTTTCTAGAATTACCTGAAGACATCAGGAGAATACAAACTTGCAGGTGTTTTTCTTGGAGGTAAGTGCAATACTTGTGAATACTTGTTAATTACCTGTTTTAATATAGGAATAGGTAATGGAGAATTAAAATTAGTTGATCATAGGAAGCTAATTTAAGGATTTTTTTTGTTGTTTTGGTAAGTCACCTTTTTAATGTTAAAGCACTTTATATACTTAGAGCAAACTTGAACCTCATGTATATGTATTATAATCTGAGCCTCTCTCCTTTTATTCATATCCCTGAATCATCATCCTGCATATGATGATTCCTTTACAATGATTGTCCTTGTCCTTTTAAGTGTTCTTTAGAAAAATAATTGCCTTTTATTTTTTTAGCATTTAAGATCAATTTTTAGCTTTTTTTTTGAGACAGAGTCTTGCTCTGTCACCCAGGCTGGAGTGCAGTGGCGCCATCTCGGCTCACTGCAGCCTCCACCTCTGGGATTCAAGTGATTCTCCTGCCTCAGCCTCCCAAGTAGCTGGGACTATAGGTGTGCACCACCATGCCTGGCTAATTTTTGTGTTTTTAGTAGAGATAGGGTTTTGCCATGTTGGTCAGGCTGGTCTCAAACTCTTGACCTCAGGCAGTCTGCCCACCTAGGCCTCCCAAAGTGCTGGGATTACAGGTGTGAGCCACCGTGCCTGGCCTGGTATTGCAACTTGTTAATTGCTGCCTTTTGGAGTTAATTTGTTGGTAAACAGATATGATGAACAGTAAAAGATCCAATTTGCCACACCATCACTGCTACTTTATGTGAAAGTTTATATTTCAAACTGAACTTAATTTTAATTGATTTTAGGTCGTTCAATGGGCTCAAGAGCAGCTGCTTCTGTAATGTGTCACATTGAGCCAGATGATGGTGATGATTTTGTTCGGGGTCTCATTTGTATTTCTTACCCACTGCACCATCCAAAGCAGCAGCATAAACTCAGAGATGAAGACCTCTTTCGTTTAAAAGAGCCTGTACTGTTTGTGTCAGGCTCAGCAGATGAAATGTGTGAAAAGGTGAATTATAACTCAATGTTTGTGTCAATGAAAGAGAATGAAAGGCAGACATATCTTGGGAGCAAGATACTTCTGGCAACAGTGTCTTTTAAAAATTGCTAATTTGACTAATGCTAGTTTTGTGTCCTGGTTACTCTGTTGCTTTTGAGAACCTAAAAATATAAGTATAGTGACAAAATTTGTATCCCTGGAAATAGAGTTGGTAAATATGACCCTTACTTGGAAAATGAAGGATTAATATCTGAATCATCTGATTTTGGGATTACTACACTATAGATTTTTTTAATCATTTCAACATTCAGGCAGAGTATTTGTTATAAAATTGATTCTTGAGAAAGGGTTGGCAATGTCTACACATTACTAAATATTAGCCCAATATTATGAAACAACTTTATATTCCCCAGGGCATATAATTTGCTTGGGAAAAAGATTTTTGGGGGAAGAAATTTTTTTATTCCAATTTATTTTACATTTTATTAGTAATAAATGCTTGATCTGATACTGCTACAGCTGAGAGAAGTGGACTGCCACTTTTACGGACATTTCCTCACACATTCTATTACCTAGAAAGTTGTCTGAGAAAGCATTTAATGAATACTTGGGAATGAATGCCAGTATAGGCAGGGGAGAGAGGACCTTTTATTAAATATCAACAGAACATTAGTCTAGTATCCTCTTCTTTTTCTCTTTAGAACTTGTTGGAGAAAGTGGCACAGAAAATGCAAGCTCCCCATAAAATCCACTGGATTGAGAAGGCAAATCATTCCATGGCAGTGAAAGGACGGTCGACAAATGATGTTTTCAAAGAAATAAATACACAGATTTTGTTTTGGATCCAAGAAATTACTGAAATGGACAAGAAATGTCATTAGTTAAAAGCCATGTTATCTTGAGTACACATACAGTTAATTTGATAAAGAAGAGTATGCCTCTCAGCATTGTGAGATATATTTCAGACTAATTTGATGTTCTTTAATGTTCCCTTATTTTTGAAACACGTTTTAAATGTGAAATTAATGTCCTTCACAAAATGTCTTTTGAAAGCACTGTTACAGTTGTATAAAGATGATGTAAAAATATTGAAGGTGGTCTACATATAATTTATTTTCATTAGTATAGTTAAGTTTTGAAAAAAATTAAACATCTGAATTTTGTTACAAAAAGGTGCTTTTGTCTTATTGATAGGCAACTGAGAAATTTTGCAGAGCAGCGTTATCTTCAGAAAAGGAAAACATTATGGTTAATCTAGTCAGAGATTTATAGAATGCACACATCTCTTCACCTTATCTTTTAATAAATCACAATGAAAGGATAGGAGTGGACATATGTTTCAAATATGGGGACCCTGAAGATTTTTTAGAATGAAATAAAGATCTTTAATTCAAGAAGTGTTCACTGAAGGCTTATTACAGGCAAACCTCATTGGGTTTGCAAAGATGAATAAAAACTTGGAGCTTACAACATAGTGTGTGAGGCTGGGCACGGTGGCTCACATCAGTAATCCAAGCATTTTGGGAGGCTGAGGCAGGCGGATCACTTGAGGCCAGGATCACTTGAGGCCAGGAGTTTGAGACCATCCTGGCCAACATGGCAAAACCCTGTCTCTACGAGACCATCCTGGCCAACATGGCAAAACCCTGTCTCTACTAAAAATACGAAAATTAGCCAAGTATGGTGGCACACATCTATAGTCCCATCTACTCGAAGGATGAGGTGGAAGAATTGCTTGAACCCAGGAAGTGGGGGCTGTAGTGAGCCCAGAGCACACCACTAGACTCCAGCCTGGGCAACAGAGTGAGACTGTGTCTCAAAAACACAACATAGTGTGTAAAATCAATAGACTACTCTGATTAAAGAGAGAAATAATTGCTAAATTGTAGTACTAACATCTTTGCTATATCTATGCAGTTGGGGCACTTAATTTTGCCTTGGAAAGTTCAGCTATCACCTGATCTCGAGCTTGAATGGTATTGAGTTATATATAAAGAACATAGTTTCTGTATTTCCTGTAAAATTCACAAAAGGTGATGAGGCTGATGTTAAATTTAAATAGAAGTTTGTAGTAAGAAATGTTTCTTTAATCTTTTGCATATCCTCCCTACTACTCTTAATGTTAGGCCATTAAAATAGCCTCAAGTGGCCTGGGCAGCTTGCAGATTTTTGAGGCCCTTTATTCCTCTGCCCTGATGGAATCAGTAGATTCAAAATATTAGTTTTCTAAATATGACAAAGAGAATGAAAACGTAGGTAATAATGTCCAAATCTTTCACATTGTAAAGTGATGCATAACTATAAATTTAAAATTCCTGTGACTATTTATAATAGATATTCTTGACTAAAAGTCATTTCCTGAACCTAAATTTTTAAGAATGTTGTATAAGTAAACAATAATTAACATTTGAAATTTTAAAACACTACTAATATCAAAAGATGATAAACATAAAAAATATCCAAAGCTATCAAGAAGATAGAATCACTGGTCTATTAACCACTATAAGTCATTGAAGAACATAAGTATTGTGAACCAGAAGTAAAGCTAACAGGACAAGGAAAACACAAAAGACAACTTATTACATAATGTTAGAGTACAACAAAACATTTAAAAGGCTACTGACCAGGCTATACAATTTACAATATTTGCGTTTGCAAAATTAAACTATAGGCATAATATGATGACCAAAGATACTACATCAAATATAGGGGTAATGTAGGTAGATGATCATTTAAAGTTGATTTTCCCCTGAGTTTTCTATAAGAAACTACTGTTCCTTATTGATGTAATGGCTTGACATTTGAGGACTGTATAGCTAGCCATATTTGGGGAACATAGAACTCCTAGAGAAAGATGAATGATGTATCCACAGCAGAAACGAACATTTAGGAAAAGGTCACATCTGCTCTCCTCCATAGATTTACCACGCCTTGCAGGAAAATGTTCAGCCCCTTCAAGTTTGAGATTATAATCAAAGAGCCATTCTGGCACCTCTTCTGGTAGGCCCTAATTAATGGCATAGCTGTTATTGAGGGGGTCTTGACTGCAAGTTGTCCAGGTTCTTGACGTTTTGGATAAAGAATTGGACAAAATGCACAGCAAAGCAAGGAAAGAGTGAAGCAAAGAAAGCATAGATTTGTTGAAAATGATAGTACACTCCACAGTGTGGGAGTGGGCCCAAGCAGCGGCTCAAGGACCCTGGAAAAGGAATCTTCTGGGGCCCAAACACCCTCTAGAGGTTTCCCATTGTCTACCTGGGTGTTCACCCCATGTAAATGAAGTGGTGGCCCACAGTCAGTCTGATTGGTTGCAGAAAGCAACCAGTCAGAGGCTGAAGTGAAGTTACAAAGTTACACTCCCATGCAAATGTCTGTTTGCAGAAAGCAACCAATTTTGCAACCAACTTTCAATTTTCTATCTGCTGCACAGATAAGGTGTGGGTTTGCAAAGGGAGTAGCCTCTGGTCTTTTTGTTACTTAGGCATGGAAAGTTGGGGTTTTCCTATCAACTTAGTTGTAGGAAGTCAGGGTGAATTGGTCTTAGGTTCTCTGCCTCCAGACCCTGTTCTCCTGCCTCATAAACACTCACCTAGACTAATGCTCCCCACCCAGGGGGGACCTTTACCCCTTAGGGCAGTGGTCCCCAACCTTTTTGGCACCAGGGACCCATTTCATGGAAGACAATTTTTCCACCTGACTGGGTTGGGAGTGGCGGGGGTAGGGATGTTTTCTGGATGAAACTGTGCCATCCCAGATCATCAGTCATTAGAGTCTCATAAGCGCACAACCTATAGATCCCCCATGTGCACAGTTCAAAATAAGGTTCCCTGCTGCTATAAGAATCTAATGTCACAGCTGATGTGACAGGAGGCAGAGCTCAGGCAGTAATGCTGGCTTGCCTACTGTTGGTTCATAGTGGGCCACGGACCAGTACTGGTCTGCAGCCCGGGGGTTGGGGACCCCTGTCTTAGGGGATATTTGGCAATGTCTGGAAATATTTTTGTCACGACTAGGGTTGGGGTGCTACTGGCATTCTGTAGGTAGAAGATAGGGATGTTGCTAAGCATCCTACAATACACAGTACTGCAGCCACAACAAAGAAATGTCCTGTCCAAAATGTCAATTAGTGCCCACGTTGGGAAACCTCATCTTAGACAAACCAGATTTGGGATTATCTGTAAGTCCTTTCTCCCTCACCATGAACTCTTCCATCCCCCACCTTGATCCATTTGCTTTTTTTTATTATGTTAGGTTTTTTTTTTGTTTTTTGTTTTTTTTGTGTTTTTTTTTGAGACTGGAGTGCAGTGGCGCGATCTCCGCCTCCCGGGTTCAAGCGATTCTCGTGCCTCAGCCTCCTGAGTAGCCGGGATTACAGGTGTGTGCCACCATACTTGGCTAATTTTTGTATTTTTAGTAGAGACAGGTTTCGTCATGTTGGCCAGGCTGGTCTCGAACTCCTAATCTCAAGTGATCCGACCGCCTCGGCCTCCCAAAATGCTGGGATTACAGGCAAAAGCCACCGCGCTGGCCTAGTTTTATTTTTCTGAGACAGAATTTCACTCTGTCACCCAGACTGGAATGCAATGGCATTATCATACTTCACTGCAACCTTGAACTCCTGGGCTCAAGGGATCCTCCTGCCTCAGCCTCCCAAGTAGCTGGGACTACAGGCGCCTGCCACTGCACCTGGCTACTTTTTAAAATTATCTTTTTTTAGAGAGACGGGGTCTCAAATATTTTTGTAGAGAACAGGGTCCTGCTTTGTTGCCGAGGCTGGTCTCGAACTCCAGGGCTCAAGCAATCTAACTCAGCCTCCCAAAGTGCTGGGATTACAGGCATGAGCCACCACACCCAGCCACTTGCTTTCTTTTAGTTGCTAAATCCTGGGTTTCAGTCTTTTACTCTAATTCAGACCCTTATCAATTCTCATCTATCAGTGCAGTAGCCTAATTGATTTTCCAATTTTATTGTCACCTTGCTTTGATACACCAGCTGGTACTTCCAACTCAAAAACTGTTAGATCTCCGAAGATGGCTCCACAGTAGGGCTCTGTCAACATTTTAGCCTTCTTTTCCCAGACTTCACACCTGTAACCGTGCTATAGCTAACATGGACTATATAAATGTTTATAAAATGGAAGAAGTATTTCTTACTCTTCTTCCTACTTTGTTTGTTCATCTTTGCCTGCTACCAAATCCAAATGAGTAGGGGGGATTTTTTTCCCCTCTTTGCAGATTTCCTTGAAATTACCCCAAACCAAGCATCTCACCTCAAACCCCTGTAATATCTTCGTCCTTTCTGTGTTAACCGAACTCTACCTTCTCATTAAGTTATTAATATCTCCATCTCACTTACATTACAAATTCCTTCAAGTTTGGGATTTTTTTTCCTCATCATTGTTAAATGTTAACAAAGATGTTAACAAAACGTTAACAAAATGTGTTAAAGCACGTTTTTGTTCCTTGTTCAGTGCTTTACACATTTATTATTCAACACATGTATTAAACTAAGATATTTACAGAAAGAATTTCTAACAATTTTGAACAATATCTGGCTTTATGTTGCTGTTTTATATATCTAATATTGGGACTTTTTCCTGTTAAGTAAAGAACAAAAACCAAGTTCATAATGTCAAGATAGTTCAAAGATGGTAACATTGGTAAATATAATAGGAAGTTTTAAAAAAAACTTTAATAGAATTTTCATTGTGTTTTCTCGTAGTGTCTATGTTTTACTACTGTAATAGGCTTTCTCTGATACTCTTTTTCTTTTTACTCTGTAAGCAAGTAAATCTTGCTTAGCATTTACTTTTGATGCTGTTCACTTGACATTGGTCTGAGAGGTTTCTAGTCCAAGAGACAGAAGCATTTATGCTGAAAAATAGATAATTATACTTTTGTTAGTAGCAAGTACATAAGTAACAAACATGACAAAGCCCTGGAGAGGGATAATACTTACCCCTATGTAAACCTACCCATCAGCAGGAGTGGTACGCAGCAGTTCCTTTTCAGTTCCTTAAGAGCTCTTCAGTGGAATGCTAATTAGGGATTCAGTACCATAAAGCTTGGAAAGATCTATTAACTAGAGAGAAGAAAATGTTGAAACAATGAATCCCTTTTAAGATAGTTACCATTAAATGATTTAGAGAGTTTCTGCAAGTAGGTGAGAGTAACAGTATTTTTCCAGCTGCTTAATTTTTCTTTTCCCCCCTGAGATGGAATTTTGCTGTTGTTGCCCAGGCTGGAGGGCAATGGCGTGATCTCGGTTCACTGCAACCTCCGCCTCCCCGGGTTCAAGCAATTCTCCAGCCTCAGCCTCCTGAGTAGCTGGGATTACAGGCACCTGCCACCATGCCCAGCTAATTTTTGTATTTTTAGGTAGAGACGGGGTTTCACCATGTTGGCCAGGCTGGTCTTGAATTCCTCACCTCAGGTGATCCACCTGCCTCGGGCTCCCAAAGTGCTGGGATTATAGGCATGAGCCACTGCGCCTGGCCCAGCTGCTTGAATTTTATGGGGAAACCCAGGAGACTAAAATCACCTCAATTGTCTTTGTGGGCAGGGGAGTACGGGGAAGGTGTACTTTACCATAGTTCTAGAAAAATCAAGAGGAATTGCTGAAGTTTCTTTCAGAGCCAATGAAGACCTACCAAGCATTCTAAAGGGCGATTCTTTGCGAAGACAAAATTCAAGATAAGAATTATACTTAAATAAAGATTAGAAATACCTGTACATTGTGGTCCAGGAGACTGGAAGACTGTAAATTCCAACATTTAGAATGTCATTGATCTCTTGATCTTCAATGTTCAGGGACAGTAAGAGTTGATAATTCTTTTTTCTTTTTCTTTTCTTTTTTTTTTTTTTGCAACAGTGTCTTGCTTTGTTGTCCAGGATGGGAGTGCAGTGGCAGGATCATGGCTCACTGCAGCCTTCAACTCCCAGGCTCAGGCAATCCTCCCACCTCAGACTCCCAAGTAGCTGAGACTAACTACAGGTGCACACCACTATGCCTAGTTAATTTTTAAATTTTTGGTAAAGACGGAGGTCCACCTATGTTGCCTAGTACTGGTCTCAAACTCCTGGGCTCAAGCCATCCACCCACCTCAGCTTTCCAAAGTGCTGGGATTACGGGCATGAGCCACTTCGCCCAGCTGAAGTCATAAATCTTTGTTGTACTTATTTAAACTGATGTGACAGAAGAGGCCTGAACTGTTCACTTCAGTGTAATGAATAATACTTCAGTGTAATGAATAATACTTCTTTGCTTAACCTACCTTGGATAAGTGAAGTACTAAAACAAAACCAAAGTGAAGCATTAATGAATTACATCTGCAAAGGAAGTATTAATTAATTACACCTTCAAAGGAAGAGTACTCTAAATCCAAGGTAGTGTTAACATTTTTCATTATTAGTCCAGACTATCCTGTCTACTTGTGACTAAAATCATATTTGCTCAATAAGCTTCCAGGCCTACCCACTAGACTTTGAAGGGGAGTGGGCAGTACTGTACTTACATCTGCCTCTGCCCTACCCTTAATTCTGACATCGGAAAGGACATCACAAGTAGCTCCCTGAAATCACTGTAGACAGGGTGAAAAGGAAATTCACCAGGAGGTTATTCCAAAGACACTTTAGTTTTCAGCATGTCAATAGATTGTTGAAGGGAAATGGTGCCAACAGACCCTGCTAGCAAAAAGAAATATAAAATGTGTTCTATTTTAAGAAAAAAATCAGACTCATAAAAGACAAGTCATCATACATTCTACATAGTTGTAATGGGACATACTTAGACCAAAAAAATTATTCGACATTTCTCTGAAATTCAAATTAAATTGGGCATCTAATGTTTTTATTTGCTAAACCTGTCAACTCTATCTATATTCATTCTAAGAAAGGACTATATTTTCCTTACCACAAAGAAGCATAAAATACATTGTTCCTGGTGTTAATAGAAATGGTTATGTCAAATGCTTTCTACCAATCCAAATTTATTCTATATTTATAATAGGGCAGCAACAATCCATGATAGAATTATGTTGCTATCTATGAAGTTAAGAGAAGGTAATTTTTTGAATTTTAGTAAAAAACTACTTATACAGTGTACATATCTTACCTATGAACTTCCATTATTGCTAAAGCTAATATGAGCTCAGTTAAATACCCACTATGACACGTACCTCACTTAACTTAGGCCCAGAGCAATCACTGCTGCACTTGATAAGATACCAGCAGCACTGGCCAAATGTTGCACATGGTTATGAGTTGGGCATACCGAGGTTTTATATTTCAGGGCCTCTGAAATCAAGGACTTCTGAATGAGACACCAGTCTCTTTCACATATGACATTAAAATGTCAAAGCAATATTATTCCTTTAAAAAAGGGGTAGGGAGTGGACTGGAAGATAATACATTCATGACATTATGGGACTTTCTAGAGTCCTGGATTATTCAAAATGATTGGGTGGCAATTTTCTTTATAATTTTACTAGGAATTATTTTTGAGATAATACTCATGAAAGCTTGTGCATCCTTTTGGAAGAAGCCCACACTTCCTGAAAAGGGTAGTTCAGATGTCCAGGAGGTAAGAATAAATGGTTGATTTCCCCTTTTCCTAGTTTTCAAAATCAGACATAAGAATAATTTGTAAAATTTTTGAATTTTGATACTCCGATTACTCCTCTAACAATTTTTTTTCCATTAAAATAGACGGAAGACAGTTGCCCCAAAAGCAGGAAACTTGGTAAGTATTATACAATTTCACATTTTAATATAAAACTTGTTCATCCTGAGCTTTTCTCATTGATACTGTGACTTTTTTATTCCTATTCAGCTCCAGAGAATTGGTCAGTTATTAATTCATCTTCAGGAGAAAGGTATGTGATATATCACAAAAATATTTTGAAGCTAAATGAAATAGGTTGGTTGTGTTCTATTCAAAATTGCCTTTACTTCTGAATTTCAGAGAAGGGTTTTCCTAGCTGTTCAATATCATGATTCAATCTAACATTTACTTTAAATTGTTGCTATGCTCCAAGCTGTGTTAAGGACTTTTCGTATATTATTGAAATTATCCTTCGAGGCAGGTAGTTTCTTACAGATGAGGAAAATAAAGCTTGAAGAGGATAAGTGACTTGCTTTCCTACTCTAACTCTCTCTCCAACACACCAGTTCTTATATTTCAACTGAAAAGATATTTATTTAGCACTTACTGTGGACCAAGCAAACACTGAGCTAGGTGCTGCATGAGTGACATGAAAGGAGTTTGTAAAATCAGAATTTATCAGAATTGTAAAGTTATCTCCGTGCTAGGGATTAAATACTGACATAATCACAACTCTTGATGCTATCAATATTTTAATTGTTTTAATTGAAATCCATTCAACAATTATTAGATATCTACAATATAGTGGACGCCAACACTGGGATTCAAACCATAATATAGTCTCTGTTCTCAAGAAGCTTATATTCTTGTGGAGAAGATGTATACATACAGGAAAGTTGCCCTGTGGTATGGTGACACAGTGACAGAAATATTAATATATTTAGGAGATACCTAAGCCAGCCTAGGGCATTGGGAATGGCTTCACGAAGAATGTTATCCTGGAGCTGAATTTTAAAGGATGAATGAACATTAGCCCGAAAAGGACAGAGGTTTAGGAGGATAAGAAAGACATTCCAGGACATGAACAGAAACAGCAGCAATGTGCAAGAAATTACTATTATTTCAGAGTTGCTGGAATGTTGAGGTTGAGTCAGGAAGTAGTGGAAGATGAATGTGAAGAGGTAGGTAGGAGTCAGGTCATAAACGGCTTTCTATACCATGTTAAGACCTGGATTCAATTCTGTAGATAATAACCACTACTGGTGGTTACACATAAGAGTGGCAGTTTTGTGTTTCAGCTAGATCACTAGTCACTGTGTGAATCAGAGGATTACTTGATGTTCGTCTAATTTCTTTCATTTGTCAGGTATAAAAGGGCTTTATTCATTTAATCTGGTTGCTATATTGTTGTATTGGGTACTAGCAACACTAGTTCTCAGGTGAGTGTCTTGGGAAGCTGTAACAATATCTGGAGGTGTGAGTAGGTAGAACCCTTGTGAGGGCCAGTTGGAAACAGGAATGCCAGCACAAGCTACAGCATGTCAGTAGTGCAATCAGAATAAGTCCAAATGGACAGACCAAGATTCAGCATTTGAGATATTAGAGGGCTTAGGTGTGCATGGTGACCCAAGGTTCACATGTAATTCAAAACCAGAGGATTAACAGGCAAGAGGAATTCACAAGAAGACATGGAGAAAAAAAGGATTTTTAGCTTCAGAATCAAGGACACTTTAAAGATTTTCCATCCCCGTGTCCTATTATTCCCTTCCTGCCTAGACAGAAGTTAATCCTCGGGTGGCATCTTTCTAGGGGGCGTTAAGGGAAATTCATGGAGAAGAAGAGGTTAGGGGGTGGTGTTGAAGAAAAAGGATTAGAGAAAAGATATGGCTCCTGTGGCAGCAGCATATTATGGTGAAAAAACATAAATTTTGAAGTTAAAAAAGGTCTAGCTTTATATCATAGTTCTGCCTCTTTTTGTTTTTTTGTTTTTTTTTTTTTTTTTTTTTTAGACAGAGTTTTGCTCTTTTTGCCCAGGCTGGAGAGCAATGGCATGACCTCAGCTCACTGCAACCTCCGCCTCCTGGGTTCAAGTGATTCTCCTGCCTCAGCCTCCATAGAAGCTGGGATTACAGGCACCCACCATCACACCTGGCTAATTTTTTGTGTTTCTAGTAGAGATGCGGTTTCACCATGTTGGCCAGGCTGGTCTCGAACCCCTGACCTCAGGTGATCCACCTACCTGGGCCTCTCAAAGTGCTGGGATTACAGTCGTGAGCCACTGCACCTGGCCCTGTAGTTCTACCTCTTAATGATGGCATGGCCTTGGGCTAATGACTTAACTCACTATACCTCCATTTTTTTTTTTTTTTCGAACTAAGGATTAGAAGAATTACCTCTTAGGAATATCATGAAGAATAGTTGAAATAGTATGTGTAACACGGTGGCTCACGCCTGTAATCCCAGCATTTTGGGAAGCTGAGGTGGGCGGATCACTGAGGTCAGGAGTTCGAAACCAGCCTGGACAACATGGTGAAACCCCATCTCTACTAAAAATACAAAAATTAACCGGCTGTGGTGGCATGCGCCTGTAATCCCAATGACTTGGGAGGCTGAGAATGGCTTGAACTTGGGAGGCAGAGGTTGCAGTGAGACGAGATTGCACCACTGCACTCCAGCCTGGGAGACGAAGCGACTCCAGCTCAAAAGGAAAAAAAAAAAATATATATATATATATATATGTATATATATACACACACACACACACACACACACACACACATATATATGTGTATACATATATATATAAACTTTTTTTGGGAAAAGAACTATGAACATAGTATTTTTTTATTTTTAACCATTGACACCTTCAAATAATTTTATTTCATTTAATTTTTTAAAATTCCTTCTAAAAAAAAAAACCAGGATACATATGCAGAACGTGTAGGTTTGTTACATAGGGATACGTGTGCCATGGTGGTTTACTGCACCTATTGACCTGTCCTCTAAGTTTCCTCCCCTCGTCCCCCATCCCCGAAAAGGCCTTGGTATATGTTGTTCCCCTCCCTGTGTCCATGTGTTCTCATTGTTCAGCTCCCACTTAGGAGTGAGAACATGCGGTGTTTGGTTTTCTGTTCCTGTGTTAGTTTGCTGAGAATGGTGGCTTCCAGCTTCATCCATGTCCCTGCAAAGGCCATGATCTCATTCTTTTTATGGTTGCATGGCATTACATGATGTATATGTACCACATTTTTTTTATCCAGTCTATCATTGATGAGCATTTGGGTTGGTTCCATGTCTTTGCTATTGGAAATAGTGGGACAGCATCTTAATAAATTATTTTGAAATAGAAGGGTATATTGGCCGAAGCTAAGCATCAGAATGGTTAAAATCTACTGCATTAGAGATGGAGTGGATTTTATCTTGCTTATGAAATGAGACAAAGGAGAAAGGGGGTAGCTGGGGGGGCAGAGAGGAGCAGAACAGAGGGAGTTGCAGGTGTAGTGGTGTGAGGCTTAGGACTGAGTGGCATAAAGGATGAGACCACCACTCAGTATCTGAAATCCGGGGACCCGAGCTGACCAGGTATCGTCTCAGTAAGCAAAGCAAATGGCTGACCTTATATCAGATTTTGGGGTATGGTTTGTTTTAGGGTTGGCCTTACCCATAGATGCATGCTTGAGTGAGAGTCTGCCACCAACCACCTGACTTTCAAAGCTTAAACTTGTCACTGACTGGTTGGTTTCAGAAGTGCATTTCCTGAAGGGAGTTATCGTTGATAGATAAAACAGTTTAAAAGAAGACTCTGTTTATTTGTTACTATGACTATAGGATTGCCATTGATTGATTTACAACTGGTTCTGCTATTGGTTACCATGGCTCTAGAACTGTTACTCTTTTCCTAGAGAATGAGGAGTTGTTTTTAAAATCTCAAAGGCCAATTAAGATTCCTTGGTGGGGAGAGGCCAAAGGACATCTCACAAATGGGGAGACGTACCTAATGTTTAAATGGGAACCCTATGCATGGCTGTAGTCAACTCTCTCCTGCTTCTGCTTCCAAGTCTTCACTAAAATCAGTCACATGATTTTAAACATATATGAGTGGTTTGTGTATGAGGGATTTTTTTCTCACTGAAATTGAGGAAAGAGTTGGGTCAGTTTGTTGTTAGCAATCAGAAGCCTGGAGGTGGAGATGGTCATTCAGCAAATACTTATTGATTGCCTACTCTGTGTCAGGCATTGCTGTAGGCCCTTGAGACTCATCAGCAAACAAAACAGGGTGTGGGGGTGAGACAGGGTCAGACAATAAATGACAACATAATAAATAAATTATATGTCAGGAGGTGACATGAGAAATTAGAGAGAACTGTGCTGACCAGGCATAGTCTCAGTGAGCAAAGCAAACTGCTGATCTTACATTGGATTATTGGATTTTGGGAAATGGTTTGCTTCAGGGTTTTTTTTTTTTTTTTTTTTTTGGAGATGGAGTCTCATTCTGTTGCCCAGGCTGGAGTGCAATGGCACAATCTCGGCTCACTGCAACCTTCATCTCCTGGGTTCAACAACTCTCCTGCCTCAGCCTCCCGAGTAGCTGGGTCTACAGGTGCATGCCACCATGCCCAGCTACTTTTTGTATTTTTAGTAGAGTTGGGGTTTCACCATGTTGGCTAGGTTTCAAACTCCGATGTCAAGTGATCCACCTGCTTCGGCCTCCCAGAGACCTGGGATTACAGGCGTGAGCCACCCCGCCCAGCCTGCTTCAGCATTTTCTTATATTAGGATTAGATCATGCCCATTCCTAAACTAATCACTCAGAAATGGGATTACTATATTAGACTGAGCCTAATAATCTGAGGTAGAACAGGTGTTGGAGAGTAGACATCATGATCATCCAACGCAAAATTTTGTCTTAGTTGAAGAATAGACTTTACTACCAAAGACTATATACTAAAAGTAATGGGCAGATAACAAAGATGTGTATACAGTCTGTAGTAGATTGCTGGGGCTGCCATAACAACGTATCACAAATTAGGTGGCATTAAAGAACAGAAATTTATTTTCTCATGGTTCTGGAGGCTGAAAGGCTTGGTTTCTCCTGAGGTGTTTCTCCTTGACTCGCAGATGGCCACTTTCTTGCTGTGTCCTCACATGCTCTTTTCTTTTTTTTTTCTTTTCTTTTTTTTTTTTTTAATTTTACTTTAAGTTCTGGGATACATATGCAGTATGTGCAGGTTTGTTACATAGGTATACATGTGCCATGGTGGTTTGCTGCACCTATCAACCCGTCATCTAGGTTTTAAGCCCAGCATGCTTTAGGTATTTGTCTGTCCTAATGCTCTCCGTCCCTGTGCCCCTCACCTCCCTGACAGGACCCAGTGTGTGATGTTCCCCTCCTTGTGTCCATGTGTTCTCATTGTTAGACTCCCACTTAGGAGTGAGAACATGCAGTGTTTGATTTTCTGTTCCTATGTTAGTTTGGTGAGAATGATGGTTTCCAGCTTCATCCATGTCCCTGCAAAGGGCATTAACTCATTCTTTTTTATGGCTGCATAGTATTCCATGGTGTATATGTGCCACATTTTCTTTATCCAGTCTATCATTGATGGGCGTTTGGGTTGATTCCATGTCTTTGCTATTGTAAATATTGCTGCAATAAACACGCATGTGCATCACATGCTCTTTTCTCTGTATATGCATGTCCATGGTGTCTCTGTGTCCAAATTTCCTCTTCTTACAAGGGCACCAGTCATATTGGATTAGGGCCCCACTCTAAATAAGTTAATTTAATCAGTTATAAATAAGTTAACTAACATCAGTTAATTTAATCATCTTTTGATGGCCTTATCTCCAAATATGGATTAAGGCCTACCCATATGACCTCATTTAACTTTAATAGCCTATTTAAAGGCCACGTCTACAAATATGGTCACATTCTGAGGTACTACGGTTAGGACTTCAACATATGAATTTTAGAGAAACACAATTCAGCCCATAAAATAGCCTATATATTAGAGGTTAATAAGTGCTCTAAAATTTGAGAGAACTTGAAAACTAACATATTTTAAATATTTACCTAATATTTTTGTGTTATCGATGAAAAAACAAAATCATTAGTGTAGCCTAAAATACCCCAAATTCTAATTAACCAAATCCAGATTAATGAGATTTCATTGTGTCAACTGAAGAATGATGGTGTTTTGAAAAGAATGATGGCGCTCATAAAAGGTTGCAGCCTGCAGGGTAGCCATTCTGACAGACTGGGAAGTGTAGCCTCCTGTCAGAAGCCAGAAACAGGCCATTGGAGGGCAGGAAGAATAAGACAGGAAATCATGCTGAACGAGGTGGATAATACTCATAGTCAATAAGCTGTAGGAGGAGTCATGAATATTTATGAAAGGAGAAATGTGTGCATGAGCAATTGAGCTTCATTCCTCTCCATGGAACTCATGTTCAAAAAATGGCAGCTTTAGCATGATCCGAGGGTGGAGTTTTTGGTCCTCTGACATCAAAAGGTGAAGCAGGGGACATGAAAACCCCCACTGCACATCCTTCCTAGACTGGGCAGAACCACTCTGTGGTTGGTAGTCTCTTATCAGGAAGGAATGCTGGCTGGTTGCTTTGTTGAAGGCGAAAGGGAGGGGCAGCATCTGGTCATTGGTTGATATCAAGGGTGGTGCAAGCCTTTCCAAAGGGCTGTTCTGTTTACCCTTAGGAAAGAAAGCCTAATGGTAGCGAGGCAGGGAGGTGGTATAATAAGGCCTGTCTGACCTCCCATCCCATCATGGTCAGGAATTCATTTTTCAAGATTCCTTTGGGGTCCCCTTGGTCAAGAGGATGTCCATTCAGTCATTTGTGGGACTTAGCATTTCATTTTTATTTCTCAGTTCTACAAGTAATCATTTAGCACAAATAATTTTTGTGGTTGGGTAGATCATGATGGATTTCATATACTGCCTTCACTATTTTGATTGAGGGTTATTTAAAAGTAAAGTCACACTTACAGTAAAGTAAGAGATAATCTGTGTTCTCCAAACAAATAGCTACTAGAATTATCTGACCTATTTTATATGCATTTCAGTTTTTGATTTTAGGCTTGCTCATGCATCAAACAGTGACTATCGAAATTTATCATGTATCAGAATCAGCTGGAGAGTTTATTAAAGCTCAGATTTTTTGACCCCACCTTCAAAACGTCAGATTCCACAGTGCTGGGATGGGACCAAAGAATATGCATTTCAAATAAGTTTCCAGGTGTATTGTTAGGGTTCTCCAGAGAAACGGAACCAGTAGGATATGTGTGTGTGTGTGTGTGTGTGTGTGTGTGTGTGTGTGTGTGTGTGTATAAAGAGAGAGAGTAAGACAGTTATTTTAAATAATTGGCTTAAGCAATTGTGGTGACTTGCAAGCCTAAAGTGTGCAGTTTAAGTCAAAAGGCTGTCTGCTGACAGAATTTCCTCTTGCTGGAGTATGTCAGGGGGTTGAGGTATGAGTCTTTTGTTCTATCCAGGCCTTTAACTGATTGGATCATGCCCACCCACATTAGGAAGAACAATCTGCTTTTCTCACAGTTCACTGATACAAATGTTAATCTCATCCAAAACACCCTGGGAGAAACATCCAGAATAATGTTTGACCATATCTCTGGGCATCACTGCCCAGCCAAACTGACAAATAAAATTAACCATCACACCAGAAGATGCTGATGCTGTTGGTCTGAGCACTTCTTAGACTGAGACTAATCATTTGAGGTACATGGGTGTTGGCAAGTTCACATCATCCATGATCAGTACTCCGGCCCAAAATTGTACTGAGACGTGCTTCCCTAAAATGTAGGCTTTTCTTTTGATCTCAAAGAACTGTTAACATAATCTGGATTTATCTATAGACAGCTAGTTTATACTATTGGTATTCTTCTGTTGTACCTATTACATTTCCATAAGAATGTTTTCTTTTAGTGAAAACTTTCATATAGAGAACAGAAAAGATATTCCTTGTAAAATAATATAATCTTAATCCAGCAACTTTGACCCAATCTTGTCAAAAATAGACTTTTAGAGATGCTGAGGTATAGTCTCTGAGATATATAATTGATTTACTTCACTTTTTCCGTCGATTAGTTTATTAAGTGAGAAGAACTAGGTAATGAATTGTTTTGTAATATGGATAATGATTTTCCAATTTATCTCTATGCTGATCTGTTTTCATATACTATGCTGCATTTTCTTAAATCTAAAGGTAATTCTTATACGAAATATATTCTAATATTCATTTGTACACTGTTTTCTTATATTTCAGAGTTGGCACCTTTTTAGAAAAAAGAATTACTTCATCACTTACATCTGAAGAAAAGGAATGTAACTTTGAAGATAGAATTTTATTCTCACGTGAAATACTATGGTCAGGTACTAGTGAAAGTGAAGATCAAGTAAGTCCCTCTAGTGAAAGTCATGTGCCATCTTCAAATGGAATCAGCTCATCTTTGCCATTGTTTTATTCAGAAGTAGAGGAAACGTGTCTAAGCCATACAGAGCATCCAGACAGAGAATATGAAACAATACAATTTTCCTCCAAGAAATTATTTTCAATGATGAAAACCAACAAAAACAAAAATTCAGGATTTTCTTCTGATCTTAGCTTTTCAGCATCTAGATTCACTGTAGAAAATGAAGATCTAGATGTGGCACCTTGCCCTCTTGCCCACTTATTTCTTTCTAGAGATCAAGTTAGACTTCTGGAAGAAAATGTGAGGAATCAAATTCCTTCAAAACCCAAAACTAAGTTAGGGAGCAGAACTACTTATCAATGCTCAAGATCTCAAGAGTCCTTGAATCAGAATCAACCTTCTGTTGGAATGGTTATTTCTGTCCAAGCACAGGATTCTTTTCCAGGACAAAATGCTTTTCAGAATCAAGGTCTTTATGAAGTCCAATTTACTAGTCAAGCCCAATATATAAATCATAACCAAGAATCAATTAAGAGCCAGCCTGAGAGCAAAGCCAGCAACTTTGCCCAGCCTGAAGATGTGATGAAGAAGCCATTTTCTAGCAGCACACAAGACTCCTTCCAGTCCCAAGATCTGGATAGGAACCAACATTTTGTTGAAGTTCCATCAATTGTTGAGGCAAAATATTCAGTAAAGGGCCTGGAGTCTGATGAACACTTAGGTGAGGACCAACATTGTGTTTGGTTTATAGATTCAAACAAGGTTAAATATTCAATTAAGGGGCAAGACACTATTTTTAAGAATGCTGAATTTCTCGTTTTAACTCTGAATCCAAATTTAGTCACTGAAGATATGCCACAACTAAGGAGTGTAAAAGCACAAGGCCAGCAACAAATTGTTTCATCAGAATTGAACCAGGATTCTGTATATAGCTCAGTGCCTCTTTTGTCTACCATTAAAGGGCAGAAAAATAGAAGAAAAACACCAGACAGTAAAAGCAAACTCAGTCTTAATGTTCCATCTCTAAAAGCCAAAAAAACACCAACTTCACAAGTATTTCAAATCACAGTATGTCACACTTTAAAAAATAGGAATGAGTTAGGATGCAAGAATAACACTGAGAAGAAAGAATTACATGAAAGGAAAGATATATCAGATATAGCTTTGCATCTTATTTCTGTTTCCAAGCTTATTCTGCCTTATGTTAAAAATTATTCCAGAAAACAACTAGTGAAAGTCATGCCGGGTTTAATAAAATGTGGACATTTTCTGCAGAAGCAAAATAAGTCACCAGATACAGAGAAAATCAATTATGCAGGTCCTCTTGAGGAGACAGGAATCTCAGATATTACTAAAAAGGAAAAGGAGTATGACAAAGAAAACAAAAGACTAAAAAACATTTCACCAAAAATGTTACCTCAGCTAGAACAATCCTTCATGGTCAACACTGTTCAACTAAAAGCACCTTGTTTACTAGTAGAAACAAATGGGAAGAGTAAAGAATCTCTTAAAGACTCAATTACACAAGCAAAGGGAATTGGTATTACAGAATTTCATGTTCTAAATAGTAAAAAACCATTTGATCTCCATATTCCAAAGCACAAGACATCTTTAGAAGAAGCTATATCAAAACCTATGCAGAAACTTGTTTCCTCTCCTGAAATGGAATCGAACAATAGAATGAAAATACAGGAGGACCTACAAAGTTCAGAAAATTCCCATCTTCAACTTTCAAATGGAGAGGAGTTACCAACCAGTACACCAAAAACGCAAAGGTGCTTTCCAAGGGAAAATACACAGAAACAAAAAGATTTTTTGGAACTTGTTCTGGAGTTGTCAAATGTCGGTTTGCTCATTTCCCCAGGAAGCAAAATGCATAAAAGCAGTGAAGAATTAGAAGCCATAAAAATTCAAGTGAATACAGAAAGTGTAAATCTGAAGGAAAGTAAACCATTGATACTTAATGTTACAGAAGACAGTGACCTACGTGAAAGTGAGGAACTGGAATGCAACACTGGAAGTAACATAACAAATATGCATCAAGATAAAGAAACGTCTGATGCATTTCACAGTGCCACTTACACTACCATTTCTCAACTACCTGATACAGAAACACATAGCATATCAAAAGCCAAGGCAGACACATTAAGAATAATAAGGCTCAGTCATTCAGCATCAAAGCAAGAGAAATTACCAGATGAGAAGGAAACACAGAACGCAGAATACATTGATAAGAGCTGTACATTTAAAAAGCCACAACAATGTGATAGAAAGGAACAGGAGAAAGAGGCAAATTCAGAGCTGACACAAGGCTTCAGGTTCAGCATACATCTAAAGCAAAAGCCCAAGTATGTCAAATTCCAAATGGAACAGATCAGTTCAGGAAGTAGTAAAGCCCCAAATAAAGAGCAAGAAGTCCAACCACAAACTCTTTCTACACAAACTATTTTGGAGAATAGTCCATGCCCCATGATGGATCCATTTCAAGTTGAGAAGGTGAAGCAAAGCACAGATAGACCTACAGACAGAGAGAGTGCCGGAGATCCAAAGAATCCACTTACAATGCCAGAGAACTTGCCAGTTGGTGAACTTTTAATTGAAACAACAGAGTATAGTGTCCCATTTGGTGGAAACCTCCAAAAGACAACGGATAGTCATATTGCAGAAGAAAAGGAAGATGTAAAAAGATATTTACCTGCAGTTGCCCTGGGGTCTTTCAATAACCACTTGCTTACTTTACCATATTTTAAAAGGCAGGAAATTAAAAAAAAATTATCAGAAACAAAAAGTGTACTCAGTGTCAAATATGTAATTATGAAAGTAAAGAAGCCAGCAATCTCACTGATGCCTTATATTAATATATGTGGTACTTCAAACCACAGGAAAAAAATGGGAGGCAATTTTGAAATTATAATTAAACAGATACTGCAAGATAAAATTGCAGCAGGTATGCTTCTGAATGTTATTTACCCTCCCATGTCTATTTTGCCTAATACTAGAATGTATAGCAGATTAAATGCAGAGAATCACAGTCATATCAAGCTAGTCCAAGAGGAATCCCAAATTGAAAGGGAAGAAAAGTATCCATATTTCATTAATGAGGGAAATGAATCCCAAAACACACTAGATGCTAAATTGCAAGATGAAGTAAAAGGCGTCAAAGAAACTCTACCAAAAGCAGTCCTGCATGATAGCTGCAACCTTGGACTTGATGCACATCTAGAGAAGGAGATTAAAACAGAGAAAGAAATGCATCAACCAATCCCATTCACAGAAACTATTATTGAGTCTGTTGTTTCTCCCATAATGGAACTATCTCATGCTGAGAATGTGAAGAGTACTCAAAAAACACAAACAGACTGCAAATGCACTGCAGATTCAGAGACGCCTTCTCCAATATCAGGAAAATCACTGATTGGAGACCCTTTAAACCAAACAAGAGAAAGTTATATTCCAAGTAATGGAAGTGATACAAGAGAAATGGGTTACTGTTTTGCAGAAGAAAAGACAGAAATACCAAAAGATTTACCAGCAACTTCGCCAGAGACTTTCAATTATTGCACTCCTGTTTTATCTTGTTCTAAAGTGATGAAAAAGAGAGTAACATTTGCACTCACAACAAGTACAGCGAAGCCCAAATGTGTAAATACAAAGGCTGTGAAGCCATCAATCTCAGAGACAGTCAGTGTCACAAGCCACAGAAAGAAATCAGAATTAGACTTTAAGACTAAGTTTAAAAAGATAAACCAAACTAAAGGATTGGTACCTGAATGTCTAAATACCCTTTGCTCTCCAATGCATAGCAGATTGCAGAGAGAGTTCTGTCTCCCTGCGTCTCAATTAAAGCAAGGAGAAACAGCAGATAAGACATACACTGATGTCTTTGCTAAGAATAGCATATCCCATGACAGAGAGGAAAAATTGCAAGATGGAAAGGAAGAGGAACATAAAGTTTTATTAGAAGCAGCGCCACAGCTGAGCCAGCACCTGGGGTCTGAGGCGGGTCAAATGAAGGAAATCCATCTTGAATCAGACCCAGTGCTGAACTGTTTAACACTGGAGCTACATATTAATGGACAACGTTTGCAGCACCAAACAGGTTTTGAACAAACTACTTTAGAGACTAGTCTCCAAATGGGTCCTTTAGAAGCTGAAGAACTACAAAAAGCCAACGAAACAGAAAATGACATAAAAGTCCTTGGAGGTCCTAAGATTCCACCTCCCAAAGCTTTACAGGCTCTGGAGAACAGCGATGGCTTAATACTCAATGCATATCAGAAGGATAATGAGCTTGTCAAATCAGATGAGGAACTGAACCAACCAGGAAGTACAAATATTCAGGTACAACCACAAACACATTTTACACAAACTATTTTGAAGTCTACTTCATGCCCTACACTGGATCAATTTCCATTTGAAAAGGTAGAGAGTCATGTTAGGTTTTCACCTCTAAAGTCTGGGGAAGCAAAGGTTGATGAAATCATATTTTATGCAAGAGAAGGTGGTATCTCATCTGATTCTAGCCATCAAAAGGAACAGGCTGGTGGTACTGAAAAGAAAGAGACAGCGATTTTTGGTTCCTGCATGCCTGCTTTATCTACACCTAAAACGACGAGAAACTTAAAACAATTTTCAGACATGAAAACTTTAGTGAATCCCAAATGTGGAATTATAAAGGCAAAGAAGCCATCAATTTCATACATGCTCAATATCAGGGCTGGTGCTGGTCCGAAACGTAGAAAAGAACTGAGCTGTAACTTGACAACCAAAATGAAAGAACTGCATCAAGGCAAAAAGGGGGTAGATGAAACATATGCTTTCCTGACTATGACACCTGACATTAACAAGTATAGCAAGGTAGAAACAGAAAAAGACACGCTAAGAGAAAAAAGACTCAGTTCTACTCAAGTAAAGCAAGATACATCTCCACATGAAGATAGTATTACTTCACGTGACATTAAAGAAACCCTTCTTCAAGATGAAGAGCAAGAAGAAAGGAAACAGGAGGCATTGTTAAAAGTAATTCCACAGCACCTGCAACATTTCATGTTCCGTTCAGGTCAGGGGAAGGATCTTGACTTTCACAAATTAGAAAACCAAGGAAGTAGGAAAATTCTGTTTGTTACCAAACAAGATGTCCCACAGCAACTTCAGCCTGCAGAGCCAATACAAAGAGAGGAGACAAAGAAATGCCTCCAGACCCAAAATGGCACAATATGTACAGTAAATTCAAAACTTCTTCCTCTAAAATCAGAGGACTCAGTAAATGGTGAAGTTTTAACTGGTGCAATAAAACGTGGTGTACCAACTGATAGGAAATGTATGGGGGAACAGCACAATTCAGGTAAAGGGGAAAAGGCAGAGTTTAATAAAGATCTACAAGCAACTGTCCTGGAGTTACAGAAATCACCACATGGTGGGGAGGCACAGAAGGCCAATTTGACTGACATGGAAAGTGGATCTAGTAATGCAATGAACATGAATGTACAACATGAAAGGGAAGATAAAAATATTCAAAAAATGTTAACAGAATCAGTTCCATGCTATAGTCAACACCTCCGTTTCAGTACACATCAAATGAAAGATCCTGACCCTTGCAAATCAGGATCTGAACCGAAGAGTCCCGAAGGCAGATCTTGGAATTTGTCTCACATAGTGCAAAAAACAAAGCAAGAAACACACTTTAGAGAAACTGTTTTAGAGCCTATTTCTGGATACATGATGAAACAAAGTCCTCATATGCAAGAAGGAATAAAATGTATGGAAGGTCTAAAGACTTCATTTCCCAAAACAGGGAAATCAAAGATTGGTTCAATACCACGTGATACCCCTTGGGATGAAAATCCTAGAAGGAAATGGGATAGTTCTATTTCTGAGAAAACTGCATGGAATCAAAAAAACTTACAAACAGTCTTAAAACCTTTAGATTTCTCCAGCCTCATGTCATCTGAATATGAAAGCCGGAGCTATACATTAGAGTTTATAGGCAAGAAAAGTATGAGTCCCAAATGTGTAACTTTGAAGGCAAAGCAACTACGAATTTTGCAGTTGTTTAATATCATAAGATATTCTACAGAAAACCACAGAAAGAAAAAGCAACACCGTTTTAAGTACAAGATGAAAGGGAAGCAATGGTACACAAGTATAGGAGAGGCATTACTCAGTGCCACTGAATATGCTAAGAGTACAACATCCAAATCAATGATTGATAAACTCTTATACAATACAGCAGCGAGGTGCATTCTATCTAACAGAACACGCCGACAAAATCTGGATGGTCATATTACAGAGGAAAAGGAAGAGGTACAAGAAAATGTAGCTGCAATTTTCTTGGGTCTTTTAGATTTCTTCATGCCTGTTTTATCTGACTCTAAAAACCAGAGGAACACAGCACAGTTATCAGAAAAAGAAATTATATTCAATGCCAAATGTTTAACTATGAAGGAAAAGAAGTCGTCAATTTCACAGATACATAAAATCAATAGAGAGTCTACCAGAAAACATAGGAAGAAATGTAAATCCTATTTAAAAACTGTATCCAACAGAAAGTGCCAAGAAAATCATGGTCATATTACAGAGGAAGAGGAAGAAGTACAAGAAAACTCACCTGCAACTTTCCTGGGTCCTTTAGATTTCTTCATGCCTGTTTTATCTGACTCTAAAAACCAGATAAACACAATACAGTTATCAGAAAGGAAAATTATATTGAATCCCAAATGTTTAACTATGAAGGAAAAGAAACCACCAATTTCACAGATACATAAAATCAGTGGGCAGTTTACTACAAAACATAGGAAGAAACTTGAATCCAATTTAAAAACCAAACTGAAAGCAATGTGGCAAGGTGAAAATGTGGCTGATACATTTCCAAATACAACTTCCTTCACTCCAGATTCCTCTGACATTAAAAGGCAAAGTGGATTCCAAACAGAGATAGACATGAGAATATCAGGGTTAAGTCATACACAACCAACACAAATAGAGTCACTAGCTGAAGGGATAGCAAGGTATTCTGATCCCATTGACAAGAGAAGAACTTCCAACTTGGTAAAGGGAGCAAAACTACATGATAGAGAAAGTGGGGAAGAGAAGCAAGAACATCTTACAGAAATGGATCCATTCTATGCAGAAAACTTCATGGCAAACACATATCTTAGAAAGGATCGTCATCTTGGTAAATCAGAGGATGTGCTTTTGGGAGAAACTTTTTTCTCAAAAAGTCAGATTTACAAAGGGAATTCAGAAAAAAATGTAAAAATAGAAAAAAACAAAAATGGAAAAGAAAGTCTCAAAGTTGGGCTCGCAAGGATGGAGAAATCAGATAATTGTGCAGAACTGAGTGAGGCAACAGATGATGCCATATCAAACAAATATGATAAACAGAACATTGGCCATTCTGTTTTAAAAGAAAATGCTTTCTGTAATTTGGCAGCAATTGTCCCAGATTCTGTTGGCAGGCATTCACCTGCTTCAGAAGAAATGAAAAGACAGAATGGCAGACTTAAAATGGCTGACAGGTCAAGTCCCCAAGGTAGACCTTTGCAGGCAAAGCAATCAGCAGTTTCACAATCACCTGATACTGCAGGTTATGCTGTTGTAAGCAATAATAAGGAGCAGAAACAGAACTTTAAAGCCCAGAAGACAGAAGCAGAAGTTGATTTAATAGATCAAGAAGCAAAGATAAATGTTGCAGAAGAGTTTAATCCAGAATCTGTTTTTTTCTCTAAGATACATCCACTTCAAATTGAAAACAAGAAAGAATTTAAAACTGCAGACTGGAAAACAAGGGCAGATCCCAAGACATTTGCCCTGCCAAAGAAACAGCAAGAGCTGTGTGTCTCAGGAACTATCTGGAGTTATCCTAATCCCTACACATCTATTTCTCCTAAAATCATAAGACATAAAGATAAGGCAAAGACAGCAGATGTGGAAAGTACTATGCATACCAAACAGATAAAATTGAAGGCAAAAAGAATAACAGTTTCCCAGCTGCTTGAGTATGGTACTGCAAGCAATAAAAAAGAACTGAGAGGTAACATCCAGCAGCAGAAGTCATTCCAGCTGAGTAAAAATGCAGTACATCGAGTTCTAAAGGCTGTTTATGACTCTGGATACTGTGTGTCTAGCATTAAAAAGCTTACAGAAGTAAAAATGGAGAAAGACAAGCCAAAAGACAGGACATGCATTCTTCCACAGCCAAAGCTGGAGAAACCACTAAAAGAAATGCAAAGGTCATTGTCAGGTTGTACTGATATGTCCAGCATTCTTAGAAAACAGGAACAAGATATTAGAGAAAAGGAACAAAAACACCAAAGCATTTCAGAAGACATATCCCAATACTATATTGGACCGTTAAGGATTAGTTCACAACAAATCAATTACAGTAGTTTCGATGCCCCACGAATTAGAACAGATGAAGAACTTGAATTCCTCATTGCACAAAGAGCAAAGGAAAAAGATGTGGGCATTGCCAAACATTCAGTTTCAATTCCGTGGGAGAGAGAAGGATCGAAGAGACTAGATATTCCACTAAACTCAAAAGGACAGAATATATTTTTTACAGAGTTGGATACTTCTCAACAGAAGACTTGCCAGGAGCAAGAATTGCTGAAACAAGAAGATATTTCTATGACAAACCTGGGGTCTATGGCCTGCCCCATTATGGAACCTCTTCATTTGGAAAACACAGGAAAGGTAACTGAGGAAGAAGATGTGTACATTAACAGAAAAATTAGTTCACATGTATTGGGAAAAGAAGGATTAAAGGAAACTGATATATTTGTAGGTTCTAAAGGACAGAAATTTCTTTGTACAAATTCAGAGGTACAGCACAAAGTGCCTGCAGAGCAGAAAGAACAGGTGAATCCAGATCATGTTCCCGAAAGTATTCTGGATTCTGAATCTTTCCTCAGTAAGGACCCTCTTCACTTAAAACAGGCAGTGAATACAGCAAGAAAAGAAAATGTTACCATCTCTGAAAGTTTCAATGAAAATCTTTGGGGAAAAGAGCAATCAAAGTTGGATATTACATTAAAATCAAATAGACAGAAAATGGACTTTTCAAAAAAATTGAGGATGAAGCATCTAAGTAATTATTATCAGAATAAAGAGAATATTCTGGAATCTGTTCTCCCTTGCATATTGCATCAACTTTATATTGAAAATCCCAAGAAAGAAGGCTCAGCAGAAGAAATCATGAGTTCAAAAGTTCTAAGCCCAATGGTAGAGAAAGCATCACATGAAGTAGGTATTCCGGTGGATCAACCTCCATGTTCAGAAGGAATACATTTGAATATTAAAGGAAGAAAAGAACATCCACAAGAAAGTACACACGAGGCTTTTCCAGCATCTGTTTCTCACTCTTTAATGGACGTACTTCAGATTAAGTCACCAAAGGTAAAGAAAGCATTAAAGGCAATCAATAGTTTAGGGTACCTCACTTCAAATACAAAAGGAATTGGCTTGCTTTTTCCAAGACAGGCAGAAAAGGAAGAAAAATATACATACAAGGCTCTTCCAAAGCCTGCATCTCACTCCAAAACAGATCTATTTCAGTTCAATGCATCTATGCAACAAGAGAAATTAGATGCTATGGATATTCCACATTATGACTATTTAACTTCACAGACAAGAGAAGCAGTGAAACAAATGGATGTCATAGTTGGATATACTCAAAACAGTAAAAAAAGACAAGACTTACTCAAAACAGGCCAAAAATGGCAGTACCTACCAATTTCCTATGAGAACTTTTGGGAGCATATATCTTGCCCTCAAAAGTATCCCTGTCTCCTGCAACATTTAATGCCTCAGGAAAAGGAAGCATTATCAGAAGGAGGTAATTTATCAAGCCGGACACCAGGACTAGACTTGTTTTCTGCAGATCAGCTAAGCACTATAACTAAGAATAGACTAGAATGGATTGTGCCCTTGATTTCTCCAAGGCAGATGAAAAAACAAGATTCAATGCTGCCTTTAGGATCATACCATAAAACTATAAAATATGCAAGTCTCTTATTTCCAAAAGGAATGAAATCATCAGATGGGGTACAGGTCTTTGATTTAATATCAAATAATAGCTCACCCAAGTTAAGACTTGGGAAGAAGATAGAAACACAAAAGGCAAATGAAAAGGTACAAAAAGAAGTATGTCTGCCTATAACATTACATTCTCTTTCTGCATCCATGCCTATTTTGCAAGAAAGTAAAGGACAGAAGGATAGCGTAGAACAAGTTATTAGGAAAGGCGTGATATGCCACAAAAGGAGAACTTCGAAATGGAAGAAATCAGTATTTTCACATATACTCAATACCAGTGACTGTGGTGCCTCAAGTAACAGACTAGAAATGCAGTGGAACATGACAGACAAAATGGTCAATGTGAAACATAGAATGAGTGAAATAGATTTGGTTGCAGCAAAAATATGTGAGTCTATTCTTTCTTTACCTCACTTCAAATTGAATAAAGAAACAATTGATGGGGTGATCTCAAGTAATGTTAAAAGTACAAAACAACACATATCACAGGGAAAGAATGATAGAGTAAAAGCAATGGATATGAAAAGAATAAAAAGCCCTAACATCATTTTGAAGCCAAGGAAGTCATCACTGTCACATATACTCAGTATAAAGGAATTTCCTTTGCTGTTAGACATTATAAAACAAGAGGGCAAGATGCAAGAAGGTAAAGGTAAATCAAGTATGAAACTGACAAACTTGTGTACTTCTTTACCATCTCTATCACATAGTAATTCAAATTCAAGAACAAAAGCAGGTAAAGATAAGTCAGGAACTCTAAAGGGCTGCCTTCCACCACTAAAGCTCCAGGCATCATCAAATGCCAGAAGAGTATCATCTGCAGAGTCAATTAATAGAGACAGTTTAAGTAATGTAATAGAATCAAAGTGTTTTCCACAGAAAAAGAAGGAAGATAGAGAAAATATAGTAGATGTGAAAGATGTAATGGGCCTCAAATGTATCACTTTGAAAGGAAAGAAATCACTTTTTAGACATTTACTGCATGGAAAAGAACCACAACGGAGCAATAAAAAACTAGAGAAAATGACGCAGGAAGATGAAAGTAATCTAAATGTAGTTCAGAATAAACTCTGTGCTTCTATTCTTTCTCCACCTCACTTGGAATGGAATCCTAGAATAAAAGAGGTATACATGAGAGGAATAACAAGATTCTGTCTTTCATCATCAACACAGCAGGAATTATCAGATACAATGGAAAAATGTGAGCAGCCAATTGATGATAGTTTAAGCAGTATTGAAAAAGCAAAACATATGCCGCAGAAAGACAAAGACAGAGTGGAAAAGGCTTTGGAAAAAATCATGCATTCCAAAAGAATAGCTTTGGAGGTGAAGCAGCCTTCAATATTCCAAGAATTAGAGTTGAACATCAAAGAAAAAGGAGGAAAGATTCAGGAAGATAAAGAAGTTGAGATTTGGAGCAAACCTTTTGCTTCCATCTCTTTTCTACCTTACTCTAAAGTGGGCACAATAGAAGGAGAGGAAGCCATGAGAATAAAAATGAGATCCTCTTTTTCACAACCAAATCTCCAAGAGTCATCAGATACAGAGAAAACAGCATATGAAAAGTGTATTTCTGATAATATCTCAAACAGTGTAAAAAAGGCCCTAGAATCTATATTGCAAAAAGAACAGAGGCAAAAAATGGAAAAAATTAGGGCTTTGAAGAAAATGAAATCATCAATTTCACAGGGAATTCAGTTGGACATTAAAGAGCAAGAGAAAAGGATAGAACATATTAAAGGTGAACCAAGTGTGCTTCTGACAAATGCCTGCGCTTCCATTCCTTCTCCTTCTCATTTACAACTGGATACAAGGAGAGAAAAAGCAGAGTATGTCACTGAAATAACAAGATACTATCTTCCAGAACTATCACACCAAAAATCATCAGAGGCAGGGGAAAAAGCAGATGGAGTGGCCAGTAAGGGTGATATCACAATCAAAGTACAAAAAGCAAAAGATTACATGCAACAGAAAGAAGACGATGAAGTAAAAATATCAGCTAAGAAAGACATAATGCATCCAGAAGACAAAGGTCTGAAAGCAAAGAAGGCACTTTCACAGGACCTACCATTGAATACTAAAGAGCCAGGGAAAATGGATCAAGAAGCTCAGGAGCAAGGGAAAGAGGACAGAGAAGGTGAGGAGCAAGGGAAAGAGGACAGAAGAGGTGCAGGACAAGAAAAGGTTGATAGAGAAGACAAAGAGCAAGGGAAAATGGATCACGAAGTTGAAGAGCAACAGAAAGCAGATGGAGTAGGCATAGAGCAAGGGAAAATGGATGGAGACAAGAATGAACAGGAAAGAGTTCTGTTCCTATATTTGCCTTCCAATTCTTCTCTAACCCATTATATATTGGACACAAGAATAGAAGGAGAGGAAGACCAACAAGGAATAATCAGACCTGGTATTTTACAACCAAGGCACCAGAAATCATCAGAGACAGGGAAAAAAGCAAATGGGGTGCCCAGTGAGGGTGATAGCGCAAGTGAAGTACAAAAAGCAAAAGATTACATGCAACAGAAAGAAGAGGATGAAGTAAAAATATCAGCTGAGAAAGACTTAATGCATCCAGAAGACAAAGATCTGAAAGGAAAGAAGGCACTTTCACAGAACCTACCACTGAATCCTAAAGAGCCAGGGAAAAGGGATGGAGAAGGCCAGGAGCAAGGGAAAGAGGACGGAGAAGGTGAGGAGCAAGGGAACAGGGATGGAGAAACTGAAGAGCAACAGCAAGCAGATGGAGTAGGCACAGAGCAAGAGAAAAGGGATGGACACAAGAGTAAACAGGAAACAGTTCTCTTCCTACATTTGCCTTCTGAGTCTTCTCTAACTTGTTATGAATTGAACACAAGAAAAGAAGGAGAGGAAGACTTACAAGGAATAATAAAATCTGCTACTTTGCAACTAAGGCAGCAGAAATCATTTGATGCAGGGAAAATAGCACATACAAAGTCTTTTGGGGTGGATAGCTCAAATGATGTAAAAACAGTACAAGAATACAAGCCACAGAAAGAAGTAGATAGAGGAAAAACAGTAAGTGTGGATTATATAATGCAACCTGAAGGCACAATTTTTGAGGCAGAGCAATTATCACTTCCACATACACTCAATATCCCTGGCAGCAGTGGCTCAAAAACTAGAGAAGTACTAACAAACATAAAAGAAAAATTGAGACATGTACAGGAAAGAAAAAGTGAACTGGATGTGTTTCTGACAATACCTTCTCTATCTCACTGTAAATTAGACAAACGAACAGCAGGCAAAAAAGAGGAACAAGGAGTAACAAGATCTTTTCTTCCACCCTCATGGCACATGGAATCATCAGATACAGGGAAATTAAAATATACATTGTCATATTTGAATGATATCACAGGTGATTCAAACAGAACAAAATACATGGCCCAGATCCAAAAGGATAAAGCAAATATTTCAGAGAAAAGTGTAATGCATCCCGAGTACATAGCTGTAAAGGCAGAGAAATCACCCCTTTCCCATATACTAAAAACAAAGGAACTGCAGGTGAACATCAGTCAACAAGGGGAAAAGGCACAAGAAGGTGAGGTGGAAATAGTTGTACTTCTGAGCAAAACTTGTCCTTTTGTCACTTCTTCAGCTTTCCTTGAGTTAGACTCAATAAAAGAAGAGGAAGGTGAACCACGAATAACAAGAAGCTTTATGCCACATCTTGAGATCCAGGAATCATTGCCTTCAAGGCAAACAGCACCTACAAAGCCAACAGAGAGCCTTGTAAAGAAAGAGAAACAACTCCTTCCACAGAAAGAAGACAGAGTACAAACAGTATCCATGCATGGCCTGATGCACCCCAATGGTGCCGTTTTCAAGGCAAAGACATCAGCACCTCCACAAGTGTTCAGCATCACTGAGCACAGTCCTCTGAGTAAGAGAAAGGAGCCACAGTGGGGCATGAAAGAGAGAGCAGGACAGAAGCAGGACAGGACAGGACGTCCTCATGTGATTCTGACAAAAACTCATCCATTCATGCCTTCTCTCTCTCACCATAGATTCTCTCCTTCACAACCAAAGCTTCCTATATCATCAGGTGCAGGAAAAAGCAGACTTGCAAATTCAAATGAAGGTATTAGCTCACATAAAGTAATACTAAAAGCAAACCAACAAATGCCATATAAAGAGGCAAAGGACAGAGTAAAAATAGAAGGCAGGGAAGGTAGAATACTCCCCAAAAGGATACATTTGAGGGCAGAGGCACTCCCACTTGCACTTCTATGCAATGGAAAGAACTACTCTTTGCACATTGAAGAGCAAGGGGAAGGAGTACAGGAAAGCAAAAAGGAACCTGGAGTGGTTCCGAGGAAATCTGCTTCATTCCCTCCTCCTCCATTTTACCTGAATTGTGACACTAGAAGGAATGAAAAGGAAGGCACATTAGGAAAAACACAATTCAGTTTTCCACCACTAAAGATTCAGGATTCATCAGATTCAGGCAAAAAAGCATATACTGAGTCACTGCATGGTTACACATTAAGCAACTCAAAAGGACCAGTGCAACCCACAGCACAGGGAGAAGAGAAAGGTGGACTCAGAATAGATATGGAAGACAAAATGCTCCCCAAATGTACAGACCTGAAAGCAAAGCAATTACTACTCTCAGATATACTCAATACCAAAAAATTGCAGTGGAAAAGTAAAGAACAAAAGAGAAAGATTCAGGAAGATAAAAATAAACAAGTTAAAGGACTGCCAAGCATTAATACTTCTTTACTTACTCCACCATATCTTAAGTTTGATACAACAGAAGGACAGGAGAACGTGATAAGAATTGCAAAAGTGTCTCTCCCACAGTCACGGTCCAAGGAATCATCAGATGCAGGGAGAATAGCATGTCCAGAAGCAACCCATGGAGAACTTTCAAGTGATGTAAAGCAATTAAAAGCACACCTGCTACAGAAAGAAGAGAAGGATAGAGAAAAAGTTGCGGATATGACCAGTGTACTGGATCCCAACAAAATGTATTTGAAGGCAAAGAAATCGCCTGTCTTACATACGCACAGTTTCAGTGATCTTCAGTGGAAAACTAGAGAGCAAGAGGAGGAAAAGGTCCAGAAAGTTAAAAGTGGGCCAGGTGTCATGTTGTCTAAGAGTCCTTCTAGATCCTCCCCACTTCACCTTAATGTGAATACAGGGTTTCAGGAGGAAAGCATACCAATATTAACAAGACCCTCTTTTCCCCTAGTAAAACTCCAGGTATCACCAGATACTGAGGGAGGCACATGTATAAGGCCAATTGCTGGTGATATTTTAATCTATCTACAAAAAGGAAAACATGTGTCACAGAACAAGGAAGAGGATGACGTGCAAATAGTAAGCATCTTAATATTCCCCAAACATCAGGAAGAGAAGGTGCAGGAATGTGAAGGTGAACCAGGTGTGGTTCTGACCAAATCTACTTCATTGCCATCTCTATCTCAACTAGAATTGGATAAAGAAACACATTTAGGTAATGAAATGCTAAGACTTAAAAGACCTATTTTGCGGAGAATATCACACATAGGGGAGACTGTACATAGAGAGTCCGTCGTTGGTGATATCCCAAAAGATGTTAAAAATGAAAAGCAACATATCCCTCAAAAAGAAGAGAGGAACCAAAAAAAAATAATCGATATGAGAGGCACAGATATAACTTTGAAGTCAAAGAAGTCACCTCGTTCCTGTATGCTCCACAGAACAGAACTGCATGTGAACATTGGAGGGCAAGGACGAAAGGAACATGAAGGTCAAGATAAACCACCAGGTATGATTCAAAGAAAAATGTGCATACTCTTTTCCAAACCTTTGCCATCTAACCTTAAACTGGAGAGAGCTACGCATGCAGATGAAGAAAGGCTTGGAGGTAAGACATCCTTTGTACTTCCACTAATGCCATCAGCATTACCAGATACAGAGAAAACAGCAGATGCAGAGGCAAGGAGTGGTGATGTAAGAAAAGGAAAACCACATAGGTCACAGAAAGAAAACAGGCATGAAGTGAAAACGATAGATATGAGGTTCAGGATACACTGCCAAGAGGCAAGGATTTCACCAATGTCACATATCCTTAATGCAAAGGAATTAGTGTTGAATATTAACAAACTGGAGAAAAAAGTACACAAAGATAAAGATGAAGCATGTGTGGTTCTGTCAAGGACTTTTCTTTCTATACCGTCAGCACCTCCTCTTTATCTGGATTCAGGGAACAAAACAGACAAAGACACTCCAGGAATTACAGGATCATCTTGTCCACAGCGAACTCTCCATGTACCCTCAAATACCCAGAAAATAACAAATAGAGACTCAGTTGAAGGCGTTGATAAAAACGTTGTTAAGCAAGCAGAACAGTATGTGCCCCGCCCAGAGGCAGAGCAACAGTTGACCTCAAACTTCATGATCAGCGTCCAGCAAAGGAACCAACCTTCACGAGTCAGGTCAGAAGAAGATTTGAATCAGTTAGTTTTAAACTCACGGGATGAGGACATTTATTTCACAGGGTTTGGTACCATAAGAAGTGGGAAAAGGCCGGAATGGCTCTTTACAGGGAAAAAGGCTCAGCCTGTAAAATACAAAACAGAAACTTTAACTGCGTTTCTTTCCTATCCCACAATGGATGCAACTAAAATGGGAGGTCTGGAAGAAGACACTGAAATAATGGATAACTTAAACCATAAAATCAGTCCTAAGGCTTCAGTTTCACTGATAAGGAAAATATCTAAGGAACTGTATGTCACACTTGGCACCCCTGCAAATTCAAAAGGATTTTCTGTTTCAGAGAGATACGCTCACCAGCAAGAAACTTCATCGAAAGTATCTCCAGAACTTGCAGGTTCATGTAAATTTGATAAGCCAAAGGAAGATGGACAAAGTAATGATAGAATCAGCAAAATGTTTTCTCCCAAAGTGTTAGCACCACAGACAAAGGGATCACTCAAAAAAATAAGTATCGTCACCAACTGGAATGCCCCCCAAAATATAGAAGAACAAGATATTGTCATGAAAAAGCAAGTGATCCGACGGTGTGAACATGGGCACAAGACCAGGACGAACACTATCCTTTCTAAGTTTCCCCTTCAAAGTGGAAAGCAGAAGACACCATCGGAAACAGATGTGGACAAGAAAACAACAGCGCACCTCAGCCTACAGATGCTACCAGGAATACACATGGATATGACAGAGATTGACCCTGCAAAAGGGGGAAGGAAGCAGGCATTGCTCATTTCAGAACAAGAGGAAGGTGTTCTGGAATTTCTTCCGAAGTCCCTATTCCCTCCCTGGACTTTTCAATTTCAATCAGGGGATCTGGAGGAAAAACATCAAACAGACGCAAACACCAATATAAATCTAGAGCAGAAAAAATTAGAAATGGACAATGATAGTACTGTGAATCAGAAAGAAGGGAAATTAAAAATAGGCACAAACAGAGCTTTACATCTGCAAGAAGAGAAAACAGAGATGCACAAGGCCAGGACTGCCAATCTGGAGAAGGAGAGAGGAAGAATGGACACAAGCAGTAGTGCACACCCGCATCTTCTATCTCTAAAGGCAGAGGAATCTCAAATGAAGACTCAAGTCATCACTCATAGGGAGAACAGCCGCCTAATCATGCAAAAGCAGAAAAAAGAACTAGAAGCATCTAATGCAAAACAAAGCATTCAACTACAAAAATTATTTCAAAGAAATGTTCTGGATTCATTTTATTCATATGTTCCTCTTTCTCCCAAACGTAAAGATCAGAAAGGCAGATTAACAATAAGAGATCTGAAAAGAGAATTGAGCACCAAATATTTAACTATGAAAATCCAGAATCACCCAATTCCACAGATGCTTAATATCACGGGGCGTGGTACACCAAGCAATAGAAAGAAATTAGAGTATGATGTTAAGTTAAAGAACATAGCTTCGTGGAGTAAAGATGTCTCAGGAATATTTATCAGAAGTCTTTCTATTTCCATCATGCGTTCACCTCACACTGACCCTAAGACAAACCTAGAAAGAGAAAAGAGAATCTGTCTTCCTAAATTCCAGGAAAAATCACCAAACACTAGTGAAATGTCTAAGAGAGACACTTTAACAATTGTAAAAGGGGAACAGAATTTTACAAACACAGTTCCACAAGATCCCCAGCCCTTTGCAGTGGACAAACAACAAATGCAGAAACTTCCTAATGTCAAATCAGAAGCAAACCTCAGAAGTGAAATGAATAAAAAATACTTAAAGGCACAAACAAAAGAACGGATTGTTCCAGAGCATGATGTCTCAAGGATCATTAAAAAACCAGACTTACGTATCATCGAGCAGGAAGAAAAGATTCTAAAACGCATTCTGACACCCACAGAGTGTCCATCTATGCTTGAAGATCCAAAGTTACCCAAGCAAAGGGATCAGAGTGAACCAGTATGGGACATGACCACACAAAAGGTTCAGCAGCAAAAAGCTTTCCCAGGAACTGTGCCCATACCGCCTCAAGTTAAAAGTAGCGAAGTCAAAATAGTTGCAGACAGTACAAATGCAGAACATTTACTTCCCATTTGTGAAGCAACCAAAGCTATCTCTGAGTCCCAGGTTAAAAATATGATCCAAGACAAAGTTTCTTCTGATAAACTAGATAACATACAAGCCTATAAGCCTGACGACTTGAAGTCACCACCTTTTCCAGAGGGTCCAGATACAATATCAACAGCAATATATCCCAAAACGCAGCACAAATCCCTTTTAGAACAGTTTACTCCCAAAGAAAAAAATAAGCTTACTAGTCATTTAGAGTCAAAAGCACTTGAAATACAACTGAATCTGATACCAGAGATGGCAAGGAAATCTTTACAAATGTTCAACTTTTATCCAAAAGGGACTATTTCAAAAGATAACAGTTGGAGGTTCTATTCTAGACATAAAACAATGAACTTTATGTCTCTAGAAGGGACTGATACCATAGAACCTAACTCAAAACATAAACACCAAAAGGATTCACCTCTTGCCAGCAATATGAAGACACTGATTGTTGATGTTTCAAGTGACAGTGAGGAGACAATCACAAAGCTACAGAGTATTAATAAGCTAGAAAATGGAACATCTGCAGTGACTTCTGCTAGTGAGATGCTATTGCCTCATACCCTCCAAAACCACTCAGTAAAAGAAAAAGGCAAACTCCTCATGCACTTTTCTGTGAAAACATTGGAGATACAAATGAAAGCCTTTCCCAGAATTGTAAGAGAATCTTATGCAATGACCAGTGCTCATGAGAGAAAGAAACCCTTATCTAACTGTATTCATCCTGGTTTCACAGGACCAAAACGACAAAACAGAATTTTGTTACTTTCTGAGGAGAAATCTCTCCATCAAATAGATCTTGATTTACAATACAAATACCTTCGTTTTCTCCTGGGGCTTCCTGTTGGAAGTACGTTCCCTAAGCCAAATGTACTTCCCAAACATAGTAAGTTAAACACAATTGCAGTGTGTAAAAACGTAAATGCTGGTGGACAAAGTGGTAGTCTTTCCATTGATACAGAACTGTTAGAACAACATATTTCTTTCAAAAAGCAAAGTCCCCATGAAAACTCATCACTCATCAGAAAATTCCCACAGCCAACCCTTGTGTGTGCTTCTGACCGTGATCTGCACAGCCCGAGGAAGAAAGATACTCAAGTTCTTTCAGAGTCAGAATTCCATGTGACTCCAGAAAAAAACAAACAATATCATGTATGGTTTCAAGAAAGAAATACATGTGAATCTGTTGATTTAAGGACCCAGAGAAATGCTACTGGTTCAGCTGTTTCATGTGAAACTCAGATTTCTGAAGATTTTGTTGATATTCAGACAGATATTGAGAGTCCAGCTGACTTGGACGAGTGTTCATGTCTTGAAGTAAGTGAGAGTGAGGAATGTGTGTTTCTGGAAGCCAACTCTTATTTAAGTCAGGAATCAGAAAACATTCTATTTGAATTACAGACAGGCATTCCTTTGGAAAATGTCTACAAAATCACGACTGATTTGAAATCATTTTACAGTGAAGATTCAGGTTCCCATTGTACTAGAGAGTGCAGAAAGGAAACCTTAATTATTACACCACCTTCCTGTAAGTCCCACAAAAGCAGGAAATATAGATCATCTTCCAAAATGAAATCTCCTGACTGGTTGTGTCATAGTTCATCAAATACTGCGGAAATTCAGTCTAGGTCATCTAGTGTATCATTCAGTGAAGAGAAGATTTCATGGACTACCAAGAGCAGAACAAGTTACTCTTCAGCTCCCTTAACTGAATCAAATATTAAATCACATCTTGCAAAAAACCAAGGCAAGTCTCACAGGCACCCAGAAAGCCAAGAAAGAAAGAAGGCCAGATCTGATTTATTTAGGAAGAACAGCAGTCATTGGGACCACGATTACAGTTGTACACACAGCAAAGGGAAACGTGACAGAAAGAAGAGAGTGTATGATTATGAGTCAGAAAGATTGGATTGTTTCCAAAGCAAACATAAATCAGCATCAAAACCTCATCATGACGATATCAACTTCTATTCTGAAAGAAAACAAAACCGGCCCTTTTTTTTTGCCTGTGTACCGGCAGACTCACTGGAGGTTATACCCAAAACCATTCGCTGGACTATTCCCCCTGAAACCTTAAGGAAAAGAAACTTCAGAATTCCCCTAGTGGCAAAGATTTCAAGTTCTTGGAATATATGGAGTTCCTCCAAAAAGTTGTTGGGGTCGCTCTCGGGGTCCCTTACTACCGTTTTTCATAGCTGACATTACCATAGCTAAACTCCTCTGAAGTGGACAGCTGGTCGCTATTGTGATATTCTGTGAAAAATACAATCATATAACATCCAATGGCTTCCTCGTGAAGTGTTTTTATATAAAGATAGAAAGTAATCCAATCTTCCAATGATAGATTGAAATTTGTTATTTATCATTAGCAATTTAGAAAGTTCAGGCACTTTTACTGATTCTGGCAATTTTGCATACCATTTCATCAGGAACCACCAGACTTCATCAGAAAGGGATACATCAGATATGGTAAGGTGCAAACCAATAGGTTGGGATGCATAAAATGTGTGACTTCACATACAGATGTCCTTGCTGTTTGTGGTATTGGTATGGGTTTATACTGCGCAAACACAAAAATTCTGGTGAACCTTATGTCATGCAATTCCCATCAAAAAAGAAAGACTAGTAAATGGATAGTTCATGCTCTGCTCTTTTGAGTATATTCTTGACAGAAGGAACATCCTTTTTGACTAGATGCTGTACAGAAAGAGTTACCTGCTTATAATTGTACACACCTGATGAAAAGAAGCCTTTTTCTGCCTACCAGTTTCTCATACTGTACATTTCAAGCCCTGTTTCTCCTCTCTTTGCACAATCCTTTGGTCCTGGACACTGTAGGAGGCTTTCATGTTGGGATGTAGCCCCTGACTTTGCACCCTTATTTCACCACCTAGGATATGTCCTTTAAAGTGGGCAGAAGGATTCCTGAAAGTTATTCCTACACTTTGACAGAAATATATATCAAAGCGAATGTCAATCACAAAAATATACAACCCAGTCTAAATGCACCCTAACTCAACTTCCCCTAAATCCAGTCCCCAAAATATTGGTAACCTATCCAATCTCACTGACTTGAAGTCAGATGTAATGGAGGGTAAGTCAAAGTGGAAATAACATTTTTAACTAATTGCAGTAAACCTGTCTTATTTTTACAAATCTTTGGGGCCCTGAAGCTCAAGCTTTTTCAGCTTTTATAGTATATCTGCTTATGCAGATAACATCAATTATTTTCCATATTGTAAGCAACAAATTCAGTCAACCATATACCACGCCTTGTCCTGGGTACTGAACAGAACAAAAATTAACAAAGCACAATCTTAAAATTTTTTTTTAAATTTTAATTATTATGAGTACATATTGGCTGTACATATTTATGAGGTTGATGTGATATTATGATACAAGCATACAATGTGTAATGATCAAATCAGGGTAATTAGGGTATCTGTTACCTCAAGCATTTATTATTTTTTAAACTATCTTTTTTGAGACTAGGTCTCACTATGTTGCCCAGGCTGGTCTTGAACTCCTGGGCTCAAGCCAAGTAACTGGGATTATAGGTGCGTGACACCACACCTGGATTAACAAAGCATACTCTTTTACTTATTTATTTATTTATTTATTTATTTTTTGAGATAGAGTCCCGATCTGTCACCAGGCTGGAGTGCAGTGGTGTGATATCGGCTCACTGCAACCTCTGCCTCCCAGGTTCAAGAGATTCTCCTGCCTCAGCCTCCTGAGTAGCTGGGACCACAGGCACACACCACCATGCCCAGCTAATTTTTGTACTTTTAGTAGAGATGGGATTTCACCGTGTTGGCCAGGATGGTCTCAATCTCTTGACGTCGTGATCTACCCACCTCAGGCTTTCGAAGCACTGGGATTACAGGCATGAGCCATCATGCATGGCCAGCACAATCTATTTTTTAATTTCCATTTTTATTTTACATTCAGGGGGTATACGTGCAGGTTTTTTACAAGAGTATATTGCGTGGTGCTGAAATTTGGGCTTCTATTGCTCCCATCACCCAGATAGTAAACATAGTACACGATAGGAAGTTTTTCAGCCCTTCCTCCATCCCTCCCTCCCTCCCTTCTTTCTTTTGGGGTCCCCAGTGTCTATTGTTCCCATCTTCAGGTCCAAGTGAACCCAAGATTTAGCTCCCACTTATCAAGGAGAACATGTGATATTTGGTTGCCTGTTTCTCCATTGGTTCATTTAGGATAACTGCTTCTGTCTGCGTCCATGTTACAACAAAGGACATGATTTTGTTCTTTTTTATGGCTGCATAGTATTCCATGGTGTATATGTACCACATTTTTCTTTATCCAATCCACTGTTAATGGACATCTATGTTGATTCCATTTCTGCTACTGTGAATAGTGCTGTGATGAACACACGAGTACATGTCTTTTTGGAAGAATGATTTATTTTCTTTTGGGTATATACCCAGTAATGGAATTGCTGGGTCAAATGGTCGTTCAGTTTTTGGTTCTTTGAGAGATCTTCAAACTGCTTTTCATAGTGGCTGAACTAATTTGCATTCCCGCTAACAGTGTATAAGTGTTCCTTTTTCTCTACAACCTCACCAACATCTATTATTTTTTGACTTTTTGATAATAGCCATTCTGACTGGTGTGAGATAGTAGTATCTCATTGTGCATTTCTCTGATGATTACTGATGTTGAGTATTTTTTCTTATGTTTGTTGGCTGCTTGTCTGTCTCTTTTTGAAAAGTGTCTGTTTATGTCCTTTGCCCACTTTTTAATGGAGTTGCTTTTTCTTCTGGGTTTATTTAGGTTCCTTATAAATTCTGGATATTAATCCTCTGTTGGATGCATGAGTTGCAAATATTTTCTCTTTCTGTAGATTGTTTGTTTACTCTGCTGAGAGTTTCTTTTGCTGCAAAGCACAATCTTGACTTGCAAAACTCACAGTGTCAGGTCAGGGAAGAGAGACAGTCTCTTGAAAGGGCCATAACACACATAGACACATAGACATATGAACAAACACCACCTGGTGGCATCTCATTTCCCCAACACACATGCGTATATTACTGGTATCTCTGTTGGCAAAAAGAAAGCAGTCCTGAGGCCACAATTATTCAGCCTAAGTCATCTATCAAGAATTACCTATTTGGAAGTAGATGTTGACAAAACGATAAACCTCCAAGCCAAGTCTTCTGGTGACCCACATGTTCTGGCTTCTTTTAGAGATGTAAGTCCTTAGGGGAGCTAAAAGGCACATGTTTGCTCTTGGCTTTAAATTCCCGTATTATAACAGATGGTCATGGTGCAGCCATACGCCATTAAAACTAGGGAGAGATATTTAGGCTCAAGTTTTAAGGTAATGAGGGAACTTGGTGGAGTGGGGTGGAGAGAGCGTTTGTCATAAGCGATTTCCCTGCAAGATTTTGACTTTGGCATGAGAATTTCTTAGTTCTACTGCACACAACTGCACTTTACGAGGCCTTGACCCAGTACGTGGAAGAAATAGAGAAAGCAACAGGAATTCATTTTTAAGTCAGAGGTTCCCACATTTTCTCAGTCAATTAGGTGCCCTTAGCATCTCTAATTTTTCCACTGCACCTCTAGGTCAAAATAAATTGCTAACAATAGCACTAAAAGTAGCTTAGGTCTAAACAATTATTACTCATACCTTTTTTTTTTCTTTTTTACTTTTTTTTTTTTTTTTGAGACGGAGTCTCGCTCTGTTGCCCAGTCTGGAGTGCAGTGGCGCAATCTCGGCTCACTACAACCTCCACCTCCCTGGTTCAAGCAATTCCCCTGCCTCAGCCTTCCGAGTAGCTGGGATTACAGGCACACACCACCATGCCTGGCTAATTTTTTTGTATTTTTGGTAGAGATGGGGTTTCACCATGTTGGCTCTACTGGTCTCAAACTCCTGACCTCAGACAAACCACTCACCTCGGCTTGCCAAAGTGCTGGGTTTACAGGCATGAGCCACTGTGCCCGGCCTTACTCATATCTTAACAACTTAGTTGTTGCTTAAATAATAGTACATATAAATTGAAATAAAAATATTTTTTATTTCTATTTCTTTTCTTTTTCTTTTTTTTTTTTTTTTTGAGACTGAGTTTCGCTCTGTCGCCAGGCTGGAGTGTAGTGGCTTGATCTCTGCTCACTGCAACCTCTGCCTTCCAGGTTCAAGTGATTCCCCTGCCTCAGCCTCCCAAGTAGCTGGGACTACAGGCACATGCCACCACACACAGCCAATTTTTGTATTTTTAGTAGAGAGAGGGTTTCACCATGTTGGCCAGGATGGTCGCAATTGCTTGACCTCGTGATCTGCCCACCTCAGCCTCCCAAAGTGTTGGGATTACAGGCGTGAGCCACTGCGCCTATTTCATTCTTAACCACAATTACTGAGTGAGGTGTGTTTGCCTGTTGGGCATGACACAACTCAAACTTTGGAATTGGATGGAACACCAAACTGATTCTTGTGCAATACTTGCTTTTATTTCAGCAACGGCTGAAAACTCAGGTCGACAAAGAAAGTATGTAATGGAAAGGAATGTAGCACCATGCAATAATAAAACTGTGAACTCCCTTGAGCTAATAATTCATACAGTGTCCAACAGATGCCGCTATGTTCACAGCTCAAAAATACTCCATGTCACTGCAGAGCGCATGTTTGGAACTGCTGTCTCAAATTTGTTGCCATGCTTTGTTTTCTGTAGCTTGTTCAAGAACAATGGGATGATGAGAGGTGATATGAGTGAGAGAAGGGGACAATTGAAAGCAGTGAGAGACTCAAGCTGGATTTATGGCATTCTGCCACCAGGTTACCCCACATACACACAGCCACTCTAATTGGAATCACTACATTCGTGACGAAACTCTGGTGGGCCTTAGTACATTCCCATAGTCCATTCTCTCCCCAACCCTCTTAACTATTTTATTTATTTATTTATTTTGAGACAGAGTCTTGCTCTGTTGCCCAGGCTGGAGTGCAATGGCATGATCTCAGCTCACTGCAACCTCTGCCTCCCAGGCTCAAGTGATTCTCCTGCTTTAGCCTCCCGAGTAGTTGGGACTACAGGTGCCTGCCATCATGGCTAGCTAATTTTTTTTTTTTTTTTTTTTTTTTGTATTTTTAGTAGAGACAGGGTTTTGCCATGTTGGCTAGGCTGGTTTTGAACTCCTGATCTCAAATGATCCTGTCCGCCTCGGCCTCCCAAATTGCTGGGATTACAGGCATGAGCCACAGAACTTGGCCCTCTTAGCTATTTTATACCTTTGCTACTCTTCTCAAACTTTGAACACTTTGTACCCACACTCAAAAGCAGATGATCTTGCTTCATACTTCACTGAGAAGAGACTTCACAGACTCTCTTCATCACATCTCCACCTACATAACTTGCCTCTTCACCTATTACCACAGATGAACAGAACCATCTCAAGTCAATGCCTCCATTTGCATGCCAAATCTCATCCTTTCTCATTGTCTTAGTTCACTAGGGCTGCTATAACAAACTGCCTTAGACCGGATAATTACTAAAGAACAAGAATTTATTTCTTACAGATCTGGAGGCTGGGAAGTCCAAGATCTAGGCACCAGCAGATTCAGTGTCTGGTGAGGGCCTGTTCCTCACTCACAGATTCTTGCTGTGTGCTCACACGGTGGAAGGGTAGAAAGGGCCAAAAACGCTCCCTCAAGCCATTTTATTTTTTCAGGGTACTAATCCCATTCACCTAGTAGCTTCCTAAAGGCCCCACCACTTAATACTCTTGCATTGGGGATTACATTTCAACATGAATTTTGGAGGGACACAAACATTCAAACCAGAGCACTCATACACTCATGGAATCACTTCAACATTTCTCCTCTCTCTCTGCTACATTAGCATTTTTTCACCCTCTACCAGATCATTTCCAAGAGCATACATGCTGTTATTTCCTTCATCTAAAAAATAAATAAATAAAATTAAAATCATCCATTAACCCTTCTTCCCCTGCCAATGACTTCCCCATTTATTTTCTCCTCTTTGCAACAAAAGTCCTCAAAAGAATTATCTGTACTCACAGTCCAATTCCTCTATTCCCGTTGTCCCATAAATCCACACCAATCTTTCTTTCTCACACCATTCCACTTAAACTTTTCTTATCAAAGTCTCCAGTAGACTCTACGTTGTGAAATTCAATGCTAGATCTAATTCAAAAATACTGTTTTTGATTAGCAGTATTTGACACAGGTGATTGCTGTCTTTTTCTTGAAATATTTTTTTCAGTTGGCTTCCAGGATACCACAGACCTCCATCATTGGCTCCTACGTCTCAGTTGCATGTGCTGGGTTTTTTTCTTTTTCTTCCTCCACCTTTGGTGATCTCATTCAATACCATGGTTTTAAAGGCATTCTATCTACTGGATTACAACCAAATTTACATCCCCATCCCCAAAATTCTCTCCTAAAATCTAGACATGTATGATTGCCCTACTCATATCCCCCCTCATTTGAGTAGTAGATATTTCAAACTTAACATAATCAAACTGGAGTGCTGATCTTTGTGAGGAAACCTGTTCTACCCATAGTCTTTCCTATCTCGGTTGATGGTAAATCCATCCTTCCAGTAGTTCAGGTCAAAAACCCAAGGGTGTGTGTGTTCCACACAAGTAGGAGTAAACACATTCTACCATATCTCTTCCTTCAGCTACAGCTAAAAACCCTGGACAAAACACATAAAATAAATATCAGAAGACTGAAAGGTGGAGAAAATATGGAAAATTAGCTAGATACTTTAGGATTCAAAAAAGGATATGGAGGTTAGTTTCCTATTTAACTTTTTCACTTATATATTCTGGACTGGAGAATCTCAGAATCTGGAAACACCATGCAAATAGCTGACAAAAGAAATGTCCCAAGAAAAGACTGCTCTTTTTAGCCAAACCACAAGATTTGATTAAAAAGCATTCTTTTTAATCAGAGGGGAGATCCTCATGGTCCCTTCTGCATCTTCTGGACATTCTACCTCTATCAGAAAATCCTTCTCTGCTATCAGCCTCCACCACCAGCCTCTTATGATCTCCCATGGACATAATCTTTTGAAACAAAATTCAGAAAGTTTTACAGGTGAATTTGCTTTTTAGCCCTAAAACACACTTCTATGGAAGGAGTAAAATTAAGCTGGATACTTCCTTGAGTGGTGGAAGGAAAAGAGGAAATTACATGGAAAAGAAGAAAAATCCTAGAAATGAACCTCTCAAGATATTCTCCAAGCACATGAGTAGAAGAACTGCTCTTGGTAAAGGGAAAGTGGCATGAGCCCCTGGTGACTTGGCTCTCTACCCTCTCTTCTTTCTGCACTGAAGCTACAGAGCTCCTCAGAGCACTTTGAAAAACACCAAATAGTGGCAGAAATAGATGGAGCTCAAAGAATGTGCTGTTCCATCCACAACCAACATAAATAATGGATCCTTACAAATAGAACTGAAATGTTAACTGCATCCCAAATTAATGGTGCTGAAAAGAATGTATTATAGACCAGTGTCTCAGGCTAAATGTGGATGATACAGTCATCACTGTGCCCAGACATCTGGTACATAAACACTTGGATATTTTGGAGCAGGATGAGCAAACACAATGGCAAAGCTCTGAAAGGCAACCGGCCAACTGAGCAGAGAGGTTAGCAGAGCTGACCAGCACATGGAAACAAATTTTGCTTGCCCATTGACAGGACATGACTTGATTGCATAATGTTGAATTTTTTTCCTTTTTTTTCTCCTTCCTGTCAGATGGGTAATGTGCTGACATCATAACAAGGTTGGAGGGAGGCACATCTCACATGTGAGTGTGAAAACCCAATCACCACATGTATGAACCACAAAAGGATCTCAATATACCTTTAAATAAGAATCTCAACTTTTAAAATATTTTGAAAACACTGAGCCTTGTATCAATATTGAAAAGTCAACTTTGAAATAAAGGGTTGTTTAAAATATTCTATTAGGCCAACTCAGAGTCTTCAAGGGGTGGAAGCTATTACTATCTCCCTTTCTTTAGTAAAAAAAAAAAAAAAAAACTTAAACAGGGGTAGATAACCTCTGAGTAAATTTGATAGGTGCAAAATTCTCTCTTTAATTATTTCCCCAATAATTATTTATCTTTTTTATCCAAGATGATAAAGAGTACTTATCCTCTTGTACCAGATACCATAGTATTTTAATAGAACATTTAAAATATGAGCAATATATCATAGATAAAATACTCAAAGGAAAGATTTGGAAAACTTGTAATACTAGTGCAATGAAATTAACACAGCTTTGGAGTCAGACAAGCCAGAATTTGGTTCTTGTTACCAATTTATCAGTGGCATCTTGAAACCAAAGCAGTCTCAGGGACGATCAGAAAACCAAGGCCATCGAGTACATGTGGGGTTGGGGGAGCCTGGGACTGAAGACCCTATTCTTTATGTTATACTTGGAAGAATCCTAGTAAAATCCTAGAATTAATGTTCTGACACGAAGACAGGCAAGTCACTGACTTGCCAAAGAATCACATCATTTTCGAAGTGAGAGGTACTTTGGTCTCATCATCCAACCAACTCTCCCAATTTGACTTAACGGTTAGAGTGGAGAGAGGGTCAGAAGTATTGGTTTATGGGCTACTTGTATGTAAGTATTGTCTCTGTGTGTGTCTCTGTGTGTGTCTGTGTTTGTGTGTGTGTGTGTGTGTGTGTGTTCATCCTTACCTTATTGGTGGGCCAGTCCCAGTCCCATCTTAAAATCCAAAGTGGGTGAAACATAGGAGGAGAGCAATTCTGTTACTTTGCAGCAAACTAGTGATAGATCTACACAATTTAACATTCAGTTTCTTCCTAGAATTCACAGTTCCCCACAGGGAGAACATACTACCAAAGCCATTTTTTCTAAGTTCATTTTGAGACTCATATACATTTCATATTTAAGATTATTACTTGTTTTACTAAAACACTGTCAAATATGTATTCCTGGTTCCTTTTGTGTACCACTTGGACATATCCATGACTTTTCTAGCAACTTAAATGTTCCCCCTAAATATGTATAAAAGCATAATACTATGACAGGTCTCGCCCTGTCACCCAGGCTGGAGTACAGTGGCACAATCTCAGCTCACTGCAGCCTCCACCTTCCGGGCTCAAGTGATCCTCCCACTTCAGCCTCCCAAGTAGCTGGGACTACAGATGCACACCACCATGCCCAGCTAATTTTAATTTTTATAGAGACAATGTCTCACCATGTTGCCCAGGCTGTTCTTGAACTTCTGGGCTCAAGCAATCCACCTGCCTTGGCCTCCCAAAGTGCTGGGATTACAGGCGTGAGCCACTGCGACTGGCTCATTAGTCTATTTAGATCATGCATATCATCATAGGATTGCAAGAATTATTACAAAATAAGCCATATCACCTCTCCTTGCTGACAAAAATAGACTGGAACTCTGGAAAGAGAAGCTTCCCCTTGATCCAAGAATCTGCACTGATTATGAGCTGCTGCACAGGAAATTTACCAGGCCTCAGCATTACCCTGTGTCCGTTCTAAGTTAACGTGTCATCAATTCTTCAAAACTCAGCTGTTGCTGGCATATCATTTTCCAAACGGAGAAGATAAGTTGCAACATCCATTCTAAACACTAAATAATACCATCTCGATGTACATAGCAAAGCTAAGTAAACATACCAAGAGTGACCATTCATTAGGGAAATCTGCCCACCCACACAGCTGGGAGGCTCATCAGCCCACATGTGTTGAGCACAAGGCACTCTTCTTTTTTCCTTTTTCCAGACAGGGTCTTACTCTGTTGCCCAGGCTGGAGTACAGTGGTGCAGTCATAGCTCACTGTAGCCTCAAACTCTGGGGTTCAAACAATTCTTCCACCTCAGCCTATTAAGTAGCTGGGACTGCAGGTGCATGTCACCACACCTGGCCAATTTTTTATTTTCTGTAGGGACAGAGTCTTACTATGTTGCCCAGGCTGGTATCGAACTCCTAGGCTCAAGGGATCCCCCTTCCTTGGCCTCCCAAAGCGCCGGGATTACAGGTGTGAGCTGACACCAAAGAACTCTTGATATACATAACATCATCTAATACTTACAGCAGCCCTGCTATTACTACTCCCATTTTATAGACATGGAGACTGAGGCTCAAAGGTCAAATAACTTTCCCAAATTTACCAATTAAGGGGCAGCATCTCAGTTCTACCCTTGGTCTAATTCCAAAGCCTCACTAGAGAACAGAATGTACAATTCACATCACCTCTAAAGATCGGGGTGAGATTTCAAAGGCAGTTACTTCAGGCTGTGCTTCCAGATGTAGAGAAGAGCCAATCACTCGCTTCCCATCCGAAAAGTTTCAGGAGCTCCAGGTTCTTTGCCTGTCCTTGAACACACTCCTGCTTTTCCAGAGCTGTTGCTCCTCTCAGGTCAGCAGAAGCACATGGGGAAGCGGCAGGACCCTGAGATGGCAACCAAGAGGCGTAGGGTCAGGCTCAGCTCTGTTACTATCAGCCAGAGCTTCCTGGGCTTTCTTTTAGAGCAAAGTAAGAGGATAGTACTAGATCCTTGATTTCAGCTGTGCTATATCCAAACCCAAATAAAAGACGCCTGGCTTTTTAGTTAGCTTAATCTCAACAGTCTCTTTCTACCCTAAAATGCCATAGTTTGCAGTGATTTCTCACGAAGCCTTCCTTCATAGCTCACCCAGCCCACTGTGATCTCTTTCTGCTCTGAATTCATGACTCACCCTTGCCATATAAAATGCTGCCCCAACATTTAGCAGGGCTGGGACAAGAATATAAAGGGAGAACCATGTACCATTTATCTAAATATGTAAAATGTATAAATCAAACTAATAAGCTGTCATATATGCTCTATTCTTCTACCCTGTCAAAATCATCTTCAGAATGCACTGAAAGCCCAGGCTTGAGTTTAGAATCCTCAGAGCTCCTGGAAGCCTGTTCTGGAAATGTATATGAACACAGCCACTCTTGGTCTAGGACTCTGGCCTGCAGCCCTCCCAGCTTTATCTCCAACCTGGCTCTGTTTCCACAGCAAGAAGGGGGGTCCCAGGTGTGGACACACCAGTACACACACACATGCCATCAACCTTCACACACACACACACACACACACACACACAGCTGTCTCTTGCCTACCACTGGGTTCCTTGGAGAACAGATCCGAAAAGAGGCACATTCAGGAGTTGTGACTCTTCCCGGATGTGGCTTAGAGTTGGCTCAGGACTTTTTAGACTGGGTATTCTGCAATCCCAGGAGCACGGAGCAGGGTCCAGAAGAAGGTGGGTGGCCCCTTACTTCCTGCCTCCCCTCGCCCCTCTCGCACACACCATGCACTCCTTTCTTGGAAGGTGGCCTTTGGATGGAAGAAAAGCCAGGCTCTTGAAGACATATGTGAAGAGCAAGGGACCCTGTTGTTGGAGTGTGAAGGCAGCACTAACTTCCTGACACGACTTTCATCCTTTCTTACCTTTACCTCACCTACTTTCCTCTTGTCAGATACGATCTTGAGAAAGCTCTGCTTCCTATGAGTCCCAGCCTTTCCCTAACTATCAGGGATGGATAATTGTCTTAATCAGTTCAGGCTGCTTTAACAAAATACCACAGACTGGGTGGTTTGTAAACAATAGACGTTTCCTTCTCACAGTTCTGGGGGCTGGAAGTCCAAGATCAGGGTGCCAGCATGGTTGGGGGTCTGGTGAGGGCCCTCTTCTGGGTTGCAAACTGTGGTCTTCTCATTGTATCCTCACATGGTGGAAACAGGGCAGGAGAGCTGCCTGGGATCTCCCCTCTAAGGGCATTAATCCCATTCATGAGGACTTCACCCTCATGACCTAATCACTTCCTAAAGGTCCCGCCTCATTATACCATCCTAACAAGAGATTTCAACACATAAATTTGGAGGGGGAAGTGCACATTCAGTCCATAACAATAAATAATTGAATATTTTACTTTCAGGCTATTGACAGGTTTTCCTCTGCAGAATGCCTTTTCTGTTACAAGAATCTTTATTTAGCATTTATATAGAGTTCTAGAAACCTAAACAATCAATAATCAACCATTTAGATTTAACTATCACAAGGGTCATAGCTATAAAGCATTTCTTCACTTAGTGTTTCTTCATCTTTAAGTCAATCTTTTAATTCATTTGTGGTTTACTGTAAATAGATTTCTCCAGCATATTCATCACATAGAATATGAGAGCTATACTCTCCGAAACCACGTATATCCACATGTATGTTTCTGTTGCTACCTGGATGAAGGATACTTTGACTGGGTATGGAAACCTTAGCTTGTAATCTTTTTCTAGCACTAGTTAATATATACAATCCAACTGTTTCCTAGTTTCCAGTGATGACAGACGAGGCATTCAACATCACTCCAATTCTTTTGCTTTAGTAAGTTTCTTATTTTCAGTCCGGAAGCTTTTCAGTTTCATCTTTATGCTTAGAGTTCAGCTATTTTACCAGGATATGCCTAGGTGTGGGCCTTCATAGTCTTTTCTGAAGAGGCATGCACCCTCTCCATTTACAAATAAGTGTCTCTCTCCTACTTAGGGGTCTCCTCATCTATTACCAGTGTTTGCCCCTCTGTTGGTTTTTTCCTCCTGGAACTTCTATTATTTGCATGTGAAGTTTCTTAGATCTGTCTTCCAAATTCCTCATCTTTCCCCTCACAATTTGTGTGTTTTGAAATTAGCTTTCATTTGATTTCCTAGGTCACAAATTTGTGTCTCAACAATAAATAACCTCTCTTCAGTTAATCTACTGAATATTTTAAAGGAATCATTTGCATTGATGGAAGTAAAACTTTTATTGAGGGATAATACACATACATGAAAATGTATAGATTATACGTGTCCAACTCAATACATTTTTTGTGAGGGGAAAAGAAAATAACATAACAGATTATATAATAAACCAAAATAGAAATTATAAATCAATGGTTTATAATTTCTCTTTCATCACATAGCATATGAGAGCTATACTCTCCCAAACCATATATATCCACGCATATGTTTCTGTCGCTACCTGGATGAAGGATACTTCGGCTGGGTATGGAAACCTTAGCTTGTAGTCTTTTTCTAGCACTAGTTAATATATGCAGTCCAACTGTTTCCTAGCTTCCAGTGATGACAGACAAGGCATTCAACATCACTCCAAATCTTTCGCTTTAGTAAGTTTCTTATTTTCAGTGCAGAAGATTTTCAGCTTTTCAGCTGATAAATCAATAATTTATAATTTCTCTTTTGGTCTATTATTTAATCTGTTATATAAAAGGCTTTAAGTTATTTTATTATACAAATTTTAAACATGCACAAAATTACAGAGAATAGCACAAGAACTCTTGCACACCGCTCCCCAGATTCAACAGTTCTCGAGTTTTCCATACTTACCTACCCACGTCTATTTTCTTTTTCTTTGTTAAAAGTATTTTAAAGAAAATCCTAGACAACATGTCCTTTCTCTCCTGCATACATTAGCCCCTAAAGTATAACAGCATTATCTTCCTTAATCCCAATGTTATCACACCTAATACAATTAACGATAATTCTTCAGAGACATTTTATAATCAGACCATGATTAGATTCTTCCAGTTGTCTCAAAAATACTTGTACATGGTCTGGCGCAGTGGCTCATGCCTATAATCCAGGCATGGTGGCACATGCCTATAATCCCAGCTACTTGGGAGGCTGAGGCAGGAGATTTGCTTGAACCTGGGAGGCAGAGTTTGCAGTGAGCCAAGATGGCACCATTGCACTCCAGCCTGTGCAATGAGAGTGAAACTCCATCTTAAAAAAAAAAAAAAAAAAAAACTTGTACAGACTGTTTATTCGAATTCAGATCAAATCAAAGTCCATTCATTTCATTTGCATATTGTAATTTCTAAGTCTCTTTTAATCAAATTGATTCCTCCCTCTCTCCCTTGCTTTCTGATGTTGGCTTATTTAAGAAACCAGACAAGCTGTCCTATAGAATGTCCCATATTTTGATTTCTTTTTTGTTTCCTTGTGGTTTTCACTTCCTTCTTTATCCCTTGTGTTTCCCTAGAGGCTTAGTTAGATTCAGGCTTAACTTTTTTTTTTTTTTTTGGCAAGAATACATTACAGTTGGTGCTGTGTGCTTCATATCACATTACATCAGGAGGCACCAAATGATCAGTTTCCATTTTCAGTGATGCTGAGATTGATCAAAGAATTCAAGTAGTGACAGCCTGACCCCTCCATTCTCCTTCCCCACCAACCCATCACGAAGTAATGTTATCCTCTGGTGATTGCTGTGTGACTCAATTGTTTCACCAGGGGTGGCAAAGTGATGGTTTTCTGATTCTGTCATTCCTTATTCATCTATTAGCTGGAATTCCTCAGTAAATAATAATTTTCTCTCTCCAATTAGAGCTATTTAATTATCCTGAAAGACAAGATGAGTGCTTAATTCATCTCTTTTAATTGTAAATTTTCAGAGTAAGGAATTGGTGCCCTGGTATTTGCAATGGTGTCCAATGAGCTGGAGCTCTCTTTCTCTCATATGTTCAATTTGCTCATTTAATTGAATGAATATATTTTTCTTATTAATGCCCAAATTGTGCACTTTTGGCTATGACTTTATACTTGTTTCTCTTTTGTCATACTGAAAATTTTGGTTATTAATAACATCAGCCTAATTATCTATTTTTATTATCCTACACTATGTAAAAATTTCAAAATACTAGTAATACAGTATACCTGCTTAAAATTAAACTACCCAGTCAACTCTAACATTTACTTGCACTTCTATTTGCCCTTAGAATATATCTCTATAAGCACACATAGTCAAAATATTATGTTCTAAAATCACTTGAAACAACTCTTTTGTCAGTATGTCATACACATTGACTCATTTATTGTTGTTTGAATTTAATTTTTAGTTTTTAAACTTTTTTTCTTTTTGAGACGGAGTCTCACTCTGTCACCCAGGCTGGAGTGCAGTGGCACGATCTCGGCTTGCTGCAAGCTCCGCCTCCCGGGTGCACACTATTCTCCTGCCTCAGCCTCCCAAGTAGCTGGGACTACAGGCGCCCACCACCACACCCGCCTAATTTTTTGTATTTTTAGTAGAGAAGTGGTTTCACCATGCTAGCCAGGATGGTCTCGATCTCCTGACCTTGTGATCCACCCGCCTCTGCCTCCCAAAGTGCTGGGATTACAGGCGTGAGCCACCAAACCTGGCTTAGTTTTTAAACATTTTATTTTTGAATTGTCTCTGAAATCAAAGCTATATAGCAAATGACTCTCAAGAGAGACCTGCTTATATTCCTGTCCCCTTCATTCTACTTCCTCCCTCTCCATAAAAGCAGCTATTTTTATTAGCTTTAATTTTATCTTTCTAGCCTTTCTTTTAACAAATATAAACTGTACCTGCATTCTCCTTGCTTGCTTGCACACTGGGTTGCATACTATATATTTTTTATTTACTTATTTATATTGAGACAGGGTCTCACTCCATCACCCAGGCTGGAGTGCAGTGGCACGATCACAGCTCACTGCAGCCTCGACCTCCCGGGCTCCAGCAATCCTCCCCTCAGTTTTGCAAGTAGCTGGGACCACAGGTGTGCACCACTACGCCCGGCTAATTTTTGTATTTTTGGTAGAGATGGGGTTTTGCCATGTTGTCCAGGCTGGTCTCCAATTCCTAAGCCCAATTGATCCACCTGCCTCAGCCTCCCAAAGTGCTGGGATTATAGGCGTGGCCACTGTGCCCAGCTTGTTGCATACTATATATACTATTTTCAGTGTACTTTCTTCATTTAGCAATATATCCACCATTCACTCCACAGCAGCATGTGGTGGCCCTCCTCTTGCCTCTTTTACTGCTACATGGCATTACATTGGGAAAATGCGTCATAGTTTATGTAACCAGTCCCCTAATTAGATGCATAAATCATTTTATATTTTTGCTAGTGTGCCTTTGGGAAATTGAATTGCTGGGTCAAAGTATAAATGCATATACTTTTTTTGTAGACATTGACAAATTATTCTCCATTTTGCATTGCTACCAGTTTTAGAGTGTCTGTTTCTCCAGTGTCTTATCAATAAAACTTATTGTCAATTTTTGTTACTATGACAGATTAAAGTTGGGTGCGGTGGCTCATGCCTGCAATCCCAGCACTCTGGGAGGCCAAGGCTGGCAGATCACGAGGTCAGGAGTTCAAGACCAGCCTGGCCAACATAGTGACACTCCGTCTTCACTAAAAACACAAAAATTAGCCGGGCGTGGTGGCAGGCACCTGTAATCCCAGTTACTCGAGAGGCTGATGCAAGAGAATCGCTTGAAACTGGAAGGCAGAGGTTGCAGTGAGCCGAGATCACACCACTGCATTCCAGCCTGGGTGAAAGGGCGAAACTCCGTCTTGGAAAAAAAAAAAAAAAACAGATTAAAATGAAATCTCAATGTAATTTGACTTACATTTATTTTACATGCATGCAATTGAGCATTTTTTCATATGTTTAAGGCCATTTTTATTTTTCTTTGAACTCTATATTTTTGTACATTGTTTACTGTAAGTTAATTTGTACTTTTTTTTTTTTTTTTTGAGACTGAGTCTCGTTCTGTCACCCAGGCTGGAGTGCAGTGGTGCGATCTGGGCTCACTGCAACCTCCACCTCCTGGGTTCACGCCATTCTCCTGCCTCAGCCTCCCGAGTAGCTGGGACTACAGGCACCCGCCACCACGCCTGGCTAATTTTTTGTATTTTTAGTAGAGACGGGGTTTCACCGTGTTAGCCAGGATGGTCTTGATGTACATTTTTTAAACAACTTTTCAGAGACTGATATGGTTTGGCTCTGTGTCCCCACCCAAATCTCACCTTGAACAGAGATCTAGCCCTTTATCAGAGACTTAAATTGCAAATATCTTTTCCTAGTTTGTTAATTTATCTTGTGATCTTGCATCTGAATTTTTTTTAGATGGAATCTCACTCTGTCACCCAGGCAGGAGTGCGGTGGCACGATCTTGGCTCACTGCAATCTCCACCTCCTGGGTTTAAGCCATTCTTCTGTCTCAGACTGCTGAGTAGCCGGGATTACAGGTGTGTGCCACCACACCCGGCTAATTTTTGTATTTTGAGTAGAGATGGGGTTTCACCGTGTTGGCCAGGCTGGTCTTGAACTCCTGACCTCAGGTGATCCACCCTCCTCGGCCTCCCAAAGTGCTGCAATTACAGGCGTGAGCCACTGCACCCAGCCTTGCATCTGAATTTTTTGTCATACAGTATTATTTAAATTTTATGTGGTCAAATTTATACCTGTTTTTGAGACAGAGTCTTGCTCCATTACCTAGACTGGAGTGCAGTGGGGTAAATCATAGCTCACTGCAACTTCAAACTCCTCGGCTCAAGCAATCCTCTTGTGTCAGCCTCCTGAGTAGCTGGGACTATGGGTGCATGCCACCACTCCTGGCTAATTTTATAATTTTTAGTAGAGATAAGGTCTTGCCATGTTGCCCAGGCTGGTCTCCAGCTTCTGGGCTCAGTGGATTCTCCTGCCTTGGTCTCCAAAAGTGTTCGGATTACAGGTGTAAGCCACCATGCTCAGCCAAAATTTGTACATCTTTTAGACATTGGTTTTGGATTTTTAATGATGGTTTAAAAAGTTTTCTTAATTCTCAAGTCATAAAGAAATTAACACATGCCTTCTAGTACTTATAGCTACATTATTTACATTTAGATTTCATCCATTTGGAATTTATTCCTGTGTATTTTTTCCCACATAGCTCAATATTATTTATGAAATAATTCAAAACTTCCCCATGACTTGAGATAATACCTTCACTATTTATTAAACTTCCATAACCATATATGTCTGTTTCCAGTTGTGCTATTCAAATGCGAACTTTGGCCTGTTTTTCTATCACATATCAATACCATGAAGCTTTGAATATAGAAGTTTTATAATGTTTTAAATAACTGATGGGATTAGCCTCCCACATTGCGCTTTTTCCAAAATTTTCTTTGATAGTCTTGTTTATTAATTTTACTTATTTATTCATTTATTTTTTGAGACAGAGTCTCGTTCTGTCGTCTAGGATGGAGTGCAGTGGCATGATCCTGGCTCACTGCAGGCTCTGCCTCCCAGGCTCAAGCGATTCTCCTGCCTCAGCCTCCCAAGTGTCTGGGGTTATAGGCGTGCACCACCACGCCCAGCTAATTTTTGTATTTTCAGTAGGGACAAGGTTTAGCCATGTTGGCCAGGCTGATCTTGAACTCCTGACTTCAAGTGATCCACCTGCCTTGGCCTCCCAAAGTGCTGGGATTATAAACATGAGCCACCTTGCCTAGCCTATTAATTTTTTTTAAAATACAAACCCTATAATCTAGCTCCAGAGGGCAAAATCAGCGTTTTTAATGGAATTGCATCAAATTTATATAGTAAGGGGGAAATTACATCTTAAGGAATTAAGTCCTCCTATCAAGAACGTATTATGTTTTTCCAATTGTTTAAGTCAACTTTGTGTCTTTTATTAGTGTGGCCTATAATGGCATTTCAGTCAATAATGAGCCACGTACATGACCAAACTACCTGGCTAAGGAGTGTGGACCAGGAATACGGTCAGAAATCTTTTAAATCAAGTTTTTAGGAGGCTGCTCCAATGATCAACAACATCAGATGCCTGTGGGTGGTAAGGAGAGAAAGGGCCATCAAGTAGCTATTTGCTGGTGGTTCACAGAGCTGAAAATATGGCAAAGATTATCTTCAAGGGCCACAATGATGTGGCCAGAGTTGGTTAATGGAACTAGAACAATAACACCACCACCTGAAAAGGTGTCAAGAGTAGCAGGGCACCACCATAGTCCCATGAAGGGCCCAAAGGTCAGGCTGTGGGCGGCAGCAGGGAAAGCATCCCTGCCACGAGGCCACACCATTGTGAGACAAGTAGGTCAACTTGTGGCAGGAGCTCCAGTGGGAGCCCCCGCATCATAAACATGGAGTCCTGCACGTTGTGCCATCCACAGTGGTGGGTGCGTTCCCACATCCAGCACAGCGATGGGTCCAGAGAGCAACGTGGCCATCTGCTTAGTGCAGGCTCCACCGGCAGCTTGGCTCTAATCGGTCTCATCAGAGAAGGGGCCTTGATCATTTCCATCTATGTGAGTGACCCAGATGTTTCTCTCAGCAGTCACGATTTGTTTCCACAGTTTGTGACCTGCAAACGGGATGCTGTTCATCTGGAATCTGTAGTTTTCCAAGTGGCTGACCAAATGCTTAGCCGTTGACAACAGCCCAAGAATGACTAAAAATAGGGCAAGTTGCATCAAGGGCAGTCTTGGCCAGACCTGCAAGAACAGCCATGCATTCTGCCTTCTGAGCAGACAGCTCACATCTGTTTTTGGATCTGTGTAGTCACAGCAGCTCAGGGGACACCACTGGGGTTCAGCTTGGAAAAACCATCAGTGACCCAGGCCCATGCATTTAGGGGAACCTCTGTAAAGTGAGGGCCCCATGGAGCCACAGCTTCGCCTCAGGTGGTGAATAGGAGATAAAATTTCCCTCAGAGGGCTTGTGCCCACTGTTTTGTGTACAGCCGAGATGCTGCTGGGGCCAGGCTGTCCAAATTCCATTTTCCAGCCTAGGCTTGTTGGACCCTTCTCACCATGTTAGCGATTGAGTCTGAGTTTAAACAGACCAGAGAGTCACAAGGCCTTTATAGGTCAGGTGTGCAGTTTCAATTAGAGGACAAGACCAAGCTGATAGCTGATTTTCAGAAGGAGTATGCCTGGTAGTCACAACAGGGAAGTGACAAGTTCAACACTTCTGGGCATGTGTTTGGGTGGAGGGTGTCTCCCATTGCCAGGGACCCCATTTGGCATAATCATTGGTCACCATGACCTGAAGCTCAAAGGAACCAGGAGTGTGTGAATCTCCAAGGGTGCTAGCATGTCTCTACATGTGGCTTTTCCCAATCAGAATCATCCCCTCTGGCACTTGCAGGACAGAGAGTACAGGCATATCAGTTCCTATCATACCTCTAGATGTAGAAGAAGCTACAGCAGCTATACTGATTAATTTTATACCTTACAAGAAAAATATAAATTTTATATTCCTATTGAAAGGACCCTTTGTATCTATTTCTGCTTGGGTCCAATCAGGAGAAAGAAACCAGACAGTAATTTAAACAGGGAAAGTTGAATATAAAAGAATTAGGTATAACAAGGGATTGGAATAATGAGGCATTGACTAGTAAAACAAGAACCCTAAAAAGTGTGGAAATAACAAATATAAGCAGCAGCCTCTATGCTTAAGTCTGAGATAGAAGTTGCCTGTCCCCTCAAAAGGGCTGAGATCCAGAGCCTATTGAGAGGATGTGGCCATGGCTCACTGGATTGTGGAGAAGTCCCTGTGGTGCTGTGCTAGTCACATTAGTCAGAAATCTGCCCCAGACGGTTCTGGGAAAGCTGCTTGTAGGGAAGGGCTGAGCTACGAAACTACTCAAGGATGCTGGTAGGGAGGTGAGTTGCTGCTGCTGGGTGCTGCTGGCTGCCATGCCTTGCAGAGGCTGAGAACTAGAGAGGTTATGAGCTCTGCAGGAGCTGGGTCCTGGGGAAACCATGTGCTCTAAAGGAGCTGGACACTGGGGAAGCTGCCAGTCTGCAGGAGCACACCTGAACCAAGGGGCAAAACCCTCTCCTTCTGTCTAGTCTACTGACAAAGTTTAGCATTGTTCCAGCTGGCAAAGTATTGAAAGGGCCCACATCTGTTTGCATAGAGCAGGCAAAAAAGGGTGAATTTGGAGCTGAAAGGTGGTAAGTGCATGACTGACACAGTGTATCTGTTGGAAGGGACCTCTACTTGTATCTATATCTTTAAAAAATAACTGGAAGCAAATAGGAGAAAATATTAAGTTAAAATTCTATGTGGTGGGAATTTTGGTATTTATTATATTAGTTTTATAACTTTCTATATGTTTTAAATTTAGCGAAGAAAAATCTTGGTGAGAAAAAGTGATCGGTATATAGCAGTTCAATCTTTTCTAAAGGAGTGAGTATAAGAGTATTAAGCATCTCTCTACTTAAAAAGAAACTGATCTGCATGAATTTTTAAAACTTGTGTGACCTAAATTCTGTTGAAGAAATAAAAAGAAGTTGTTCCCAGTGTTCATTCGTACATTCATTCATTCTTTAAACATTTAATGAGCATTTTTTCCATGCCAGTAACCAGACCAGGTACAAGGTCTCAACCCTCATGTTCCTTACAGTCCAGTGGGTAGGAGGCAGAGGCAGATTCTCAGATAATTAAAGTGGACCTGATGCAGGTGATGCCTAGTTGTGAGGCAGGAAATAGTAAGAATTATCTAGGTAAAGAGAGGCAGGAAATATTTTCCAGAGAACAAAATAAATGTCTGGGAAGGAAAACGTCTAGCCCAGCTTGTCACTTATAAAATAATTAAACCAAGAGAATGGAAAATGTTATACTCTAAATAAGGAATGTCTGTAGAGATGAGCTCTATTTTAAATAAAATGATTAGTAAGTTTGATGGAGTCAAAGTTTTTATAAATGATCTATGAACCTACAGCTCCTATTTTGCCAGGAAAGCTAAAAAAAGAGGTTCTATTTGGGCCTCAGTCCGTTTCCTGGCTATCTTCTAATGTTGATGGTTTTAAGTGGTTGGGATAACTTGGCATGCATTTCAGACTAGAATCAACACATTCTGGGACAGGTGACATAGACAGCTTTCATGAGATGAGCCTTTTATCACATTCATCTTCTCTAAAGTGAGAGGAGTGTGACATTTCCTTGCTCTCTTCTATTCATCCTGGGCTTCTTAAAGAGATACTGCAAGATAAACTTGAGGTTTTCTATGCACGTGTAACTGAGTATTTCTGATTTTATTGTCTCTGTATTAAGGCATGCTGCAATTCTTTCTTTTGGGAGAAATCCCTGTGTTATTATTCCAGTATCTAGAGTGATTCATATGTCTGGAATGACAAGACGATCCCATATTGAAGCCACTGATAATGCCATCGTTATTGCTGTGCTGGGAAGAGATCCAAGACTAGTAACTAAATCAGCTGATCTTCAATGTGTGTAAAGCACTTAAGCTACCCTGCAATTCAGGGTTTCCACTTGCACAGACTTGACGATTGAATTCTGATTTCCACTCAGGGTTTTCTATTAACATTGTGAGAAAGGATTAGTAAAATATTGACTTATGGAATTTTGTTCTGGGAGAACTAAAACAGAAGCTAACCTGTTATTGCAAATAAAGTCTCTTAACTAAAACGTTGAATCTTGAATATCGTTGCTATTTACTTTTATTATGTGTGCAGTTATTTAAAAGACGTCTTTAGAGTAGTTTTAGGCTCACAGCAAAATTAAGCAGAAAACACAGAGAATTCCCATACACCCCATATGCCACTCATCTCTCCCCAGCCTCCCCCTCTATCAGTATCTCACACCAGAGCGGTACATTTGTCACAATTGATCAACCTACATGGACACTTATCACCCAAAGTCTATAGTTTACATTAGGGTTCACTCTTAATGCACATTAAGACAAATGTATGACATGTACTCACCATTATCCTCTCATATGGAGTAGTTACACCACCCTCAAAGTCCTCTGGGCTCTACCTATTCATCCCCCTCAACCCCACCTCCTGGAAACCACTGATCCTTTTACTGTCTCCATTGTTTTGCACTCCCCAGAGTGCCATATAGTTGGAATCATACAGCATGCAGCCTTTCCAGACTAGCTTTTTTCACTTAGTAATATGTATTTAAGATTCCTCCATGTCTCTCCATGGCTTGGTCATTTCTTTTTAGTGCTGAATAATAATCCATTGCCTGGATGTTCTACAGTTTACTTATCCATTCACCTATTGAAAGACATCAGGGTTTCTTCGAAGTTTTGGCAATTACAAATAAAGTTGCTTTGGAACCAACCCAAATGCCCATCAGTGATAGACTGGATAAAGAAAATGTGGCACGTATACACCATAGAATACTATGCAGCCATAAAAGGAATGAGATGAGATCATGTTCTTTTCAGGGAACATGGATGAAGCTGGAAACCATCATTCTAAGCAAACTAACACAGGAACAGAAAACCAAACACTGCCTGTTCTCACTCATAAGTGGGAGCTGAACAATGAGGACACATGGACACGGGGAGGCAAACAATACACACCAGGGCCTGTCAGGGGTGGGGGACTAGGGAGACCAGGACAAATACCTAATGCATGTGGGGTTTAAAACCTAGATGACTGGTTGATGGGTGCAGCAAACCACCATGGCACATATATATCTAGGTAACAAACATGCACATTCTGCACATGTATCCTGGAACTTAAAGTAAAATAAAAAAAATTTTAAAATAAAGTTACTATAAATATCCATGTGCAGGGTTTTTGTGGACATAAACTTAGGGTTCCATAAGTTTTCAGCTCATTTAGGTAAGTATCAAAAACCTTGTTTGCTGGATTGTATAATAAGAGTACGTTTATTTAGTTTGGTAAGAAACCACTGAGCTGGGTCGGGCGCAGTGGCTCTCGCCTGTAATCCCAGCACTTTGGGAGGCCGAGGAGGGTGGATCACAAGGTCAGGAGATTGAGACCATCCTGGCCAACATGGTGAAACCCCGTCTCTACTAAAAACACCAAAAATTAGCCAGGTGTGGTGGTGGGCACCTGTAATCCCAGCTACTCAGGAGGCTGAGACAGGAGAATCGCTTGAACCCGGGAGGTGGAGGTTGCAGTGAGTTGAGATCACACCATTGCACTCCAGCCTGGGCAACAAGAGCAAAACTCTGTCTCAAAAAAAAAAAAAAAGAAGAAATCGCCAAACTGTCTTCCAAAGTTGCTATAACCATTTTTGCATTCTCACCAGCAATGAAAGAGACTTCCTATTGCTTTGTATCCTCACCAGCATTTGGTATTGTCAGTGTTCTGGCTTTTGGCCATTCTAATAGGTATATAGTGGTGTCTTGTTTTAATTTGCATTTTCCTGATGACATATGATGTTGAGCATCTTTTCATCTGCTTATTTGCCATCTGTGTATCTTGTTTGGGGAGGTTTCTGTTCAGATCTTTTGTCCATTTTTGATTGAGTTATTCATTTGCTTATCGTTGGGTTTTAAGAGGTTTTTTTTGCATATTTTGGATAAAAATCCTTTATCAGATATGTCTTTTGCAAATATATTCTCCCAGTCTGTGATGTGTCTTATTCTCTTGGTGGTGTCTTTTGCAGAGCAGAAGTTTAAGCTTTAATGAAGTCCAGGATATCAATGTTTTCTTTCATGGCTGGTTTGTTTTTATTTGACTCATTGTTTTCCTTCTCACTGCCCTTGATGACTAATAGGGACCTCTCCTCCACTTTCTGTGCCCCAGTATTCATTATGCCATTTCTATGGATCCTACACAATTGCCATGGGCATCAAATGAGATGGTGTTTATAGATGGGGTTTTTAAACTGAAAAGCAGCAGTACACCTATCAGGTGACATTACTAGTCTATTGACAGTACACACACACACACACACACACACACACACACACCACATGCACATATATATCCACATGCTTTTATTTCTTTCTTCTTTGGCCAGTGGATTGTATTCATTATACCAATTAAAAAGAGACCATCATTCTTTTTTTTAAAAAAAAAGGAAAAATGTAATAAAGAGACCAATTTTTAGTCAGGTGCAGTAGTCACATCTATAATCCCAAAGACTTGGGAGGTTGAGGCGGAAGAATCATTTCAGCCCAGGAGATCAAGGCTGCAATGAGCCATGATTGCGCCACTGCAAACCAGGCTGGGCAACAGCGCAAGCAAAATCCCAACCTGTTAAAAAGAGAGAAGACAGAGAGAGACCATTTTTTTTTTTTTTTTTGTATTACAGTTGACAATAGCATTTGAAATCTAAGAGATAAGAAGCTGTAAATGTCATCTTTCATTCCAGAGCTTTTAGAAGGTTACCTTTCTCTGTCTCAGGGAGAAGTGTATCTATTTCAGTGCCCTCTGTCTCTGGAAGGGACAAAAATTCTTGCATGACCCAGGTTCCTCATGCCACTTCTTGATCTAGCTGTGCACTTCCTTGTGAAATCTAGTTTTAGCAAGAAGCTTGCTAAGTCAGTTTAGCCAGAACCCTTGATATCTGATCATCTTCCATCTTCCTCATCTTCAGGGTAAGATTCCTCATCCTCCACCATCCCCTAGGTGATGTCTCATACCCCGACCTGTCTTCAGCAAGAATCCTGTTAGGTCGGTTTAGCCAGAATCCTCCTTACCCAGATGTTACCTCATAGTAATTTTCTATCCACTGACCCCCTCCCTGCTCCTTGACTATAAGTTCTTACTTGCCCCTGCTGTGGTAGAACTTGACCCTGTCAACTTGAAATAATCGAAAGAATTAGAACCTAGCTTGAAAGAAGTTATTTAAGCTTTGAAAAGCTGAGAATATCCATCTGGGAAACACAGACTCCAGAGAAATGAGGTGAGCGCTCTGACGTTAAAAATTAAGCTTTTGCTTATATAGGCAGAAAACAGAGAAGTTTAGTTGGATTGTAACATTTTCTATACAAAGCTGGTTTATGAGTTACGGCAATTTAAATGGTGACAGTTTGTTTGCTGCTTGTTTTCATTTTCTTTCCAATTTAAAACAGTATATTTAGTATTGCATCTTAAGACAATGTGATAGCCATAAAGTCTTTGTGTGAGAAAGGTAGGGAGAAAGTTAATCTATAATGAAGATCCACAGTGAATAGGGAAGAGGTCTTCCCTGAGGCCCTTAAGTCATTTACATTTAATAGAACAATGTAGGGAAGGAAGAAGTTTAATCTCTAATCAGAGAAACACAGGTTTCAGTTGCCTGGGTTATGTCTGCCTGCTTGCCTGACTCAGGCCCCATAATCACATTCCTTTAAGGGTCAAAATAATTTAAAGTTCCAACAGCTTAGATTTTGAATTATATATTTTCACAAGCCCCATCTCCCCCACCACAAAACCTCACTGCCGTGGTTCCTCCACCAACCCTGATGATCCTGAATAACATCTGCTTCACTGTGCTGTAACGAGCGTCGCTGAATAATGTTTCCTTTAACAGAAGCGCCAAGAACTATCTTTGCGATTTTGCAAGATTTTCCCAGTTTACATTCATCTCCTGCTTCAGGGTTTTCTTTCCATTTATTTTGACAAAACTAAATGAAACTGGCAGTTAACTTTAACTGAGTAATGAAAGACAACAAAAAGCAAACAGAGCTGGAGACAGAGAGAGAAAAAGAACACCAATGAATTAACTGTGGCAGCACCTTGAGATTTGATGTTTTCTGGCCTGCAGGCCTGGCTACGGGGCACCTAGAACCCTCAGGGCTAGAAGTTCCAGCTGCCCATTGACTAAGCTCTAGGAAAGGAGAGGAAGGAGCAGAAGAGAGCAGGGAGGGGAAAGGAGAAGGGCAGCACGTGAAGCTCTAAAAGCTTCTGATTTATTTTGCTGAAGATCTAGTCATCAGCTATAGAAAGAAAGGTGTCATTGGTAAATGTCATAACCAGGTGGTTTATGATAGCTCATGTTACCTCTATCCCACTGCAATGAGAGTATTTATTTGAAGCTGTCTCTCCATCAATTACAGGGAAAGATCTTGAGAAAAAGACAGTTTCATGTAACATCTTTCAATATATTTTATTCCATGGTACTTTGGAATTATTGTTATATAGCAAATGGCATATTTTAAAAATTACCCTTTCTAAATTTTTGTTGTTCGTATATAAGAATGCTGTTTTTGGGGTTGGTTGCAGTGGCTCACGGCTGTAATCCTAGCACTTTGGGAGGCCGAGGTGGGTGGATCACCTGAGGTCAGGAGTTCGAGGCCAGGCTGGCTAACATGGTGAAACCCTGTCTCTACTAAAAATACAAAAATTAGCCTGGCATGTTGGCACATGCCTGTAATCCCAGCTACTTGGGAGGCTGAGGCAGGAGAATCACTTGAACCCAGGAAGCGGAGGTTGCTGCAGTGAGTGGAGATTGCGCCATTGCACTCCAGCCTGGGCAACAAGAGCGAGACTCCGTCTCAAAAAAAAAAAAAAATCCTGTTTTTGTACAGGATCTTACACGCAGTTGATAAACTCCTTCATTAGTTCCAAATAGTTTGTCTATAGAATTTATTGCATATTCTATATGGAAAATCATGTCATCTACAAACATGAAACTTCGTTTATTCCTTTCCAATTGTTACAGCTCTTATTTCATTTCCTTGCTTTTATCATACTGTCCAGACTTCTACACAATGCTAAATAGGAACAGTGACAGTGGATATTGTTGTCTTTTTCCTGTCTTTGTAATTTTCCTCCATTTAATGTGTGTATTATGTATAAATAATGAATATATTTAATGTGGGCTTTCAGTGGACACATGTTGTCAGGTTTATGAAGTCTCTCTCTCTCTTTCTGTCTCTCTCTCTCTCTCTCTACATATATATATATGTATATATATACACACACACTTTTTTTTTTTGAGGCAGAGTCTTGCTCTGTCACCTAGACTGGAATGCAAGGGCACGATCTCAGCTCACTACAACCTCCACTTCCCAGGTTCAAGTGATTCTCCAGCCTCAGCCTCCAGAGGAGCTGGGACTACAGGCACCCGCCACCACACCAGACTAATTTTTGTATTGTTAGTAGAGACGAGTTTCACCATGTTGTTTAGGCTGGTCTCAAACTCCTGATCTCAAGTGATTTGCCCGCCTCAGCCTCCCAAAGTGCTGGAATCATAGCATGAGCCACTGGGCCCTGCCGAAGTCCCCTAATATTTATGTTGGTTTTAAAAGACCATGAATGATGTTGACTTGTACCAAACTTTTTTATATATCTTTCAAGATGATCATATAGTTTTTCTTCTTTAGTCTGTTAAAGGGAGGAATTACACACAAATTCCCCTTTTATCAGCTCCCACTAATATTGCAGCATGTGCCTTGTACTTTTCTTCATGCTCGTAGAATAATCATTTGACAAGAGTATGCACACAGCCACACATGCATGCACACACACGCACATACACACACACACACACAATCAGGCTAGACTAGAAGTATGTGTGATAACAAACCTCCAGCATCTCAGTGGTTTGTCCCCTAAACGTTTGTCTTGGTCATATAAGATTTGCACGCAAGGGGCAGTGGTTGTCCGTGAGAAGGTGCAGCTATGGAGGCAGCTTCCTTGAATGGCTTCATTATTTCTCCACCCAAATACTTTGCTTTTTACTAGAGAATGGGGTAGAAGCAGATTGGAGAAGTTCCCAGAGGCATTTCCTTCCAGAACCTGGTGGAGTTGGTATGTGAAAGGTGCTATGTCTCTCAGAGACGAAGGAAACAGAACCCCAGAGCTGAAGAGGCGCATCTAGGCCACTTATTTGGAAAGGGGGAGGGCTCAGCTTCCAAGGAACAGGCTCTCTGTTGCTTTTCACCTGGATAGATATTTAAATAATTCAGAGTATTTCCCCCCAAACCTTGACAGCATGGCCTCATGGGAGAACGTCTCTCCAATGGAGTCCATTCCTTCCCCTAGAACAGGGGAAGGAATGAAAGGAATTCCGCGTTGTGGCACATCCCAGAATAGTTCCATCAGGTAAACACATTCTTTCCTAATAGAAATCTGTTGGGAAAAAATGATCTTTCTGAACAGTGGTCAACTGCTGTTGCTAAAATCGGAGCATGATTAGTGACAACTAAGTCCCCTCTCAAAAGTGTCATGTCCAAGCAGCGGACGGCGCTATGGAAAGAACGGACAGCGTTGGAGGCATCTGCTCCTGGCTGGGAGTCGTAGGGTGTCAGAGTCATGGGGCAGCCTCTCCTGCTGCTTCCCAGGCCTCACAGTAAAACAGGAACCGAGGCATCCTTGCCCCTCCTCAGCTTCAAAGCTGAATCACTGTGAAGATATGGTGTTTCCACACTGATACATTTATTTCACTTCATTTATCTGAGGATTAAAGTGAGCTGCAGAAAGGTATCATTTATTAAAGTGGAAAATAGAATAAATGTCGTTGCCAGAGTATCCCTTATTTCAAGCACATTTTCAGTGTCAGACTTTCTCATCCAAACTTGTTTCCCAAGCACAGCGTTCCTCCGTGTAATTAATATCACATGCTTATAGCTCAGCTGCAAAGCATTCTTGGCTATTTTGATAACATGAAACCTGGCAGTTACCCGTTGTGATTTACACATAGTTGCAGTTGGAGATTTTTCTAAAATTACAATAAAATTTCTTTGAGGGGAAATCTGTTTTAAGGACTGGATTGGGGAAAGAAAATAAAAAATAGAAGCGAACAACTAAGTATGTCTATTCTCCAAAGTGCATATAAGTCTATCAAGGCAACACACTGGCCTTTGATCAGAGCCACTTTACAAGGCAGGTGATTTATGGACAGCCAGGCCATCCCCTGCAGTGAAGCCTGGGGCTCGAATGCTTAGGGACAGGCATGTGCTATTTTTAAAATAAAAAGACTATAACTTCACTGCTGTTTCCAAACCTATTGGATTATTTTACTGCTATGCTTTATTTCCTTCTTCACTGGTAATGTTGGTCATCTAAGATGAAACAGAAGTAATATTTTCCATGTTCGCAAGTCTGACAAATTTTAGTTTACAAAATTCCTTTCTCTGCAGGTGGAGATTTGACACTGTACCTGAGTGGGTATAGGATTTAATTGTTACCAGAGCCAAATCCAAAGCAGGAAGAATCCTGTCTTAAAATCCTGAAGCACAGGTGTTCTAAGTGGCCTCAGTCTTTGCATCCCATATAGAAGCAGCTGGCAGTCACAGCGGCTGCTCTCAGGGGACTCCCCCAGAAGTCTGGCCAGTGCAGGGCTGGGTCGGGGGGGTATTGCAGCAGCCCTGGACCATTTGACAGACAGGATTCTGACATTTGGGCCACTGTGTTACCAGCTAATTGAGGGACCAGAAGTTATGAAATTGCATGATTTCACTTTGACCTTTTCTCCATTACTCACTGGAAATCACACACATTGAATGTCGGTGGTTCCAGGGTTCTTGAAGAAGGTCTGTGTCTCCAATGAAACCCTCACTTCTCTGGGAGGGAATTCCCACTGAGTCTCCCTTATAAGTAGGCATGGTGGGTATGTCTTGCATTTGCCTGATCAGTATCTCATCCTTTGTGGACCTTTTAGGAAAGATCAATGTGGAAATCAATGAGTCTCCTATTCATATTCTGGGATGGGAACAGGAATAGCAGCCCAGGGCGAGCTGTGGTGAAACAGCCAATCAAGTTATTGTCAGTGGTCCCCTGGGATCATGTGCCTGTTATGGAAGAAGCAACGGAGCCAGGGAAGAAATGGACATCATCTAGAGGTTTGGACTTGGGAAGTGCAACTCCATTGCCTTTAGTTGCAATAGCTGGAGGAGACTTCAGGTTATTTTCCACTGTAGAAAGGGTGGGTCTCCACTGTGAAGTTGTATTTATGCAAATAAGGAAGTATGTATGCACTGGGTGAGAAGAAGGGTAGGAGGGCTATTATAACCCTTGCTTTTTATGGGTTATGGCCCTGCATCCCTTCTTTGAGTTGCCAGCCTGCTCTTCGTGGTTTGGTGCAAGGCTTCCCACAACCCAGCCCTGACTATAGGGGTGAACTTAAGACTAAGAGCACTCGGAATCTTTTTCCCTAGACATTGAATCTTGACCATAGATACACAGTGATGGATGGTGACTGCAGTTGTGACCTTCAATGGCAATGTTTAAACAGAAGGTCCATGAACTCCTGCTGCTGATATCTCTGGAACCAGAGCAGCCCTGGACCCTTTATATCTCAAGGCCGATGTGTTATAGGACCAACAGGTTCATATGCCCACTGTGTAGTAACAGGCCAATGCACTGAGACAGCCAGGAGGCAGCAGAGAAAGAGTTTAATGATTGCAGGGCTCCTAGTGAGGAGATGGGAGAAGACCCTCAAATCCATCTCCCCGAGAGTTCTGAGTTGGGGTTTTAAAGGGGATCTTGGAGGATGAGGGGCTGGAAAATTGGGGTCATTGATTGGTCAGGGTGAGGAGGATGAAATTATCAGGATGTGGAGCCTGTGTGCTTTGGTGAGTCAGCTTCTTGGGGGGTCCTTCAGACCTGCTGATGTGGGTGGTTTTAGTGGCATGTAGGACGTGAAAGAATATCTCAAAGGAAAACAACATTTCATAAGGTTCTAGTTGTTATCTCTAGAGCAGATAAGGGGATCTATAATCTTGTAACAGGGTCTATCTGATTCTAAGACAACAGACAAACAACAACAAGGAAGTGCGTCAGAGAACAGGCCGACCTCATGATCCATGCTGCGTGTGCTGCAAGCTCATTTTAGTCTCATTTCTCTCCCTCCCTTCTTCCCTGATGAATAAAGTTTATTGGGATGGTTTCAGATGCTCAGCTTTTCCATATGATTAGGTGAGTGATCCAGAACCCTTCCAAAGAACCCTGTGGACTCAACCCTCTGTTTGAACAACATACAAGATAATATGAGACATTTATTTATCGAGGACCCTCTGAGCACCTGGCACTGTGCCAGATTCTTTCAGATATATAAAATTTCACTTGCTCCTGTTGATTCTGGAAAGGAGCAACGGCATCTTATGAAGCTGTAGCAGATACTGTCCTGGCCTCGCTCATGTGTGTCAGATGTGTTGGAGTGCCCTGGCTGCTGCTCTGCATGTGTAGCTGAGGTCCTGCTGGAAAAATACCACCGGAGCTCTCTGCAGCTGGAGTGGAATAATTCTGAAGTGTGTGTTTTGCCTCCTTTCCCAGTGTCTCCCCATGGGGTTAAGCTCTGGTCGCCTGCTCCTGTTGCTGGTCTTGTGGCACACACGTGGCAGGATGTCACCCTTTCCCTGGGTTGCGTCCACTTTCCTTGCTGTGTTATTCACACTCCCCAAATAAAATACTTTCACTCAAATCCCTGCCTTGGAGTCTGCTTCATCGAGAAACCAGACTAAGTAAGATGGGGGCTTCTGGGATGCTTGGAAGATGCAGCTCAGGGTTGGTCCTGTGTTAATCCCTCTATCAATGCAAATCCACCTCCACCGTATAGACGAGAACACTGAGACACAGGGGAGGCGGGAACAACTCACCTGACATCACTCAGTCAGTAGACACCTAGGCTGGTAATTGTGGTTTACCCTTCATGGCAATGCTGATCCTTTGCCTGGCCCAGGGTGGCTTGACCTTTGCACTGTGGACATTCTGAGCTGGGTAATTCTTTGCTGTGCGGGGCTGTCCTGTGCATTGTAGGAGGTTTTGCAGCATCCTCCGTGCACTAGATGCCAGGAGCATCCCACCCCCTATTGCGATAACTAATAATGTCTCCCCCAAATTGCTGAATGTCCCCTTGGCAAGAGGGGAGGACTCCCCCTTGAGAACCACAGCCCAAGAGAGCCAGATTTCATAGGAAAAAAGGCAGTGCCCATCCTGACAGAGAGAGGCGAGTGACAGCACATGAATAGCCTCCTTATTGAGCCTTTGATCCAATCTTGTATCTTCTGACTCCAAATCTGGCCCACTTTCCATTATGTAGGCTTCTTGGGATCAATTGTTCCATTGTTCTACTTGTTAGAAAGTTCTTTCCTGTTGAGCCCAAATCTGCTTCCCAGTAACTGACTTCATCAGCGTGCCCTCCGAAGCCATGCAGGAGGACTAATCCTTTTCACCGGCTGCACTTCAACTATTTGAAAACAACTTGTGTGTCCCTGCCCTGTTCCCTCCCTGCCCTGCCCCCCGTCAATCCCTTCCTGAACCTTTGGAGTCTTCCCGTGGCTGCTTGGGCACTCAGAGTTTCGCTCAATAACAAATTCAGCAATTACAACACCTACTATGTGCCAGGAGCTACCATATGTCAGAGAACAATTCTCAGACAGGGAATTCAGACTTCTTGGTTCCTTCTCACACCTGCAAACAAGAATTGCCAGAGCCTGGAGTTGACGCATGTTAAAGCTTCCGGGTGATTTGGACATAGCCTCTGCCTACAGGTAAGTCCAGCATTTAAGAGCCTTTGATCTACCGTGGTCTAGCTCCAGGCAATAGAGCTCTGATGTATATCTTAAAGCAGCTATCTAAAAGATGGCTTTGAAGAAAGTATTAAAAAGGAACTGTTTTTTAAATTATTTATTTATTTATTTTTATTATACTTTAATTTCTGGGGTACACATGCAGAATGTGCAGGTTTGTTACATAGGTATACACGTGCCATGGTGGTTTGTTGCACCCATCAACCCATCATCTACATTAGGTATTTCTCCTAATGCTCTCCGTCCCCTAAGTCCCCCACCCCCTGACAGGCCCAGGTGTGTGATGTTCCCCTCCCTGTGTCCATGTGTTCTCATTGTTCGACTCCCACTTATGAGTGAGAACATGTGGTGTTTGGTTTTCTGTTCCTGTGTTAGTTTGCTGAGAATGATGGTTTCCAGCTTCATCCATGTCCCTGCAAAGGACATGAACTCATCCTAAAAAGGAACTCTTAATAGGATGCTAGGTTAAAGAGGTACATGTTTCTATCAAGTCACATTTTCAGTAAAATAGCTTTAAAAAAGTTTATACAAAAAAAATAAGCCTAGAAGTTGATACAAAAAAAAAAGTTGGTGAGGTTTCTTTCTCTAGATAGTAGAATTAAAGGAGATCAACATTTTTTCCTTCGTCCTTTGCTTCATTTTAAAGCTTGTAGAATGAACGCATATGTTTGTCTATGTGTGTGTCTACATGCATATAAATATACACACATATATTCACGTACATTGCAATCAGTTTTTAAAAGGTTTTTGTAGAATTGTACTGATGACTATCTTTTTGCTATTTCTCATAGGGACTGATGACACCTGGAAGAAATAAGTTGCAGAGATGCAGAATGCAATCATAGAACTAGATGCATTTGGGGAATAAGAAAGCATTAGAACGATAGAGCTGGAACAAATGCCGGCTTATCCCCAGTCATTTAAGAAAGTGGGAAAGGTGATTTACATGGGACCACAGCACATCTAGATGAACATCCTGAGTGAAAAGAAACTGACATAAAGAACACAAAATAGTGACACCAGAGAAACGAGTACCGAGGGTGGGTACAAAAACAAAAATGGGCTTTTATATCTACTCAGGTTAAAACACCATTCATCCAACTCCCTGGTTGAATGTAGCCTATCACAAGTGATTCTTTAATTCCCATTTGTCTGAGGCTTTACTTTGTGTGACCTATATTCTATTTTAAGGGTTTCTGAGCTTCACAAATGAGCACATGATTTTTCTCCTTCCCTTTTGACTATCCCTTATTTCAGTTAAATAAATCACAATGGCTTACTTTTTCTTGGAAGAGTTTTTCTGATTTCCTCTTCCCTCTGCTCTAAATCCCCCAGATTCAACGTTAAGCCTTTGACTCCCGTCCCTTCTCATGGATAGATGCTCTCCTTTCTTCCTCCCCAAAGCATTCCCTTCCTCTTGGTAGATCCTTGTGTTCTTTCTGGCTGCCTGGATACGGGTCCTAGGCAGAGGCTGGGTGGGCATGTCCTCCCTGTGGCTACTGGAGTTTGGCAAATGAGCACAAAATTTGCAAGTCTGTGCAACTGTCCAACACCCACTTCTTTGAAAAGTGAACTGGAAGTCTAACGTTTCGAACCACATCGCAGCAACTGGATGCCACAGGGGCAGCCTCTGTTCTGTTCCAGTGATATTCCTGAAACTTTTGAAGGGAATTCCATTGAATGTTGCTAGGACTGTGCGTGTGTGTGTGTGTGTGTGTGTGTGTGTGAGAGAGAGAGAGAGAGAGAGAGAGAGAAAGAGAGAGAATTCTAGCAAAGTAATGTGTCTATGAGGACTGGTAGATAATGCTACCCTAAATAACTTGGGCTTCCACTGGCTGGATTTTGTTCATCAAATGCTAATCCTTTCAGGTGTAGACCTATATAAAACACTGGGGATTAAAGAGTGCACAGAAGCCTCACATCTCTTCTGCTGCATAAGGTAAAGATACGTGTAACAATTCAAAATTATTTTGGGCATACTAACAAGGAGTCATTTCCAATTCTGTATTAATTACGAACATGCGATGTAGATCATAGATGTGCTGAACTAGTAACAGTCAGTCAGTAGATTATAGTCGTTCTTTTGTAGATTGCTTTTCAATGCACAGCTGTCTTTGGGACAGCCGGCTATGGACGTGTGTCTGAGCTCCGCGCAGCAGCCTGGGCGCCGGGGGGAAGGACTCAGCTCCCCGGGTGGCTGGTTAGAGGCTGAGAAGAAGGGGGCTCCGCAGAAAGACAGCACCGGGGGAGTCCTAGAAGGTAACCTCCTTCTTCATCACTTCAACAGTTTTCCTCAGTTGTTTTCCTGGCGATGACATCTTCAAGTAAATTTCAGTGACAAGAATTTCCATTTCCTTTTAACATTAGATTTTTTGCTATAATGAAGCTTAGCAGAAAAATGTTTTGCAAGTATAAACATAATTCCTGTTTTTTCATTATTTACTTATTAAAAGTAATTCCTGGTTTTTCATTACTTATCAAAGTTTGCACATTTGTTTTTTTTCTATGTATAGATCTAAGCTTGCTGTATTTTTGTAACAAGAACTTAAAAGAAGAACAAAAAATCTAGGTTCATTTCTGCTTTTCACCAAAATACATTCTTGGTAGCTTTGTCATACAGTGAATCTTTATAAATCAAACTGTATTTCCCCGTTAGGACAATGTAACAGTTTAGGGTTACATTTCTGGGCATGGATTCAGTTGTAAATAAATAATAGACATAACAAATGATCTAATAAAAGCCAAGATGCAGCATTTACAGTGTTCATAATTAAAGGTGGTAAAAAATGTATCCCAACTCCAATAAATGAGAATGTTGTCTATTTTTACTGCATTGTTTACGTAAAAATGCAACTCTACCTTATCTGAAAATCTGATCTCTCTAAAACTATCAGAATAGCACAGAGAATAAATGAAAATATTTCAGGCACAAAAACATATGTTTCTTTATCGTTGTAGAACCTCACAGGGTCTTATGAGAGAATACGTGTATGTCTATGTTTCCTTACAATGTTGATTGGAAAAGTGCAGCTGTCAAGCTTAATATTTGTCAGTTTATTTACCTGTGAAATGATGAGCCATTCAAAATCAGCCTACTTACTCTTCCTAGTCTCTAGAGAAAAATAAGTCCCCAGATGGTGACATTTGGAAGGAGGGACAGGCATGGCCTGGATGAGAGTGGGGCAGGGCAGGGAAGCCGGCAGGGGCTGGTACAGGTCCCTGATGCTCTGAGCCACCACCCAGTGGTGTGCTGGCGACGGCTTGTACTGGCACCTGAATTTCAGCATTTTTTGTAGCTGATTGTTATATATAACCATCATTTAAATTTAAGTTAGAATCTTATGATTAAATAGATTATATTAAAGACAAAGGTATATTAAAAGCAAAGTTGATAAACACTCAAAACTCATCATCAATTATTCTATTACCTCTTCCTAATATCTATGCTCTCGAGGTTAATCGTGTCTGTGGTGTCTGTACGGTAGGAACACTACACAGTGGCGAGGTACTGCACGTCTTTCCCCAGCGAAGTCATGCTGCTTCTCTGAAAACGGCACGGTGGGAGTATTTACTCCAGAGCAATCGTCAAACGCTGTCAATCACCGCTTCTTCCCCTCTTGCTGAACTAGTTATTAAACATTAATCACCCTATTTTTCGGCCTTCCTCCTGCCTCTAAACCAGAATTCAGAGCCAGCCTCTCAGCCCTGTGTTGGGAGCTGGGGTTCTGCTAGATGTCAGTGGCTTCCCAAAAGAGGTGGGGAAAGCTACAGGGCTCCCTCCTTTCCCTACAATCTCCCTACAGCCTCCTACCAGGGCAGGTGACCGCAAAGGACAAGGTCTCAGGACTGAATTGGTTACCTTTATTAGAGGCGTCTTGCAAGTTCACTGAGGTCCCAGGTTTCTGGAAGCTCACCTTTTTTGTCAGGGCAGAGAATTCTCCTTCAAAGTGGTAGAACATACTAAATCAAAGTCACAGGCTAAAACAACACTCTGAAGAACTGAAGGCACCCATGATGCTAATTTACAAATGAGTCACTTCATTCACATTTTTTTTTTAGTGTGCTGCACACTGATACTTTTGTAATATACAACAAAAATGAATTTCTAGAGAAATTAAATGAAAATATATACAGACATATAAAATACAAGCTCCGGGTTTTGTTTGTAGTTAGATTCAACAGGCATCGTCAAATGGTTGTGACTGTTTCTAAAGGCTCACTCCAAATCCCTCTACTTACTGTGGAGCTGTTATCAGCATTTGCAGAGCAGTGGCAGGGAACTGTTCCAGTGTGTATGGAATGAGTGAGACCTGAAACACCCGGAGGCCCTGCCCCCGACCTGAGGGATGCCCTGCTGACCAGGTTTCTCCCAAGACCCACTTCCCTTTGCCTCGTATTCACCTCCTCCTGCCTTCCACCTTGAGAGGCTATTTCAGATTAAAACACTTCCAATGTTCACCGGCTGCCCCCTTCTACCTTTGTCCAAAGCCCATATTTGACCCCCGGTTAAACATTTTACAGTCATATCCCAGGCCACAAAGGCAGGTTTCGTGCAAACAAAACTGACCTTCCTCCCCCCTACTCTCCGCACTGTTAATTCTTTCCCACCCGCTGGGACCAACACCTTTTCCTCTGCTCCTGCTCCTTCTTCCACACACTTTGACTCACTGCTCTTTTATTCCTAAACACTCTGGAAAACCTGCAAACACTTGTGATCTCTTGATGTCAGCCCGATCAGGTGCTCTTTTCCTCTCATTTTATATGCCATCTGAGAGCTGCTAGATGGGTCATGGGTTTAAAGGAGTATTTAAAGCAATAGTAACTTAATAGCCAGAGCTCAGCTGACATCCTCCCCCAGGGCTGTGGGGCTGGCTGGGCCTCTACCTTTTGAACAGCAATTGTAGGAAAGATTGAAGGAACATGCTCCAGCCAACACGTGGGAATGTTACTTCACTTCAAGACCTAAAAATAGGCAGGTCTGGCGGGGCGTGGTGGCTCACGCCTGTAATCCCAGCACTTTGGGAGGCCAGGACGAGTGGATCACGAGGTCAGGAGTTTGAGACCAGCCTGACCAACATGGTGAAACCCCGTGTCTACTAAAAATACAAAAATTAGCTGGGCGTGGTGGCGCACGCCTGTAATCCCAGTTACTCAGGAGGCTGAGGCAGGAGAATCACTTGAACCCGGGAAGCAGAGGTTGCGGTGAGCTGAGATTACACCACTGCACTCTAGCCTGGGCAACAGAGTGAGACTCTGTCTCAAAAAGAAAAAAAAAAAAAGGCAGGTTTGTGTTTACCTAGTTCCTCTGTATCCAGACAGCTCATTCGTGCAATTTTGCTGGTAAGTTCGCCATTTTTCCATCAGCAAAATTTAGGGTGGGGACCGATCCACACATCTTCTGTCCTCCCCTAAATAAAGAAAAGGCCCAGAGCATTCTTTGGCATTTTGTCATCTGATAAAACTGTCACATCCAAATTTCATGTCCCCATCACCCCATATAATTCAATTTTGTGCCAATTTGCAGCCGTTCTCCTTGATAGCATCATCCCTTCTCTTTATGTAAAGGTCATTCAATCTAATGCCATCTTAGCAATTATACCAAGTGTGTCTTTGCACTGGATTTGAACAAATCATGAACTCCATTTTATTTTTCTGCTTCACAGAATCCAACAAGATAGAACCATCTCTTCATAGCCTCCAGAAATTTGTTCCTACAGATTACGCCAGCTACACTCAGGAGCATTATCGGTTTGCAGGAAAGGAGATTGTCATCCAGGAATCCATAGAGAGTTACGGAGCGGTGGTGTGGCCAGGGGTGAGAGAACTGTCATATTTGTGATGTCAGGATTTCTGGAGATAACAATTCCGTACTTCAGAGTTGCCTTGGACAATTTGTCAAGTTCCTTCATATCCTGCTTCTCAATTTGAGGTTCAGTTGCTTGCCCCCTGGAGGGTGTTGGTGGAGTGCTTGGGATCAGCAAAAACAGTGTTTCTTTCAGAAACACTGGTTTTGCTTCAAGCTCTGTTTCTCGAAACATTATTTTTATATTAAATAAACTCAGCTATATGAGGAAGTGAATGCAAAACTTGTATAAATTGTTAAGAATAAACCCAGGGATTTAGAGTTTAGATTTTGCAGTGGGCATCTCCGAGCCACGCCCATCGACCCTCAGCCATTCATCTCTCTCTTTTTTTTTTTTTTCTTTTGAGATGGAGTCTCACTCTGTTACCCAGGCTGGAGTGCAGTGACACGATCTTGGCTCACTGCAACCTCCACCTCCTGGGTTCATGCAATTCTCCTGCCTCAGCCTCCCGAGTAGCTGGGACTACAGGTGCGCGCCACCATGCCTGGCTAATTTTTGTATTTTTAGTAGAGATAGGGTTTCACCATATTGGCCAGGCTGGTCTTGAACTCCTGACCTCAAGTGATCTGCCCACCTCGGCCTCCCAAAGTGCTGGGATTACAAGCGTGAACCACCACGCCCGGCCGGCCAGCCATTCATCTCTTTTCCATGGGGGCTGTGTCGGTAGGGATGTTTAGGAAGCATGACTTTGTGGCATGTCACCCCTGCCACAGCCCTGAGAGGATGGCGCTGAAATGGGGGCAGTCCTCTGGATTTTTAGTCAGAAAAGCTGCCATTTCAGGGCTGGGTAGTCACAAATGTTCACCTCACCTCCGTTTGCCTTCATTTCCATATTTAAAACCTAGGGTGGTCGTAATGTCTACAGTGCTCCTGACGTGGTTGTCAGAATTGTGAGAATTAATTTCAGATTGTGAGATTAAATGAAGTCCTAGCGTAAGCTCACATGAACTGTCCTCATTAATGTAATATTCTTTCCACCTTTCAGCTGAGGAAATGGGAACGCAGGCCAGTCTGCTGGCGTGGTAAAGCTCCCGACTGGGGTGCAGGGCAGAGCCAAGATAGACAGTGGCCCTCAGAGCCAGTGTGGTTGCTTTTCCCACTGCGGATGTTGTCAGTGATTAGAAAGGCTCCAGATCAGAAGTTCTCAATCTGCAGTCTTGTTAAAATGCGGATTCTGATTCAGGAGGTCTTACACATTCCGGGGTGATGCCTATCTGCTGGGCCAGGGTGCCCACATTGAGTATTCCTGGTTAGTGGTTCCACGGGGCTCCCTCAGGTCATCTGGCGATGGCACAGGATGGGGAGAAGGGTAGCCAAAGGGCTTCAGGCTCTTAGGTGTCGACCTTCACTCACTCCCAAACAGGGAGCTCTATTTTTACACCTTATGCATATAATTTCCTTCAACTAAAGGCTTTTCTTTGCCTTAAAAACGAGTTTGAAAATCACCAAACTACTCACAGCTTCCTATTGTAACACATTCAGCAAATAGACGACAGCAGTGGTGTAGCGAGAAAGTGGTATAGTAAGAGATCAGAGGCCGGGCATGTGGCTTATGCCTGTAATCCCAGCACTTTCAGAAGCCGAGGCAAGAGGATCGCTTGAGCTCAGGAGTTTGAGACCAGCCTGGGCAACATAGTGAGACCCCATCTCCCTTTTAAAAATAATAATTTTAAAAAAAAGATCAGAAATTGAAAAAAGAATATTTGTCCCCCTGTTTTATTCTGAACAAGGTATCACTCATGCACCAAACACTAGCCTCTCATGAAACCTGCTTCCTGAAAGCTGCACAAGAAGGGCATCTAGAGTGGGAAGGCGCCCTTTTCCTGTGCGACTTCAGGTGCAACTCTGTGAAAAGATCTCTTCAGAGTTTGCTAACAGGACAAGGGGCTGGCGGGGGAATGTTTGCAATGTCAAAAGACACAGCTGTCCCTGAGAAAAGCTTTGTCTCCGCATGACACCCTGCGGCCAGCCCCTCACAGGGCAGGGCACCAGGAAGGACCCCTGCAGCCATCTCCAGGAAGTTCCTCAGAGCTGCCCTCTGAATGGCTCTAGGTGACACTCTTTTCCTGACATTGACCCCCTCCTCCCAGCCCCCACAGCAAATACTTCTCTTCTCTCCTTAAGGACCAAAGAACTCCTTTCTTCAAAACTTCCCTTCTAAGCTCTGGAGCTCCCTGCAGCGTGCTGCAGTTGGTGCTATTTATGTCACACCATGTTGCTATTTTACCCACCGCCCTGGCCTTCCACACCAGCTGGCTTCTCCCCGGCCCCATGAAGTCGGCCCAGACTCCTCGGCGGCTCTGTGGTGACCCCTCTCCCTTCAACCAGCTGTCTGCCTCCTCTACAGCACTTACCTCCCCAGAATTCAGTTTGTAATTGGCTGACATGGCCCCTAAGCCCCACCACTGAGTTCCCAGACAGTAGAGGTGACTGCGTCATATTCATCTTTGCCCGTGGCAGTTCAATATGAACAGATGAGGATGAAATGGAGTGACGTACAGGGTCAGGTTGGCTACCAAACCTACCACTGGTAATCCTAAGAGTGACACGTCTCCAATCATCCTGGCTGCCCCCACTCCAAACTGGGCCCCAAATAGAAAGTAGAGTCCAGAGGAAGATGGGGGCATATCTTTAGCTAGGGCCTAAATGTATAAGTAAATTATAGAGTTCATTGTTTTTTAAATCTCAGTGTTCACGTTCCTCACGCTGGGCTATTTATACTCAAATTTAAGTAACTTTTTGTCATTTCTTCTCATAACTCTTCCTAATCTCTCCAATCAAGGGCACTGCTAGTTGATGCCTCATTGCCATACACGTAAACACCTCAGCAATCAATGCAAATCAAATACCCTTTACTCTTTGTGGAAAGGTTAGAGGAAGGTGGAGGGAGAAGAGAACGAATAAAGAAGAAAGGGAAGTTTGATTTCCTGTATAAAAAACTAACAATATTTGTTGATATATAAAACATTTAAAAAAATCTGCTTGCTACTACTCAAAGTGGGTACATGGGCCAGCAGATGAGCATCATGTCAGGGCTTGTTTAGACGTGCAGGATCTTGAGCCCCACTCTCGACCTACTGAATGAGGATCTGCATCTTTAACAAGCTATCCAGGGAATCTGTTTGCACACTGAAGTCTGAGAAGCAGTTTCTGAACTGTCTGTTTCTTAGAAGAACCACTTTAAAAAAAGTCACTAACCCGTCGCTCAATACGGCAAAGTGCTCGCCAACCTGAATTTTGGTAAAGGAGTCAGGAAAGAGGTGTTCAAGTTTATAAATTGACATTTTAAAAAATTACTTCTATAATTTAAAAAACTCTCTTACAAGAAAGAATTCTAACATAAAACAACATTCCTAAAGCAGTTGGAGACCAACATGATTAAACCAGTGGAAGGAGTTGCTGTTCTTTTAGCCCAACATTGCCCTGATTTGAAAGAGCTAAGCTGATCTACTGTTCTTCCTATTCTTTGGAGATTTAGGAGGCAATTTAACAAATCTTTTTCCCCAGTTCCTGAGATGCAATTTATTATAACTTCTTTATTTCAGAGGTCTAAATATGGCATTGAGTGTACATTTGGGTTCTTATGAATATAAACTGAACATATGTAATAACATGTCTTTTAGTATTTAAATTTGGGTGCCAGAAAGGGTTGCTACTGGTTTCCAATGTTCCAATGCCCACATGAAAAGTTATAATTATTTTTTAGGCTATGGCTTTGTGTCAATACTTGGAGGAACATGCCGAGGAATTGAATTTCCAAGATGCAAAAATACTTGAAATTGGTGCCGGACCAGGCCTTGTTTCCATTGTGGCCAGTATTTTAGGTTTGTTTGTTTATTCCTGACCTAGTATCCAGATCTTTACTGTAACAACAATAGCAAGTGCTTACTCTATGACAGGCTGTGGTTTAGGTGCCTGGCCCTAACTTCACTCAGTGACTCTCCCCAAAATGTCATGCGGCAGGAATTACTGCTGTTATCTACAGAGATCATTGAGTCTCAGAGAGGTTAATAAACTCCAATCAACCAGTTTCCATGGGACGAAGTTGAGTCCAGAGGCATGACTCTGAATCTCTGTTGTCAATCCCACAGGTGAGGTGAGGTGGGGGAGCTACTGACATCAGGTGGTTGGAGGCCAGGGAGGCTGCTCACCATCTTACAGTGCACGGGACGGACCACCCACAAGAATTAGCCAGCCCACATTAGGTCAAACATGTCCAGCCCACCCACCAATAGAGCCAAGGCTAAGGAATCCAGTTGTTTCTTGTGTTTCTCCCTGGGTATATGTACACTGTGACTGCCCAGATGTTTCCAGGTCATTGTTTTCTTTTTCTCTTAGGAGCTCAAGTCACAGCAACAGATTTGCCTGATGTCCTGGGAAACCTTCAATACAATCTTTTAAAAAACACACTACAATGTACAGCACATCTGCCTGAAGTGAAAGAACTGGTATGGGGGGAAGACCTGGACAAAAACTTTCCCAAGTCAGCTTTTTACTATGATTACGTCCTAGCCTCAGATGTGGTCTACCATCACTACTTCCTGGACAAGCTGCTCACCACCATGGTGTACCTTTCCCAGCCAGGGACGGTGCTGCTTTGGGCAAACAAATTCAGGTTCAGCACCGACTATGAATTTTTAGATAAATTCAAGCAAGTTTTTGACACAACACTGTTGGCTGAATATCCAGAGTCATCAGTCAAACTTTTTAAGGGGATACTAAAATGGGACTAAATCCAACAAAATGCCTTTCACAACGTTACTGTGTCTTTTGAGCAATGTGTTAGAAATTGCTTTGGTAATAGACTTCTTTCACAGGATTGAGAAGGTAGTGCATAGAAACAACTTGTATACTTGGAACAAATGTAACAATACTGCAGAAACTTTCTAATTTCTAAGATAATTTAAGATTATCTGGTTAATCTAAATATCTAAAAAGAACAACATAAAAACATGAAAGTAGCTTTGTTGGTTCCAACGAAGTTACATGTTTAATAAATCTTACATGGATAAAGTAATAAGTGAATTTCTTCCCTATTTCTGCTATAGAGCATATGTTTAAACTTGGCAATATAGTCTTGTCACATGCTTTTTGAAACTGGGCTTGACAGAGTCACTATATCTTAGTTTGAAGAATCTACTTTTGCAGATTTTTAACTGCAGCAAAAAGAGGATATTGAATGATAGAAAACAGTTAATAGGCTTAAAGTTGATTAAAAGTGAAAAATAAAACTGCCGGAATGAGAACAATGTTGTCTTAAGAACTTCTTAAGATAATTTACAAAGAGTCTCCCTCTGTGTCAATTATCTTAATAATTTCTAGTTAATTTCTGTATTGTCTGCTTTTTTCACAGTAAGTATTTTAGGCTCTCTAGTCACATACTATGCTATATATATATATATATTTGTTTGTTTGCTTTTACAACCATTTATGAAAAGGTAAGAACCTTCTTAGCCTGCCCAAACAGGCCTCAAGTTAGATTTGGTTCACAGCTCATAGTTTACCAACCCCTGGAACTGCAGGCGATCCACAGTGAAATTATTGGAATTTGTAAGAGTTTAGCAAGGTTGCCAAATGTCAATAGTGAAAGCTCAATCTTATTTGTAAATTCTAACTACAAATAGTTAGAAAATGAAATTTAAATTAAGATACCACTTACAATTGCAATAGTGAAGACTTAGGAATCAATCTAACAAAAGATGGGCAAGAAATTGATGCAAATGTATCTAGCATTATCGAGACAAATTAAAACTAACATAAGTAAATGGGGAGACATCAAGTTTGTGCATTGGAAGACATTGTAAATATGTCAGTTTTCTCCAAATTGATCAACAGCTTACGTGAAATCATTGTAAAAATCCCAATATACTTTCTTGTGGAATTTGTCAAGCTAAGTCTAAAATCATGTGAAAATAAAAAGGCCAAGAAGAATCAAGATGCTCCTGAAGAACCTGGTGGGAAGACAGGCTTCATAAGAAGTAGTACTTTGATGGGTGCGGTGGCTCACGCCTGTAGTCCCAGCACTTTGGGAGGCCGAGGCGGGCGGATCACGAGGTCAGGAGATCGAGACCATCCTGTGAACGGTGAAATCCTGTCTCTACTAAAAATAAAAAAATTAGCCGGGTGTGGTGGCAGGCGCCTGTAGTGTAGTCCCAGCTACTAGGGAGGCTGAGGCGGGAGAATGGCATGAACCCAGGAGGCGGAGCTTGCAGTGAGCCAAGATCTCGCCACTGCACTCCAGACTGGGCGACAGAACGAGACTCTGTCTCAAAAAAAAAAAAAAGTAGTACTTTAAAGAGGCAATAATTGAGACAGCAATTAGTATGACTTTCTAATAATACATATGGGTATTTCTTAAAGTGATCTTTAAATATGCCTGTAAAACAAGAAGTAAGTTTAAGGAACAAATGGGCATTCTAGCCATAATTCCAAAGATTTAATTATCTCTATTTTCTCCTTTATTGATATTTGCCTTCTGAGAATGAGTCTCTCAGGTAAATTTGGTGATGTTTTTAAATACTCTTCAATTCCTCTTGATGGTGATTAAAGTTTCTTCTTTTAAAATAAGCAACAGTGGATTCATTAACAGCAAGATCTACCTGATACAAACCTGTTTCCAAGATTTTAAGACTGTTTTTTAAAAAGGAAATCATGTTTCCCCCACTCCCACGTATAAATATATATGTTTTTATATATATATATGGTGCTAAAGAAGTCGTCTTTCTCTCAAGCAAAAGGGAAGGAAAATGAACATTCCTTTTGCAATGTCCTCCCTTAGGATATAAAACTTACAAGATCAGAACCCCCAAAACAGAAGAAAAGTTGTAGGAAAAGGCAGCGTGTCTTCTACATCTGGATACTGTGTGGAAAGCACAGGGTATCTGCCTGGTGACTCCCAATTATTCCAGCCAATTTTACTTGCAGCTGCTTCTCTGTCTTGTGTGAGCAAGGCCAGGAAAGTCACTCAATCTGGAAAACGTTGCTTTGTTAGTATGAAGCCCAATAAGCAAGTCAGTTGATTTCAGCATAAAAATAGATGTATACATCAATAGAACAGAGTCCAGAAATAGACTCACACATATATGGTTAACTGATTTTTGACAAAGGTGCCAAAGTAATTCAATGGGAAAATATAGCTTTTTAAATTAGTGTTCAAATTGTACACACACACACACACACACACACACACACACACGACCTTGACCCTTCTCTCATACGATACACAAAAATTAAATTGAAATGGATCACAGACCTAAATACAAGAACTAAAGCTATAACAACTGTAAAACTTCTGTAAGGAAACATAGGGAAAAACCTTTGTTACCTTAAGTTAGATAAAGATATCTTAGATATGATACCAAAAGTACAACTTGTAAATGAAAAAAATGCTGAGATGGTCCTTATGAAAATTTAAAAGTTTTGCTCTTCAAAAGACTATTACACACACTGGGCCAGGTGCGGTGGCACGTGCCTGTAGTACCAGCTCCTCAGAAGGCCGAGCAGGAGGATAACTTGAATCCAGAAATCTAGCTTGGGCAACATAGCAAGAAACACACTGGGAGAAAATATTTGCATAACACACATCTAAAAAACAGCTTGTATCCAAAACACATAAAAAAAACTCTCACAACTCAAGATAGACAATCCAACAACTGAAAAAATGGGCAAAATATCGGAATAGAAACTTTATCAAAGAAGATATACAAGTGTCTAGTAAGTTCATTTACTGGAGAAATGCAAATTAAAATGAGATACTGTAACACAACCAGTAGAATGGCCAAAGTTAAGAAGGTGATATCATCAAGTGTTGATGAGGAAGTGCAAAGCTTGCAAGTCTCACACACTGCTAGTAGGAATGTCAAATGATAGTCATTTTGAAAATGGTCTGCTAGTTTCTTACAATGTAAAAAGAAATATACCACATCTCAGCAATTTCATTCCTAGATATCTACACAACATTACTTGAAAAGATATGCCCATACAAAGACTTGTAAACAAACGTTCACAGCAGCACAGCAGCGTGATTCCTAATAGCCTCAAATATAAACAATCCAAACATCCATCAACTGGTGAATGAACAAAATGTGGTACATCACACAACACAGTATACACAGCAGCAACAGGGAATGAACAGATACACCCAAAGTGGCTGAAACTTAAGAACATTACATTAGGCGAAAGAAGACACAAAAAATTACATATTGCGATTCCATGTATATAAAATTTCTAGAAAAACTATAGGATTAGAAAGCAGTTCACTGGCTGAGGCTAGGGGTGGGAACGGAGACTGGCTACAAATGAGCTTGAGGGAGTTCTTCCAGATGATTGGGAAGTGCTAAAAACCCAGATTGTGCTGATGGCTGCATTCCAGACATTAGACTGCACACTTGAAATGGTTAAACTTTATCATATGTTCAGTACACTTCAATAAAGCTGTTAAAAAACCCACGGTTTGTCCCAAATGTTATGCAAATTTTCTTTCAAATCCTCTATCTTTCAAATATACAATGTAGAGGAATCTATTAAGAAAATTACAGCAATGAAACTTGTTCCTTTAAATGTCTTCTTAAAAACTTTTCACATTTCCAGGGCAAAGGAATATGATCCTATGCTTATTTTGTAAATGAAGTGTCCTTTTAGAATGGCTGAATTGATTAGTCACCTTTTTCTTTACACTATTAGAGAAAATTTTAAATAAAGTAGACTAACTGTACATTTTAAATACGTGCAGTTTATTATATGGCAACTATAGCTCAATATTCTGCTAAGTAAGTATATTTCAACTCATGGAAAACCGTGGTTAATCTAAAACATTCCTTTCTCTGCTCCCATATTAATTTGAATCAAATCAGACAAATCATTCCTTTTGTAAATTCAGGTTGTATCTATACAAGATACGTAACCACAATACTATCACATCTAAAATATAATTTTATATTAAATAAGTAACATTATACGTTAAAATATGTAGTGTTCAAATTTCCAATTGTCTTGTAAGTGTCATGACATTTATTTTTAGTTTCAATCAGAACCCAATCAGGTCCAAATTTGATTAGTATGTCTCTTAAATCTGATCCTCCTTTCATCTTGGTTTTTTGTAGAATTTCATACTACTGCATTATGCAGACTGCACCATTAGAGTGTCCTTTAACTTGTTCCTCAATCCTCTGTTGTTTCTGTAAATTTCACATCTTAATGACTCAGGCTTGAAACCATCTAGCCCAAGCCCAGCTTAGATCTGCCAAATTCCAGGCAAGTTACACTTATTAGTGAAAATAAGTTAGACAGATGAGTTTTGAAGTAGCTTAACTTTTAAAATCACACATAAAATGAAATTACGAAATATATTTCCAGTTGCTTTGTATTCTATTTGCATTTTGGTAAGACCTGGCCGATTCTAGAGTGAATTTGGTTTACATGACTGGGTATGCAGGCAGCCCTAGCTGCACAGTGAAAACCTGACAGCTGGCACTGACACTGGAACTGTAGTTATACATGTTTGTCCCTCGAGAGAACTCAGCTTGAATTCATTACAAACTTGCCTGATGTTTGAAATCTTCTCACAAAAAAAGGGGTTTTAAATGAAACTAAAACAGTACATTTGCAGAACTGAGTGCAGAGGCATTCTGCAGCAAAGTGCTAGCAGGTACTGCACCATCACATCCTGACCTGGCTGTCTCAGGGTATCAGAAGGCAGGTAGAAATTCTGCTGATTGGGATGCCCAAAAACCCTTCATGTTAGAGCGTCACTTACATCCTCCTCTTCTGGTTTCCGGGATTTTACTTAGTCAGCTTCCCTTTTTCAGTTTACCACCCATGACTACTGATAAATTCTTCACCCCTTGGTTTGCTATGTTCAGACTGAGACTCTTGAAATTCAGTTTCTCACTTCTTTATTCCTCAAAAAATTCTCTCCATTCAAGGTTTCCTCCCCTTCCCCTTTAGGGGAGATAGCAAGAATCCCTATTATCTATCTCCCTATGAAGGCTTCTCTGACTTAGATCCTAAAGGGAAAGACAAAGACCCATGTATTCTGAATGCTGGGTTGCTGGGAGGACGGAGAACGAAACACAGTGGAGGCAAAGACTCAGTTAATTCAAATGAAATAATTTTTTTAGTTGGAATAGACACACTGATTCAACACCACGATTTTCTTAAGGAGATTCATGGGGGTCAAGTGATTTGACTTGTCAGTACTTGAGCCAGGATTAGACAGCAGAGACCCAGGCTGGGGCTTCCAGTCATCCAGTCCCTGCACATTTCATTAGAGCTGGGGGTGGAGGGAGAAAGGGTTTGAGATTTGTGGTGCCTAAGAAGAGAAGCAGGTGGGGCTCTTCTGCGGTAAAGAGAAGTTCTCCCAGAAAGCATGCTAACATGAGGAAGGAAAGAAATCCCATGAGATGGCAAAACTCCTCCCAGTAACAATTGAGAACTGCCTCTTATTATTGGAAAGGGGCCACAGAACCAGTATTGAGCACATACCCTGTACTGTCTCTAATGGTTCTTTAAAAAGTTATTTTTACCTAGTTTTTTCAATTGTTTTCAGTGGGTGTGCAAACATTGGCTACTGTGACCAGAAACAGGAAAACTGCTTGACTTTTTGAAGTACCATCCTACTGTTTGTATTATTTTTAATGTAATCACATAGAAACAGTAATGATTTTACTGAGAACATCTTCTAGAGCTTACTTGGGTCCACTTGTCACCACAGAAATGCAGAATGAACCAGACAGGAAACAGGAGCTAACATGGCAGCTTTGTATAACTGCCTCCAGTTACAGGAGTCACAAATGAATAGGCATGGCTCTGTTCCAATAAAACTTTATTTACAAAAACAGGCAGCAGTCCAGTTTGGGTTAAAGGGCCAAACGTTACTGATTCCTGCTGTAGGTAGTACTTACCTGAAATAGCAAAACCTGGGTTGTAAAGCAAGGTCTGTAATTAATTTCCAACAGTTGATCAGCCGTATAACCTTGGGAAGTCATCCTACCTTTACTGAGCTTCTCCATTCTCTTACTGGACTAAACCTATACAAATGGGGACCTGTATGTGTGTGCAGGTGAAAGTCCATGAGTGTGTGAGAGAGAACATGCATGTAGCTTTCATGGATAGACTTTGGACCCTAGCTAGCCCAGAAGGTGTGACCAATATGCTTATACATGTATTTATGTTTCTCATAAACGCTCTAACACTTCATGAGATACAGCAGAAACAGTTGGGAGTGACTAAGGATTACTGGTAGTAATTTTAAGCAGCAGTAAATCTTAAGAGAACAAGATAAAAAAATCATACATACACACAATTTGCCATTAGATAAGGGACTGTAAACTTTTCAATACTACTTTTGTCTGTTTATTTGGTGGAGGAATGACGAGAGATGCACGTGCAGTAGCCAAAGATAAAAATAATAAAAAGTTAGATATGCACAAAAGTTAATCATACAAGAACTGGAAATACATTCAAATAATTGTAAGCCTATAAGAAACACTGTAAAATAGATTATCTTATGTTTAACTTTTTTTGTCTATGTATTTAATGTATTATTTCTGTTATAACCCCAAATTTTATTTATGAAAAATTAAGACCAACTTTAAGAAGCTTCAATATTCACTTTTATTATTTATAAAAAAAAATTAAGGTACCAGAGTGCATATGGTGTACTGTGATCTTGGTTTTGCAAATTTATTCATGTGTTTTACATTATTTCAATTTTAATAAACATATCATATGTGTATCTTTACAATACCTGATAAAGATTCAGCTGTCTGGCACTTACACATGTATTCATAGAGTTCATTCTGATGCTCTGAACCTCAAGAGGATGTGAAAATGACTTGCCTGTAATTACCCCAAGATGAAGATTTATTGAAGCAGTTATGCTCCAGCAACTGCCACTCATTTGTGCTGGTTCTACTTTTTCCCCTTAATTGAATGTAAACATTTGCCAAAAAAAAAAAAAAAAAAAAAAAATTCTGGAAATGAAGTTCTGTTAGTTTTTAGTCCAATAAATAATTTTAGCTACGCTTAATGTAGCTTTTTTAAGGCCTTCATACAATTGAAAAAAATTAAAGTTGAGCACGTTAAAACCCTGTTCATTTATAAAATAAAAAATAGTACTTTATAGGTTTGCAGTTAAAAGTTACCTTCCAAAACCTATCATGCATGTCATAAGCTGCAACCCAACTCGAAGTCCTAGGTGCTGGCAGGCAGGGCACATCCCCGTGCCAGCAATGTGAGGCATTAAGAAAACACCATGATGTCAGAGGTCTAGATTTACATGTATTAAGCCACACGTCAGTGAATTCTCTGATAAATACATGTCATTTTAATAATCAGTACTGGATAGTGGATGAAAACATGCATTAGACTAAAAATGCCACAAATTTGTTTTTATACCCATTCACTATAAAACTTCCTTTTTTAAAATTTAAAGTCTTGTTTCCTATTTTAGAATACGCAATAATCGGGAGGATACATGATGGGGAGCCAGTTTTCAGTAAAAGATGCACAATGGGTCCATCCAAGTAACTTCATCAGCTACAACAAAATACAATAATATATTATTATAAAGGAAGTGACAGATTTTTAAGCTCAGTATTTAGAATAAATTCTGTATTAAATAGTAACAGTAAGGTAGTAGCATATAGAACCTTCCTTCCACCAACCGTCACCCACCCATTGATCCTCCTTCCCACCAACCAACTTTTCTTACTATCAACCAACTTTCCTACCAACCAACCTATTGTTCTCATCATTATCCCTACCAACTGTCCTTTTCCCTCTTTCCTATTAACCTGTGTTCCTCCCTTCTTCCTTCCAACTTACTTGTTCCTTTCCTTCCTACCAACCTAAGTTCCTTTCATTCATTTTTTCTGAGTAACTATCATGTCAAACACTGGGAAAACAGCACTGAACAAATTCACCTCCCACTTTCAGGAAAAGCAAATAATAAGCAAATTAATAAATGAATAAACAAGTAATAAGATATTTATCAGGTGTACAGTAGAAATAATATTTGACACAATATAAACTAACTGGGGAGTTAGATGGTTAAGAAAGGATCTCTATGGAGGTGATACTCCAGTTGAGTTTGAATGACAAGAAATCTGTGCGAAAATCTGGGAAAGACATTCCATCCAGCCAGAGTAGTTAGTGCTAAGGTCCTTTGGTAGGAAAAGGTGTGGCTGTTTGTGCTAAGCAGAGATGCTGGTGTGGCAGAAGCAGAGTTTGTATGGGCAAGTGTGATATGAAATAAGTCTGGAGAGGTAGGCAGGGGCCTTATGGACCACTGGGGAGAGTTTGGATTTTATTCCAAATGTGATGGAGATTCAACAGCAGGTGTCAAAAGGCATCTTTTCCAGCTGCTGTGTGGAGAACAGGCAGCGGGGGGGGCAGAGTGGAGGGCAGACAAGTTAAGAAACACTCCCTGATGTGAACGTCGGCAGGGATCACTGGCTTTACAAACCTAAGTGCTCACGGATCAGATTCCACATGATGAGAACCACATTAGACATATCAACACCTGGCTCCAGAAAGAGTTCTCTTAATCTAGTCAAAGATCTGGAGGAGCTAATTTAAAATGTCTTACAATTTGGACTGACTGGTGAAGGTAAACAAAAAGCTCTAAGAGTAAATATGAATATAGCTTACTCTAATTATCAAACATTTTCAGAGGAACCTACTGATCAGTTTTACATCCAAAGGGTACCTTACATATAAAGTATAATTAACCTGGACTTGCCCTTTAGCTGAATCTGGCACCACCAAACTCCCCTGCCTTCACGTATCCTTTAGGCATAAACCAATTAAGCATGTTCAAAGACGAGGTCAGACTAAAGTAACTTCTGTAGAAATCAGCTAAATTTTTTTACTTGACAACTAACTTGTGCAGAAACCTCAACTATAAAATTTCTCTGCACATAATATTGTATATGGTAAGATAATTTTAAAAATGCCTACCATCTCAAATGAAGAATAAAATCAAATATAAACTCCAGAAGTTGAACCATTTTAGAGTTGAGGCAACATGCCTTTAAAAGGATTTGTTTCCTTCATAAAGAAAAACTGGCTTCTACGGTTACAAAATTCAAAATGCATTTGCCCTTGTTGAAAACATTTGAGGCTAGTATCAGTTTTTTGGATAGCAGTGAAAAGTGTTTTTAAAATTTAAATAGCTTATTGACTGTCTCTCATATATTTATTCTATAGTTCATATTACGCTAATTACTGTAATAACTGGTCACAATAAAACCAGTATTGCTATATCACAGTCCTAATCCTTTCTAGTTATCTTGTCACTATGCAATATCAAAGTGATGCTTAACAGTGACATTTTAAATATCACTTACTTGAATACAATTTTTCCAGTTTTCTTTTGTTGGTTTTTCTTCCACAAGTTTAGTTGCAAATTTAAGGCCTCTCCCATACATTTTATTTACTAATGCATGTTTATATGCAAATGTCAAAACCTACAATGTAAAACATGATAAAGCTTGTTTATAAAATAATTTACATTTTAAGGCATTAGCTTTAACCATAAAATTAAGGCTTTAACAGAAGTGTAGCTTTTGAAATGAATATGGTACATAGAGTACATTTTTAAAAACTTTGAAAAAGAAAATTGGTGTCTTCAAAAGAGCTGAGTATTCCACAGAATGAACCATCTGTTTTTTGGGAAGAAAACTAATATGAGAAATTATTAGCCGTGGAAATCCACTTAAAAATACCTCTTCATGCACAAGAAACCAGAGCTAACATAAATAATTACAAAGATGCAAATCAGGATAGAAATAAAAAATGCCAAAATTGCAAATGAGGATAGAAGTAAAAAAACAAGTATTAGATTATATAAACATGGTTTCTTTGGTACAAGTTTTTACCTGTAATTACTGCATCTGTCAAATATACTTATAATCATTTATATATATTTTTGGTCTCTACTTTGGAATGTGGAGAATGTACTCAAAGAAAATCCTGACACTGATTTGTATTGTAAAGGCAACTAAAGTATTTAACAATTGTTGCCATAGACACAGTAAACACAGTAAACAGGTAATAGAATGCATAGCCCCTAATATAGTAGTAGTATTGCAAAAATAGAATGATCTATAACAATTTTATTATATGTTCATCAAGTGTTTGTCAATCTCTGTTACATTCCTCAAAGACAGAAAGCAGGTTCTTATTCATCTTTATGTTTCCAGTAGTAAGTAGTGTTTGGCACATAGGCCTTCAATAATTGTTTGCAATAACAGCAAATATTGTTGGGGACTTTGCATGTACTTAATACTCATTCATCACAGCCTAAGGCAGGTCGTGTAGATAAGAAACTAAGGTATCAAAATTTTGTAAGTTGCCTAAGGTCATACATAAAAGTGGTAGAGGCAGGAGCCAAACTCAAGGGCTCTAATTTCAGATTCAAATTCCTGACCTCTGCTGCAATACTGGCTCCTTCAGTTTCCCAAATATAACTGAGTAACTGAGTACCTTCTTTAAATGCACCACTGTACTGTGTTGGAAAAATCTGAACCATATAAGAATTTTCTTCCCACTTCCAGGGTTCTTTACTGCAAATTACCAGTTAATTCTGAGAACAAGCACCTGTCTACTAAAACAAAATGATGGTCTGTGATACGCGAGGGGAATCCTACTGACTCCATTTACTTTATTTTATTTCCACAGGAAAAGAAGATTAATAACTTGTATAAACGCTATTGCAAGAATTATAGTAGAGAGCTAAAAGAGATTTAAAATGTTTTTGTAACCAAAATCCAAAAAAGTTCATCAACGATGCTTTTATGAATTGGGTTTTAAAACTGATTAGCTACAAATCAAGATGATAATTACTGAGAAATTCAAGAGTTTTGAGGAAAATAAGTAACAACTAACCAGTATGTCTCCTCAACCTGCCCCCAATCTCCTACCACCAACAAATTAGCATATAACTAGAGAAGGGTGGGCCTGAAGGCATTTTCTAGAAGACTTTCTTAATTTAGCTACATACATAACTGGTTTAACTAAAAGCCTACTACACATATTCTCAAACTGTTTTTAAAATTATTGTGGTTTAACAGCCAGTTTGCAGTACCATAAAATAATGTTTTTTAAAAAAAGGTGAGACAAACATGAAGTACTAGGCTAAACATGTCATATTCAGAGCCCAGCGTAGATTCTTTCCATTTATCTTCTTCCTCTTTTAACCAGCAATGGGGCACAAGAGAGGTCTGTGAGGTAACCCCAAGAACTTTGCTGAAACAAGAAGCAGAAACGTTACCTTATTGTCAAAGAGATCAGTCCATTTAGTAGTTTCCCAAAATGTTTCTGCCAGAGAATCCAAAGGACTTTCTCCTTCCTCCTCCTTTCCTTCTGCATCAGTGGAAATGGCTCCGTCTTGAGCCTGGGTGTGAAGAAGATGGTCTGCCAGGGCACAACCTTTCCTACAAAGGGCATCTACGAGGGTGGATTTTTGTTTGTCCATGTCACTGTACAGCAAATTAAAAAATATTTCAGATATCAGTAAAATGTCTTTAAAAGTAAATTCTTATCTGAATTTAAATTCATGTATTCTTTTGCCTAAGATTTATAATGCAGAAATACTGTATATCCAGGTACGTACAATTGTATTGTACATCAAATATGATGCCTTATTAATAAACATCAAATGAGCTACTATATTACACATATAGATTAAATGAGTTAGGGTAGCTGCACCTGGTTGAAACGGAATGCCAGAAGCAACAGAGTTGAAAGGTTAATCACTATTCTAAATTTTTTTAGCTATATAACTCTTAATCAGGTAAACGACTTTTGAGTTTTCAGTTTTCTTATAAATAGTAATCATTACACATTTGTCTATGTGTATACCCAGAGGTTATGTCTTAAAACTTTCAGTTCATGACTAGGACAAATAAATGTAATGCTTTACTCTGAATGTGCCAGCAACTGTCTCAGCATTTTAACATGTTAATTCATTCACATTCAAAACAATTCTGAGTAAGAGACTATTAATTACTGCCATGTTGCAAAGGAAGAAACTGTGGCCCAAAGAGACTATGCAATTTGTTCAAGGTCCTCCAGTTAGGAAGTGGCAGATCCAGGATTCTAAGCTTAGCAGTAGAAATCTGTAATCTGTGCTCTTAATCACTACGGCACATTGCCTTGATCCAGGGCAGACATCTTTGTTTTCTTCAATGCATTCCACGTGCCTAGGACAATGCCCGGCACAGAATGGAAACTCAATAAATCATTGCTGAATGAAATACAACCACCACCTACACTCCAGGGAAAAGTGTTAGTCTCTAGAATGTGTGCTTATTTGAGGCATTCTGTCCAACTTATGTCAGATACACGTGAAAACAATGAGGACTAAAAGTACTGAGAAAATGATGATGATTGAGGCACTTAGCTGTGGAACAAACTAACAGCTAAGAGTGACTCTGAAAGACTCAGAGTGAAATGTGTAGCATGTGAAAACTGCCGGGACTGTACCATCAACAAGGATCCGCAGTAGGAAAGACAGCCATCAACCCAACAACTTGAAGGCTCAAGGGCTCACCCACATTAATCCTGCGCACCAAGGAGTCCTGTTAATCTAAGAGGCCGCATGGCAGGGAACATGAACGCTAAGTACCATAGAAAATGCCGCTGCTGAAACATTGCCCAAGACCGGGGTATTCTCAGAGGTTCAAAGCCCATTTGATCCTGTACCTTGAAAGTGGGCAGGGAGGCAATGTGGGTAGTAGAGAAATTCCTTCACACTGGCAGAGTTCATCAAAGAGGGCAATTACCAACCCCAATACATTTGCAATGTAAATGAAACTATGCCTAAAAGATCCCTCAGTGCTTCTCAGCACAGTGCCTCAAAGCTTGAAGAACCAACTTTCACTGCCTTTTTGTAGAGATGTTTCTGGGTACTGCTTGTTTACACTGGAATTAAGAAGAAAAGGATTTACAAGTAGACTTTTGGGACTTCCAAGCTGTGGGGCATCTGCATGGCTTGCCATTGCCTGATCCACCCTCCTTCCCCCTCCTCTTAGATGCCAGGTGCCATCCTTAAATGTCTTCTCAGCAGTCCTTTGCTTATGCCTTCCAACAATCCAAGGTGTCGGGCACAACTACTATCCTGATTTTGTGAAGGAGAAAGGGGCTTGGAACAGCAATGGGTTGACAAGGCAGGTTTCCACACCCAGGCTGATACTTGTAGATTGGTCAGGGTGGTGGGTAAAAGTTAGAGGGAAAGATGCAAACCTTCTTGGAAGGCCGCGAGGTTTTGCAAAAGCTTCGAAAGAGGATTTGGCTGAAGGCAGTCAAATTCTCTTATCCGGAGCCTGAGAGCAAACGGCAGATAACAATGGAATGTAAAGAAACTTATCTAGATAAATTGGTTTCCTCCTGTCCCCAAAACCCAACCTCTGATCATTCACAAGCAGGACTGCTTTCTACTTGGGGGGTCGACAATGTTTGTTACCCACAAATTGTGTTTGCTCCAAGCTTTTGTCATTAATTCTGTACTAAATAAATGCGAGCATCACTGGCTTAGGGGGACTGCTAACTCTCTTCGGCCCCTAGTGCCGGCAGTCCCTAGCCTGCTGTTTCACTGGATACCTGTGTCTGAGTACTCCTTTCCTTTCATCTGTCACTCGGCCATAGTCTGAGGGACAGACTTGGCAGGTGGTGCCCCATGAGAGGAACGCTGCAATGGATCACAATGGAACCCTCGAAAATGAAGGTGAAGAGACTGCGCAGTCAGTAAGTCACTGGTGCCCGCTTGGGATTTCCAAGTTCGAGGGAATTGTTCAGGCTAGGGTTTCATCATGGGACAACAGTTATCAGCTCAACAGCAACAGTATATAAAAGTAATGAAACAGCTGCTTAAAGCTAGTGGAGGCTCGGTTTCGCAGGCTCAATTAAGGGACCTAATGCAAACTGTTGTTTCCCATAACCCATGGTTCCTCCCCCTTCTCCCTCAGCCCCGCTGTTACCGGGCAAAGATAACAAAGAGGAAACGGAGGTTTTGCCTGAGCCCCGTCCTCCAATAAATTGGAGAAAAGACAAGGAATATGCTACAGCTATGGGACCCTGTCTTAGGCAAGCGGCATTAGAAGGGGAGCTCTTGGCCTGCCTGGTAACGCAAAATTGACAACACAATCAGGTGTATGAACCCGTTACTTTTAACGCTTATAAAGAGATAAGGAAAAGCATTAAAGAAAACGGAGCCGCTAGCCCATTTACAAGAGGGTTGAGGTCACTCTGCAGATCTCTTTCTAATAATGGCCACTGTTGTTTCTCCCCTACCCCTGATGAGGCTCTCTCAAAATCTTATTTAGGTAGAACAGTGACCTTTAAAGGGAGAGAAATTACAAAGAGCCCATGAATTAGCTGAGGAACAATTAAAAGCCAGCCATATACAACTGTCAAACAGCCCTTGGAATTTGCCCATTTTCCTCATTCCCAAAAAGTCTGGCAAATGGAGACTTTTGCATGACTTACGGGCTATCAATGCTAATTTGCAACCTATGAGGCCCCTACAACAGGGCCTCCCTTCCCCAGCGGCAATTCCTGTAGTTTGACCTATAGTCTTATTGACTTAAACGACTGCTTTTATACTATTCCCCTTGCAGAACAGGACAGAGAAAAATTTGTGTTTAAAATACCAGTTATCAATAAAGGCCAGCTCGCCAATTTCATTGGAAAGTACTTCCTCAAGGAATACTGTGTCAGTATCATGTAAATCAGGCTTTGCTCCCCATTAGAAAAGACTTTCCTAATTGCAAGATTATTCATTTTATGGATGATATTTTACTAGCAGCTCCAACGGAGCCAGGACTTGTAAGTCTATATGCCTCTGTCGTAAAGAATACACAGTTAAGAGGTTTAATCATAGCACCTGAAAAAGTACAATTGTCTTCTCCTTAGAAATATCGTGGATACATTCTAACTTACCGGTCAGTAAGACCTTAAAAAGTTAAATACTAGCAACTTACACACATTAAATGATTATCAGAAATTACTAGGAGATATTAACTGGCTTCACCCCACCTTGGGCATAACTGATACATTACAAAACCTGTTTCTATCCTAAAGGGCAATACAGCCCTAGACTCTCCCAGGTATTTAACTCCTGCAGCAAAAAGGGAAATTGAGGAAATAGAGCATGCTATTTTTCAGAGGCAACAGGATTGCACAGACCCACGATATTCAATATTCAGTTCAATTGTTTGTTTTTCCTACTAAGCATTCCCCAACAGGATTAATAGGACAGATGTCCCCAGGGCTATGCTTCCTAAAATGAGTTTTTTGCTCACATACCAGAACTAAAACTCTATCTCCCTGTACCCAGCTAGTTAGTAAAACCATCTATTTAGGCCGCAGATGATGCAATCAGTTGCTAGGTTATGACCGTGATGTCATCGGAAGTCCTTTAAGTAAAAAGCAATTCAAAGCAGTCTTGCCCTTATCTCTAGACCTGCAAATAGCACTCTCTGATTACAAAGGCCATATAGAACATGCCCTTCCTGCCAATAAACTACTTCAGTTATTATCTAGTACTCCTGTAGTTATGCCTACAAAAGTGGTTCACCGCCACACCCCCCCACCCACAATACCTAATTCTTTAATGCTTTTTATTGACGGCTCTGGTAAAAATGGAAAAGTGGTTATTTGGTGGAGACTGCACAATTCCCTCACTTGTTCTGGATTTACTAACACTCAAGAAAGCTGAGGTTGGAGCCTTAATACTGGCCCTAGAGACCTTTCCTGCTCAGCCAATCAATATGGTTAGTGACTCTGCTTACTCTGTTTATTTATTGCAGAACCTTGAAACAGCCCTTATTAAGTCCACTCTCAAGCCCACCCTGTGTGCAGTTTTTCTTTGATTTCAGCAATCGGTGGATCAATGTACACATCCTATTTTTATTACATACATTTGGGCCCACAGCTCACTGCCTGGCCCCCTAGCTTATGGCAATGATCAAGCAGACCTGCAGGTTATGACATCACTGCTTGACCAAGCCACCCATTCGCATCAATGTTTCCACCAAAATTGGACAAATTTATCTAAACGATTTCAACTTACCCAAAGACTAAACAAATTATCCTGCAATGCCCAAATTGCCAGCTCACACGCATGTCCCCTCCTTCAACAGGTGTTAACCCTAGAGAACTAGAACCTAATCAGTTATGGCAAACAGATGTTACACACATCCCTAAATTTGGAAAACTAGGATATGTACATGCATCCGTTGATACCAATTCTCACCTAATTAGCATACATGCTCTTCCTGGAAAGTCTGCTCAATATGTTATTAAACATCTTCTTTTAACTTTTGCATTTATGGAGCGGCCCACAAAAATTAAAACTGATATTGGTCCAGCTTATGCCAGCTCAAAATTTCAGCAATTTTGTCATATGTGGAACATCCAACAATCCACAGGCATCCCTCACAACCCCCAAGGACAGGCCACAGTAGAACGTGTCCAATCCACCCTTAAAAATATGCTCAGAAAACAACAAAAAAGTGAATATGAGTAAGGACCCTGCAACACTACTGGCAGAAGCCTTATTTACCCTTACTTTTTAAAATCTAAACGATAAATTTCAATCAGCTATAGAAGAGCATTTTGCTAAAACCTCTCAAGACATAAACCTGCAGTTTTATGGAAAGATATAAACAGTAATGTATGGTGCGGTTCAACTGAATTGTTAACACTGGGAAGAAGACATGCTTGTGTTCACACCCCCTCAGGTCCTCTTTGGATTCCAGCACGAGGCATCAAACCATACCATAGCGTGGCTAGGACCCAACCCGGTACCAGAAATGAAGAAAATGACCCTGTGGGACCCATAGCCCTGGATGATGCAGCTTCTTCAGACGACACAAACCCCAGACATTACCTGGGAGATGTTGAAGAAAACTCAGAAGGCTGAATGAATCCTGCTCTGGACATAGACACCATTCACTCCAGATAATTTGTTCCTTGCTATGCTTTCCGTTGTACACTGCAACTCTTTTGGGTATTAACCCTTCTTATTCTCTCACTCTGCCTGCAACCCATACCTGCTACACGCTATTGGGATCATCATTTAGATTTGCCTTTCTTCTGCCCTGTTACCTGGGCAGACACCACCTTCCCAGCCTCCAATAAAGTAACTGCTTGGCTGGAAGGGGGTAACATACCCTCAGTGGGGTTCCTTAGTAACAGCACACATTGGACTGAGGTGCCAAGAAACACTACATGTCACTCCTTGATTGGAAAAGAATGTTACTGATTATACTCATTTTGTCTTATGTTATTTACTAATTCTAGGATGCAAAGCTGGAATACAAGCAGTAACCACTACGCCAGACAAACCAGTTGCTGCACACATCTGTACTCTTCAATCAACAAAACCTGATGCAAAAAAACAGAAAATGGGGAGATGTAGGAAATTGGTCAGAGTGGTAGGTAAAAGTTAGAGGGAAAGATGCAAACCTTCTTGGAAGGCTGGGAGGTTTTGCAAAAGCTTTGAAAGAGGATCTGGCTGAAGGCAGCCAAATTCTCTTATCTGGAGCCAGGGAGCAAAAGGCAGATAACAAGGGAATGTAAAGGAACTTATCTAGATAAATTTGTTTACTCCTGTCTCCAAAAACCAACCTTTGATCATTTGCGCTAGACAAATTTGACTACTCCTGTCTCCAAAAACCAACCTTTGATCATTCATGTGCAGGACTGCTCTCTACTTGGGGGTCGACAATGTTTATTACCCACAAATTGTGTTTGCTCCAAGCCTTTGTCATTAAATCTCTACTAAATAAATGTGAGCGTCGCTGGCTCAGGGGGACTGCTAACTCTCTTTGGCCCTTAGTGCTGGCAGTCCCCTAGCCCACTCTTTCACTGGATACCTGTGTCTGAGCACTCCTTTCATCCGTCGCTCGGCCAGAGTCTGCAGGGCAGACTCGGCAAATGCTGCCTGATGGATCCTGGCTGCCCAGAGAAGGGCTGGAATGATGCAGAAATCAGAAGGCAACCTGGGGGTGACACAGGTAATCTGCATTTGTCAGACCTGGGTTAAATTAGCTGTAAGATCCCTTTCTATTTTAGCATCCTCTTATCACGTAATCTAAATTCTACATATCTGGAGTATTCCTTTCCTCTCCTTAGGTTTTGTACTGACTGGCTGAGATTGAATACCTTTATAGTACATGAGGCTTTTTCCACTCAGGTGAAAGTCAGCTTTTCTTTCTACAGGCTTTTACAATTTGAAATATTTATTTAAAAATACTTGTATTTCATTATCTCTTAATAATTTCCTATCTGGCAATTTCATCTTCTATATTAGATGATAAGTTTCATAAGAGTAGAGACTATCTTGCTCATGTTTTAAGTCCTTGTCAGTGATGCCTTACATGAAGTATTTGCTCAATAAGGACCTTGAAATCAAATCTAGTTAGGTATCCATCAAGATAATAGCTACATTTTAGGAAGCAACTTAATTGGAATCAGTATTTTAATGCCTAAATAAGTGCAGTTTAAATTTAACTAAAACATGATATTAACTAAAAGTTAATATTTTTTAAGATTAGAAAATGGCATTTTACAATTTTTGATGTTACTGATTTAAGAGAAAGCAATTTTGCATGGAAATGAGAAATTAATGCTTAAGTTGGCTGCTACTTGCCCATAGATGACATCTGTAAGAAATGCTAAGTATTTCCTGATAGCATCTTGTATAATATTTCAACTCTGAATACTGTCTTCTGTCCAAACACAACCTGGTCAGAGTCTATTTCAGTCAGGCCAAAGCAAAGGCCTGGAGAGAAATAGAAATTCTTTAATTACAAGGATAAACAAGTTGACCCAGTGTCGCTAAAAACTTAAAGCAGCTCCACTCTTAGCGTTTTTACAAAGTTTTATGGCTTCTTTTCTAGTTTTATCCCAGCTTATTTCAATAGCCATGATAGTCAATGTCTAGTAATCTCCAAAGAGTAGAAACTAAAAAAAAAAAAAAAAAAAAAAAAAGAGATTAAAAACAGTGATAAAGACCAATAAGAAAACAAAACTAATATCGTATTAGTTTATGGCTCACTGTAAGCTGAGATTGAGTTTCCTCTGTGGATGGTAAAACTGAGAAAACCATATGTGTTATTTCATGTAACACCCGAGTTTGAGAAAATCATATTATTTTCACAAAATGTAAAAAATAACAAAAGCTAGAAAGTATATGGGATAGTTAATGTCGGGGGCTGCAGAGAGCTCAAAGAAGACTCAAAATGGGCCATTCTTTTTAGCAACTGGTTATCACTGGTGATCTGTGGAAGACAGTTTTAAAGTGACCAAGGCCAGCCTCCTCTTGCAATAAGATTAACAATGATCACCCTGAGACAGAAAGGAACACAATGAGGATGGGTGGGAGGCAGACGATGCTCCTTTTTCTGTGAGATAATACTGAGTTATGTTAACCTTCTCAAGAAGGGAGAAGAATATACAGAGAAAAGAAAGGGCATTGGCTGTGGAGGCAGATCCTGATTTGACTATGTGCTTTCCAACTTCCTAGCAGTGGCACCTGGGCCAAGTCATCTAAACTCTCTGAACTTCAGTTTTCTCTTCCTTAAAAGGGGGATACAAAGGCCCCTGCCTTCCATGTTGTTTGGAAGACTAAATTTAAATAAAACAATGTATTTAAAATGCCCTCAATAGTCCCTTATACATAATCGGCACTTAATAAATGGTGGCTGTATTTTCTGTTATTATTAACAACAACAACAAAATGGCAATGTTTTGAGACTATTCTTTTGAAAAATATGAAAAGGTAATAATAGTGGCCAAAGAAGCAATTTTAAATATATTCTATCCCACTTGAAAATTATTGCTTGTAAGATTCATAAGATCCTATAGTATCAATATAAATGATATAATGGAAAGAATTCTAGCAGTTTGGAATCCAAGTATTTTATGTAGAAAAAAATACTGACTGAAACTGAGAAAATTTTTAAGGAAAATTTAGTATTTTCAGGTAGCCTGAATAGTTTTGGTTTATTAGTTATAATAACCACAAAAGAATCAGGATATTTCTACCTAGTTAATGATCCTGTAAGTCAAAAATAAACAAAAGTGATAAACAAGTAACTGACACTGGGAGAGCTACCATGAGGTGATGGTTTAAGAGTTCATGGAAGGGTGAAAGTGACCAAATGGCAGCTTGGTTCAGAGTCACTGGACCATTAATTACACCAACATACGGAAATCACACTTGCATGGAAGGAACCATACCAACCACTCATAAACCCAGGGAAGCTTCTCTATTTACACACAGCATTAGGTTTTATAAAGGCAAAACTATAAATTCTCTCCTCCTATTCTCCCTAATACTATAAAACCAGTTTCATAAAAGTTGCCAGATAGTTTTAACCTAATTTTATTATCATTTATTTCACTACAAACCACGTATTAGGTTTGTCATGTAATTATTACAAACCAAATATTAGGTTTTTCATGTTACTGGACAATAAACATTTTAAAAATTATTTTATAGATTGTTAATTTTTGTCTTCCTGATATGGTCCAATTCACATAAACCCTCAAGTGGTTGGACTGCTTGATCACAGATATTCAAATCCCTCTACCTTGACAGCACTTAACAGTAGAGAAGGCAAACTACTTTTCTTGGGCTTACTCTTAAAAAGATTGGACAAAATTATTTTAAAATTTCTAAGGAGGGGAGTATCCAAATAGTGATAATTCCCATTATAAGGATATAACAAACATCAGAAAAGCAATATCCTCTATAATATTAGTCCCTACTTTTTAAACAAGTTAACTAGGAAATGAGATGCAAGAAAGATTATTTACTGGTTAGGTACTTTTTTATAGTAGCTGCATCAGGCCTGGGATCAGTCTTCATTGCAATATAAACTGCTAGGGCTGTTTGATCTATATGAGAAATAACAGCATTTGCCGCATCAACAATTTCATTAAGTCTTTTCATTCGTTCCTGGAGAGGAAAAAAGAAATAATAAAAAATAGGTATATCAATCAGTATACGAAAGCAATTTCACTTCTGCTGTCTCAACCATGAGACCTACAACTGCAGTGTGAGTAAACTATGTAATTGACTTGTAGCCCAGGGGCTCCCTGCTATCTCCTACTGTGATTTTTCTAATTGCTGGTATCTCTATAAAACTTGAGCTCAGATGCATAATAAAAATACCTTATTTACATTCCCTGCTGGAGTACAATGGTGAGAGTAAGCAAAATATAAACTTCATAAAAATGTAAAGTTTTTTTTTTAACAAAGGTAACTCCTTTTCTGTATTTCTTAAGATTCTAGAAATGTGATTGGCTATTGTCATTACTCTAGTTGCACACTACCTGAACACAGGAAAAAAAAAGAAAGCCCTAGCTGATGAAACCATTTCTTTCTGATCCATCATGAAAAACACAAAGATGAGAGTAAACATTATAATCAACAGTCTAACTGTGATTACCATGATGTTCCCAACAATTTGCTTCTCTCTTGTTAAAGTCTTTTAAGAAATCTCCTTTAAATACCCTCTGGTTCACTCTAAACCCTTGATGATTTTCAACTGATTAGGACAGCACTTTCCCACTGCTTTGATGAATAATGAGAACTGGTCCATGTCATGACAGACTAGAACTATGGCCAACTCTCACAAATGAGAATCATTAACAAAGTTAATGCAAAGTAGGAATTCTTTCAGTGAAGGCGTTCAGATTTCCATCTGGCCAGGATTACTACGTTCTGCCCCTTGCCCTTTAGGTTAAGGTCATGAAAACAATCGTTAAGGTATCTTCTCTATTACTAATCTCATTGACCAAGCATGAGCAAGAATCCTAAACTAAACTCACAGTAGTGGCTAGGTCTTATAATAACCTTCATGAAAACAGCTTAACACAACATTCAATTTGAGAAAACATGTTTTAGTTAGCAAGAACAGAAGAGAAAGATAATGCACTTTTCCTCAAAACACAAACTTATATAATTACAAACAAAATAAGATATATCAGAATGAACATGTCTAACCTTTTCAGCATCCAATTGATGAAGTCGTGCAACGTACAGAGGAAGATAATTAGGATATGTTTCTTTCAATTCGTTATAAATGTCACTAGAATCCAGCCTATGTATGTAAGAAGGAGAGAAATATTTACTTTTTTCTTTTAAAAAGACTATTTGTCTTCTCTATTATTTAACATTGTTTGGAAGTTTAAGCCAATAAAATAAGACATTAATTTGAAATACAAGTATAGTCATTGACAAGGATTATCATTATTGGCAAGTAGTATAAATGGTTAACTAGAAAACAAAAATAAATCAAACTGGGCTGGGCATGGTGGCTCACCCCTGTAATCCCAGCACTTTGGGAGGCCAAGGCAGGCGGATCACAAGGGCAAGAGATCAAGACCATCCTGGCCAACATGGTGAAACCCCGTCTCTACTAAAACTACAAAAATTAGCTGGGGGTGGTGGCACATGCCTGTAGTCCCAGATACTCGGGAGGCTGAGGCAGGAGAATCACTTGAACCTGGGAGGCAGAGGTTGCAGTGAGCCGAGATCAAACCACTGCACTCCAGCCGGGTGACAGAGTGAGACTCCATCTCAAAAAATAAATAAATTAATTAATTAATTAAAAAAAATAAATAAATAAATCAAACTGAAAATTATTCCAATTAAGAGTTCAATAAGATATCCAAATAAAAATATGCATCAATAGCTTTCTTACATACCAGCTATTATATTTATTTAAAAGGAAGAAAAGCATATTCACAAATAGCTAGAAAGATTAAAAGATTTAAAAATGTCTCAGATCTATTAAACTTTTCTGAAAATTCTAGAAAAAATAAAAATTTAAACTTTTCTGAAAATTCCAGTCTTGAGTCAATAAAGAGTTATTCTATGTTCCCCGACGCGGAGGCTGAATAAAATTCCCAATTCTACCTGATTATATGTATCAGGATAAAAACAAATTAACATACAAACTAGCACCAGAAGTGGGTAACTTACATTAAAGTCACTTAATATATTAACAAAACTGCACAGTAGTATAAAAATAAGGTTGACCGGGATTTTGATACTATAACTAACTTTCTATGAAAATAAATTTAACTTGTAGACAACAAAATTTACACTAATTCTTAGTACAAAAAAAATTAAGTCCTGTTTTTCTCTTTTCGCTAACAATTATCCAAGGGCAAAATCAACACTTTCGTTTTACATTTTAAAACTACTGCACCTTAATTATAAATTTTTTTTTCCAAAAAATGTTCTAAGGTTTTTAAAGTTTTGCTAGGGAATGCTAATAATTTTTTGCTGTTTTCTTCTAAAACACCTATTAGGTAAACAACCTTTTCAATTTTTTCTCCATACAATTTTCCCATTTTAAGTGTGAATTTCAATGCTTTCTAGCATAGTAACAGATATATGTAACTATCACAACAGTCAACTTTAAAACATTTTTCATCAATACAAAAAGAAACCGCCATACCCTTTTGCTATCAGATCTCCCCAGCCTCCCCAGCACTAAGCAACCACTAATCTACTTTCTATCTCTATAGATTTCCTCATTCTGGACATTTAATATGAATAGAATCATATAATACATGGTCTTTTTGTGACTGGCTACTACCACTTAACATACTATTTTCAAGGTGCATTCATGTTGGAGCATGTATTAATCCCATTCATGGCTGAAAAGGAATCCCCTGTATGGATACACCACATTTTGTTTGTCCATTCATCAGCTGATGGACATTCCACCTTTTGGCCATTATGAATAATGCTGCTATAAACTGTCATCAACATGTTTTTGTGTGAATATAGGTTTTTATTTTTCTTGGGTATATACCTGGGAGTGGAACTGCTGGGCCATATGGAAACTAAGTTTAATCATTTGAAGAGCAGTCAAGATTGTTTTCCAAAAAGTCTGCATCATTTTTGTATTCTTACCATCAGTGTCTGAGGATTCTGCTTTGTCCACATACTTGCCAAAACTCATCATCTGACTTTATGATTCCAGTCATCCTAGTAAGTGTGAAGTTGTATTTCATTGTGATTTTGATGTGCATTTCCCTGAAGACTAACGATTTTGAGCATTTTTTCATGCACTTACTGGTCATTTGTACATCTTTATAGAAATATCTATTCAGATTACTCACCCATTTAAAAAATTGAGCCATTTGCCTTTGTATTATGAAATTGTAGGAATTATTTATATATTCTGGGGGCTGGGTGTGGAGGTGGCTCATGCCTGTAATCCCAACACTATGGGAAGCTGAAGCAGGAGGATTAATTGAGGCCGGGGGTTCCAGACTAGCCTGGGCAACATAGTGAGATCCCATCCCTTAAAAAAATAAGCTGGGGGTGGTGGCGTGCACTTGTAGTCCTAGCTACTTGGGAGGCTGAAGTGGGAAGATCCCTTGAGCCCAGGGGTTCAAGGCTGCAGTGAGCTATGATCGTGCCACTGCAGTCCAGCCTGGGTGACAGAGAGAGACCCTGTCTCAAAAAAAAAAAAAAAAAAGGTTAGCGTTCTTTATATATTTTGCATACAAGCTCCTTACAAATATGTAACTTGCAAATAGGCCGTTCTTTTCACTTTCTTGATGCTATGCTAAAAGCACAAAAGCTTTTAATCTTGATTAAGTCCAAATTATCTATTTTTTTTTCTTATGTTACTTATGCTTTTGGTATCTTTAAAAATCTTTTGCCAAATATAAGGTCATGAAAGTTTACCACTACGTCTCATTGAGTTTTGTAGTTTCAGCTCTTTGATACATTTTGAGTTAACTTGTATATATGATGTGAGGCAAGGGTCCAACTTCATTCTTTTTCTATATGGCTATCCAGTCCCAGCACCCTTTGCTGCAAATACTATCCTTTCCTCATTAAATGGTCTTTGCATCAGCACCCTTGCCAAAACTAAAAATTAGCTGACCATAGTCACATGGTTTTATTTCTGGACTCTTAATTCTATTCCACTGATCTATATATGTCTTACCCTTGTGCCAGTATAACACTGTCTTGTTTACTGTTGCTTTCTATTTAAGTTTTGGAATCAGGAAGTGTGAGCCCTACTTTGCTCTTCATTTTCAAGACTGTCTGGCTATTCTGAGTCTCAGGGAATCACATATGACTTTTAGAATCAGCTTGTTAATTTCTATAAAAGGATCCTGATGGGGATTCAACTGAATCATTCGATCAATATGAAGAATAGTGTAATGATATTAAGTCTTCTGGTCCACAGACAAAGAATACCTTTTCCATTTACTCAGGTCTTTTAAATTTCTTTCAACAATTGTTTTGTAGTTTTGACGTATAATTCTTACATCTCTTGTTAAACATGTTCCTACACATTTTATTTTTTTCAATGTTACTGTAAATGGGATTCTCTTAATTTCCTGTAAACTTTAAATTATTGATATATTTGGACTTAGGTCTTCGATTTTATTTTTTGTTTTTGATGTATCCTGTTTTTTTGTTCCACTGTTCCTCCTATACAGCTTTCTTTTGTATTAAGTGAATATTTTTAAATGAACATTTAAATTTATTTAATGATTTTTTTCAAGTTCATTTTTATTTTTTTTTTAGTGGTTGCTCTAAGGCTTACCATATACATCTTAACTTATAAGAATCAGCTTCAGATTTTTCCTAGCTTAATTTCAGTGAGATACAGAAATGTTATCCCTTTATAGCTCTATTCCCCTCTCCTTCCTTCTGTAGTAGTATTCTATCTGTTGTATCTATTACTGTAATACACCAATTAATTAACTGTTATAATAATTACTTTACTATCTGCAGTCATTTTTTTAGCCCAATACAGTTTTGCTCCTTTGTGCTATAAGCAAATACATATTACAGAATATTACATTTAAATATTACATAGGCCTAATATATACACAATATTTACAGAACTGCTTTTTAAATTAGTTAACAGGAAAAAAATGAGAACTTTATGCTGTCTTTTATAATTCCATAATAATTAACTTTACCAGTGTTTCTTTCCCCACTCTCACCAATGTGGATTCAAATTACTGCCAGAGATCACCTGCTTTCAGGCTGAATAACTTCTTTTAGTACTTCTTATAAGGTGGGTTTGCTAGCAACAAATTCTCTGTTTTTGTTTACCTGGGAATTATTTCATTTTCATTTTTAAAGGACAGTTTTGCTGGATATAGGATTATTGGTTGAGATTTTTGAGCACTCTGAATATATTATCCCACTGCTTTCTGACCTCTACTGTTTCTGCTCAGAAGTCAGTTGTTAACCTTACTAGCATTTCCTTGTAAGTGATGAGGAGTTTTTGTCTTGCTCCTCTCAAGATCTTCTCCTTATCTTTGACTTTCAGTATTTTTAACATGCTATGTCTATTTGTGGATTTCTTTGCATTTACTTTGAGTTCATTGAGTTCCCTGGATATGTAGGTTAATGTCTTTCAATAAATATGGGGTGTTTCCAGCCATTATTTCACTGAATATATTTTTGCTTTCTCTCTGTTCTCCTGGTACTCCTGTTCCATGGACTTTGGTGCACTAATGGTGTCCCACATTTCTCTGAGGCTCTGCTCTGTTCATTTTTTTCATTCCTTTTTTCTCCACTGTTTTTGAGAGAGCCCTTAAGGCACACGGACTTCTCCATCTTCTGTTGCAAATGAAGTCAATTCCTTCAGCAAGAAATTAGGAGCTATCAGTTTTATGAACTCCTTAGGCCACACTGGCAAAATCACTAAGCCCAAGCTCTGGAACAGGGAGTGGAAGAATGGCATGTTTTTCTTTGAGTGACACCCCCACTTAAGGAGCTTAGCACTCTCCTGTGGTCTTCTCAGCTTGCCTCGTGTGGTATGGAACCACAGCCTCCTGGGCATTGGGGCCCCAGTGTTCCCAACAGTACTTTACAAGAGAGCCCCTACCTCTTGAGAGCACTCAGCTGGAACTGAGCCGCTGCAACTGGCAGTAGGTCAGGATGAGAAATGATGACGTCCTCCTCCTCCAAGGAGGAAAGCCTTCCCTCCCCCAGGAGCTGGAGCTCTTGAAGGCAAGATCTGAAGTAAAATTTCTGGCTCATTAACTGGGAGAGGAAAGGGAGGCAGTGGTCTTGGTTCAAATATCACAGACTCTTGCTTTTCTTATCCAATTCTTGTAGGTATTTTTGAATAGATGCTTCTTCATTTGCTCAATGTCCTTTGGACCATTTCCAGAGGCTTTAAAAAGTTGTTTTGTTTTGTTTTTAAATAATTTTCACTAGTTTTACTGGGGACCAGCATCATGGGTCTCCTCAGGCTGTCATGCCAGAAGACAATCTCTGCAATTTTACTTTTGAAGAATTTATATTATATTGTCAACTGTTTATGACATCCTAAAATCAGGCAGAGACAGACCTGAAGACTTTGACTTCCAGTGGAGATACAATTTAGTTTTAAGTGGGAAAGGTATATTTGCAAGTGAACTGACATTACAATGGTTCAATCTCTGGGAAATATTTTCACATCATGATGACTTCTATTCCCTCTAAAACCATATAACTGCAAGGATGCATACATAATCAGCTGAAGAGGATTCCCATAGAATATCAGCAGTAAAAGAAATATTGCATAACAGATGGAAAAAGCAACTGACTTGACTACATAGAATAAATTTCAAGTAAAAAGCAAGCCCAAAGTCAAAGAGTACACTAGAGTAAAATCTGTGGCAAGTACAGAAAAGCATTAATATCTTTTATGTAAAAAGTTTTAATCGACCAGAAACACCTAATGTCTGAATAGAAAAAAAGGTGAAGAATATGCTCAACTGTCAGAAGCTATACTAATAACGAATGATAACATCTAAAAAGCTCTCCTTTAATAATAACTAGAGACGTAATTTAAGACAGCAGTAATGGCTGGTTTTTGCATTGTGTAGTAGCACACATACACAGCTAGATGGAGTGTAAATTATTATACTCATCTCAGAAAGCAATTTGGCAAAACACAGCGAGACGATTTTTACTTTTAAGATGCAATATGATGGAAATTTTAAAAAATCACCTTTATGTATAAAAATGTTTATCGCAGCATCATGAAGAAAAGCTATAAACATATATATGCAAAATAAAACGTTTAAATAGATTATGTTGCATCCATAGAACCATATACAACACAGACATTAAAAATAGTATTTTATACGGCTGTTAAATCATAATAAAAAAGTAACTGAAAAATGGAAACTAATTTTATTCACACTGCTACATGTACAAACACAGAGGAAAAAAATAATAATAAGAGGACAATGACTATTTATGAATTGTGGGCAAAAGTGATTTTTCTTTTTTATACTTTCCAATAAAATTATCTTCCAAGAACAAATTAGAGTGATTAAAATAAAAATTAAAACATTTAATCACAAAATTATATATTTATAATTTAAATAAATTACACATTTATATAAAAAGAGGAAAATTTAAAAGCACCTATAATCCTACCAACTGCTGTTAATAATTTTAAATACGGTCTATGTATATATACACAATATTGTTATAGTTGGGAAAATAGAACTAAACATTTAAAGAATTAAAATACATTTAAAAACCTACTTTGTCATCCACTGAATTTTAAGATCTCGTAATGCTTCAGTAAACTCTTCTTTTAAATCTTTCTCTTTTTCTGAATCTTTTTCCTTATCTTTGCTGCCATTCTTAGTCTTTGTTGGTGGAGGTATTAAGTAGTAATGAACAGGGATTACATCCTACGAATGTGGAGAGAGATTCTTAGATTAATATGCTTAATTTTACATACATCAAAATCATCTTCAACAGCTACATGTCATGTAACATGGGCTGCACCTAAGTTGTACTACACTGTATTCTAGATTCTAAGGGTCACAATACACCAAAAATTCCAATCTCTGGTCACAGTAATTTTCTCACAAACTGATGCTGAGTACTGATACTTCAAATATCTCCTTTAAAATAAAAGAGATAAGAACATACTTTTCTCCATTTGAGTATATTTGGTATTCTTGGCTTTACTTGGCAGACAGATGACAAAAGTACACTGACCTTTCACATTTTAAATCTGAGAAGGGGATGAAATAAGTTCAAACTAAGAAAAGATTCTCTAAGTAAATTTAAGGGGACGCTTATGCCTTCATTCAACCAACAGGACTTACTGAGTCCAACCAACAGGACTTACTGAGTCCCCGCGATGTGCCAGGTAATGCTAGAATAGGTAAAGAACAGACCAGATGCTGACATCTGATAGGAAGAAAACAAAACAGAAAAGGATAGAATGACTGTCAGGTAACGAGGGGGAGCCGATGGACACAAAGTGGTTATAGAAAGCCACTCTGAAGAGGTAATATCTTACGCAAACGACCCTCAATGAACAAGGAGCAGATGAGCAAGTGTAAAGACCTGAGCTGGGTATAAAGCAAGCACAGCTGTATCTTCTGAGAAAGCAGGCAGCAGCCAACTTAAGTAGGGCTTGACAGAATATGGTTTAAAAAAGAAAAGAAAAAATACTATATATTGTATTCCAAGTGCACTAAGAAGCATACCAGAAGAGTTTTACAAAAGACAGTGACATGATTAAAGATTTCTGCTTTTTGTTTAATGACTCTGGTTCCTGTATGGATTAAAATTTTGGTTTGTATTCTATTTGGAAAATAGATTATAGAGGGTAAAGGTGGAGGCAAGAAGACAACAAGTTAGGAAACAAACCTAGGAAACCCTACACTGCCTTAGACTAAAAATGGGTCGCAGAAATGGGAGAAAATGAATAGATTTGAGATCTTCTTTAAAGGTAGAACCAATGTGTTGCTGACAATGTTGAAAAATATGTGGATGAATAAGGTCAGTTAGGGATAGTGAATGGAAAAAGCAGCTCTGTGAGTGAGAAAAGGAAAGCAAAAAGCACCTGGGATCACGGAAGCCTTGAGGAAAAACCACCAAGAAGAAAGAGAAAATGATCAACTGCCCATTTAGCTGAGAGGCAGTGTACGACGAAGAAGGAAGGAACTGAAAACCCGGCAGCACAGAGCCTACTGACCCCCCCGGACAAGAACAGTGTCAGGGGACAGTGGAGCAGTCCAGGCTGGAGGAGACAGAGATGAAAAGAGAATGGAAGTCAACATGTCTGTGATTCTTTTGAGAAGTTTTGCTTTGAAGACAGCAGCAGAGAAATGGAGAGTAACTGTATTTATTTTATTCACAGATAAGTCTTGACTTGTGAAAGGTAAAGCATTATTTGGGAAATGAAATCACATGCTATACCTGCTAGATTTGTTTTTGGCACAGTAACTGGGTGTCCTTAATTAAGTCGTTATTTATTAAGTCAGTTCCTCAAATTCTATCTTCAGGTTTGCATTTAAAATGGTGCTAAATTAAAATACTATATTCATTTTAATTAACAAAGTTTGTAAAACTGAAACAAATGTTCCCAAAAAGACATTCACTGAAAAAGCTTTACTCTGGTTGAGTAAAAAAATAATACTGCAAGTCCTCACCTCCCGCAAATAGGATTTTTAGGAGCATATACGACACAAATATTCCCATTTTAAATATTTTCACCAACACAATTTCGGGGTATAAAATGATGTAACAGTAAACAACAGGAACTATGGTTGTAGTTCTAATAGTATTCCAACACAAAATAATAATCCTATCTCCACACTGACTCATTTAAAGCACAGAAAACCACTTTGATGTCAGATAACCATATAAATCCATTTGTAGCCACTGGCTGTCATTCTCCCTCTGAGGTCAGGGGGCCAGAACCTGTAAACAAAGGCCTCACGTGAAACATGAGACTGGGAAAAGGAAACAGGTCTATTGCTTGGGCTAGCTCTTTCAGGACCCAGCTGCCTGTCCTGCTCCTCTCCTTCTTGAGGTTCACTCTCTGGGTAGGCACTGCCCTGAGCAAAGCCAAGGTAAGCGCAAAATCTGAGCTGATCTTCTACCACCAAGTTCTTATGGAAACAGACTGCATCAGTGTCATCTGTACAGCAAAGACAACACATCTAGGAATTAAAGGGGCTAAGTGGCCTCCAATATTTACTTTCTGTTAATATAGCTCCATTCTCCATGGAATTGAGCTTCTCTGCCACCCAGTGTGCTAGAAGAGTGGTCTCCAGTCTTTCTCCCTGAGCTTCCCACACCTCCTCACCGTATCAGGGAGAGAGGTATGCTGCTCTTAGGCAGGCAGCCTATGTGTTGTGAGGCACTTCCTCCTCAGACTCAGAGGTATTTGCTATTGTTTTAGTACAGAAGAGAAAAGAGAATTGAATTTAAAATGAACAATCTATTAAAATTAATTTAGGATTTACAATTAATTCTAACAAAGACCTATCAAAAGTGGGAAAAAAGATATCCTAGTAACCTTAGACTATCATTAAAAGCAAAAAAAGAGACAAAGAAAGTTTATGATGAATTATCTTAGTGAAACAAAAATCAAGGTTTTGTAATCAGCATTTTACATGTTAAATATATCAAATTAACAATTATAAATGTTAGTGTAATCCTACAAGATGTTTCAGGACAGGGAATTTTTTATTAGTAAAAATTATAAACCTGGTAGTTTTAATTTCTAATCAAAAGAAAAATGGCGCTATTTTCACTTGCTGTATCACAATAATTTCTTCTTTGTGCCAATAAATATTAATATTTTTATGACAATTCTCAAGGGGTTAACATAGTACCAATTTAATAGAAATAATTTTGTACCTTTATTCTTGAGAAATCTTGATTATGGTTTAAAAAGACAGTCAAGAAGAATCTTCAGAGCAGAAATGCTATGAAGATTTCTCTACAGTATATATTTAATGTTAAGTTTAGAAAAAAGGCATTCCAGCTATTCATGAAGTATTTCAACAGTGTTCAAACTGAACAGTGTTATTCAGAAAGTCAAACTCACCTGCCAAACCAATAACTACTCTTTGGGCAACACAACGCACTATAAGTTAAATTGTGGTTCAAAATGGCAATTTCTTTAGTTCTTAAAATTGTTAGTAACTGAATACTCAAAAATTTAAAAGCTTCACATAAACTATTTTTAAAATTTATATCATATTTGAATGCTATTTATGATCTGTTAAAAGTGACAATATTCAGGCTGGGTGCAGTGGCTCATGTCTGTAATTTCAGCATTTTGGGAGGCTGAGCCAGGAGGATCGTCCGAGGCCGGGAGTTTTAGACCACCTTGGGCAACATACGTAGTAAGACCTCTCTCTATAAAAAGTAAAAATTAGCCAGGCATAGTGGCACACGCCTGTAGTCCCAGCCACTCTAGGGAGGCTGAGGTGGGAGGATCACTTGAGCCCAGGAGCTGGAGGCAACAGTGAGCTACGATCATGCCACTGTACTCTAGCCTGGAGTGTAGAGTGAGACTGTCTCTTAAAAAAACATACAAACAAACAGAAAATATATTATTGCATTTTACAAGGAATTTTAAAAAGGGTGACATACCGTTTCAAATCAAGTCACTGAAACCCAGAGGAAAAAATCTATTAAGAATTATATACAAAATGCTATTTATCTTAATCAACCGGAAATTATACATGTATTTTTTTCTTTGTAATGTGACTATAAAACTGTAATACTAATTATTTCTAAAATAAGAGCTTTATTGTGTACTTGCATTGAAGACAGAAAGGAACGAGCAGAGATAACTCTAGCTGCCAAGTTCTTCAAATGAAGCTTTACTAATCACCAAGTAAATGCCTTCCTATTCATTCAGTGTTTTCCTAACTATACAACCTAATTCAAACAAAATCTACCCAAACTTGCAAAAGGTCAACAAAAATAAGAAGAAAAATAATTGGCTATGGCCTTCGTGATAAGTGCCTTCTATTTTTAATAGATTCCTAGAATACCTATTCCTTGTTCTCTAAAGCAGTAACTTGCAAACTATTTTTACAATGTCCCAAAGATATACACATTAATACATAAAATGAAATTACAATTTTATGAGTCTGATGAACTGACATTTCCTATTTTAAAAAAATGCTGTTTTTATCCCATTACGTGGCCCCCAAACGGTCAAGACACCCAGTTGAGAAATACTGATCTTTAGATCTTTCTCCAGAAAGATGATTCCTAGTATCTGTATTTTGTTTGGACAAATTATTTACTATTATGTAATAATATGGACATTTCAGAAGACATTTTAATAAAGGATAAGCTGTTATAGAATGGTGATTCCCCAGTTCCATATCACTACTAATTAACAAGTATACATTAGGACATTACTGATTTTCCCACTGTAATTCTTTCTGTTTAAAAAGAAATCATGAAAATGTTGAATGACGTAGCACGTCTTCACCAGAAAGCTTATTAAATATGTGGTCCCTTTTATATATATATATATATATATATATATATATATATATATATATATATATATATATATGTATGTATGTTTTGTTTTGAGACAGGGTCTCACTCTGTCACCCAGACTGGAGTGCAGTGGTGTGATCTCAGCTTACTGCAGCCTCCACCTCCCAGGCTCAAGCGATCTTTCCACCTCAGCCTCCAATAGAGTAGCTGGGACTATAAGTGTGTGCTACCACGCCTGGCTAATTTTTGCATTTTTTTGTAGAGACAGGGTTTCACCATGCTGCCCAGGCTGGTTTCAAACCGCTGAGCTCAAGGGATCTGCCCAACTTGCCCTCCCAAAGTGCCGGGATTACAGGCATGAGTCACTGCGCCTGGCCCTAAAATATATTTATAGCAGACATTTTCTTTTCTGAGTTAAATCTGGCCCCAGCAGTAAATCAAAGATTGCTTAATATGCTGCAGAGAGGCTGATCAGACCACTTAGTAGCGATGGGCTTAAAATCTGTGTTCTTAGCATAAGCTTTAATTGTCAGTGAACAGTCCTTATTTCTGTTCCTGCTACATCCATTGATCTTTATTGTTTCTCTTCTTTCAGAACCAGAATGGATACAAGAGCAGGGAATAAAGTTCGCTTTAAAAAGCTGCAACATTTTATTAATCAAATCACCCAATTTAAAAGTGCTTTTAGACTTTAAAAATAAGTGCTTTAGCTTATATGGCTAAAAAAAAAAAATTATCACATCCATCTCTCTATAAAATTGTAAATATGAAAAATTTCAAATATTGCTACTTGTTATCATATCTGTAGCAAGAAATGAATAGCATTAAAATTTTTGTATACACAGAGAAAATGAGTCATCCAGGAATTTATGGTGGGGAAAAAAAAAAAAACCTTTAGAAAAGCAGTATGTCAACAATGCTTCTAAGTACAGCTAAGAGCACTATACTTTAGAATGCAAAGAAAGGAAACTAAGGGAGACTTATTAAAAAAAAGGTTTATAATAGTGACAGAAAAAAGTTTAATATGCAAATAAGGCTTTAAGACATCTTTTTTAAGAACTGACAATCAGTACCTTTTTAAATTTTCCTTGTCGTTTTGCTGCAGACTGCCCCTGGGAGTTAGAACGACATTCTGTAAGAAAACATGCATAATCTACACAGGATGGAGACAGAACCTCTGTCTAATTGTCTTTCAGTTTATGTTCCACCTGTGTTACACCACTTAGAAGGCTCAGGTCTGTGATTAAGATGGCATGCTTTTAAAGAAAGCAACATTGCCACTTTCATTCCTTACATAAGAAAAAGTACTCAAATATGTTATTACTAAGAGTACATGTCAACTTCTTATTGAAAAATTTAGTAGATCAAAATCTATTGCTTATAAAAGCATTTCTTAAAATAGTAAATTTAGTTGATGGTCTAGTCTGATTAAAGGGTACCACAACAACCCCATTGCCTATGCATTCTTATAAAAAGCAACAAAGTTACTGTGAAAGTCAAAGTGAAGTGAAAGTTACCTTCCCAACTACCAAAAAACAAGAAAACGCTAAACCACTGAGAAAAGATTACATAAACAATGTGATGGAAGTTATAATGAACTCAACAGCTTTAAGTTACTGCTTTCTCCCAGGAAGGTCTCCCTTGATAAATAGCTACCATAGTTAACACCACATATTTATAATTTAATTTCACAATTGTCTCCTAAAACAATGTAACTGGGAAGTAGTAACTATTTCTGAATTGCTAAAAGCCCACTTTTACTAATAATGCTTTTCTGTTATACTCTTCACAAGTAAGCAGACTCTTCAAAGTGTCATCTGTCATCTGAACGAAAATTCACAGCTGACGCCCAATAGCTGGAGCAGCTATGCTTCCTGTGAAATGAAATCTACAAAAAAAACTACCAGGGTTTCTTAAATCAGTGCATGTATTAATTACAAACCATTAACTATTGATTTACTTCAAATTATACTAAAGTACGTATGTATAAACAGTATAAACTGAAATGAGACCCAAGAAATGTCAGGGTAGGCAACTTTCTAAGCACAAGTTTCCCCAATTATGCTTCAATGACAGTAAATAAATGGCTTTTGGTTCAATAGTGGCAAAAAATAAATATAATTCTTAAGATGTATGAGAACTACTCATTTTGATAACAGCATTTATGTAGCAGGCTTACTTAGCTCTGTAAGAAGTAATAGTACAGAGAAATGCAAAACTGTTAAGAATGACAACTTTTACTGGCATTGAGCTAAAATGATTATTATGACAAAAGGTGATAGATCTATATAAACATCATTCTCATAATAAATTTGTAATGAAAACATAGAAGGAAAAAACAAAAACAGGTAGGTACTTATAAAACTGTAACATATATGTCTAAAGTACAACAACCAGAAACATATTTCTAAAAAAAGCATCATTTTGAAATTAAAAGGCAATACCAAAAGAAACATCTCATATTTTCCTACTTAACCATGTGAAATTCCAATGAGATAGGTCTGTAGAAGTGTGAAGAAACATGTTTTAGGGTAATTGTTCTGACTACTTTTTAAAAGCACCCCAAGATAATCTGATTTATTCCTATGTCCATAATCTTATATGGACAACCAATCTTATTGGTTAAATTTCTATAACATGTTCTAATCTTAAATATCACATGTATTTAAGCCAAGTTTGATTTGTATTTACATGTTTCACAGGAAGTTCAAGTGTATTAGCCGTAGGAGGTAAGACAGGTTCAGGGCCTGAGTACTGTAGGCTTGTGAAAAAGAAGCCTAAATATTTCAAAAGTAGCATACATTTTAAAAGACAACTAAATATTAACTGACTTTCACTAGTAACCTGGGAAAAAAGGATTAAATTTTTTTCCCCAAGAGTATATCTTCTCTTTTATCCATTCTGAAATGTGGAATTAATTCTTATCTTTAAAGAAATGAAATTTTTTAATAGGTAATTTCAGTGTTTAAAAAACTAATACTTACAGCTTTCTTTCCTAGTTCAGTCTTTGACAATGTTAAGGATCCTGCAAGATAGCATCCAGGTCCTGCCCCTTTAGGTATTCTAAACAAGAGAATTCAAAGAGAAAAAAAGCAACAAAAGAGAAAGTTTCACAAAGACAAGTAAGGGGAAAAACATGAAAACAATTCCACACTGAATTCATTCCCATAGCTAAGACTTCAAAAATCAAAGGAAGAAATACTTCAGCCAAAAAAAAAATGACTACATCCTCTAAATTTAGCCTAGATGTCATAAACTGACATTAAAAGGACTACAGTGTATACGATGGGCAGTAAGTATAAGCAATGTTATCACTTACTTATCATCAGGTAAGGAAGTAACAAAGAATGGCTGGTTATATTTGGGTGGTAATGTCAAATTGCTTGATTTCTTCTTCCCTAGAAGTGCAAAACTATGATTTTCATGAATATCTAAGCTCAAGGTATTAGACAATCTATGAGAAACAATAAATGGAAGGTCTTTAAGGCGTTCCAAATCACTGATTTGCTCATGGCGAATCTGTAGTCGAATTGTATAATCTCCTTTCTCCAGTTTCAAAGAATACTGAAAAAGAAAAACAACATTTGGGAAAAGTTAAGTTTAACCAAGTCAACGGAAATCACTGAAAGAGGATAAAGTGAAAGTTACCATTCACAGACTTGTTCATAATATGTGAGGTACAGTGCAAGGAACTAACTATCCAGACGTTCATATAACACATAAAGTCCCTAGTACGCTGGTGAGCAGACAGGATCAGGGACATCAAGTGACTTGCCTAACATCACACAGAGTAAAGTATAAGAGAGCTGAAGTCAGGTCTGACTTCAAAGCCCTCATTCTTTCCAGAACGACAGAATACTCCCACACTTTTAGCAAAACTCAGTGTCTGCTTGAGAATGACAAAAGCAGTGATTTTCTAGTTCATGGGTCCCTCAGAGACATATAAGAAACACTACCAAAAAAATGAGCAAAATTGAGGCACCATAGAATATCTAGGACAAATACACACACACACACACACACACACACACACACACACACGTGTAACTTATGACTACTGGTAATCCTTATTTCCTTTTAGAGAGGGGGACTCACTATGTTGCCCAGGCTGAAGTGCAGTGGCTGTTAACTGGTGCAATCATAGTGCACCATAGCCTAGAGCTCCAGGGCTCAAGCGATCCTCCCACCTCAGCTTCCTGAGTAGACGGGATCACAGGCATGTGCCACCATGCCCAGCTGATCTTCAAATTACAACCAAAATGTCACTCCTTTATTACAGACAGGAAAAAAACAGGAAACCAATAGAGATCAAGGGATACAAATCTATTATCCACTTAACAGGTTCAAGAGGAAGAGATGCTGTATCCTGTGTCAGCCACTTTTTCTGAGATTTAAAAAGTAACCAAAATAATAGCACTGCAGTAGGCCAGTCTGTAATGAGATGTGACTGCTACTTGCTTTGAGGAAAATCGATACCATTCCTTTAACAACTAATTGAAAAAAATCTCCATAAATTATTTTCATTTGTCAACATAAAATTATACATATTACAGGAAATATCTCATTTCTTTGCAGTAATATCTAAGGGATAAAATGTCTATAAATTATGTGATTTTTCCCTTCAATAAAACAGCACAAAGCATAGTGCCTGGTATGTAGTAAGTGCTCATTACAGAGTTGTCCAACGAGGTAGTAAATTTAAAAGTACAAATGAACTGAAGACATGCGGCCACTGCTGCAGTGCTCTCTTTAGCCCCCTCAGACTTAGGATCATTTCAAGAGGCTCGCATCTCTTTGATGCATGCTTTGATGATTCTACCTTCAGATAGGTAGAATCAGTGTATAGGAAGGAGAAACACCACACACCAAAAGTTATGCTGGCCAGTGTGGGCAAGGTTCACCCTTGTCCTCCTCTAATTCAGCACAACTACATGGTGAAATAGTTGACACCATCTGTTCTTCACCGACTACAACAAACAGGCTCTCACAGTTTGCAAAAGTACTAAACACAAAGCTATAATTTTTGTTTTTTTTAAAGTATGAACATTACCATAACAAGAAACCAGGATTTTGTTAGTTCAGGAAACAGCTTCCGTTAATTCTAAAAATCACCATCAATTTTATACCTGATGTGGATAGGCATCGCCTGAACCCATCTGTCTTTTGTTCTGGTCAAAAATAATCCACAGTTGGCTGTCAAATTCAGATTCATATAATAGTTCACAAAGTAGTGGGCAGCTTGGAGTTACTTCCCCACTCTTGGGCTATTAAAAAACAAAAAAGATTACTTGGCATGATTTGCATATAATTTCTGATACAAATTTTTAATATTGTTATTGACATGAGACTTTTTCATTTAAAAAACATTAAAAATACTTGTGGTAAAAAATTTTGAAAATATAGAACACACAGTATTTTAGCACTTATAAAAGTCACTGCTCTCTTACAAACTTTTAAAAATACACACCTGGCTATGTGTATTCATTAATAAAGCAACATATACATACTTCAGGACCTCTAATTACTTTATAAAACTGAAATGTGAAAATTCACTGAAACCAATCCATTTCCCTAACATTATAACCAAACTGATGTGTGTTTCAGTAACAGTTTTATTGAAATCTCATTGATCTTACAACAATTCTTTGGTCCAGCATTTACACTGGCCTCCATTACTTTTGCCACCCATCCCACCTGGGAGCTACTCTGACCTTTCCCTGTTCCAGTGCCTTCTTCGCAGAAAGCAATCAGGCCCAGCACCATCACCAGAAGGCAGATGGTATTTCTGAGCCATCTAATCACCCCTGGGTCAGATGGCACCAATGGACAGTGATCAGTGATTTTATAAACTAAGGCTTAAGGCTAGGTCACCACTCAATTACATTTTGTGACTTTACAACTGAATGGTATTTAATTACAAATTATAATTTCCTAAAGAGTAATTCCAAATTAACTGTTAATCACTTGATTCTGTTTTTTATATATACCATATACACTGTCCTTCCATTTTTGATTCTATGAATCATAAATAAAACACAAAAGTTCATCCTAAGGGTACACTTTACTAGGCAAACACTTACTTGATGAAAGTTATATGTCAGGACCATCTCATAAAGTTGACGGTTATTTGGCAAAACATCTCTTGATCCTAAAGGTTTTGTTTTTGCACTCACTGGGCTGTAATGAGGAAACTACATAACTGGTTTGATTCAAGAGTTCATTGAATGAGACAAATAAAACCATATGCAACAAAATCTGTAACATATTGCAAAAAGTGCAGATGAACCTTCCTGAGAGCTATCCTTTTCAGTATACTCTACAATATTTTAATCACTAACTTACATAATTATTTGATTGAATCATATCAATACATACAGTTTAGATTTTGCAATAAATATGACAAAGGCAATCTTTTCATGGCAAAAACATTTTCAAATGTGAACAAACAGCTCTCAATACAACCAAATCCTAACACTAGGGTGACAACTAAAAGTGTTGCAAGACAGGTTCTGATTTGTACCCCTTGTGCAAACTGTTGACAGTACTGTGTTGTGTGCAGCACAGACCTCCCCAGACCCCTGCTGCTCACCAGATGGCAGGGGCCACACTCAGCCCTCCTCCTGGCCGAGGGAATGTTATTTCATATTTTTAGTAGTCCTCTGAAGGAAGTTGCTAATGTACAGATTTTATAAAGGAGAAAACTGACACTGAAGAGTAAGTTTTAAATATAGTTTAAAATGTCAGTGAAACATAATCTACTCTAAATTTAGCTCCAATTTTTTAGATTTAGGAAGAAAACATCAGGATGATATAAGTTGGATATATCTTCAAAAGCTGGATGTTTTAATTTTTATTGATAATTCTAGGAAGCAGTATATCTTTAGACATCACCGTGTCACTGACTATTGTCCCTAATTGGTTATTTTAATACACTTAAGACTAGGCTTCATGCCGATGAGTTAAGGTCAGATTAAACAAAAGAAACCAGGTATCTTTATAACACAGTGAGTATGTGAACACAGGTCAAGGTGCCCTGCTTTTGTAAGGGGAGCTGCTGAGGCACAAACAGCAGGCTACAGTACTTAAGTTTCTACCATTTAATAAACAGTTTCTAATGGTATTGCAGTTTCTAAAAATGACTGCATTAGGATTCACAAAATAATATCAGAGAGAATGTTAACTTGCTATTTTACAGCAAGAAATAAAAAGGTTAATGTCCACTGATCCTAACTAGTCATGACTGGGATCGGCTATCCACCATCCTTGACTTTGCTGGTCAGGTGGGACAGTGAAGCTAGAAGCTGATACTGGGGCTGCCTTGCAGAGATCTGCTGGCAAGGATAAAATTCTCACCTCTAGCATGCAGGTGGATTAAAAAAAAAAAAGGCCCTTTTTTAAGAGTGTAAGAGATCCCCCCAATCTATATTCAATATCTGTAGTTCCTAAAACATTGAATGATACCGCAGTGTTTGGACCCAGTTCTTCAAAGTTATGCAGGGAGCCAGATCTTCGTATTTCAAGGAGGACTGAACATCAAAGCGGTTGATTCCTTCCGATGCATGCTACAAAGGATTTCTCAAATTACTTTCTCAAACTTTACTAAAAATAAGCAATATTTTGTACCTAAAATAAATGTGTCCAATATAAAGTTTATAAGTACCCACACACAAAGCCTACTGCTATCTTCAGAACCACAGGTAATTTCCCCTCATTAAAGTTTAAATCTAACCAATGAAGTTACTCTCCAGTAACACAAGTAACTGACATTAAAAATCATGAAAATGTTGTGGAACTTACAATGTTTAACTGAGGAGCAGTACACACTATCCCATGGAAAGAAATGGTATAATCAATGTTGACATCACTGAGACTTGCCCACCAACGAGCAATGCAAAATTCAATTGCTTTTCCACCCTGCAAATAAAAGTAAATAAAATATATCTCTTTTCTTATTTTTCTCAAATTACAGAATATAAATACTAGCTGTTTCAGAGCAATTCTGTTTTCAAACTTTTCCTGTTTGTAGCAAGAAAACTCAAAAATTTTAACAGCTATGCTAAGTAAGAGTTAGACAAATCATTTGCAGAGATATGGTGTATTTAAATATACATAGTTATTTACTCATAACCCTATGCTTCTTGTCATAAAAGATCCTAGGCAGCTTCTGAAAGCACATATAATAAAGCAAATGTGATTTTATTATTTCGAAGTGAAATAAAAAATTAGGACCAAAAGAAAAATAATCAAGTATAACGACACAATAAAGATACTTCAACTTTGTAAGGCATACTCAATAGGCACAATTGAGTTTGGGCTCACAGCTACCTGGCAACCAAAACAAAATGACATTATGGTCATTTACATCTTTCTCCCTATTAAAAAATAAAGATAAGGAAAAGGAAAAAAAAACACCTGCTCTTAGCACTGAGTTTTAAAGTAAGTTTTCTAGTAATCAGTGATTTAAAAGTTTAAAAAGATGAAGCAACACTGATCCATGGAAGAACACAAATGAAAGTAACCAGAAACCAAGAGATACTGGGAAAATCCCAGAACCAACTGAAAACACAAAGGAGCGCATTGAAGGAAGAACATCAGTACTTTCACCTTCTATGGAAGAAAGACTAGTCATCATTTCCAACACCACAGATAAGAATGCAGTCTGCCATCATCTGAGATAACTTAGACATGAAGCAGTAGCAGTTTTCCTATAATGCAAATTAGCCTCATAGCTTAACAACACAGCATTAGTAAAATAAGTTAAGTGACAAGCAAACAGGTCTTAAAGAAATTAATCTATAGTACAACAAAGAATAATCTAAATCAGGGTCCTAACTACAAGGCACGAGAATCTACCAGACTAGTATGTTTCTTTGACTATGCTATTCAAGAATTACAGCCATAATTACCTCCAACTTGATTTCAAGTACCCTGATTAGATTTTCTATTTTTCTACTTCATTTTTTTGGCATTAAAAAAATATATAATCCCAACATGCTAAATACAAACTATAAAATCAAATGCAAATACTTAGTCTTAGCCCATACCAAAAAGGCAAATAAATTGTGTTAGGATTATAAACTATAATTAAACTTACTAGGACAGGAAAAGCTTCAGTCAGTGTTCCTTTCTCTGGAAGAGAACAAAACTTATAGAATTCATGGCTTCGATATGCTCTTTGCTTCACAAGCTGGACTGCATGTAGAACAAACTTTGCTGACACCTCAGAAGAACACGAACACACTGTCACTTCTAAAATAAGAAAGAAAGAAGCAAAGCTTTAAACTTATAAGACCTAAAATTGACATAAAGTGGCTTTAATAATGCCCACTTAGGGATAATTCCCATGTAGGGACATAATAGGGATCAAAAATAAAATGTACACTCAAATCTGCATATTTCCATAAAAACAAAGAATCAACAAAATATTAATAAAGGTAGAAGACTAGAAGATTTTCTATGGGAACGAAAGAAACTGGTATTAAAATGAACCACCACCATGAGGCTGCAAACACCTGGAAACAGCAAGCTGTCCATAGATGCATACACAATTACATTAATCGGGTACCTTTTAAAATCCCTCCTTGTTTTAGCTGAAAACCAGTCAATTCCAGATAAAGTAAGGAAGGTTATATTTTTGGAAACCTCTATTTGTTATCATGCCTCAATTCCTCATTGATAACTTTTCCTAATCTCTCTTCTTGGTCTACTTGTGTACTGTGTGCGTCTACAAAGCCTGGCACGACTACTTATGCTTAACTTTACTCTGAGCCAGCGCTGGAGGTAAGCCAAGATCACCGCAATGCCAGATTGGCAGCTTTTCTAAAGAACACCCAAGCTAATTCAAGGGAACTGAAGCAAGGCGCAATGCCGTGGCTCATAAAACCAGGTGTGCAGAGAGCTCTCAGAACCTAGTCAGTTGCTAAGAATACAAAATCTAGTGTTATGACAATATTTCTAATTATTTGAAATAAAACTAAGACTGTTAAATTCTCTTAACTACTTGCATTCTAGATCATTTGATAATTTTTATTTAAAAAAACAAATTATTTTCAATACCAACCTAAACCAATCATAAATCAGTGCCATTTATCACTAAACAAGTACCCAATTCAGTATTAATTAACCATAGATTTGTATTCTTTAATTTACCAGTGCACATTTTACCAGAGCCTGGAGCTCTACAAGTCCCAGGGGCCCTATGAGAATGGGACCCCAGGAATGCTGAACACAGCAACTCTGACTCCACCCTCTAGAAGTACTGTCAAGTGTGAGCGTAATCCCAACGAAGACAAGCTATGTACCAAGTACTATAAAATCCCTAATCCTTACAACAGACTAACGACTATATTTACAGTTGAAACAGAAGTCCAGAAAATTTAGAAACCTGCCCCCAGGTAACCATTAGCGTATGGCAGAGTGTGGATCCAAACCCAGACTTCTCAATTTCCAAAGCCCGTGGCCTTGCCGCTACTCTGTGCTGCCTCCCTCTAATCCAGTTCTCTTAACTGCAATATCTTGGACTAGATGCTCTCAAGGCCTCTGGAAGCAGGGTCCTTGTCTAAGTAGCTCACCACCTTAGCCCACTGAAAAGGGCCTGGCACAGATGGTACAGAAAAATATGCTTAATGAATGAGTGTAGTACAACCCGATTATCCTCAGAAGCCTCTCACTGCTGCAATAGCTCCATTATAAACCAGTGTGCAAATTAACAGGCTATATTGGGTGCTGTTCAATTCACTGCTTTAGCTCTCAGCTTTTGCTATTATTTTGCCTTTACCTAATTACAAAAAACAAGAAAAGTCTGGTATTTCCTGTGATACCAGGTGACAAACAGATGGACAGCATACAGATAGATGACCAGAAAATGGTATGGGGAACCAAATACAACCAGTTATTCCCAAACCAAGTCATACATGTGTGATTTCAATATTTCATTTTCAATAAAGTCTCAGATGTAAATATATCTGTACTTTCATACAAGTACAAAAAACACACTCCTAAGTAAAATACAAGCCATTTTTACTAATGACACCTATCTACCTTATAGGGTTCTGACGGGACTAGACAAGATAATCTCTGTAAAGTGCTTAGCAGAGGGGCCAAATCCAAGAAGTATCAACAATGCTGGCTACTAATTTAAATTGGGTGACACTTTCTTGACTGCCCGTATTTGCTTCCTTCTATCAATGGGAGTGAGCTCTGACAACTGACATACCCTTCTATACTGACTGCTAAATTGTAAATTTAGGACACACAACTTGTGAAGGAAAATATGGTACACCCACAGCTCTTGTAAAAAAGAATGACATGAGCACTCTCACAGGACTATAACATGTTAATTCAAGAGCTTTGTGTTAGGCAATCATTTACTCTCAAAATTTCAGAGACACTGAAGTGAAAATCTTCTATAAACAGAGCTTCAAAGATTAAAGCTCTATTTCTAAAATTCTGAGAGTTTAACAGTTTGAGGTTTAAGCAACAGCTGCATTGTTTAAACTGATTTGTAGTATTTTAAAAATTAGGCCGGGCACAGTTGCTCATGCCTGTAATCCCAGCACTTTGGGAGGACGAGGCGAGTGTATCACGAGGTCAAGAGATCGAGACCATCCTAGCCAACATGGTGAAACCTCGTGTCTACTAAAAATACAAAAAATAGCCTGGCGTGGTAGCACACGCCTGCTAGTCCAAGCTACTCGGGAGGCTGAGGAAGGAGAATCGTTTGAACTGGGGAGGTGGAGGTTGCAGTGAGCCGAGATCATGCCACTGCACTCCAGCCTGGCGACAGAGTGAGACTCTGTCTCAAAAAAAAAAAAAAAAAAAAAAAAAAAATTATTACCAGGTAAGGCATTATTCTAAACTAAGCTCAAACCTTAAATATTAAAAACATCTTAAGATGGCTTAATTTCCTGTATGGGCCAATGCAAAATTGTACTAGATCTTAAAAACGTTTTGAACTTTACAGAAAGTCTAAGGTACCCAAATACATATATTAGTACCAGGGAAATACATGCTACAGATAAACGAACCTCATACAGCTATAGTCATTAGAACGTAAACAGAGATAAGCGGTCACACAGATTTTAATTTTACCTACCAGCCCATGTTGCACCCTCAGGAACCTCAATAAAATGCCTTCGAATTTGACCAGGTTTAAAGTGTACATCTGTAAAGGCTAGATCATAATGTGATGATTCATTTACTCTGAAAATTAATAAAAGTAATTAAATGTATATATTTATTATAAGACCACAGATACTCTAGATTTCATTGGATAAACGCAAAATAACAATTCATTGGAAATAAACACAGGGACTTAGAAGCTGGTTACAAAACAGTAGGTACGATATTGTTCAATTTTTGCAGTAGGTTAGCAGAGATAACCTCTGAATAGCAGAGTATAGATGATTCTACTTTTTGCCTATTTTATGATTTGTAAGATACATTCACACACACTATTAAAAAAGCATTCTCTTTTTTGTTAAAGGCATTCTACAACATTCACAGAATTTTCCAATTACCAGATTCCAAACTACAGTGAGTCCTAGATATTAAAATCAATGATAAAGTTTTATGTCACTGGTATTATAGCTATGAGACTTGTGTTAAATTAAGCTCCTCCTGTAGCTTCAAAACACTCCCATGATGTAAAACAGTAAAGAAAGGCAAACTACTTTCAAAGCACTTTTGTAAGAAATCAATGAAATAAAGTTCAAATGCATAACTACCCACCACGGAAACAAATTTTATGCTAGAGACAAATTCTTGTCAGTAGGACAAACGGTTAAATGAGTGCCTACTACATGAGGCCCTGTTATTAGGAGCTAGAAACGTAACAAAGAAGAAAATATGATTCTTTAACCTAGACAATCTAGCATGGAGAGAATCATCATCAGAGACATTTAACATAAGATGCTCCAGATAGACAAGAAGAGTTACGGAGCCTGGGAAGCTTCCTGAAGGAGATGGCGTGGCAGCTGACTCCTGAAGGTCTTACACATTACCTGGTCTAAATTACTACTGGACTTCGAGGGAATATACGGCTGAGAATTTAACTGTTGCACAATTTTTCCACATGTATACCACTTTTTAAATTTATTCTCCTCAATTTCATCCTGTGTTTCTCATGGGCTGAGATCTATTGCATACTTAATATTTACCAGAGTAACAGAACTGTTAGTTTAGAATTTCCACTTGGTTTCCAGTACTCTCACAATCCCAATCTCACCTTCATCCACTAGATAATTTATTTTATACATCCTGTATAACAGTAGTCTCTGTGCCTTCGGTGGGCTCACAGTGAAAGAGTGTAAGTTAAATAAAAAATTACAATATATTGGCTAAAGTCTGTCCAGGGGCACGTAAAATGTGCCACGAAGCAGAAAGAAGGGACTCCCTTCACCCAGGGATGACCAGGAATGCACCTGGTCATTAACTGAAGAGACAGGAAATTGAAACCAAGTTATCAGCTGTGCACATGCACAAATCCTGAGAATCCTCAAGTGCCAAAATCAGTGAGTTGGCCAAAATGTGTAATTTGGTGTACGGAATGACAGGAAACACTGGCTAGGGCTATAATTGTGAGGGAGCATTGTTTGCTATTTTAAGGAGCTTGAACTTGACCTTTGGAGGTGCCACTGATATACTTTAAGCAGGAAGTAATATAATCTGCTGATTTTTCCTTGGTTCCAGAGGAATAAGATGGGAAGTTAAGAGTTTCTTAACTTCTGCTTCTACAGTAGATAACTAGAAAAGTGGAAGCATTAAGAGAAGAGAGTAAATCCCAAAAACGACAGAGACAAAAAGGGCAGGAATGGAGGGGAGTGAAGTAATATTGTCAAATACTACAGTGGGATCGGGTCAGACGAAGCCTGAGTTATCCTCTGAACTGGGCAATGCAGAGCTCAGAGTGACTGTGGTGGAAATAGTTTTGATGCAGAGGTAGGGCAGATGCCAGGTGCCATCAGTTACTCTCAGAGCACACAAGAGTCAGTATGGCTGACTACATGACACCTAAAAATGCTAGCTGGGAGCAGAACTAAGACAAAATCCCCATTACCTGGTTCTGTATTAGTGATCATTAAAAGTCCACAAGACTCCATGAATAGTCATTAAAATCTTAGATGTACCAGTAAGCTGTGAGTAACCTGTTACTTACTTTGCTGCTATAACTGCAGTGATCGGAACTCTGAAGAGCGGACCTGCGTTAGGGGATGCTATATCATAGCCACATACCTTGAAAAAAGAATCGGTAAGTGTCAATATCCATAAACAAATGTTTAAAAGAGCGGGGGAAGGTCTAAACTACTGACAGAATAAATCAATCTACTTTTAATCAAGGTCTTAACCAGAGGTTGACACCAATTTCCTGACACTAGGTCACATAATTAATAGCAAACAGCCCAAACAAATGTATAGCAACATTTGACCAGTTGAAATGGGAAAATGAGACGTCAGGTACAAAATAAGTGCATTTTAATTACTCCCAACTGAAAAATTAGCTCAAACTAGTACTACAGACAACTTTAGATGTGGAGATACTGTTGTGATACTATTCTATGCCTGGTTTACAACTATTTGTTTAACAGATGCTTTCTTCATCTGAGTACTAAAAGGTATAACTGGCTGGGTGTGGTGGTTCACACCTGTAATCCCAAAGCCCTGGGAGGCCAAGGCAGGAGGATCACTTGAGGCCAAGAGTTCAAGACAAGACTGGGCAACATAGAGAGATCCTGTCTCTACAAAAATAAAAAAATTTAGCCAGGCTTGGTGGTGCACGCCACTAGTCCTAGCTACTCAGGAGGCTAAGGTGTGAATATCACTTGAGCCCAAGAGTTCAAGGCTGCAGCGAACCACGATCACACCACTGTACTCCAGCCTGGGCAACAGAGCAAGACTCTGTCTCTTAAAACAACAACAACAACAACAACAAGCAACTGCAGCTTTGTTTAGCTGACAAAAGAAAACACCAGTTAGAGGGAGATCTAATTGAAAGGTTCTGCTGTACCTCTTCTTTCCTTTTACTTATTCATACAAGGACAAAATATGATTCTTTAGAAACTCACTGCTTAAATGAATATAGACACACCAGAAGAACTGAATAACCTGGCAGATGGATAGGTCTAGTTATTTCTTAGCAAGAAAGCAATATATTGCAAATATACTTTGGATTTTTTTTTAACCTTTTAAACATTTTAAAGAGTGAAGAAAGTAAAAATGAAGATACATCAATACCTCTGTATAATGCAATCCTTCTCTTAAGCCCCTGGGATCCACACGTATGTTTATGTGTCTACATTGATTCATGAGTTCCAAATGGCTGGGACACTGAACCCAAGATGAATTTGAAGTCAGAGCTAAATGAAGCTGAAGGGATATTTTTTCAGAGTTTTCTGGCACGAAAAAGACCAAAAATTAAAGATGAGTATTTTTTTCCTTTTTTCCATTTAAAAATGTTACATCTTTCCAAAAAAATTTAGCGACTTGGTTTGGTTGGCTGTAAAATGCATCCAAAACACAGCTTAAATAAAACAGTCAAATAATCTTCCTTACAATTTAGATTACTCATGATTCATTTATACTTTCACCAAGCACTGGTATGACCTTAAAATAAAGAGTTTAAGTGAATGTTTTCATTACTGCACACAGGTCATAGTATTCAACTGAAATGAAGACAGCCAGATAATAGCGATGATTATTTTTGTTCACACCTAATCGAGCTGCAGTTCTCCTAGACTGCTTCTACTTTTCATTCTTCAACAGAAAGCTCTGTCTTATACCTAAGTAGGTAAAGTGGAAAAGAAATTTGATATTTTATTATCCACAATTTAATAAAGCTGTGGGTCACTGAGGCTCATTCTACTGTTTTCCCTGGTAGTTTAAGATGCTAACTAAATTGCCATTGTACAAGGACCCCAAATTGCTCTAATATTTTCTCTTATGACTAAGATTTAAAATAATCATACTGTCAATTCATGTATTCTCTTCACAACACTGGCCCAAACAGCAATTCTTTATTATGATACCACTCATTCAAACAGCAAATGTGAATACGTCAGCTTACTGCCAGCCTATTACTGACCTGTGTTCTCCGGAAATACAGGTTCAATGCCAACGCCATGATCTGAAGGTGCAGCCACCTGAACAGGATCTCGGAGGTAGATGCCACGGTTATTTCCAACAGTAACAGTAAAACCTAATTTATTAGCAAATGATGTATTCTGAACGAGGTAGTCATAGGCTTTATCAACCTAGTGAAAATAATATACATGGTAAGATATAAATGGTTGGGTCAAAAAATATTTTGTTGCAAATTACCAATCAATTTGATTTCAGTTGTAAAACAAAAAGTTAGTGTCTATATTCACCTCTCAAAACTACCTAGTACCCCAACTAAGAGGACAATTCTACATTTTTAGAAACAACACCAGTCACATCTTCCACTCCACTCTATTCACACTGTTATTCTCAAGTGACCAAATTTAGGAACTAATCCCTATGCCGTTATGATTGGCCAGTTTTTGACCTCGATTTCTTTGAATTTCTAACCTCTACATGGCCTCCATCTATTACATTTCTTGATCTTAGTGCAACAGATTTGTCTTAACTACAAAATTTGTTTGTGTATCCTTTTTGCTTGTAGTTCTATGGCCATATAATCCATAATTCAGATATACTGAATCACTGTTATAAAACAAAATATTACCCAATAATATCTAAGATATTATCTCAATGATGCTTTACAACCCATTTTTCATATAGGCAACAATACCTGAATAATACCATGTCCTTGAGCAAATACTTCTATATTGTCAGCCTTCACTGCAGTGTTTTCTAGAGCTCTTCTGACTGAATGAACTGTGTAGTCAATGTTATTAGCTTTCAGACCTAAAATTAAGAAACAAAAACAAGTAGTGTAGCACTCACTATCTGAAACCTTAGCCGCCCACCAGTATGATCGATCACCTGTAGACCCTCTGGTGTTAATGTCTTGTGTTCTAACACTCATTTTAAAATCTTTTTTGAAGACCTGAACTAAACAGTCTGACTCAAACTGCTTGCATTACATGAAGGCTTCATTCCACAAAAATCACTGTGTTCTCATTATGTGGTGGGCAGAGAGACTGGTGTGGGCTTTGTGGCGTAATATAAACGTACAAAGCAGATATCTAAAAGCATGTGAATGACATTTTCTTTCAAACACTGCTGGGTTAAACAAGATGGCTGTTGGCTGTGGTGTTCAACCCAACTGTATGTTATAAACCCCAGGGGAACTCAAGCAAAAAAGATGCTGAGGTCTCATGACAGACCAATTAAATCAGAATCTCTGAGGACTGTCCCAGAGATTGTTATTTATTAAACAACTCTCAGATGATTCTAGGGTACAGCCAGGTTGGGAATTACTGTTTTATGGGAAGAATATGGAGGCCACCAATTCATAAGATGAGTGCTGTATCATTCTTGTCCTCTCCAGAGCTCATTAAACACATAAACATTGATGATATTGTCAGACATCAGAGGAACTGACAGATAAGCCGCCTCTTAGAGAATGTACAGGAGTCTGCAAGGCCACAACATGGCAGACAGGACTTCGAGGCAGAGTGCAGTACACCCAAAGATGGAGGCCAAGAGGCCTTGAAATACCTGGTGAGGCTGAAGAGAACTAGAAAGAGGGTCATGTTAGGATCCATCCTAAGAGTGTGGGCTCAACCTAGAGAAGGATGTAGCACTTGAAGTGGTACATCATCACAGGCTTATGCTGATAGCACCAGTGTGGACAGGCCATGCTGAGGAGATGTGGTGAGCAGAAGAAACTGTGGTGTGGGTGAGAAAAGCGGGGAAGAAAGGAGGCAGAGGAGAGACAACTTAAAGAGGGACGTTTCTGAGGAGGGAGCTTCACAGCAGCCTGGCTACCCTAAATCTGAGTCCTGGCTAAGCCCAGTGCCACTCTATTTAATCCTGTGCACCACTCTAGAAATCCCTCCTTCTCTTTCTACCTCATTTTGCTCACGGCATCCATTAACCTCTAACATGCAACATCTACAGTTTTTTATTTTGTTCAGAGTCTGTTTATCCCAACTATAATATATATAATGATGTAACCTCCACATAGGCAGCTATTTTTGATGCTTTGTTCACTAATTTAGCCCCAGAGCTAAAATACTGCTTGACAGTCGTTAACAGCGGACAGCCAACAAATATACTGCTGAATAAACACACATTCAAATTATCATTATCACATAAGTTATTCGTTACCTTAAACTCTACTTTGTGCCCAGGGAATTATCAATTCTACCACATGTTCTTACCATGAGAGCTTCAGAAAACAAAAATATTGGTCTGCAATAATGTAAGGACAATAAAGAACACGCTTACCTGAAAGGATCAGGGCAATGCCTCCACATGCATTGGGGGAAGACATAGATGTTCCATTCATCAGCTGCGTCCCTCTCAGTGTCCAGTTAGGAACAGAAGCAATGGCTCCTCCTGGCGCACTGATACTCACACCAAGGGCCCCGTCAGCACTAAATGGAAAGCCATTGAAGTTTGCTTAGGATGGTGAAAGCTAAACATACATGGGCATTTTTAAGACGACCACTGGTTAAATCCAATAGTATAACACTATGTACTAACTGCACTCATTACAAATAGTGACACAGATACTACTATGAAGAATCAATGGGGGAAAACACCCAGCAGAGCCATTTTCCCATAGGCAGCATTTATTTTTTCCTTGTAAGTGTACAGAAATGTCTGTGTGTATATACATATCTGGGCATGTGTGACAGGCCACAGTGTCAGGTATATTTAGAGAGAGAAAATAAATGTCACTGTTCTGACTCTTTGATGAGTGTACATCTCTCTTATCTGTAATAAGAAACTTTCCTTCTGTTTAAGGTCTAATATAGCACTGTACAATAGAAATATAATGTGGGCCATATAAATTAACATTTTCTATAAGCCACACTTAAAAAAAGCTAACAAGACATTAATGCAATTAATTTTAGTATGTTTAACTAGACATAGCAAAAATATTAGCATTTCAACATGTAATTAATAGATACAAAGAAAAATGAATTAGTTTACATTGTTTTTTTTGTACCAAGTCTTTGAAATTTGGTGTACATTCTATACTTACAGCACATCTTAACGCAGACTAACCTCACGTCCCTGACTGCTGCCATACTGGACAGCTGAAGTCTAACAGGACTGTCCAGCTGAGGGCTTCAAACAAGCAAAGTCTGATGAATTAAAACCCTCAGAATTCATAACCACATTATCATCCAACAAAGCTCTGTCCTCTGCCCCAAGTAAAGAAGGAATGGCACAGAATAGCACACTTCCGCCTCCCTGGCTAAGTGGCCATACATTCCCCACAGAGGCTGCCAGACTCTCCTTATACCATCTCCCAACTGAGTGAACTATTTTTACTCTTGGGTAGAAACACTAGAGCAATTTGGCTTTACATTTTTTATAGAGAACTGAAAGCAATACATATATATTCCTCTTGAAATGGGCTGACAGCACCTCTTTTAGGAACCATCTTAGAACAATTACTACTAGGTAAATATCTGTTGACCTGTAAAGATGCTCACAATGTAATACTGAATAACAAGTAGGCTACAAAAGTGCCTGAACAGTGTCATCTCCCACTAATTCATGGAAGAATGACTAAAAGGATGTTCATCAATATGTCACCTGCACATATCACAGATAACAAGGTTTAGGGTGATTTTCTACCTTCTTGTTTGCACTGTATTGCCTAATGGTGTTCAGAATGAGCATTGGTATTTGATAGCATTGGAAAAAATAACTGGAAAGAGTCATGAATTCTGACTACTTATTGCTCTTTATTAATTTTCCACTAGCTTGTTAAAGTGGTAAATGATAAAGCATTTCTAGATGTTTAAATCAGTATTCTAAAAATGAGTCTCAGCTGGGCTCAGTGGCTCACACCTGTAATTCCAGCACTTTCGGAGGCCGAGGCGGGCAGATCACGAGGTCAGGAGTTCAAGACCAGCCTGGCCAACATGGTGAAACCCCATCTCTACTAAAAATACAAAAATTAACCCGGTGTGGTGGTGAGCGCCTGTAATTCCAGCTACTTGGGAGGCTGAGGCAGAATTGGTTGAACCTGAGAGGTGGAGGTTGTAGTGAGCCGAGATCATGCCACTGCACTCCAGCCTGGGTGACAGAGCAAGACTCTGTTTCAGGAAAGAAAAAAAAAAAAGTCTCATGAAACAGAAATGTTTCCTTAAAATTCAAAAAAAGCCAGTTAATATTTTTCTTCTCAATTACAATATATAATAAAATTTCACGACCTGTTTATGTAGCTGTGATTACATGCACCCACCACCATGCCCAGCTAAATTTTATATTTTTAGTAGAGATGGGATTTCACCACGTTGGCCAGGCTGGTCTTGAACTCCTGACCTCAAGTGATTCACCTACCTTGGCCTCCAAAAGTGGTGTGGTGGGATTACAGGCGTGAGCCACTGCACCCGGCCCAGACATTTGGTAATACGTCTTTAAGAAATATGCCACACGTGCAAATGCCTGGAAGTCAGTAGTTGCTGTGTGTCTCAGTCAATGCTGATGCAGAGGCAGCGTTTTTCAAAGATTACAGAACATGCTCTGTTCAGTGACCATTAATCAATGTTTCATATTTTATACCATCTAATGTAATAATTAAAGCAAATTATTTCTAATATTATTTCATGTTTATGAAAAATGAAACAAATTCAATTCTTAGAACATCTGCTTTGTGAATCAGTATCTACTTTAATCCAAGCTTCCCCCATAATTCATGAACTCCTTGGTGTTTTCTTAAAATAATTCTTTAAATGCTCTATGGCGAGTATCGGCAAAGGCTGGTTTAAACATTCTCTAATACTTTGTTTTTACATTGACAATAAGATAAAACTTAAAATTCCAAACTCAGTTTTAGAAGAGAATAAGTTTAATAATTTTACACTTTTATTAACTGAACAAAAACACATCAAGCTTTGCTGACTTTTGGCTCTTCTCCTAAGCCACTCTTATTGAGTGTCTTTAGCTGGGCTGGCAGGGGCAGTCTACAATGACAGCGCAAAGCAAAGCTTTCTGATCCATGTGGATATCCACGGCCTGGTTGTTTTCAATGACACTTTATAATAAGCTACTAAGATAAGTTTATTTTTTAAAGAGGAAACCACCTAGAGAAAATGAGGAAGATATCTGTAACTCAAAGAATATAACATTATTGCATCTCACCTGAGCACAATCAATTTTTCTAATCTTATCTTCCAATATTCCCCACTAATCTTATACTTCAAACATACTCAGTTACTAGTTATGTCCTCAAAAAACTTTACACTGAAACCTGCTCATCTTTGGGTTCATGTTATTCTTGGCATATAGAACTCCTTTCTTCTGTCTCTCAACATCCTATCCATCCTTTAAGGTCAACTTCAATACCGTCTTCTCCATGAAGGGCTCAAGTGATTGCTCCCACCTCTGGAGTCCCATCATACTAAAATGGCATTTGAAACTCAGATCACAAACTGTTCGTTTATGCCTTGCCCACTGTAGGCACTAAGGTATTTGCTGAACTAAATTCAAAGTCTATTCTTTTTATAAATTAACTCCAAACAGATGAATTAAAATAGGCTTTATTTTTCAGAAGGTGCATGTACCCGCTGATGATATAACGAAGAATTACATAAATTAGGACTTAATATACCTCTTCAGAAAATCAGTTCACAGAATCAGATAAATGTAGTTCAGAGGGCTTCAGGGAACCAAAAGAGATAGACTTCATTTCTCAGTCAGAACTTGTTTACTTTTGGATCTCACCCAAAATTGCTCAAAGTAAGTTATAACTTCAAAGACATGAGCCACAGGTACGTGGGCCCTATGACTGTGATGCTTTATAAAAGCTTAGGGCTTTCATTTCACCAAAGTTCAAATATCAAAAACTATTTAAAACAAGGCCATCACTACTATATAAAGATATCCAAGTCCCTACTTTTTCTTTAGATTCTTATAAATGAAGAATTATGGATATAGGAATAAGAATTTATACTCAGAATAGTGATGTTCTCCATGTAACAATGAAACTATTTCATTTATTTTATTTATCTGTCCCTGAGATGAGACTGTTAATCAAAATGAAAATACTGAAAAAAAAGTAAAAACCAACAGAAAAAAACTAGCAAACTTATCTAAAACTCTGCCCTTCTCAACAGTGTAAAGTTTAACCGAATATACGTAATGGTTCCGCGTTCTACCTGCACCTACCTAGGTCCTCTAGAAGACCAAGTATATTGATTTGCAGGTAATTTCTCTCTCAGTGAATACTCAGCAACCATCATATCAGGAGAAACATAAGCACCAACACCTGTGGGATGGATTTAATCATTAAGAAAAGAAAACAAACGGGGATCCTGATTCCAAATCCACTGTTCACTTGAGTAAACTGCCTAATCTCTCAACACCAGTCCTCTCTCTAATACGATGGAAGAATAAAATTTAATAAGGAAACAAGGAAAGTCTACTATGTACCATACATTTTACTAAGAACTTTGCTTTTGGATACAAAATACCTATCTCCCAGGATTATTTATCCCAGGATATTTTAGACTAAATATGCTAATGCACCTAAAAGCATGCATGTGTATTTCTATGAAACCACTTATTTCAGTCCACTTTAAATTACGGTCAGTTCTAGATGTGCTGGTTCCCCTACCAGACTATAAGTTTCCTGAGGACACACTTAAGGTGTACAGTGTCTTACGTGTAGCAGAGATACAGGTAACATTTCATTAACTATTGTTTTTTGTTTGCTTGTTTCTAAACAAATCTATTTCTAAAACAGGAAACTAACCTATCACACTTGATGTAGTTCCACCTGGACAACCAACTGTAGACAGGCATGGACCATTATTTCCAGCACTTGAAACATAAATTATATTATGCTTCCATACTGCTTCATTAATTACTTCACAAATTCTCCTGAAAAAGAGAGAATTCCTTTGAACATATAATCAGCCTCTATTCCCAAAGTGTATATAGTACCAAAACCTTGTTTAAATATATGGCTACATAAATTTTGGTACATCCACCCTTGGTGGAACATGATACAGCCATTCTAAGTGATATACCCTACTTGGGCTTTAGGGTAGGGAAGCAGTTATAAGGCCAAATTAAACGTGGGGAAAGTGCTAGGTGCAAAACAATATATATGGGAAAATATACTACAAGGTAGTAAAATATTAGTAGTGACTCGGGCAATAGGTGGTTCTATTTCCATCCCCCAGTTAACATAGTCCTGAAGACACACCTCAGAAGATTCGTACATACAATTATGAGTAGAAATTGACCAAAAGAACCAGTAACTTTTGTGGAAAAGGTAACTAAGGCACTAGGAAGAACTTAAGAGCAAGATTTTAAAGTGTAAGAAACCTGCTTAGAGCTTGACAGCAAACAAGAAAAATATACTGACATTAAGTAGAGGAGATGAGGTTATACCATGAAGAAGAAAATGAAGTTAACATTAAAAAGGTACAGAGCCATGCACAGGACCCTTCAAAGTTGTAAGTGTGAGTATCTGAGAAAGGGAAGAATATTAGCAAAAGAGGGCTTCAAGAGGATGAAAGTTAAAGTAGAGAAAGAAATACAGTTAAGTAAAATAAAGAAGTGAGAGAAGAGGGAAGAATGAAATGACTCATGATAACAGGGTGCATGTTACGAGGACCGTAAAGTGATGTCTCAAAAACCAGATGATAGCTTGGTGATGGGAATGGGGGAGAGATGATCAACAAGTAAATACTCGAGGTAATTTCAAATAGCTACTACTATGAAGAAAAAAAGGAAGGTAACATTAGGTCAAGGCCATGACACTGGATTTGGCAGCAGAAAGACAATGAAGCCAACGAGGAAGGAGGGGAGTGGGGGTGCATCCTAGACACACTAGAATGGATTGAGGAGATGTGAAAACTGACCGAGTTAGTGAACATACGCAACCAACAGTAAGTTTTGCAGATGAGATGCAAGTCACTAAAGAGAATAGCAAAATTTCAGCAAGTCTGGGCGTCTGTCGGGTATGTATATACAACTGAGGATGGCTTCAGAGTGCTTGTGGAACTAGTAATTATAATGATAGACAGATTGTCAGATCTAAATTGCCTGGGAAGAGAAGTGAGGATGCAGTGCATCTGACAGTGAAAAAACACCAGAGTCTGTGGGTTGCATATCTCAGAAGAACTGTGAGGGAGACCTAACCAAGGAAGAGCCACAAAGGACAGCACAGGCATGCTCAGAGTTGAGACTTCAGGCATGGTGCAGTGAACAGCATTAACATCGTCACAGATGTGAACACAGGAACGGGGGTGTGCGGCCTACGAGCCAAACAGGACTTCAAGAGGATGAAAGTCCTCTTGAACACAGTTATCATCTAACCACTGCAACTGTTCTTTCTTCCACCGTGACACTCAATCCACTTATGAAAAACATCTCATACTCTTCACTGGCTAAGGTTCTATGGCTAAACAACTGTCAAGGAACACTCACCCAGAATTTGGCCAGTGAGTTGCTTCTCCGTAACTGTAGTTGACAAGATCACACTTATGATTTATAACTTCTATCATCTATTAAAGAGATTAAGACTCTAGTTTAGGCAGCAATTTACAGAAACAGATTAGCCAGTAAAATAAGGGCATATATATAATCCTATAGTTTCTTAGCCAATCATATTCTAATTTATAAGTTACCTCCAGGCATATCACCATATACCTGGACATATAAGCACATAAACACAAAAAGGTAGGAGGAGACACATAAAAAAGTAGTCATTAAAAAAAAAAACAAAAAACTAGCATTTCTAGAAAAGAGTGGGGTTAGAGGGGGACAGAGGTAGAGGGAATGGAATGGTCCTTCCTAGGTTAAAAAATCACTAAAATTAAATATACTTTCCTACGTTAAAATGACGTACAGAATGTTAGCTGAGGTTTTAAATTCCTCTTAGGCTGATGGAGAAAGCTGGCTAAGAGGTCTTTCTTTTTAAGTATCTCAAAATTGCTTGTTAGGAGATTTGCTAGAAATGACGAGTATGAAGTAAGTAATTTTTTCACAAAGGTTAGGCCAAATCCTAATAATATTTAATAAAAATAATTTAAAAATAAATTAGTAAATATTTTTGCTTTGTTAAAAGTCCTGTACACTATATATAGTTCAATGTATTCTTGGTAAACTAGGAGCACTTATAAACCTAAAAATATCCAAGATCATTAATCATTAATCTTCTGAATCAACAACTCACAAACACTCACAGCTCTTATGAGGCCTGTGCCTGTTTCCATTGTGCTTAGTCTTGTATCACCAATCTTGATGGAAAGAATTTGAGCACCAGGAGCTACCCCATTCCGTTCAGGTTCTTCTGGAAAGTGTCCAGCAGCTATACTAGCTACATGTGTCCCATGAGCTCCTAGAGACACAAAGGTGGGGAAATGACAAAACATTCTCATGGACTGAAAGTTTATTCAATTCAATTTGCATATTATTAATCATGATAAAAAGAATACACATTACTCTGCTACCCTGTTCATGGAGAGCAAAAACTCAAGTCACAAAGGAAAGTATTTGCAACATGTATAGCTGACAAAGAGCTTTATATCCAGAATATATAAAAATCTTTCAAATTCACAATAAAAAAAGGGAGAATCCCCCCTTCAAACATTTGAAAAAGCATTTTATAAAAGAAGATACCCAAAGGGCAAATAAACACACGAAAAGATGTTTAATTTCATTCGTCATCTAGGAAACGCAAATTAAGCCACAAAAAGATGCTTCTACGTACCTTTTAGAATTGCCAAAATATTAAAGGCTGACAAAGCAAGTGTGGATGGAAGTACATATCATACACTGCTGGCTGGAGTGAAAGCTGAACACTGCCACAGCCTATGAGCCAGCCATCCTACCTCTAGGTACACACAATACCAAAATGTGTGCACATGTAACTAAGACACCCACAAAAATGTTCATGGCAACACTGTTTATAAAATTCAAAAACTTAAAAACCACCACAAGATTCATTAACAGTAAATGGTTACATGTACATCAATTCATAGAACTGACAATTATACAGCAATAAACTACTACTATGTACTATGAGATAAAGCTCACAAAAATAAGGCTGAACTAAAGAAGTCACATACAAAAATGGATATTGAATTTTCATATAAATGAAAAAAAGGCTGAACCATCTGAAACTGCCACTATTTTATCATTTCCGATCACAAAAACAGCAACATCATATGGTCCAAACTAATGTGGCAATGGAGATCAGGATAGTAGTTAACTGTAGGAGGTGGGAGGGTACATTACTGATTAGGAAGGGGCATGATGGGAGTTTCATTATGTTTCATTTCTTGACCTGAGTTGTAGTTACAAAGAAGTGTCCACTTTGTGGTAATTCAAAGAGTTGTACAACTTGTGATTTGTATCTGTTTTTGTACATGTTATATATAAAGTAATACTAAAACAAAAAACTAGCCTTTTAGTGAAAAAGTTTCTTAAAAGACATGAATATAGAGAAATATCCCACTAGTCTCAGAAAAACAATAATACAAGCACAATGATAAATGACAACTGGCACTGGGCCTTAATGTTTGGGGACTATAGTGTGTTGGAGCTCCAGGAGAAGTAGGCAGGCATCTCTATGTGGCTTTGAAACAGGGTCTGCAGCAATGCTGAGACTCCTCTGCTCTAGCCAGCTGCTGTCATGCAAGAAAACATTCGCCCAATGTTGCGGATTCTGGCTTTCTTATTTCTTTCCCCAGATAAAATTGGGAGAGCACAAGTTTAATGTGATTTTTTCCTTCAAAACACCTTACACCAGTTAGAATGACCACTATTAAGACTGACCACAGCAAGTGTTGCTGAGGATACAGAGCACCTGGAATTCTCACACACCATGGTGGGAGTGAAAAGGGTACAGCCCCTTTAGGTAACAGCTTGAATATTTCTTAAAAAAGGCCGGGCGCAGTGGCTCACACCTGTAATCCCAGCACTTTGGGAAGCCGAGGCGGGCGGATCACGAGGTCAGGAGATCGAGACCATCCTGGCTAACACGGTGAAACCCCGTCTCTACTAAAAATACAAAAAATTAGCCGGGCATGGTAGTGGGCGCCTGCAGTCCCAGCTACTTGGGAGGCTGAGGCAAGAGAATGGCATGAACCCGGGAGGCGGAGCTTGCAGTGAGCCGAGATCGCGCCACTGCACTCCAGCCTGGGCGACAGAGCGAGACTCTGTCTCAAAAAAAAAAAAAAAAAAGTTAAGTGGCCGGGCGTGGTGGCTCACACCTATAATCTCAGCACTTTGGGAGGCCGAGGCGGGTGGATCACGAGGTCAGGAATTTGATACTAGCCTGACCAACATGGTGAAACCCTGTCTCTACTAAAAATACAAAAACTAGCCAGGTGTGGTGGTACGCGCCTGTAATCCCAGCTACCCAGGAGGCTGAGGCAGGAGAATCACTTGAACCTGGGAGGCAGAGGTTGCAGTGAGCCGAGACCGTGCCACCTGTACTCCAGCCTGGGCGACAGAGCGAGACTCTGTCTCAAAAAAAAAAAAAAAAAAAAAAAAGGAAAAAAAAAAATTAAGTACATGTTTACCATATCCAACTGGTTCTCTCAGCTATCAGCCCAAAAATAAATAAAAATATATGTCGACAGATACCAAAACAATCTAAACGTCCATCAATGGGAAGCTGGATAAACAAACTGTGGTGTAGCTATATAAAGAACTATTACTCAGAAATAAAGAGCCAGCTTTATAATCATAACATTAATGAATCTCAAAATCATTATGCTGAGTGAAGGAAAGAAAACCATATTTTTTATTCCACTTACATAAAATTCTGGAAAGTGTGAAATAATCTGGAGTGACAGAAAACAGATCAGTGGTTCCCCGGGATGTGGGTGGAGAAAGGCTGGATAATAGAGAGAGCAAACTTTTGGGGGTAATGAGTATGTTCATTACCTTGATTGTGGTGGTTTCCTGGATATACTGATATATTTACATAAAAGCTTATCAAATTATGTATATGTATGTATGTGAAGTTTTTGTACTTAAGCTATACCTCAATGAACTGGGAGGTAGGAGGGGGACGTTAAAGAGTTAAAGTCATCCCACTTCATTCTCCTTTTTCCCCCTACCCTGGGAGGGAGAACTTCCCCCAGAAGTAGCCACCATCCTGGAGCTGGTGTGCATAATCTTTCCATCTATATATTTAACATTTTCACGATATAAACACACATATCTATAAACACTGCATAGTACTATTCGGCATGTTTTAGAATTTTACAAGTTTTATCATCAGTACATATTTTTTCAATATAATTTATGTATTAGGGGTTTATACACACAGCATTTTGATTGCTATATAATACATTCGGCCCTCTGTATCCACAGGTTCCGCACCAACTACATGCAATTTAACCAACCACGGATCAAAAATATAAATATTAAAAAACTACAGTATAACAACTATTTATATAGCACTTACATACTATAAGGTATTAGAAGTCATGTAGAGATGCTGAAAGCACATGGGAGAGCATGTGTGTAGGTTATACACAAACACTATGTCATTTTGTATCAGGTACTTGAGCATCTGAGGGACATTCCAGAACCAATCCCCCCAGATACCAAAGGATGACTGTATTTCACAGTAAGAATAACACACAGTTGTTTAAAAAATATATTTTTTTGTTAATAGGTATTTAGTTTCCAACTTTTTTGAAATCACACAGAGTGCCGTAGTGAGGATTCTTTTATCTGATTCTCTGTACTCATGGGTGAATTTCTCAAGAGTTAAGATTTCGAGGCAAAATTGCTGTTCATGAGATAAATTCTATTGATGGATTTTTTTTGAGATGGAGTTTCGCTCTTGTTGCCCAGGCTGGAGTGCAATGGCACGATCTCGGCTCACTGCAACCTCCGCCTCCTAGGTTCAAACGATTCTCCTGCCTCAGCCTCCCGAGTAGCTGGGATTACAGGCATGTGCCACCACGCACAGCTAATTCTATATTTTTAGTAGAGATGGGGTTTCTCCATGTTGGTCAGGCTGGTCTCAAACTCCCAGCCTCAGGTGATCCACACACCTCGGCCTCCCAAGGTGCTAGGATCACAGGCATGAGCCACTGCACCCAGCCTATTGATGGATTTTCTGATGTTGGAACATGCTTTTATATTCTTGGACTGGATCCCACATGGTTATGACCTTAAAAAACAACATCTTGCAGGTAAATCAAATCACCTTTATGATTCTGGACCTAGTCCTTTAGCTACGATCTCTAGCTTAAAATTCTCTAGAAGGTTGCTGTGAGCTATCGCAACGTACCACTTTATCACCTCATAAATCTATATCTCATTGGTCAATCTGAAATGGGATACCTCCACTGGTCACAATGGAGAGCAGGTTTCCATCATCGTATATATTAACGGAGTAATTCAACATCTCAGCTGTGCCAAAAGAGCCATATTCTTGGGCTTCTTTGTAGTTTCTCAACACGGTAGATTTACTCAAGTCCCCATCTTCATTAGAATCAATGCAGGCTCTATTAATTAAAAAGAAATGGAGACAGTAAAATTTATTTTCTTACCTTTCTAAAAATCATGTAACATAGTCTCTCCACTATTTTACTATACTACTACCTCTACCACAACAAATATAAATATAATGACTGCCTGGTTTAGCCTGTTTCTTAGAGTGGGCAGTAAGGATTAGGTAAGATAGCTTACAGCAACCAGTTCTTAAATCATGCACAAAGTGCTTTAAAAATACCCTCCTTCACAAAACTCTAGGTTAAAAACCACCTGGACTCTTAAGAATTACAGCTAAAACTTGGCTTAGAGTTTTAGAGCAGTTTAGGATAGTTCAGACACATGGCCTAGGTCTAACTTCCAGCTGCTTCTTTTAGTAATGGCTTCAAGAATCTAACGGCTTACACAAGCTCTTTGAAACTAGGTGAATTTTACTGAGCTTCAGTCCTATAGTTATAACAGACTTAAATTTATTTCTCACAGAAGGCATTTTCTACATTACTTTATGGTTGTCTTCCTTCATGTTTTTTCCATTTTACTAACTAAAATAGTTTTTAAATTATATTCCGAACACTTTAGAAGATAGCCTGATTAAAACAAAATACACTTAATATTCAAAAAGTCATAAATGAAATGAACATCATTAAAAGTTCAATATTATGTTTTTAGCTCTAAGTATGTTTTAAATGCAAGAACTGTATTTTAACAAGCTATGCAAGTCAGTCAAAATTGCCAAGTAAATTAATAGAAGCCTACTGGTAGAGCACAGAGAGATGATTTATCATAAATACTGAAGCATATTTCATTAACAAATTACAACACTTTGGAAAAAAGGATTCTTAAAAATTTGTTTTTATGCATTGCCCTAATATGACTGATGTAATTTCAAATAATAGAATATACGAAGGTATAGGAAACTAAACACTTATGGAGAAAATGAAGCAAAGAGCAAACAAGTCACATATTAAACAGAATCAGGCTTGAGATTAGTGGGTAAAATGCATGTCACCAAATCTTCCACATGCTACAGAAGTAGCACTTGTCTCCAAAATTTATGCAATCGGCCAGCATCCATCCTGGAAGTCATCTACAAAGTCCTCCCTCTGTTCTTCCCCCAGCCCATCTAACCGCACAGTCCCATCTCCATAATGTGTCCGCCTATTTCCACTGTCTCTTCCTTACCGCTGTTGCCTGATGAGCTGATGGCCTGCTCTGCCCCTACATTTGACTCCTGCTGAAAACCTTCCATGTCTTCCAACGGCTCTTAACATTGAAACTCCAGAGCAATGCCCCTAATAATCATCTGCTCACCTCCCTCACCTCCTGCTCCCATCATATCCTCTGTGGCCACACCAAACTTCTCACAGTTCCTCCAACATCCTCTGGATCTTTCCCCCACCCTTTCTACCTCTCTGCTTAGTTTACTGTGATGATCCTTCAAGTCTCAATGTAAGATGTTATTAATACTTTTGGGAAATCTTTCTCGATTCTTCCTAGACTGGTTCAGACGTTCCCAACACTTGCTTCCATGGAATCTAGAGTCCATGGAGTAGCTTCTATGGTGTCAACCTGGTACAAAGAAGGTACTCAATAAACATCTGCCACATGATTAAGGAATTAACGAAATCATCATCCTTAACAACATTCTCACAGCAAATACAGTGACACATTCCACAGGTCAGTTTCTTATAACCACCATCATTGGAATGACTCAACAATACAACCAACACATCAAAACATAAATTATTACTGACTTCTCTAAATAACACGACAGAGGACAAGTATGAATGTGGTGCAAGGTTATAACTTTCTGAAGGTCTAGTTGACTGAATTCAAGTAGCAGCTAGAATACAGAGAAAGGATATCAAAATGAGGCTCATACACAGAGCAGGGTACATGTAAGTGGGGAGGATGAGAGAAAAGGCTTTTGTTTTATGTATTTCTCGACATTTTCACACATCTCTCAATTTTCTGTGGAAAGAATCTAGAGCTTTCATCAAGAATCTAAAAGGAAACATGACATAAGCAAGGTCAAAATCCACTGTAAAGAAATCAACTAATAGCTTCTCCTTTATGTAATCCTCTGTAAACACTGTTTCTCTCAACCAGTTTTTGTTCCATTTGGAGTGACAATGAGTCTGAGGCTCTGCGTCCTGACAGATGCTCAGAACAGAGTCATCTGAGGCCACCCGTTAAGTGCAGAGATACGCGCTAAACAATTAGCAGAAATGTGGCAGGGAGAGCACAGACTGGACATTCGTCATCAAACAAAACAAAACAAAAAACCCACGGTACTTAAAGAATAGGTCACTTTACCTCCCTTCAGAAATGGTTGGCATTTTTGAAATGTGAAATGAGAACATCTGCAGACAGGACTGGATTAACCTTATGTACCCTGGGATCTACAAGGTTCTCTTCAAAAAATTTTGGATCTCTGAGATCAAAGCCCTATAGGATATACTGTATTATGCAAAAAAGTTACATTATATCTAGTACCACCTGAAAGTATAATTATGCTATATTCATTTATTATAATAAAATGTTCTAAAATGTTATTCTGAGATTTCAGATTTTATTTCACTTAATGTTAGATTAAATTTCATTTCTAACTCAAAAGTTCTAAACAAAACCCTTAGAATAGTTGTCAACAAACTGCTACAAGTGAGTCACTTTATCAAGCACCTTGAAGACCAAGGAAATCTTGTGGAAACACACACTGGTACCCTGGACATCCTGACTCCGGATTCCTTTTCCTAAGACAAAGTAATCTGCAGTGTTTTCAGAACCTAGAGCAAACACTTTAAATGAAACCACCTATTGCCTCACTACTCAATCCCTGCTAATATTTTAGTATTTCTTTAAGTTCTTTTGTAGTATATACTTTCCTAAATATACTCTGTTTCGTATTTAGCATTTTCCTTGAATTTAACCTTGCCTCCTTTCCCACACTAAAACGCACCTAAGGCTTATCACTGAGTGTGACTGTATCATGTTACCCCAGATGGTGGATGTATCAAGGTTTATTATTCTGTATAAAGCCTCTGGAAAATAATTTTTCAAAACGTGTATGCATATGCACACAACAAAACAACATGTATGAATACACACAAAAGTGCATTAATATTTAATATCTAGATTGAAAGAGTTATGTGCAGTTATTTTATTAACACCATCATCCCCAAATTGAGCAGAAATTTCTCATTCAACTTAACATTGCATACACCTTTGATGAAAGATGAGTTAGTACCTGCACACGTGGGAGGAGAACCCTCCTTTAAGAAGGGTGCACTGTGAAGGTGAACAATTGTGAGAGCAGTGAGGAAGCAGTCATGGCATGATCTGTGTGTGCCCCACCTTGTGATGCAATTCTTTGTGTATAAGCAGGGACGCAGACTACAAGTAATTCTTGACTACAAGTTTAAGAAATAGTCCCTGTTTGTTTGTTTTTTTTTTGCAGAAATCCTAAAGCACACATATGGCTAAATATCTGTATTAACAATGTCTTCCTGTTTTCATGCAGATAGTAACTCAAGAAGGCAGACTAATCAACTCCAAGAAGCACATATGCAGTATATAAGGCACTAAAAAAGAAACTAAAAAACGTACATGATGGGTAACTTGGTATAAATCGCATTATTATTATTAGTTTTAGTAATAGAAACAGCAGCAGCAACAGCGTACATTGATTGCTTACTATATCTAGAAACATCAAATTTAATTTTCACAAAGCCCTGTAAGCACCACTATCTCAATTAACAAATGAGGAAACATTTCCAAATATACGGATGGTCAACATACTAATAAATTATTAATGAAGTAAGTTTATTTAAATCAGATAAAAGTCAGGTTTAGTGTCAATAATTATAACTAGAAGTTCAAGGGGCTTGTCCAAAACTACCCAGATGCCAATTTGGCCCTTAAATGATTTTGCTGAGTGATATCACGAATAAACCAAAATTCTGTGCAGCTCTGAGCATTTAATGTTTTTCAGAGTAGAAAAGAAAACATTTGTAAATGAAGATGTATAAAATACACGAAGTTTACCTCCAGACTTCGCCATCATGCCATACCAAGCAGTCATATACAGGGCCAGGATCGCTGTATTTCTTCTCAAAAGAATTTAGCAATTCCACTTGACTTTGAAGTTCCTCCTTGATTAGTTTATTTGCCTAGTCAGTTGGAAAACTGATTAACATTAGTACATTCTGTCCTTCTAAAAGTTGTATTAACATACAGCCAAAGATACAATGTTAATCCATAGTAAAATTATTTTACCCTGAAAAAATGTAAGAAAATTTTGTTCTATCTATGCAACTTGTCATTCAATTCAATGAAGCAGATACCCATTAATACAGATCTAATTAATAAAGATCTAAAAAACAGTTATTTTACTCAATCTCATTTATTCACTCACTAGGCCTGCTTTGGGAAATACACTGTGCTACACGTTGGTGATTCCATTTAGCCAAGATATGCTTGTTACATATTTGTTATCTAACTTATTTCCAAAAGCAACTCTAAAACTGCTACAAAATAGGTTATCTATTGACTTTTAGATTTTTATATCAGGACCTATTCTATCTCAAATTTATTTCTTAAGAATCCAAATAAATAATAAAACCCATGAATCATCTTATATCTTTTAGAAACTGCTATGTTAAATAGAAGCATTTAATGGGGGTAAGTGAAGCCTTATTTTAGCTCTGTGGTCATGAATAAAACCAAGTGCTTTAAATTCGATTACGTACACACTAGACAACAACTGGCACTAGCAGGTGTTACCTCTCCAAAACATTTCTCTAACCTAGAGTGTATATAAAAAAATAAGTTAGGTACTCAAATAATTAGGAAAATGACTGGTTTAAACAGAAATAAGCTGGGAGATAGAAAGGCATATAAATACTGAAATTGAGACGAATATCTCTAGACTATGTTACTATATTAAGATCCAGCAGGGGTTGACAAATCATGGTGCATGGGCCAAATCTAGCCTGTGACAAAGTTGTGTAAATGAAGCTTTACTGGAACATGGCCTTCCTGGTTCAGTTACATATTGCCTAGGTTTTCATGATACAAGGGGAGTGTTGAGCAGTCATAAGAGAGTACTAAAAATATTTACTATTTGGCAATTTATTGAAAAAGGTAGTCGTCTTTGATCAAAAGCACTTAATATTGCTTAAAATCAATCTGCCTTCTATAAATAGTGTGGTGTGAGTATTAACCTAGAGGGAAGAAATATGGATTCAAATCTCAATTCAGCAACTTAGCTGTGCAATCCTGAGCAAGTTATTTGTCCTTATGATAATCTGAGGCTGTCACATCAGAAACTAGTAGGATAGCAAATTATTATCTTGGCCAATAATTACTAAATTTCACGCAAATCACAATCATGTAAAGGCTATCACAAACATCGATGCTGTTTCTAATCCCACTTAGTAAATCAGAATTATCAGGGGATAAAGCCCGGAAAACTTAATTACTTTTAAAATAATTCAGGTGACTTAGAGATAATCAGTTCATCAGTATCAATTCCACAAATCAGTATATGGGAACCAAGGACTACACCCTCCCATGTTTTGAAACAAGGACCTTGAGGTCTAATATATTAACTGAAAAATGAAGTATTTTGAAACCCTTTTTAAAAGTGACAATAATACATATAATTAGAGAATACATAGGCCGGGCACGGTGGCTCATGCCTGTAATCCCAGCACTTTGGGAGGCCAAGGTGGGCGTATCACAAGGTTGGGAGTTCAAGACCAGCCTGGCCAACACGGTGAAACCCTGTCTCTACTAAAAATGCAAAAAAAAAAAACTAGTCGGGTGTGGTGGCACGTGCCTGTAATCCCAGCTACTCAGGAGGCTGAGGCGAGAATAGCTTGAACCCGGAAGGCAGAGGTTGCAATGAGCCGAGATCACACCACTGCACTCCAGCCTGGAACAGAGCGAGACTCCGTCTCAAAAAAAAAAAACAAAAAACAAAAAACAAAACCATACTATATGGTTCCATTTTACACAAATCAAAATAGGCAAAATCATCTGCAGTGTTAGAAGTCAAGGTGGTGGTTGTCTTTCGGAAGGAAAAAGGGAGCAGTGACAAGGAAGGGGCACAAGAGAAATTCCTAGGTGCAGCTTTCATGGGAGAATTCATAACCAAACACAATTTATGTACTTTTACCCTACGTGTATTATGTGTTAAATTTTAAAAATTCATACATATGTACATTGACTTGAGGATAAATAATAAAGGAAAAATTAGTAAAATTAACCAACTTAAAAGAAAATTTGTGAAAAAAGAAAACTTGTGGAAAAACAGTCTATTAGTTCTGTAGAAACTCTATGGGAATATGGTTCTAGGGTAATGTTTAAATGAAATCGACTAGCACCAACTTGAGAAGAGCCGTTGTTGGCAACATCAAATTCTTCCTGTTTTCTACAGGCTTCTGCAAGGGCCACTCTGTGAACAGGGTCCCAGATTTTTTCCTTCCGTTCTTTCTGCAAAGACAGAAAAATTACCTTACAATTAGGCTGACAAATACTCAGGTAAACCTAGACAGGCATTTATATGTGGACTTTGTTGGTACAGTTGTGATACTACACAATTCTCATAGAGAGGTTTTAAAAAATCATTTTTGGCCGGGTGTGGTGGCTCACGCCTGTAATCCTAACAATTTGGAAGGCTGAGGTAGGCGGATCACCTGAGGTGAGGAGTTCGAGACCAGCCTGGCCAACAAGGTGAAACCCCGTCTCTACTAAAAATACAAAAATTAGCCAGGTGGGGTGGCAGGTGCCTGTAATCCCAGCTACTTGGGAGGCTAAGGCACGAGAATCGCTTGAACCCAGGAGGCTGAGGCTGCAGTGAGCAGAGATTGAGCCACTGCACTCCAGCCTGGGCAACAGAGTAAGACTCTGTCTCAAAGAGAAAAAAAAAAAAAGTTTCTAATGAAGCAGATAAAGCCATGGATCACTTACTAAAAACTGGTTAGTCAATTCATTGCACCCAGGGTTTAAGAGAAGTTTACCAAGACACATCCAGATGTATTTTTATGTATCATATTCCCCAATTTAAAACCTTCTCTTCTCCAAGAATACTGACTGAATTCCCAGTCATTAAAAGGAAGAAAATGTTGTATTCTGGGCCCATACAAAATTGGGAAATGCCATAAGCCTAGTGTACGCAGAGGACTAGAGTAAGACTACAGCTGCATTTTGACAGACAATGCAGGCATCCTCAATGTCCTCCCTATTTTTTTTTCCATCCTCTTTGACTTGATAGGGTTCTATGTCACTGAAATTGGTTTTAACCTTTATCTTCAGTGTCTTTAACTCACGGTAACTCCCAACGCAGCTAAAGGAACAGTCCACTTCAACAACACTATATTTGCATATTAAATCACATCTTATCAACACAGCTGATTACATTTAATATACTATATAAAATGCAGTCATGCAATGGTTCACACCTGTAGTCCCAGCACTTTGGGAGAATGAGGCAGGCGGATCACTTGAGCCCAGGAGTTCGAGACCAGCCTGGGCAACATGGTGAAACCCCATCCCTACAAAAAATACAAAAATTAGATGGGTGTGGTGGTGCGTGCCTGTAGTCCCAACTACATGGGAGGATTGCCCAGGAGGTTGAGGCAGTAATTAGCTGTGATCATGCCACTGCATTCCAGCCTGAAATTTTAAAATAACATATTATGTAATAGAAGTTATACGCATTATTCTTGTTTGTTTTGCAGAATGATTAGAAACTGACAAATAAGGTAATCTGAGTAACTTCTTATGCTTCACAGGCCCTTGGGGAAATAACACGACAGAGGCAAGGCCCCACACATCTTATCCATCAAGCTCACTTCCCAGGATTATACCTTATTTTACAGCTGCAACCCTGGACTTGTATTAGGTACTTGTATCAGCTACTTGTATCAGCATTCTTAAAACGGTAGTCACTAGCCACATGACACTATTTAAACTTAAATTTTAAAATATTACTAAGATAAAATTTCAATTCGTCAGTCACACTAAACATATTTCAAATTCTCAATAGCAACATGGCTAGTGACTACCATAATGGTTAGAGCAGAAACTGAACATTTCAAACATTTCCATTATCACAGAAAGTTCTATTGAACTGTTTTAAAGCAGGCTCTTTATCATTCTGCTTACCACTCTTATTTTTCTAATGGCACACTGGTACTTCTTACACTTCAGCAGTTTTAGGACTGAATTAACACTTACCTTAACACTAAATGATGACTAACTGGGAGCAAGAAGGCTAGTTAAACAGGGGAGGGACATTATCACAGAAACTACAGGAACAGAAACGAAAAGGTGGTCTGGATTTTGAATCCACTGTCTTTAGCCTTTTTCAAGTAAAAAAAAGTCCTTCAAAAATCCAGTGAAAGCTATATCCCATCTCCCAGAAAAACACAAAAATCTGAATATAATTTCAGTGTATTCACAGATTCCCTAAACTTATCCATGTACCCAAGATCAAGAATCACAAGTTTACACGGATGACATTCCATTGAGCAGAATCTTTAAGCAGTCATTGTTTGAAAGCCACCAACCACCCAAAAAACTAAGTTAATGAGATTTTATGAAATATTTCTTTTTCTTCAGTAGGAATAAAATCTGAGGAAGAAGACAAGTCAGAAGAATACAACTCATTGGTACCAGATTGTACATTACCTGTATCCTTTCCTTGAGTGCCTTAGGATAGAAGTCATAGCCATTTTTTATGCCAATATGATATTTGCCTGAGGGATTTGTCCAGCTTGCAGGAATCTACAGAAAAAAAAAGAGTAACCTGTTCATTCACTAAATGCTTTCCAATTCCAATGATACACTACTGAGCAAAAAAGTATATTACTTCTACTCTAATAAGCTTAAATTGGATAAGGATGCTCATGTACAACAACGTGTTTAATACTCTAAGTAGTTACTTAATGTCTTTATCACTTCTTTTTTCTCATCCATAAATAATTCAACTAGAATAATACCTTCATTTATACAATGCTTCATGGTTTAAAAAGTGCTTTCAACATACACTATCTCAATAAACTGCTAAAATCTTGTAATAATCTTTTAAACGATCTCAAAGTGTTTTAAAACACTTTAAACTTTTAGTAGAGCGATGCAAACAGTACGCCTAGTTTACAAACAGAGAAAGCAAAGCAGCAGAGAAATCAAATTACTTGCCTGAACAAGAGGAAAGTTGAAAACTGGAACCTAGTTCTATCATGGAAACCAAAAATTCTGTATAAAGGATATGGGATTTAAAGTCAGATAAATCTGGCTCTGAATCCAAACTCTATCACTAACTAGAAGGAACCCACAGGCTTCTACTTCATCTGTAAAAGGAAGAAAATCTCTACCTTATTCTTGTGAACAAAAAAGTGAACTGAGCATCAACCAACATGAATGATCAATCAAGAAAATGTAGAGTATTCATATTCTTTGCAATCATGGAACCGTGGTCATCAAAACCAGCTTTTAAATATGTATAAATGACAAGGTTGAAACACTCAGAGCTGGTAGCCTCATCAATCCTCACTTGTGCAATACCTTTAACTCATCCCCATGTCCTTCATCCAATTACTTCCCAGGCAGAAAACTTTTGGATGAAATTTCCTCACAACTAAATAGAGGAAAACAATCATTCACAGAGCTTCAAGGAGCTAATACTAAATAGTGACCTTTTGAAGGCCTCTGTGCCATTAATCACTTCCAAATCAACTGGATGTCTGCAGAATGTGTAATTTCAAACACGCTGGCATACAAGCTAGCACTTTTCACTCAAAACTGAACCTTCTTTAAAGAATAGGAATTCTGAACTTTAATGTTTTTGCAACAGCCCACGGCAAAACAATAAAGCACTGCAACAACAAAAAGGGAAGTAGTCACTAGCTTTTAAATTCCAAGTATTTATTCACTACTGTCCCACTACACAGGTGGCTAGCAGCAACTTCTTTGTACAGACATTACAGAAAATCATGAAATGCCAAAAGATTAAATGAAGTAACTAATTAAAATAACTGCAAAATAGAAAGTCGTTAAGTTATATTTAATCACAATTTCTTAAAAAAACATAAAGTACAATAAAAACAATCCAATAGACATAATTTAATTATAAATGAGATCAAAGTCTGCACGGTCCATGGAACCAGATACTTCTCAAATCACAACTATGTATCTTCCTTACCACGAAGGCAGACTAGTTACAAAAATTACACCAAAAAAATCAGATAAAAGTTATAATCTGGGCTATCTGATCTAACTTTAGCCAAGTTAGAGTAAAGCTAACTTTATGAGGCAATTATGAAATTTTATTTTGCATATTTGAGTATTCTACATAAACAAAGTTATTTTTTCTAAGAATAAAATCTTTACATTTGACCATTTTAGGTTGGTATCTTAAAAATGGTTCTAATAACACAGTAACTACAATGTATTAAGACTGATTGTCATATGATACACGTAATCTTTTTAATTACCAATTACACCTCATTTCTCTGACTCTCTTAAAGAGAGGATGCCTAACAAATCAAACATTTTTCTTAACGGGCTAAGTGTCATCTGAGTGTTAGGGTACCATGCAGTGAAGCCCTCTTAGAGGCTTTTGCTTCCAAATGATTTCAGTCTTGCCAGCCTCATCACACAGGCCAGGGCACACGCACAGTTTCCTTTGGCTGTCACTGCATCTAAGTACCATGCTGAATCTGGCCAAGTCATTCATTATGCCTGGATTTATCTTTATTTTATTTTTTTTAAAAACCAAAAATATTTAAGACTAAGTGTTGATTTTTAAAATGACTTCCAGTTAAATGTGGTAAAATGAAAAAGGTACTGTGCTTCCTTCCAAAATGCTACTAAAATTAGAATAAAGGAAGTCGGGGAAGCATCCAAAAACGAAGGGACAAAGAGAATACGAAAGAGACTTCAGAAGCTCACCACATTTTGAAGGGTGCCAAGTGAAAAGAAGGCATTAAAAATTAGAGTGAAAATTGTGGAACACATGGTGTTGGGACAACTGGGTCTTTTTACAGAAAAAAGGAAACAGAACTCTTCAAACTAAGCATATAAAATCACTTCCAGGTGAATTCTAGAACAAACAGAAGAGAAAAGCTGTGACACTTCTTAGAAATATAGGAGAATATCTCTATGATCATGGGGTCAGAAAACATTTGTTATACACTGCTAGTGGAAATGTCTTTTTTTTATTTTTTTGAGAAGGAGTCTCGCTCTGTCACTCAGGCTGCTGTGCAGTGGCGCCATATTGGCTCACTGCAACCTCTGTGTTCTCCTGTCTCAGCCTCCCTAGTAGCTGGGATTCAGGTGTGCACCACCATGCCCAGCTAATTTTTGTATTTTTAGCAGAGAGGGGGTTTCGACATGTTGGTCAGGCTGGTCTTGAACTCCCGACCTCAGATGATCCAAAGTGCTTGGCCTCCCAAAGTGCTGGGATTACAGGTGTGAGCCACCGTGCCCGGCCTGGAAATGTCCTTTAATACAGACACTTGGTCAAGAAGATGTCCTGTCCAGTTAAAAAACAAACAAACACGCACTTGGAAAAACTGTTTGGCATGACCTAGTGACATATCTCCATGATTCAGCAATTCTACTCCTATGCACACATTCTGGAGACATCCACACACATGTGCACAGGATACACACACATCACAGCAGAATGGATAGAATGTAGTAGGTACAAACCATGGCATATTGCACAGCAATGAAACTTAATAAATCATTGCTGCCCGTGACAACATGGGCAAGTCTCAGGAATCTGAAATCTCACAACACCAAGGGAAAAATGACGTATGATGAAATTTTATGAATGAAATGAGACTGTTTATGTAAAGTTCAAAACTAAACAATATATTTTATGTAGCCACACAGATATGGTAAAACTACACACAAAAAAGCAAAGGAATGATTATCACAAAAGTTGAAATAGGCTGTGATATAGGAGGATGCAGGAAGTTTCTGATGTACGGCAATACTCTTTATCTTGATCTGGGTGGGTACAATGGTGTTAGCTATACTATTCATAAAACTGTATATATGTGTTTTATGTATTTTATGTATGTATATTTTGCAATAAAAGGTTTTAAAGTTCTATTCACTTTTGTACTTTTATCTGCTCATGGGAGTACCATAGGTCATAAGTAGCTTACCACTGGTTTCTCAAGGAAGCCTAGGAATATCATCCTTAGAGAATGAGGCTACTAAAGTGTTCAAAGCACCTAACTTAACAGTTGATCTTAAACTGACAGAAAAATAAAAGTCTGTTAGCAGTTTATGGGCTATGTGGAAAAAACAGACTATAAACATTTAATTCATTTCAAAGCATGACAGCTGGGCGCGGTGGCTGACATTTGTAATCCCAGCACTCTGGGAGGCCGAAGTGGGTGGATCACCTGATGTCAGGAGTTCGAGACCTGCCTAGCCAGCATGGTGAAACCCAGTCTCTACTAAAAATACAAAAAATTAGCCGGGCATGGTGGCGGGTGCCTATAATCCCAGCGACTTGGGAGGCTGAGGCAGGAAAATTGCTGGAACCCAGGAGACGGAGGTTGCAGTGAGCCAAGATCACACCACTGCACTCCAGCCTGGACGACAGAGCAAGACTCTGTCATAAATAAATAAATGAATAAATAAATAAATAAATAAATGCACGACTACATCAAAGAAACTTGAAGACTTCATTGTGCTGCTTTCTGAAAACTATGTACTAAAGAGTTGCAGAGATGCAACTAGTCAGAATCCCAGTGATTAATAATTCTTCCTTTTATTGACTACTGCAAAATATCTAAACACCTGCACATCCCTGAAAAAAATTAAACTGAACATGTGTGTGAGTACATGTTATGGATGGATGGAGAAGAGAGTTCTGACTAAGAAGACTGGCGGAAAATTTGTATAAGAGCACTCCCATTGCCCCATCCCACATCCTGCCCAAACTTCACCAACCAAGCTGAACCAGAGAAAAGCTGACATGTCAACAAAGCAAAGAACAGGTGATATGGTTTGGCTCTGTCTCTACCCAAATCGCATGTCGAAATATAACCCCTTCGTGTCAGGGGAGGGATGTGGTGGGAGGTGACTGGATCATGGGGGTGGATTTCCCCCTTGTTGTTCTTGTGATGATGAATTATTACAAGATCTAATGGTTTAAAAATGCATGGGGGCTGGGCACGGTGGCTCGCGCTTGTAATCCCAGCACTTTGGGAGGCTGAGGCAGGTAGATCACCTGAGGTCAGGAGTCTGAGACCAGCTTGGCCAACATGGTGAAACCCTGTCTCTACTAAAAATACAAAATTAGCCGGGTGTGGTGGCAGACACCTGTAATCCCAGCTACTCAGGAGGCTGAGGCAGGAGAATCGCTTGAACCCGGGTGGCAGATGTTGCAGTGAGTTGAGATCGCGCCATTGCACTCCAGTCTGGGCAACAAGACCAAAACTCCGTCTCAAAAAAAAAAAAAAAAAAAAAAGCATGGCACTTCTCCCTTTGCTGGCTCTCTTTCCTGCTCTATCATGATGAGAAGACATGTCTTGTTTCCCCTTCACCTTCCCCATGATTGTAAGTTTCCTGGGACTCCCAAGTCATGCTTCCTGTTAAGCCTGTAGGACTGTGAGTCGATTAAACCTCTTTTCTTCATAAATTCCCCAGTCTCATGTAGTTCTTCATAGCAATGTGAAAAGGAACTAATACAAAAAGGATGAGACATAAAAATGAGTCTGCATGACATCACTCCAGGCCCCTTGCATGGTGTGGTTACCTGAATACCTACGGCCAGACTTCTTGCTCACTCCTCCCCTAAACCCCAGGCCAAATGGGCTAAGGACTTCTTTAAGGTAACTGGGCATCCTGAGGGAAAAAAATATAGTGTATACTGATATTATGGGGGTTCCCCTAAATGTTATCATTACCCTATAGTGAAACCCACCAAAAGACCCTACATAAGCAGAGGAGCTTCCAATCACCTTTTCTTGTGCCTTGCTAAAATAAGACAGCTAGGGATGATTAGACACCTAAACAAAATATCTAACATAAAAAGCAGAGAACAAGGAAGAGGAGGCAGAGAAAGAGGAAGGAGAGGGTGAAGAAAAAGGGAGAAAGGAGAGGAGGAAGCAGAATAGGAGACTAAGAAAGGAGAACAGGAGGAAGGGGAGGGAAGAAACAATGAAATAGAAAAAAATTAAAATTTTATCTCAGAGATAAAATGTTGCATACATGATACAAAAATATGCTCCCAGTGAACATGAAGGGGCTTTTGCAATTAAAAATAGGCAAAATTTTAAAAAATTCACACAAGGGTTACAATGTTGAGAAAATGCTGGAAATCTCTCAGGAAGGAAAAAGATTAAGGCAATGAAGAAAAGGTGGAAAAAAATTTAAAAATTGGAGGATCAAGTCAAGAGGTCCAATGTTCAATTAACAGGAGTTCCAGAAAAAAACAGCAAAACAACGGAGAGGAAGTTACCTAAGAGAAAATGCAAAAAAAATTCTTGGAAATAAAGGACCTGAGAATTAAACTCTCTTCTTCCACATATTAATTCTACAAGTAAAGATTAAGACTAGAAAAAAAAATCAAGAAATAAAAAATATTAGCATGTTATTTTAAACTGAAGATAATTTAATGTATTAATGTACTGTTAAAGTAGAAAACAGTAGGGGAGAAGTGGGACAGGATTTAACTCTTTTTGTTAGAAGCCTTGTAAAAATATTTGTCTTTTTAAACTATTAAGACATACTGAACACAATTAAAAATTAAGTTTAAAAACCCACAATGAGGGGCTGAGAATACTTAATGTTAGAGCTAAAGAAATACGTCACCAAGCTGAGAAAAGACAAACCTTATAATTTTTTTGACTTTATTTAATAGCAATACATATGGTACACATATAATTCTACCTTTGAACACTAGTGATATTATTAGTTCATGTGGTTTATCTAAAGCCGGGATTACTGCAGCTATTTAAAAATAAATGAGGCCAGGCATGGTGGCTCATGCCTATAATACCAGCACTTTGGGAGGTCGAGGTGGGTGGATCACTTGAGGTCAGGAGTTTGAGACCAGCCTGGCCAACATGGCAAAATTCCATCTCTACTAAAAACACACAAAAAAATTAGCCAAGTGTCATGGCGCATGCCTGTAATCCCAGCTACTCGGGAGGCTGAGGCAGAAGAATCACTTGAATACAGGAAGCAGAGGTCGAGGTGAGCCGAGATTGTGCCATTGTACTTCAACCTGGGCGACAGAGTAAGACTCCATCTCAAAATTAATATAAATAAATAAATGCTCGAGTAATACTTTATATGGCTCTAAGCCTGCAAGACTTACTAGGAATTCTCTCTAGCTTCTCAGAGTACCATAGCTCACAGGAATCCCAAGTTTCCCTTTGAAACATATTCTAATAACAAGGTTGACTTGGGGGAAGACAGGCCAAACTCTAGAGTAATTCAGAAGGCTGAGCATTTCTAACCCGAAAATCTGAAATGCTCCATTGACCATTTCCTTTGAGTGTCATGTTGGCACTCAGAAAGTTCTGGATTTTGGAGCATTTCGGATTTTGGATTAGGGAGGCTCAACTGGTATATTCAATGCAAATATTCCAAAATCTGAAACCTAAAACACTTCTGGTCCCCAGCGTTTCAGATAAGGGATTCTCAACCCGCACCGTAAACTGGATGACTCTGACAATTGAAACTTATTTTTTCATAGTTCTAGGGGCTGGAAGCTCAGCATCAGGGTGCCAGCATGGTTGAGCATAGGTGAAAGCCCTCTTCCTGGCTTACAGAGGCCACCTTCTTGCTGTGTCCTCATATGCCCTAGAAAGAGCTTGCTCTAGAGAGAGCTCTCTGATGTCTCTTCTTATAAGGGTACTAATCCTATCCTGAGGGGACACATACTCATAACCTCATCTAACCCTAAATACCTCCCAAAGGCCCAACTTTCAAATACCAACACAAAGAGGGATAGGGCTTCAATGTATGAATTTTGGCAGGGGGTGGGGACACAGATAATCAGTTCCTAACACACAGAAAAGGAAGTAGAACCTGGATTATTAATGGCTGCTATCTGCCCATGACAGGCAGATTTCTAAGAAGACCCACGTCCCTCCCCTAAGTGAAGGCAGGACCCGTGAATATAATGAGATGTCACTCCCATGATTGCGTTATGGTACGTAAAGAAGGTGTAGGGATTTTGCAGACGCAATTAAGGACTCTGAGCAAATCAAAAGTGACATGATTCTCAGCGGGCCTGAACTAATCAGGTGAGTTCTTTAAAAGAAAGACTGGGGTCATCACCAAGGTCAGAGATTCTCTTACTGGCCTTGAAGAAGCAAGCTATCATGAGTTTTACAGCTGCAATGAAATGAATTTTTCCAACAATCATGTAAACTTGGAAAAGAAGCCTGAGCCTCAGCTGAGCCTTTAATCTTGACTGCAGTCTTGTGAGACCCTGAGCAGAGACCCACAAAAAGCCATGCCTGGACTCCTACCCCATGGAATCAGTGATATAATAAATACAGGAATACACAAGGTTTTAGGCGGCTAAGTCTGTGGTGCTTTATTACACGGCACAGAAAGCCAATATGCTGCCACAACAAGCTTACTTAAAAGACAAGACCTAAGAACAATTCAGATAGATGGCAAAAGGTGGGAAAAGCTAACTAAATAACCATAATTTTATGTTCCAAACTAATGCTGCTTAAGAGTACAGGATCACAAATTCTTGCCATCCATCCTTCATGCTCCTTAGCTCATGAGCTCCTCTGTGCTTGCTTTATAATTATTTTTTACGTTTAGCTTACCCAGGCCTTTCTACCAAGGACATAGAATAAGACAAAGCTGGTAGGCCGAGTGCCCTGGCTCACGCCTATAATCCCAGCACTTTGGGAGGCTGAGACAGGCGGATCACAAGGTCAAGAGTTCGAGACCAGCCTAGCCAAAATGGTGAAACCCTGTCTCTACTAATCATACAAAAATTAGCTGGACGTGGTGGCGGGCACCTGTAATCCCAGCTAATTGGGAGGCTGAGGCAGGAGAATTGCTAGAACCCGGGAGGCGGAGGTTGCAGTGAGCCAAGATTGCACCACTGCACTCTAGCCTGAGCAACGGAGCAAGACTCTATGTCTCGAAAAAAAAAAGAAAAAAAGAAGTTTAAAAAAAAAAAAAAGACAAAGCTGGCCATTTAAGTTAACAGCTACTATAGCCTAAGTATTTCTTCATGGTCAAGTTAACTGGGAATACTATGAAGGGACAGTAAAACATGAAGGCAAAGCTATGATGTGGTTACTTTCTCTATCTTTGTATTCAAAACATAAAATTTGGCAAGCTCACTGAAAAATACCGCCCAATTCTAATTACCTCATCAAACAACAAAATAATGGCTTCTTCTAAGACAGCTCCAATGATTCATTTCTTGTGAAATCCCTTCCCCTTAAGTGTGTGCTAGATTTATTAACTCACTTCCAATGAGCTCAATATAGTCAAGTGATAGGTGGTCCCTTAGAAGGTCACTTTTATAAAAAGCCTGTGGCTTTCATCGTGGGGACTCTCTCGGCTCACTCCCCCAGGGAAGGTGCTGCCAGGTACTGCAGCACTGCGGAGAGGCCCAATGGCAAGGAGCCAAGGCCTGCCAGTGACCCACCAGTAGGCTTGGAAACAAACTTCCCCTTCTTCTCCCAAGCTGAGCCTTCAGCTGAAGTCACAGCCATGGCTAACCATTTGCAACCTCCAGGGCGACTGGAACCCCGTTAAGCCACACCCAGATTCCTGACTCACAGAAACTCCGAGGTAATAAATATTTGTCATTTTAAACCAGGATGTTCTGAGGTAATCTGATATGTGGCAATGGATAACTAATACCACCACCAAATGTAAGGTAAAAACATTAGATGCTTTGAGGCAAGAGTAAAAAAAAAAAAATTCAAAAAGAAGACAAAAGGTCTCACCTTAAGCACTCTTCCTGAAAGGCCAACAATCTCACCATCCTTTGGCTCTACTTCTGTAGCAGTATTCACATCGCCACTTCCTGTTGTATCAATGATATCAACGATTTTTGGTTTTCCATCAGTTGTAACCTGAAAATTAAGAAAATTAAAATATGAATGGTAGATTTTAGGTTTTTATTCCTAAACAATGCAAATCCACATATATATGTGTGTGTATATACAAAATCTACATTCACTTAAAAAAGAGAACTGAACTGTTTTAAGCCAAAAGCCTGAACAAATACTAGTAAGAAAATTTAATCGTGGAAACACTACAGAATCCTTCAAGTCGTTTCATATATTCAATAAACAAATATTTACTGAGCATTTACTATAGACCACACCCTATTTTAGGTGCTGGGGATATGGCAGTGATCCATACGCAAAAATCCCTGACGATCTTATAGCGAGAAAGCAGTTCAGTTAATAACAAAGTAAAATAAAGAACATGTCAGATGTGCTATCACACTGGGTATTAGGGAAAAAAAAGAACATGTCAGATGGTGAAAATTAACTATGGAGAAAAATTAAGCAGGGAAGGGAGATGGTCAGTGTGGGGTTTTCAACATAAGTTTGGCTGGTCAAGGAAGGCCTTGCTGAGATGGTAACATTTGAGAAAAGATCTAAAGATGGTGAGCTGTGGGCTGGACAAGTTTAGAGCTTTAGGGGGAAAAAATGTTTAGTAGTAATGGTACCATTTAATGGCACCATTATTGGATGCCACACTAGCACCTCAAACGCAACAAAGTTCAAGCTTAACATGCCCCCCACCACCTGATTTTCTCCAGGCTTTGCCATCCCAGGAATCCCCACGCCCAGCTGTTCACACTGGAAACTTAACAATCCTCCTCTGATTCTTTACTTCAGTTGACTCCTCACAGCGAAGCTAACAGGAAATCCTGTTAATTCTTTGTCTAGAAGAGAGCTCAAATCCATTGCATTTTCACTACCACTATCCTAACTTTCCAAACCACCACCATCTCTTGCCTCCATGAGGTGAATTACCTAAGTGGTCCCTCAGTTTCCACTCTTGGCCCCATCAAAAGTAATACAGGCTGAGTGACCCTAACCTGAAAATTCCAAATGCTCCAAAATCATGGACATGAAGTTCAAAGGACATGTTCATTGGAGACTTTCGAATTTGCGATACTCAACCTGTATTAAAACAAGCTGTATTTTATCAGTCCTCTCCTTTAAGCCCATCAATGTATTCATGGAGCACTCAGAATACTCGCATAAAAAGCCTCGCACCATCTGACCCCTGCCACCCCGTTACTCAGGAGTCTAACCACGCCAACCTCCTTTCAATTCCTGAAACATGCCAAACTTTTTCCTGCCTCATGACTTTTTAAACAGGTTCCTTCTGCCTAGAATTCTTTATCTCTTCAGTTGTTCCACAGGATTCTATCTTCTCTCAGTTTTCTATTAAAGTCCCTCCTGCAGAAAGGCCTCCTCGATGACCTCCTTTAGGTAGCTGCCATCCTAAACTGGATTATTTTTTCTCACTGTACCTCATTTCCTTCACAGAACATAATTCTATTTCTAATGATACAAGTAGGTGATCTTCATCTGTTCCCCCTATTAGAATAGAAAGCTCCATGAAGGCAAGAGCCATGTCTACTTTATTCACGAACATACATATACCCACTACCTAGCAGTGCCTGTCAGGCATTCAATGAATACTTCATTACTGAATTACAAGACACAAGTTACTTAGCACTAAGACTGATTTTCAAAGGTTTGATTTCTTGCCAGTCCACAAATTTTCATTTGAGCCATAACATGATTGCTACAAGTAACAATATATATTTTTACACATTTTTGTGGGAAAATAATTTCTGGGCTCTTTCTTGGCTGGCTTTCCAAAGGGAATTTGTTGCATTCAGGAATATGTACTGAGTTACCAGCAGGAATCAGCCAGAAAACAGAGACACAACGACTGAAAAAAAAACAAAAAACGAAAAACAAAAAAACAAAAAAACAAAAAAACTCCATCCTCAAGAAAGAAACAGAAACATAAAAACCGTAGAAACTGTCAGTAAAGTGGAAGAGCACAGTCTTCAGACTCCAATTCCACCTGGAGAATTCACACTCTTTACGACAAAGCTTAATGTCCACTGCTCTGGGTCTTTCTGACCAACATGCCCCTCACCCCAACACAAGTATTTCCTCTGCAATAACCTCCAAGCTCTGTAATTAAGGTATACCCTGAAGAAGGAGAGGGAAATTCTCGATGTGGAGAAAACAAAAGCACACATTTTTTTTTCCTTTACCGGACAAAGCAAATGGGTGGTTGGTGGACCCCAAATCTCATTTCAATCTTGTTGCCATGGAACAACTGAGGGCCTGATAGCTGAAGGGGTCATAAAGGCCTCCCAGGCACAGCTGTTATTTTCATGTATGGTAATTCTCAAGTTGGATGTTTACTTCTTGGGAACTGTCCTATAATAGTAACAAATAAGAATTCTAATACTCAGAAAACTCAAAGTCATAATTAAAAAAAATCACTGTGGGAATCATACCAAACCCTGATACAACTATAAAACTTAAATCAGATACTGATTCTGAAGAGATAGGCTATATGTCTCAAAAATATAATTAAAAAAGAGAAAAATGTAAGAAAATCTACCAAAATAAAAATGGAAACAAAATTAAGTTGATACTACTTTATAAAATTAAAACTAGCTAGGTCATGTACTAATCATATAAGAAAATCACCTATTTTAAAATGTATTCCAATATGAAATTTGAAAGATATACAGTAGCACTAAGAACCCAAATCACCTATCTTCACCTCAATAAGCAAACCTGAGTGACTTGAGATCAAGAATAACAAGAGAGCACTAACAAGTCAGATAGATCTCTCATTAGAAACCTCATTATCAATATATTAGCAAAGGAAAAAAGCCTAATGGGATTTAATGGCTTATTTGTCACCTATTTCCACATGCTTTACTTACAAGGATCTCTCTCCTACACACACAAATTTTCATTACAAATTATTATACATGCAATTATCCTATCCATGAATTTCTTACTTTAATATTAGATAAAGAAAACCACTTCACTAGACATAAAAAGACAAAAACAGAAATGTAGGGTCAGAGGAGGGTTTTAAAAAGGCAAACCCCCTGAGGATTTGCCATGGTGTTTTGGGAGAAGTAAAGGAAAGGAGGAAGCTGAACTGCTAACAATGGAACTATATCACTCATCTCTGAGAAGGGGGAGGCTTCACATGGGAAAGAGGGACTGAAAGCATGGGCAGTTAGTATCGGTAAGAGCTTCGGTATTAAATCCTGGGTCCTGGGGTGGGAGACTGGGAAATGCTTACTGGGCTATGTTGGCTGGATGAAACAGAAATTGCCCAAAGCTTTTCCCAAAATGTCAAGAATCTAAGTTAGTGTATGTCTTCAATGTAACCAGTAAGGTAGAGGAGTTAGTGAAGGTTGGAAGATTTGCCAAACATTTGCAGAGAGGACCAGAACAAAAGGTAGGACATTTGCAGAGAGGACCAGAACAAATGGCGGGAAGTTTGCAATCTATCATAAACAACACAAAGTTAATGAGTTGACTTAAAATTTCAGGAAAGGTACTGAAAATATTCTTTTAAGCAAATAAAGATTTAATAAATATTAACCAGTGACTTTTATTCTAAGAATATAATGATTAATATAAATAAGACAATCTTTGCTTTTGTAAAGGTTACTATTGGTTGGAAAGAAAAAGTAAGTAGAGAGATGATGACAAAACAGGACAACAAATAATAGAGGTCAGGCCAGTCTGGGTAACACAGTGAGACCCTGTCTCTACAAAAAAATTAAAAAATTAGCTGGGTATGGTGGCACATGCTTATGGTCCCAGCTACTGCAGTGGCTGAGGCAGGAGGCTTGCTTAAACCCAGGAGTTTGAGGCTGAAATGAGTGGTGATCCTGCCACTGTGCCACTGTACTCCAGCCTGGGTGACAGAGTGAGACCCTGTCTTTGAGGGAAAAAAAAAAAAGAGGTTAGGACACTATCTATGAAAGCATACAAAAACATGTAAAAACACAAAACCCAACTTGGGGGGAATGAGGGAAAGCTAACTGAAAGAGAGGTAATAAAATTTTAGTGAATGTAAAAATAGAGTTTTATGAAACTACTCGTAACCTCCTCAAACCTTTTTTTTCCCTCTATGAGGAAATTATATTCCTTCATTATGCCCATATATATTTTTTCCATTCAACAAAAACATTTAACATTACAAGCACATGTCATACAATTTTGATACATGCTTTCAAAGATTTTTAAGTTAACCAGGAAAAAGTTATCTAAACAGAAACACTAAAATACATATTTCAGGTGCTATTAAGGGGATCTAAGCAAATTGCTATAACAGCAAAGAGACAAAAAGCCTAAATAACTCTTAGGAGGGATTGGGCCTTACTCACCTCTGAAGCTGCAGGCCCTAACACAATGGCAAACACACATAAATACGAGGTGGTGGGGGGAGGGGGCGCGCAGAATTAAATCAGTTGATTTTCCAAAACATAATGGTGTCAAGACCCGACTGGATCTTAAAGGATGAAGCAGGAGTTTACAGATGACGGATGGTAGAAGCCTGACGGAAGATGAAACGCCACATGTAAAGGCATGTATTGGCAAAAAGACCTGAAACATCTAGGTGAGTGTAAGAATGAAATGTTCAAGGGGAGGCAAAGGATGAAAGGTGGGGATGAAGGGGCTATGGACATAAGAAATGATGAGAACTGAGGCTACATAAGGAGGCCAGAGTTGGATGGCAAATGGCCTCATATATACCATTCAATTTTTTTTTTTAATTTTTACACAAAAGCAGTTGAGATTCCAAAATGGCTTTGTTTTAAATGAGGGTATAATACAAGGTTTTTTTTTTTTTTTAAGGAATCTAACTCTAGAAATGTGAAGGATGGATCAAAGAGAAACAAGACTGGTGGAAGGGAGACCTCCTGGCTATTGCATACATATATTCTGGTCTAGTCCAAGTTCCATCTGGTCTGTGAAACCTGACCAGTCCAGCTCTTACTGGCCAATGCTGCCCCAATCCCTGCCCCATCCCCCCAATAATCCTTGTCAATCTCTGCAAGAGTGACAGTTTGCAAGACTATATCATTTAACACAAACTTAGGCACCTGGTAGGTGCCTGAATATCTGCTGAGGAAATATGAAATCACTTACGTAACTACTACTCTTCTCATGCCACCCATCCTCCACTTGATCATGCCCACAGACCTGTCACAAAAGAATTGGGCCCAAGGAAGTCACCAAAGACTGAGACAACCCACTGTGTTCTTCCACGTTTTCACTTGTGCCTCTAGTCCTTTATTCAGACCCCACCCGGCTTTCCAAACTGCCAGTTCAGCCTCATCTTCCTCCTATTTCATTCTTTCCTTCCTTTTTCTTTCTATCCATCCTCTAATCTTAATGATGTACACATATATCTACAAAATAAATCTGTTAAAGGTACAGGAAAAAAAAATCCTCACGTTTGCAAGCCACCGTACCCAATTTCTTTTAACTGGCTATGTTTAGGCCAATATCTGAGTCAAGGTTGTTAAAAGAGAAGACTTATGCTTTCATTTTATTTCAATATTTTATCATCTGAATATTTATTACATGCAAATATCTAACATATATTTACCCTCCAAATAGTTGGTGATGAAAGATCCAGCATAAACTTCTATTCACTTATGGTGGGAGCTAAATATTGAGTACACATGGACACAAAGACGGGAACAACAGATACTGGGGATCCCAAAGGGAAGGGGTGGAAATAAGACTGAAACACTACCTACTGGGTACCACGCTCACTACCTGGGTGACAGGATCAATCACACCCCAAACCTTAACATCAGGCAATACCCCCATGTAACAAACCTGTACTTCTACCTTCTGAATCTAAAATAAAAGTTGAAATTATATATACAAAAAAGAATAAATATCATTGCCAAAATAGTTTAATATTTTTCTTGAGCATTTAAAAAAGTCACATGTAATTAGCCAGTCCTCTTATAATCAATTTTCACAACAAGGCTGTGGGGTGAAAATTATTGTTACTTTAGAGAGAGTAACAGAATAATGTGAGAAACAGATCTGGAAATTCTACCAACAAATTCTACCAAGCAGCACTTCTCCAAACTTTTCTGACCCTCTTATTATCCTGACAAAAGAACCGGTGAACCACTTATCCCAGCTGTTTTCCTCCCACTCATCCTATAAAAAGTAAACACACTCCACAGCTGAATGAAAAGCATTATTACTTTGTAATAAAGCCCCAAATGAGTTGATAGCTGTCATTGTTCTAAGTCTTTAAGTTATTAATACAACGACAACTATATAACTCCAGTTACCGGGAGGGAATTCAGTACCTGATCCTCTTCTGATTCACAAAAGATGTGCTGTACTCCAGAGTGGTGCTGAAGAACACACACCAGGAATCAAGATTCCCAGGGGTTTCTAAGCAGATTCGGCCAGACTCCCCCTCGTTACTTCCAAAATGCTACCTCAATAATCAGAAAGCACGATAAAGGATCCAGAAGGGAAGGGACATTGTGGGGAGGAGGATGAGTGTTTAGTGTAGAAAGGAGGATAAGATAGCCAGGGGCTGATCAACGAGAGATCAGCATACAGTAGGATTAGTCAGGGATGCTGGGAGATGGATCTTGAATAACGGTGAAATTTTATTACTGGATTTCAGTAAAGGGTTAAAAGTACAAAAGTTAAACTTTAAAGACTTTAAACAGAATGCTTTTAACGAGAGACAACATACTTTCAAAAAAACTACCTTCTGGTATGATACCTTGAATCTACAGATTTTAAAGTTGCCTAAGGCAAAAAACTAAGTAATTTTTAAAAACCGTCGTATGTTTTCAGGTTTAAAAAAAAAAAAGTCGCATATTTTCATAAGGTCTGAGAAGCTCGCCAAAACCAAACCTAACTGAATTCTCCTTATGTAAACGAAGACTAAGCCACAAGATTCAATGACCCTAAGCAAACACGCTGCAGAAGACCGTTTAAAAATAGAATACACAAAACTACCACAGGAAACAATTCCGGAAGAGGACTGGGTTATCTTCTGGAAACCCAGCTTTCGTGCTTAAAGACAAACTATTCTTCCCCAAACCAAATCTCCCGATCCCTAAACATTAAGTTCTCACATGTCAGTTGCCTATCTGGTGTCTCCACCCCACCCCAATGATAAAAGCTGTAAAATTCTCTTTAAAAACGTCAGGCTGGGACCGGTGTCCGAGGCACGAGGGGTAGGCAGAGGAAGGCGGCGTGGAGGGAAGGAGCCTGGGGGGTCCGGCCTGGCAGCGCCGAAGCGAGAAGGAAGGGGAGTCCCTGGGGCCAAAGGGGGACCCAGGCTTCCCCAGGCAGCCGCGCCGGGCACGCTGCTTTTGTTGAGCTGGGGGGACCACGGCCCAACCTGGGGTCCGGGCCCTCGCCCGCCCAGCGACCCTGGCACTGTGCGCCGTTGAGTCCCCTTGGCGGGCGCCCGTCCCTCCCGCGCCTGGCTCTGACCTCTGCCCACCCCGGTGCTGCCCACCCCGGCCCGGACTCGGCCGCAGAGCGGGGCTTTGGCCTGCCGGGCTCCGAGACTGTGTCCCCACCCGCGTCCCCGGCCGCCCGCGCCCCCGCGCCCGGGCCCTCGGGGGCCGCCTCACCTGCATGCCCGGAGCCCCCGGGTCGACCCCCGTGTCCAGGACTGCGATGAGCACCCCCCGCCCATCATACTCCGGGTAGCGGCAGAGGAAGGAGGCGGCTCCGGTCTCCTTCTTCGGCAGGAGACCGTGAAAAGGGAAGGGCTCCTCAGTCGCAGCGGTGGCCATGGACGCAGGATGGAGGACGAGGAAGCGGCAAACTGCCAGGCTGCGCGCGGACTAGCAGCGCGAGGACACCCGTGCGGCCTCGGGCCGGAGGCGGGGGCGAGGGGCGGGGTCGGCCCGTCTTCCACCAATCCCGGCCTGCCAGGGAGCGGTGGCCAATCACGTGCTGCTACGTAAGCCAACGGCGCCGCTCTCAGGAGCTAGGCCCGAGTATTGCCCGGGCTGCAGTGAAGGGGGAGGAGTCTGAGGACATTACTGGAGGGTTCGGATCTCGAACCTGGGGCCTTGAAGAGGCCCGCGCTTGGGGTTTTTAGGCAACAGCAGGCCTCCAAGCAGAGTCCTGGTGTCCCGGACCGAATCACTCCCCGAGAGACGGGCAAGGAGATGGACCGCCAGCCAGGAATAATGGGAACCCTTCGCTTGGCAAACGATAGTTTCCAAACTTAAGGTTGTGGATGAAACTTTTTGGTGCGGCTGCTGCAGGAGCCCCAGCCCCGGGGTGCTGCTGACCCGAGGCAAGGGAGCCGGCGCACTCACGCTTAGCCGCTAAGGAGTCTGCGGTGTCGGCGAAAGCTCCGGACATGATTTTGGAAGGTCGTAGGTTAAGGGGTGTAGACTTTGGGTTCCCCTGTGTTGTTATGCCCCTTTGATGGGGGTGAGGTGGTGAGGGGGAGCAATAGGGTGGAGACAGGCAATAGTTTCAGTCAACAGGAAGTGGGTTGTTGGTCATTCCGTCGCCTTTGTAGCCAGTAACAAAGCACGAGACTGAAATGGGCCCCTCCTATCCTCTGCTGATCCTTAGCTTCCGGGATTTCTGAAAAACATCTTTTTTTTTCCTCTTACACTGAAGTTTCTGATTGCTCCTTACGGCTGTCCACTCAATTATAGAGCCATAATTTTCAGTTTTCCAGATTCACAGTGCCTGCCGTCAGTTGCTGCAAGCTGCATAGTGGTCCTCTAATGATCTTTATGTCTATGCTCATGCCAGGGTAATCTTAGCCTTTTATTGTGCCGAAGACCCCTTTGGCAATCTGGTGAGGCCTATTTCTCAAGCAGTGTTTTAAAATGCATACAATGAAATAGATAGGATTACCCAGGAAATAAATTATGTTTAAATGCAGTTATCAAAAATACTAAAGGCAATTTTGTTATATAGCAGGAGCTTTACGTGTGTGTGTATAGTTACAGGTGTACTTCTTTTGCATTAAATAACAGGAGCTAGGGCCAAGGCTAATAAACTACCATAACTTCAAAATAGTGAAGAATATAATTATTTGGAGATAGCGGTGAAAACTGCACTACGATGAACTGATTTTTATTGGTGACATAACAGCATAACTACCCTGGTTTTTGCCTACATTCATACTTGATGTGAAAAAAATTAAGAGGTTTGTATCTTTTTTCTACGGAAGTTTTTGAACCCCTTGGATTCTGTCTATGGACACCAAGTTAAGAATACCTGGTATAAAGGAAAGCCTTATGCATGCGGTTTCCAACCCACAGAATTTCAGAGATCCTCCATTAAGTCTCAAAAATTATTCTTATGGCTGTGCAATGGTTTCAGCTGATTCCTTGATCATTTATTCAGTCCATAAGTCTTACACAAGCATGTTCTCTTTAGTGCAGAGGAAAAAGAAAAGTTGAATGTTTTTCTTCTTATTCCCAACTGTTTACATTACCTCTAGAAAAGAATTTCAAATTAACACAGACGAAAACAGAATAACAAACTCGCAGAAGACATTCAGTATAGAGCTTATAGTGATAGAACAGAATGGCTCCCAGTTTCAAGTGAACCATAGTCCAATCACTTCATTTTATAGATGAAGAAACAAAGTTAACTGACTGTCATGGATTACAAAACAGGTTGATGAAAACACGGGATTTGTCTTCTCACAATCTCTCCCCAGTATGTTCTACCACACCATGTGCATGACTTTGCCAGAGTATCACCCAATGAATAAATGGGGAATGAACAGTTTATTATGAAACCTAGGTGGCAGACTTTTTATTAGACTGCCGTAACAATGTTCTTTAGATTTTTCTTTTCCTTTCCTTTTCTTTTTCTTTTTTGACACAGAGTCTCACTCTGTGGCCCAGGCTGGAGTGCAATGTCACAATCTCGGGTAACTGTAACCTCCGCCTCCCGGGTTCAAGCAGTTCTCCTGCCTCAGCCTCCCGAGTAGCTGGGATTACAGGTGCATGCCACCACACCTGGCTAGTTTTTGTATTTTTAGTAGAGACGGGGTTTCGCCATGTTGGCCAGGCTGGTCTTGAACTCCTGACCTTAGGGGATCCACCCACCTCGGCCTCCCAAGGTGCTCAGATTACAGGCATCAGCCACTGCACCCGGCCAGATTTTTCTTTTTTTGCTTACATATCCCATAAACATGTTTTTAAAAAAGTTATGTATCCCTTTGTACAGCTGTAAAATGAAGTCTAAATTTGTCACAATTTTTTTTTTTTTTTTTGAGATGGAGTTTTGCTCTTCTTGCCCAGGCTGGAGTGCAATGGCGGGATCTCGGCTCACTGCAACCTCCACCTCCCGGGGTTCAAGTGATTCTCCTGCCTCAGCCTCCCAAGTAGCTGGGATTACAGGCATGTGCCACCACACCCAGCTAATGTTTGTATTTTTTTAAATAGATACGGGGTTTCTCCATGTTGATGTCAGACTGGTCTCGAACTCCCGACCTCAGGTGATCCACCCGCCTCGGCCCCCCAAAGTGCTGGCATTACAAGCGTGAATCACTGCGCCCGGCCTATCATAAATTTTAAAAATTATAAAGGATGTAATTTCTGGCATAGTATAAATATCGTCATTATTTAATGAAACTTTCACGTTTCTCATGTAAATATACCCAGTTGAGTGTAACTCTGATAGCTACCATCAACTATTTATAAAATATCTGAACACTTAAAAGCAGACATTTTATATCACTATTTCTTCTGGAAACTTTATTTCCATTCTATATGGAATTTTTTCTCATTGTAATTTGCATTTATAATGGAAAGGCATATTGATAATGTATCATCATCTGCAATAAAAATATATTAATTTTAAAAATTTTCCTGGAAGAAAAATGTTAAACTTATTCTTTTGGGTTATCTTTCAGTTATTACAAAGTTGATTACAACAACATGAGTAAGTCTTAAGCTTTGATTAAAAATTACAGGACAAAAAAATTTTTATTGAAAATAGAGCTCTTAAAAAGATGCTTGGTATAAATAAGTCATGCTTCTGTTAATGACAGGACTAGTTAAAAGGATAAGATTTGTATGTCTGTGTCTCTTGTAAAATTGAATCATCAATTCTTAAGAAGCGAAACCAGGATATATAAGTATTACATAATATGCCCAGAAAGTAATGTGAACAAAATTCAGACGTACGTTGAAGCTCCCATTTTAAGAATCACTCATATGACAAATGTCATCTTTTGCTCTATAACCTTTGCTTAAATTGTAGAAAAGATGGATTTAATGAGACAAATGAAAAGTGGTTTAACATAACACACAGCAGAGCATATGCTGTTATGCTTTGGTGTTTGTTCCCTAGCCCTTGTTCCTCATAATAGATTGTGGAATGTTTCAAAAATGCTGTAACTTTTTTTTGCTAATTGTGGTCTTAACAAAAATTGTTCTTGATTTTAAAAAAAGATGGATAGGATTGGTTATTGAACTTTGATATTAAATAAAGTTTTAGTGATAGTATTTCAAATTGTCCCGTTATTTGATGCCCCAGAGGCTATTACACCTGCAGGTGGTGCATAATAGTAAGATTCGGGATGTGTTCCTTTTCCCTAAAAGGTGGGAGACCCAGCACTGAAATAGGTGCAAAAGAGAATCATGTCTTTCCGCCACAGGCACGCTGCCAGGCAGATAAGCTTAGAAAAAAGTGGTTGACTTCAGGCATCTGGAAATTGATTTCATCGAAACTATCCATGTACCAGTTTGAAACCCACTATTTTATATAACCCCTGAAATCACTTTAACTCAATACAGTCATTTACTGTTTGTCTTCAAGCCAAATGTTGTACATATTATAAGTGCTTACATTTTTTCCTCCTTTGATTTAATGACATTATCACTGGGGGGAATTTTTAATGCTAAGACAGTTTGTGTGACAGTTCATTGGATATTGGAAACAAGTAGAGAGTATAAGTAGAGAAACATGGATAATCTGTAATAATATATAATAATAAAACAAAAAAAAATGAGGAGGAGGAGGAGAGGCAAAAACAAGGTCAGTAGGCCTAGGCGTTGGTCATCTTATGGAGGGTAAAGTATTAATAATAGGCTGGACGCACAGCAACTTCTCTCACCCAGCATTGTTCAAAGCAGGAAGTGCTGAGTCAGATGTTTTTCCTGTCACCTGCCCCATTTGAGGCTGCAATCCAAGGCACAGGTGCTGTGGAAGGCAATAGCTTTCTATGAATCGCCTTCCTTGCAACTATTGCTGCAGCCTATCGTTTAGAGAATATTTTAAAATTTAATTTTCCAAGACTCTAGAGATTGCATAAGCATCCTACATGTGCCAGCCGCTGGGCTTTGAAATCTTCCTCTGCCTTGCAGCGAGGCCGCACCTCCCGTGGGCGGCTCCCAGCCCGTGATGGAAGCGAAGGGATGCTGGAGCAGATCTGTTTCGGGAGGCGGGCAATTTCGCGGACTGCTGTCTCAGGCTCCAGGACTCCCCGGCCGGCTTTGCCAAGTTGGACTGCGTGGTGGTCCAGGGCGCTTCCACCCAGCCTCTCTGCCTCTCCTATTTACTCGGCGTCAGACTTGCATCGCGGCCTGATGCCTCTCTCAGCTTTTTGTGGACCCTTGACTACCTGACCTCGCGCAGGCACTAACACGTATCCCTGCTCCTCACAACACGTCCGCCCCCACCCCGAGGACCCGAAACTAAAATAGCTCACACCAAAGAAACAGGTTCGGATGCATGAAGGTTCGCCACTGCTGCCCCCCAAAGGCAAAAGCCGTCGTTACCGTTTCTACCAAAGATAACTGAGTCCAAAAGCCAGGGCGACCTGATCAGCAAAGTTTAAGTTACAAGGCCGTGCCTGGCTGTATGGAAGCCTGATCAAGTAGTTCTGATTTCTTACCTGGAGAGCAGGACTGAAAATGTGGGAAATTCCATAAACATAGGAAAGCTTTCCAATGATGCCAGGAAATCGTGACAAATATCCACTTTGCTAACATACCTCCAAACCAAAGTAAACTACACAACATCAAGTTCCAGGTACTTGAGCCTCCAGTAATAAAATGGTAAACTAAGCAGTTTGGACCAGGCCTTCTGGTGAAAGTGAGAACTGGACAATGTATGAAAAATATCTGCTTGAAAGATACCTTCCTGAAGGATCAGAGAGCTAACAGGGTGGTGAAGAGTTCGCGTAAAAGACATAAATTCAGAGACTTAAGCCTAACATTTGAGACAGCTTTGCCTTTCAGGGCATTTGCCAGTGCGTAAAGAGGTAGCTGAGAGACAGAATTTTTTTTTACAGCCTCCCAGGGCTATGGGTACAAGAGTGGAGGCCAGAGCCTGCCAAGAGTGGGAACAGCATGGAAAACCTATATTTTGGGTTGAGGCTGCAAAGTCCACACCCAACAAATAGGAATAAATTGAAAGTAAACTTAGACTGGCCCCAGAGGGATATCACATTATAGATAATATTAAGTCCTGAACTTGGATCAAGGTGATTATTCTCAATGGTATATGTTCATTGGAATCATCTGGAGAACCTTAAAAATATCGCTACTTGAGCCCACAGATTCCCAGAATTCCAGATATTCTGATTTAATTGGTCTGGATTTTCGCCTGGGCATTGAGATATTTTATATCTACCCAGATTATTCTAATGGGTAGCCAAGGCTGAAACCCACTCAGCTAGTTCTGCCTGGCAGAAGCAAAATACTTTAAAATACCTATATTTACTCCATTCAGGAAGATAAAGATATAGTTGAGCATTTGGGCAGAAAATCAGAAACTTAAAAAAGACAAAGCCAATTTAGAAAGAGCCAAAAAGAAATTTTAGAACTGAAAAATACAAAAGCAAAACAAAATTAGGAACTCAGTTTCTTAATTAAGAAACTCGGTTTCGTAATTAAGAATGAGTTTCATAGTTACTGTCATTTAGCCAAAAAGAATTATAAATTGCAAGAAAATACTAAAAAATACCTGGAAAAATAAAAGGATGAAAAACACAGAAGAGATGAAAAGAGTAATAGATGTAATAGTGGGAAGTTCTAACAAGCTTTTAAGAAATGAGAAAGAAAATGCTTTAGAAGCAATATCTGAGAGTTGAAAGCCTATATATTCAAAAAGTCTGATGGCCCTGAAGCAAGATAAATTTTAAAAAATCTACATCTGGGGACATCATAGTAAAAAAAAAATGAAAAGGCAAGAGTAGTTAGAGAAAAAAGATTACTTTCAAAGAAGCAGCAATTGATTGAGAACCGATTCCAAACAGAAATGAAGAAAACCAGGAGACAATGAGACGACAGCTCACCCATGCTGAAAGAAAATAATCGCCAACCCAGAATTCTGTAGCTAATGAAAACATCCTTCAAGAAAGAGAACATGATCAAGACATCTTCAGAGACGCAAAGGCCGAGGCAATGTGTCACCAGAAAGACAGCAAAAAGTAAATACTAAAGGATATTCTTTGGGCAAAACAAAAATGGGCCAGGCACAGTGGCTCACACCTGTAATCCCAGCACTTTGGGAGGCCAAGGTGGGTGGATCGCGAGGTCAGGAGATCGAGACCAGCCTGGCCAACATGGTGAAACCCCATCTCTACAGAACTACAAAAATTAGCCAGGCATGATGGCGGGTGCCTGTAATCCCAGCTACTTGGGAGGCTGAGGCAGGAGAATTGTTTGAACCTGGAAGGTGGAGTTTGCAGTGAGCCGAGATCGCGCCAGTGCACTCCAGCCTGGGTGACTGAGTGAGCCTCCATATCAAAAAAAAAAAAAAAAGACTCAGACACCCCAAAAGCTATATCGAAGTTGAATCAATTTCAGAATGGTGTCTTTTATTGTCAGTTAATGCAAGAAATTTTTTTAAAATGCCTTCCCAGGCCAGAGATGGGGAGATGTACTTTTAGCATTATACGGCTAGGGTTATTACTTTACACAGAAAAGAGCCGATGTTATGTAAATAGGAGAAATGTGATTTTTTCATATAGGAAAAATAGGTGCTTTTGACAGGAAATTAATACTTGGAGTGGTGAGGTGTGTTTAATTTCACGTATGTCACAAAACATGGTGAAATCTCTCACCATTTTCCTCTCATCTGTGGGACCAGAGCTGCCTTTTCTCCCTTTCTCCCCAACAGCTCTGAACAGCTGTCCTGGGGACCAGAGGCTCACCCTTCCCTCTGCAGAACCAGTAGAAACTGGGCAGAACAGTGAATCCATTTACCTCCAGAGGACACTAGAGACTGTAGGTTTAAAGACATAAGAGAATTATGTGGCAGATGGCCTTGATTATTTGTGTGGGGCAGATGGTATGTACGGGGAAACACAGAGCGGGGGCTTAGGCGGGAGCTTCCCTTCGTGGGCAGCATCTTGCATCTGCAAGCTTAATCCTGGGCACGAGGCCCAATTCTATGCTCCTCTTTGTTGCCTTCTCCAGCTGTGAGACATTCACTGGAATTTTCAGTAAATAACTTCTTAGGACCTCTGTGTTGATCAGGGATAGTCCAGGCTATGCTGTGGCAGAATACAAGCCCAAATTCCGGTGAGCTAAAAGACATTGCCCTTGTCTACTCATTGCAGCATCTCCATTCCTGGTTGGCTGAGAGCTCTGCTCCAAGCTGTCACACCTTTGGATTCAGGTTGAAAGGCTGCACTGTCTGGAATGTAGCTGGTCACCACGGCAGGAGAAACAAGAACATGGGGAAATAGGCATCAGCTTCCAGACCTTCCATCACTTCTGCTCACATTTCATTAACCAAAGCAAGTTTCATGGCCGCGGCCAAGTCCAAGGAGGCAGAAAAGTACAGTTCTATCGTGTGCCCATGGGGACAGTCTTCATCCATTCAGGCTGCTATAACAAAATACCGTAAACTGAGTGGCTTGTAAATAATAGAAATTCATTTCTCACAGTTTTGGAGGCTGGGACATCCAAGAGCAAGTTGCAGACTCAGTCTGGTGAAGGCCCATCTTCTGGTTCATAGACAGCTGTCTTTTTACTGTGTCCTCACAGGGGAAGGGGTGAGGGAGTTATCTGGGGCCTGTTTTATAAGGGCGCTAATCCCATTCTTGAGGGCTCCACCTTCAAATACCATCACTTTGGGGGATTAGGTTTCAACACATGAATTTTAAAGGAACACATATGCAGTCCATAGCAGGAACAATAACTTGGACTTTTGGATGGTCCTGATTGCCCCCACAGCCTCACTGATGTCCACTTTGTTTTCACCCTAGTGAAGCATTGGTAATGGAGTATCTATGAGGTGGGGGACTGGCAGGACTTATTTCCTGGTGCCAATGAATGAGGTGAAGAAACCGTAGGAACCAGCAGATGGTGACAACAGTGATCCCTCGCTGCCCTCATTGCTCATTGACATAAAACAGTCCCACCAGTGCCGTGACAGTTCTCAAATGCCATGGCAGCAACCCAAAAGCTACACCTTTTTCCGTGGCAACTACCTGGAAGTTACCTCCCCTTCCCTAAAAAGTTCTAAATAACCCAACCCTCAGTTTGCATTAACCCACCCCTTAATTTGCATGCAATTGTAAGTGGGTATAAGTGAGTATAAACCCAGTTGCGAAGAGCCCATATGCTGCTCACTCTGGGTGCACTGCAAGGAGCAGTGCTGTTCAGTAAAAGGTTGCTAACACGACTGGCTTGCCCTTGAATTGTTTCCTGAGGGAAGCCAAGAATCCTCCCAGTTTTGGTGCTCTCATGTCCTGCATCATCTACAACAGGAAGTGCCCCCCCCCATGGTTAGTAACCTTGTGTGAACTGCTAGACAGACAGTAGGAGGCCTCTACTCATGGATAACCCCCTGGATAGAAGAAACTACCCCAGGTCATCTGAGAGTCCTATCTTCCTAACTGTGTACCACCTAGCACTTGAGTGCTTCAGAAATGGTGGTTGAACTACACTATGTCCTCCCTGGCCAAAGAATTGTGTTCTACCATACCCAGTGATGTCTCACACTGCTTCTAACTCAGAATAGGTTCTCAAATCTTTGTGCATTTGCCCAATTTATTTTAATATCAAATGTTTACACTATTTGGTAATTACTGATTGCATAGTCTCTCTAACTCTATTACTTGGTGTTCTTAGGAGTGAGAAAAAAAGAATAATACAAAAACAGGATAACATTATGTGTTGTAGTATCACAGAGAGAAAGGAATGCCCAAGAAACATTGCAGCTTGAAGAGTGTAAAATTCTCTAGACTTAAATTGTGTATCCTTCCAGAAATGTCGTATGCATACAAAGAATATGATGCATATATTTCCTCTTTCCTTTTTTACACAAATTGTAGTATACTATACTCACTGTCCTGCACTTTATTTTTTTCTTTGTTTTTTGCTTCACAATATTTCCTGATGAATATTCGTACGTAGAATTTTATTCTTTCTTGTTAATTAGGCGTACTATTAATTTGTTTGGATATATCAGTTTATTTAACTCCATGTGTTTGTTTTTAAATCTCTTGAGAAGCTGGAAATGGGTCCTTTCTTGCAAGTACAGTTGTTTCCAAAACATAAGCCTTTTGGGTAATAAAGGTCATCATTTACTTTAGTTCTGACAAAGTCAGATGTCTGTATATGGCTTATATAAGTTCCACTCCCATCCTTAGAGGCATTCAACCCACAGTCCCTGCTAAGTGGGCCGGAAGAATGTAACCCACTTACCTTCTGGCCACAGACGATAGACCAGGAGTAGAGTCCTGACCCGAGGCAGAGAAGAAGCAAATGGGTATGTAGTGTGTGATGGGGGCTTACAGTGAGCTTCTGATCCAATCAGCTTCTGCTTTTGGGTTGACAGGTGATTCCTTTGTATCCTTAAATTTGACACTTTTATTTGACATCATATGGAATTTTCCCTTACTTAAAGCAGCTTCTGCTAGAACAGGGCATATAGTACTTACTTTGTTTCACCTCAATTCCTGATGTATATTAATCAGCAAAAACATTCTCTCACTGAATTCCATGACAATAAATCACCATGAGGATGGCAGACATGTATTAAATCAGACAAGCCATTGTCCAAGGTGTAGTTCCTGCCCTGTGGTGCTTCACTGGATAGGCTCATGCCTGGACCTGCCTAACTGGGGCTGTTGTCAATTGTGGCACCTGCGTGGGACTTCATAAAACCTGTCCATCTGCCCACATTTGGAATGTCAGAAAAACTTGCCAGGTTTAAGATTCCAGTTAAAGGCGAATCTCAATGATGATACCGAACATCCTGAAGTGAACAAGAGAAGCCAACAATATGGTAGCAAAAGCATCTGGGCAGCAGATAAAGGGTTTTGTCTTCTAGGTCTAGGTCTGCCACTAATTAGCTACCTGACCTTTAGCAAGGCCTCTGCTTCCTCTATCATCAATTTGGAAGTTATATGAGTATAAATGAGGCCGGGCTTGGTGGCTCATACCTGTAATCCCAGCACTTTGGGAGGCTGAGGCAGGTGGATCACTTGAGGCCAGGGGTTCAAGACCAGCCTGGCCAATATGGTGAAACCCGTCTCTACTAAAAATACAAAAATGGATGTGGTGGTGCACACGTGTAATCCCAGCTACTCGGGAAATTGAGGCATGAGAATTGCTTGGGTCCGAGAGGCGGAGGTTGCAGTGGGCAGAGATCATGCCACTGCACTCCAGCCTGGGCGACAGAGCAAGATTCTCTCTCTCTCTCTCAAAAAAAAAAAAAGTTACATGAGAAAAAATAGCTTCCACAGTGCTAATAACTATTTGCTATTTGCTATTAGTAAAATGTGACTGTATGTAGTAGAGACTCAATAAACAAAACCAAAACTGGTCAGATTTACACCACCTCAAGTTAAGACTTACTAAAGTACACAATTTTTTTAAAAGAGGACTTCTTAGTTTGCAAGAAATGTTTTTAAAAATCAGCTTAGCCATACAGTAAAGGGACCTTGTTTTCTTGAGGTAAATCATCAAAATTTACTTTATAATTTGTCAAATATTTTATGGACAGATACATTTATACTGTTTCTAGAATCTAATTTTTTAAACAACAGACATGTCTGATCTTGAGGCACTATTCTTTCTTCTTTTATAAAGTAATGACAAATAGAAAATTGGTTATAAAAATCACTTTGTGTGTATATTCATGTGAACTGGGGTGGTCACATATTGGGGTTCCAGACAGAATTCTCTGAAGTCTTCTAAAACTGACTATAAGTATTCATTTAGAATGAGCCAATTCCCAATGAATTCATAAAGCTGTTTTGGGGTGTTTTGGAGGTGTTTTGGGGAATATAAAAGGAATAGGAGAAGGTAGGAAGGAAAGAGAAGAGGCTTTATAAAAAATTAAATAATTAAAATCTTTTTTATTAATTGATTTCTTGAAGATTTTGTATACATATTTTTTAAAACAAAATGTTTAACAAAATTGCATAATATATGCGTGTGTGTATACAGTATACAATATATAAAATACACTCACATTTACATATGCACACGCAGACCCCATACACACTTTAAAATCAGATGCAGATATCTATTGCTTGAATACTAAGAAAAATATTTCCTCAACTAGTGTCTCCAAACCTGCCCAAAGATCTGAATCACCCAGCACTCTTGTTAAAAATACAGTTTACCTGGGTTCCACTTCAGACCTACGGAATCAGAAGCCCTAGTAGAAATGCATCGTAATTTGTGTTTTAAACAAAGATCCTGGGTGATTCTTGTCATCAGGAAGTTTGGAGAACACTGACCTAAACTGTATTTATTTGCTGTACTTAGTGCTGGTATAGCACTACAGTCCGGATAATTAAAACTGGGAAGTTTCTCTAAGATATTTTTATGCCATGGAGCAGTGTGCCAGTTGTCAGCTTCCTGCCTCTCCTCTTCAAATGTACCTTCTCTGCTCTGCTTTTGATACTGGAGCTGGACCCTGTAAACTTGTCTCCCTTCCTAGATGGCACAAGGTTAAGCTTTGAGCATTTTTGACTTGTGTTTTCTCTAATTTAACCCCTCTTATTTTCTTAAGAATCCATTAGGATGAGGTTCACCTTTGAAACTGTCTGTTCAAGGACCTCCACACTGCTAACTCTGAAAGCTGAGCCTCATGTTTTTATTTGACCATTGTCCATAGCATTTGACACAGTTGAGTGCTGCTTCTTCCTCGAGAGACTGTCTTTGGTTTTGAGAACACTGCTCTCTCCTCATGTCTCATGTTTCATGGCTCCAGCTGCCTTTGCTAGTTCCTCTTTTTTTTTTCCTGACCTCTGAATGTCAGCATGATCTAGGACTCAGTCCTTGAACCTCTTCTCTTTTCTGCCTACACTTATGCCTTTGATGATGAAATCTAATTGCATGGCTCTGAGTACCATCAGCAACCTGAAGATTCTAAAATGCGAGTCTCCAGCTCGACCTCTCTCCTACATTCTAACTCCTGTTTGATATTTCCACTTGGATGTCTAACAAGAATATCACACTTTACATGCTCCAAACTTAACTATGTGTCTTCCCCAGATCTGTTCTTCTTCTAGTATTCCTCTTCTCAATTACACGAAACTTTAAAGCTTCTAGTTGCTCAGGCCAAAAATCTTGTCTCCTCACTCTTCTGCCATCCATCCAATCCATTTTCAAAACCTGTTGGCTTGATCTTCAGAAAACGCTCAGAATCTGATTACTTTTCATCACCTCCACTGCTAACATTTTCATCCAAGCCAACATGATGTTTTGTCTGCATTATACAGGAACCTTCTCTATCAGGATAGCCTGGGTTATGTTGTAATCAAAATGGCCCCCCAAATCTCAGTGACTCCAAACCACATGTTCTCTCTCTCTGGCATGATCATCATTGATTTACTCCCTGACATCTTCTGTCCAGGCTCTGGCTCATGGAGAAGCTGTAGACTAGAACATTGCTAGACGACCATGTGGTTAATGGAAAACAGGGCATAGTGAAGGATATAGTGCTCTGAACACTCTGTCTGGACATCAAACATGTCCCCTCTGCTCCCATTTCATTGATGAAAGCATGGACATGCCCGATTTCAGCATGACAGGGAGGTATGGGTGATCCTTGTTAGTCACGGTAGTTATATTCTACAAGGTTGTAGCAGACATTGAGTTAGCAAATTCTGAACCACTGCTCCTATGCTAGGAAATACAGGATTATGTTCCTGTGAGCTTCTGGCTGAAACATTTTTGTCAACTGAGATGCCACCCTGTTAGGTAGATTTATTTGCCAACTTCCTTGTAAAACAAGCCAGCCTCACTGATGTTCAAAACCTGCTCTTCCATACAACCCTTTTCCTGCATAATACTTAGCAGGCATTTTTAAAAATATGTATTGAGGGAGTAGAAAAGATATCAGCCTTACCCTGGGACTGAGTCAATGGCAACTTCTTGTTCCACAGGGTTAGGGAAGACTATGAGGAAATTAAAGTTGTTTGGAAAAATCCAGGTGGCATTGCTTTGTATGTTGTGATGGGGAGAGGGGTGAAGTGCAAAAGCCCCTCACACCCTCCATCTCACCTCAGACTGTGTCCTGGAACCCTGGGCAGAGAAGCCCCACTCACACTCCTGCCTCTTGGGATTACTGGTGGCCATGTAGTGATGGAGAATGACAAGTAAGAAGAGCAAGCCGCCTGGCATGTTGGTGAAGATGGCGAGCTGCACTGTTGTGGTTGTCTCGGTCAGCTCTGCTGGGCACTGACACTGTCTGAGCACACATTGGAGGCAGGATACCTGGAAAGCATCTTTGTAGGCCAACTGAGTCCCAAGGGGGCACTTCAACCTCGTAGCCCAATCAGAGTGGCCTTTCCAGCCCTGCTACCTCACCTGCTCCGGCAGAGGTTTTAAAAATTCTTCCTCAGCCTCTTGATCGCAGACCGTACCTCAGCTGTAAGTTCAACATCTCACGTCATCTGGCCTTTTGAATGAAATGAGTGAGCCAACCAGTAGCTGAGAAAGCTTTAACGTTTTCTTTGTCCTAAGGAACATAACATAAATGTCTTTGGCTTTCAGCCTCGAAACAATGCTGTCCACATGCTTTTTAAATCAGTGGTTATCTCATCAATCCATGTTTTCCATAGTGATATGGTTTGGCTCTGTGTCCCCACCCAAATCTCATATTGAATTGTAATCCCTTCATTACAATTCATACAACCCTTTTCCTGCATAATACTTAGCAGGCATTTTTTAAAATATATATTGAGGGAGTAGAAAAGATATCGGCCTTACCCTGGGACTGGTCAATGGCAGCTTCTTTTTCCACAGGGTTAGGGAAGACTGAGGAAATAAAAGTTGTTTGGAAAAATTGTTGAGGGAGGGATCTGGTGGGAGGTAATTGAATCATAGGGGCAGTTTCTTCCATGCAGTTCTTATGACAGTAGTGAGTTCTCAAGAGATGTGGTGGTTTAAAAGTGTGGCATTTCCTCCTGCCCCACTTCCTGCCACCATGTAAGAGGTACCTTGCTTCCTCTTAGCCTTCCACCATGATTGTAAGTTTCCTGAGGCCTCCCCAGCCACATGGAAATGGGAGTCAATTAAACCTCTTTTCTTTATAAATTACCCAGTCTCAGGTAGTTCTTTATAGCAGTGTGAAAATGAACTAATACACATAGGTTTATAATACACTGTAGACATAACTCCAGCACTTTCTGGAGTGCCCTTGTATACAGACTGATGAATTTCCACTGCCTTTTCCTGGATGTACCATACTGTTGATTCATTAATATTGAAGTCATGGCCAACAGCACTGAACTCATGCCTGAGTGAAGTTTCTCTGTGTGTTTTCTCCGTAAGGGCACATCATAGTCTTCTTGTGCTTAGGAACGCTAGGCAGCACTTCTATTTGGGGGCCATTTTAAACAGCACTATTACCAACAAAATGTGCAAAAAACATGCCAAAAAAAAAAGCTTGGCATTAAATAGAACCTGAAAAATATGTGGATTGTTTTCCTACTTTCCTTTTTGGATAGCTTGTTGTGAGCGTATAGGAATGCAACTGTGGTTGCCATGAAGCTTGCATATGAGCCTCAGAGCTGTAATAGCCCATTTTGAGATTACAACTTAAGTTGGATTGCATGTGAAAGCTCTACATGTTTACTCCCCCTACCTTACGTTATTGATATCAGAGTGTATTTTTATATTGTGTACCTATGAACAAGGTTTTGTGGTTACAGTTATTCTTAATAGTTTTGACTTTTAACTTTAATACTAGAGTTAAAAGTGGTTTACACAGGGCCCTGTGATGGAGAATTAAACTCAGATCACACCTGGGATTCAGACAGGCATTGCTGCATTTGCGGCACTAACATAAGTGAAGGAAAAAGAGTGATGATGGGCAGCAGGTGGTCTACTATGGAGCTAGAAGGGAAAGGGGAGAACCAGTCTTGCAGGTTACATTGAGCCTTGCTCAGAGTGGAGGCGGTGGGTGGGGGTGATTTGGCCCATGGATCCCTGATGTGTGCTCATGTTGAAGAGTGGGATTCCTCCACTGTCCTGTCCTGTCAGGGTAGCCAAGGAAGGGCTTCTGCTTCCAGTGGGAATGAGACATGATGACCTTTACAGTTCCTTCTAACTTTCAGAGGTTGCACACTGCAGTAGTAAAGTGCACAGAGTGGAGCTAGCCTGGATGGGTTTGAGTCCTGGCTCTCTCACCTGTCAGCTCTGTGACTTGGGGCCAGTGACTTAACCTCTCTGTGCCTCAGTTTCCTCATCTAGAAAAAAATAGAGATGCTAATCCAACAATAAGACCAATTCCATGGGGATGCTGCAAAAATTAAATGACTTTGTATAAAGTATTTAGAACTATCCCTAGCACATCATGAGAGCCAGAAAAGTGTTTGCCTTTTTGCTTAAATGGCTGTGATATTTAAAACTGGCCACAATTGATAGTTAACTGCAAATCTACATATTGTAAAGAAGCATGCTGTCCTGATAGTAAACTTTTAAAACACATGTTCAGTTTTATAATTATAATTCCACTATAGTTATCATAAGCAGAAGTACACATTTCTTTATTCTTTTATTGATATAAAATTTGATTCAATATTTATTTTGTGTATATGATTAAATCCTAGAAAATGCGTCTTGAAAGCAATGCGTTTAGATTGGCTTTGCAATAGTGCCACCTTCTGGTTGAATTCCTTCTTTACAAGCCCGTATCTTGTCTAGACTCATCCTACTGCGCTTGGTAAATTGTGATTTTGTTCTAGGAGATACCTGAGTGAGGCATGGTAAACCGGTCCCAGCAGACCACTCCCTGAAGATGTTGGCTTGATATGTGCTGGAAGATGAAAAAGCATACAGAATGCAGGACAACATAAAGAAAATAGAACCGAGAAGTTATGCTAAGTATATAAACAAACCAAGAGTATGGATTGGAATGCTGTTTTCTTTGGACAGATCAATGTTCTTTTGGAAAGATAGAATGAAGCTGAATAAGTTGCAGAAAAGGTCAAATAAAATGATTGTGTCCAAAAGACTAGGGTTTTTCTACAGTTTGGAACAAACAGACAGAGGCAATGCAGTGTTTAATGACTGTTCTGAAAAAATAATTATGATATTGTGGGGCGAAGGAGACTCTCACAGCCAAAAGTTATGAAAGAGAGCCACACTCTACAAATTATAGCAAATTTGGGGACATATTAGGGTGAAGGGAGATGGAAAATAAAGTACGAACATACTATATAGTAGGTATATTACCTATATGATCTAAATTTAGTTGTCTAGACAACCACGCCTTACAATTGGTCTTATCATCCTTTCAGACATCAGAAAACAGAAGCTCAAAAAGTTAGTATGTTGCCGGGCGCCGTGGCTCACGCCTGTAATCCCAACACTTTGGGAGGCTAAGGCGGGCAGATCACCCGAGGTCAGGAGTTCGAGACCAGCCTGGCAAAACCCTGTCTCTACTAAAAATACAAAAATTAGCTGGGTGTGGTGGTGGGCACCTGTAATCCCAGCTACCCCAGAGGCTGAGGCAGGGAGAACTGCTTGAACCTGGGAGGCGGAGGTTGCAGTGAGCTAAAATTGCACCACTACACTACAGCCTGGGCAACAGAGTGAGACTCTGTCTCGGGGGGCAGGGCAGGGGGAAGTTAAGTATCTTGGTCAATTTCATAGAATAGCTGACAACTGTCTCTGATTCCAAAGGCTATGCTAATGCTAATGTACCATATGTTCCCCCCATTTTCATTTTATTCTAATTAAATAATTTATTTATTTATTTTGAGACAAGGTCTTGCTGTGTTGCCCAGGCTGGAGTTCAGTGGTGCGATCCTAGCTCACTGCACCTTCAAACTACTAAGCTCAAATGATCCTCATGCTTTGGCCTCCCAAGTAGCTGGGACCACGCCAACACGCCTGGTTAATTTATTTTATTTTATTTTTTGAGACAGGGGTCTCGCTTTGTTGCCCATGCTGGTCTCAAACTCCTGGCTTCAAGTGATCCTCCCACCTTGGCATCCCAAAGTGTTGGGATTACAGGCTGAGCCACCATGCCCGACCTATTTTACTATTATTTTTTAATTTTTAGAGAAAGAAGAAAAAAGAGGTAATATGAGCTAATATTCTTTCAGCATTTACTTTGTACCATGCACTATACTAAATTCTTTTACACTTGTGGTCTCAGTTACATTTATTTATTTATTTATGGAGACAGGGTCTTACTCTGTTGCCCAGACTGGAGTGCAGTGGCACCATCTGGGCTCATTGCAATCTCCACCTTCTGGGTTCCAGTGATTCTCCCATTTCAGCCTCCTGAGTAGCTGGGACTGCAGGCACACACCAAAATGCCCAGCAAATTAAATTTTTTTTTTTTTTTTTTTTTTTTTTTGTGGAGACAAGGTCTCACTATATTGCCCTGGCTGGTCTCAAACTCCTGCTCAAGCAATCCTTCTGTCTTGGCCTCCCAAAGTGCTGGGATTACAGGCATGAGTCACCACACCTGACTCCCTCAATTACTTTTAAAGTTATTTATTCAGTTTCTTTTCCTCCTTGCCTGTAGCCAAAATCCTCACTCCCATCCTCACAGGGTGCAGTTCTAAGGAGTGCAGTGCACACTCTTTTGCATGTATGTGCTACTGGCAAAATGTGTATTGCTGTTGTATGTGCCTTTATTCTAACTTATGTTTGTTGTATTGTCTTATTTTGTTTCTTTCTTTGTTCACTCAACACTGTTTTCAAAATCTCTATGTGTTGTCCTGTGTACACCATCCAACTACCTCCAACAGCTGGCTAGTGCTCTATTATGTGCTTGCGGCCTGGTTTACCCCTCCATTTCCCAGGGATGGCAGAGCAAGGACCGTCTCCGCTTATGCTTCGTACAGAGCTGGGTGAGAATTCCTATGAGAGTCACCCAGGATCCATCCTTGGTAGGCCACAGTGAACAGTCTACCTGCATTTCGACAGGGACCTGTCTGACTCCTCCCCAGAATGGCTGCTGAGAATCGGGCCAAGGCTCACCAGCAGCACAGGCAACCCTATCTCTGTCTCTCTGCTAGCAGTGGAATTATCCAGTTTTCTAAGTTCTTCCTGTCTGATTAGTCTAAAATGAAACCTCATCATTGCTTGAATTTGCAATTCTGATATCCAACGTATTTGAAACGCTCTTGATAAATGTAGTGGCACTTTGTTTCCTAGTCAGATCTTTTGTCCATTTGACTTGTTCTTTTTGATTTGCAGGAGAGTGTCACATAAGGTTCTATTATTCTCATTTTTAGAGATGCAAGAATTTACTCTCAGTGAGGTTCAGTGACTCGTCCAAGGACATCAGAGTAAGCAGTGAAGCAAATGTTTGAATCCAGAGTCATGCCTCTGAAAGCTGGATATTAGGGAACAATTTGGTGAATTATCTATTAACCTTAATCTTGTCTTTCTTAACCTTGTCCATCAGGTTAAAAAAACTTCAGCATTTTGATTGTTGAGAAAGAAGATGGCTCAAAACAAAAGAGTGAATTTGTCTTTGATATATTTGATATCTCCTTTCCTTTCTCTCTCTCTCCCACATTCTTCTTTAGGAAATAGTTTATTTTTCATAAACTAAAACCAAAAGAAGATTAATCACCCCACAATTCTATCAGTGCTAGATAAGTACTATGTTATGTCAAGTGCCAGCCTCCCTTACCTTGAAAATATGTATAAGGGGTCGTGCGTGGTGGCTCATGCCTATACTCCTAGCACTTTGGGAAGCTGAGGCGGGCAGATCACCTGAGGTCAGGAGTTCCAGACCAGCCTGGCCAACATGGTGAAATCCCATCTCTACTAAAAATATAAAAATTAGCCAGGCATGGTGGCATGTGCCTGCCATCCCAGCTACCTGGGAGGCTGAGGCGGGGGAATCACTGGAACTCGGGAGGTGGAGGCTGCAGTGAGCTGAGATCGCCCAACTGCACTCCAGCCTGGGTGACAGAGCGAGACTCCATCTTAAAAAAAAAAAAAAATATGTATAAGGTGTCTAGGATGTGCCATCTCCTGTTCTAGAAACCATGAGAAACAAAGAACACAAAATTTCAGTTAGACTGGAGGAATAAGTTCAAGAGATCTGTTGTACATCATGGTAAATATAGTTAATAACAATATGTTGTATACTTGCAAATTGCTAAGAGAGGAGATTTTAAATGCTTTCACCATAAAAAGATAAGTATGTGAGTTAATGCATAGGCTAAATAGCTTGATTTAGCCATTACTCAATGTACACTTATATCAAAACAGCATGTTGTATACCATATAGATGCACACACAATTTTTACTTGTCAATGAAAAAGAAAGACCACTTTCCAAAAAAGGTATTTAAAATTAAGTAATCCAGTAAAGGAAACAGAATTTTAAAGGCATCATAATATTCTAAAGAAAATTTAAGGTCTAGTTTGGAAAGTGTTATCTTTGTAAATATTATGGTAGTGATAGTTTATAATTCTGTTTCTCTACTTTTCACTTACTGATGTGTCCTGGATTCATATTTCATTGAAATGTATTGATTATATTATAGAAACTATTAATTCAGACTTTTTTATCTTTATTTAAATGGTAAACAAAACTTTGAAAAAATCAGGCTCCTCTAAGAGCTAGGAATATGTTTCATTGCTAATAACAGAGATCTGAAATAACAGTGGCTTAAGCAAAATAAAGGCTTATTTTTCTTTCCTAAAACATTATGGAAGGCCGGGCATGGTGGCTCATGCTTTTAATCCTAGCACTTTGGGAGGCCTAGGCAGGCAGATTGCTTGAGCCCAGGAGTTCAAGACCAGCCTGGGCAACATGGTGAAACCCTGTCTCTACAAAAAATACAAATAATTAGCTGGGCATGGTGGCACACACCTGTAGTCCCAGCTACCTGGGAGGCTGAGGTAGGAGGATCACCTGAGCGTGGGAGGTCAAGGCTGCAATCAGCTGTGGTCATGCCACTGCACTCTAGCCTGGGTGACAGAGTGAAATCCTGTCTCAAAAATAAAAATAAAATAAAATAAAATGTCACAGTCAGATGTAGTCAGTTCTCATTGGCATGCTGGTATCAGAGAGCCAGGCTCCTTCTGCATTTCTGCTTTGCACCTGGATTTTCATCCTTAGGGTTTCTTCCTGGGTGACAGAGGCCACTGGGGTTCTAGCCTTTTATATCCATGTTTTAAGAAGGAAGAAAGAAGAAGAGGGGGGGACAAAATGGATGTATCTGCCAGTTGAGTAAATATTTTAAAATAACTTTCTATTTCTTACACGGTGCTGAACTTCTCTGTCTACAGGGGAGCCTGGGAGATGTTTAGCTGCTTTCACTGCCACAATACAGAGGTTGTTTAATAAGAAGGAAAAAGAACTATTGGGTAGGCAACTAGCAGTATCTGGCACAGCTCCTAACTATCTTTTATTCAGTACAAGATCACCCACTGTGAATGTGTACTTAAATATACTGAATAACACCTTAAGAAATAACAATTTTAGGCCTGGGCACCATGGCTCATGCCTATAATCCCAACACTTTGGGAGGCTGAGACAAGAGGATCGCTTGAGCCCAGGAGTTCGTGACCAGCCTGGGCAACATAATGAGACCTTATCTCTACAAAAATAAAAAATAAAATAAGAAAACAAAATTGGCTGGGCATGGTGGCTTGTGCCTGTAGTCCCAGCTACTCAGGAGGCTGAGGAGGGAAGATTGCTTGAGCCCAGGAAGCAGAGGTTGAAGTGTGCTGAAATTATGCCACTGCATTCCAGCTTGGGTGACAGAGTGAGACACCGTCTCAAACAAAACAAACAAACAAAATTTAAAGTTCCAGGTATTAAAAAGAAATGTTCAAACCTATAAAAAAATCTCTCCTCTTACTACCTGATCTCAAAATCTACCAAACTGTAACAATCAAAACAGCATGGTACAATCAAAAGCAGACATATAGGCCAATGGAACAGCATAAATAGCCCAGAAATAAATTCACTCATTTATGGTCAACTGATCTTTGACAAAGTTGCCAAGCACACACAAGAAAGGGAAGACTAGTGTCTTTAGTAAAGGACGTTGGGACAACTGGATATCCACATGCAGGAGAATGAAACTAAACTCTAATGTCACACCACATAGAAAAATCAACTCAATATGGATTAAAGAGTTAAATAGACAAATGGGATTACATCAAACTAAAAAGCTTCTGCACAACCAAGGCAACAATTATCGGAGTGAAGAAACAATGCACAGAATGGTAGAAAATATTTGCAAGCCATACATCTGATAAAAGGTTAATATCCAAAATATATAAGAAACTCAACTCAATAGCGACAAACCCAAATAACTGGATTAAAAAGTGGGCAAAGGACTGGAACAAACATTTCTCAAAAGAAGATAAAGAAATGGCCAATGGGTATATGAAAAAATGATCAACATCAGTAGTTATTTGGGAAATACAAATTAAAACCACAATGAGATACCATTTTACATCTGTTAGAAACACTGTTATCAAAAAGATGAAAGTTAGTAAGTGTTGGCAAGGATGCAAAGAAAAGGGAACACTTATACACTGTTGGTGGGTATGTATATCAGTAAAGCCATTGTGGAAGACAGTATAGAGGTTCCTTAAAAAAATTAAAAATAGACTATATGATCTAGCAATCCTACTTCTGGGTATATATGCAGAGGAAATAAAATTAGTATGTTGAAGAGATATCTGAACTCCCATGTTTATCGCAGCATTATTTACAATAGCCAAAATATGAAATCACACTAACTGTCCACTAATGGATGGATAAAGAAAATGTGGTATATATAAACAATGAAATACTATTCAGTCTTAAAATAGAAGGAAATTCTGTCGTTTGTGACAACGTGGATGAACCCGGAGGACATTATGCTAAGTGAAATATGCCAGGCACAGAAGACAAATAAGGCATGATTTTACTTATATGTGAAATCTAAAAAAGTTGAACTCATAGAAGTAGAGAGTAGAATGCTCATAACCAGGGCCTGGGGGTGGGGGTGGGGATGAGGAGATCTTGGTCAAAGGGTACAAAGTTTCAGTGAGAAGGAGTAAGTTTTGGAGATCTATGGTGCAGCATGGTAAGTATAGTTAATAATGATGTACTGTACACTTGAAAACTGCTAAGAGACATTTTAAATGTTCTCACCACAAAAATGGTAAGTGTGTGAGGTGAAGGATGTGTTAGTCAGCTTGATCTAATTATTCGACAATGTATGCATATGAACAAAACATCACGCTGTACACCGTATATATGCAATTTTTATTTGTTAATTAAAAAAACTAATTTAAAAAAGACCTAAAGGGAACCTCTCAATGTGCTCTGGGTCTAGTTTTCACTTCTGTAGTAGCTGCTTCATGGGGTTGGGTTGGGGGCAGTGTTGGAGAAAGAGCAGGTCAATTCTCATTTGGTTATTCATTCACTCAATAAGCAATATTTAGCACCTATTATATTTAGGCATTACACTGTCTTGGGGGGGTAATTACTGTATTTGTATAGTGCTTTATAGTTGATAAAGAACATTCATCTGCTTTTTCATATTTAATCCTCATGTAACACCAAGAGACAGGAAACGGGCATTATTTCTTTATACTATAAATAAAGACATTGAGGAACAAGGAGGTTAAATAAGAAATGCCATTCATAAAATTAGTGTGCGTCAGATCCAGGACTTCAGCTGGGGAGTTTCACCTCCTATGAATTTTCTACTCCTCTGACTTTAGAAATTTGGTGCTGTTGCTAGTTAGGGGATCAAGGTAGGGCACTCTCTCTTTCTCTCAAAATCTGGGGTGTGTGTAGGTCAGAAACTGCCAAAGCTAGATCTTCTGGGCCACTAAGACACCTGCTTAGTTCTCTTATAAGCATTTGACTGTAGTCATTTGAATTTATTTAAATCAATAGTTCTTAGCTTCCGTTCTCCCAGCCTTTTCCTCCTATTATGAAGTTAAAATATGAGACAACTGCCATGGTTATACCCAGATTTTCACAAAAGTTTCTCCTCCTTTCATTTTGGTAAAAATAATGCAGTGCAATAATTTGTATTCAATACAGCTATTAAGGTTCAACAGTAATGATTATTTACTGTGAAATTCGGATACAAGATATGTACAACTCCCCACTTCATCGTTCTCTTTCTCCCTCAGAAAAGCTTATTAACACGAATGAGAGTTTCTTTGTTTAAGGAAAACCTTTATTTCCCTCTGACGTGCAAAGCTCAATGACTTTGCCACTGCACTGAATCTTGAGTCCAGTCTCACGATAAGAAAACTCCCCACCTCTCAAACTGCTCCTGGTAACGCTTCATTAGGAGCAAACACTTTCTTGAGACAAATCTCACAAATGATCAATAGAGTTTCTATTGAGACTCTCAGGTTGAGAATCTCTGATCTAAATGTCTAAACTCAATGAGCATAGATGCACTATTTATTTTCACTTATTCAACCTTTCAAAATGTACTTAAAATATCAATATTCTTACAGCAAAGGCCACTAGCGGCTTCCTCAATTAATATCTGGATGCATGAAATCCTTTTTCATTCTTTGATACTTTTAAGCAAAAAGGACACACTGATTCTCAATCATGGAAAATAATAAAGGGTTTTTTTTTAGACTAAAATGTGTACTGCAAAAGAATTAAACGGTAATTTTTTTTTTGTTTCTAAAGTTGTTGAACTTCTCAATAGAAAAAAAGCAGGCAGAGTTTCTGCTGATCTCACTATGAGGCACAAAGACTGAAATTTAGTCTTGTATTGATATGTAAATATTAAAAAATGCATATGATTTTTTCCTTTATTCCTTCTCCAAATCTGATGACCGGCAAAGCTCTTAAATTGCATGCACATATTTATGTGTCACATGTAAACGCTGTTCATGTCATCTGGATATCAGTCAGTCACCAAAACGAAAAGTAGGTTTGACAGGCCAGATCTGGTGGCTCGTAAATGTAGATTTCCATCAAAGAACAAAGACCTGAGCAGTGTTCCGAACAAGGAAGATCCTGTAGATGTCTCCAGTTCGTCTTCTATATTTGCACTTGTGAGATCATTAGTCAGCTGTATTATTTATCTCCTACACAAAAATATTTCAAGGTCTGTGGGAGTTTTCTCCAGTTAAGGTTAATCAATTTTTATTACTCTCAGTTTATAGCTTCCCAGATGCTTAAGTTGGTGAAGACTTTCTTGTTTTTAATTTAAGAAAAGAGAGTTCCTTATTTGTCCCCTTTCAACCATTCTTGAAGACTTGAACTCACATGGCTATTAAAAATGATGAACAGAGAGACTTAGATTTTCACTGAATGTCTCTGAGAAACATCTGCAGCATAGCATATCATGATAAAGTAAGAATAAGGGAGGAATGTTAACAGTTTTAGGCTTTGAAACTTAGTATGTTTCCCCTGAACCTTTTGAAAACCCATAAGCTCTACATTTTTAAACTGAGGAGAATTACAATGTAATTTGTTTAGCTAAATAAATCATTTATACAGGAGGAATAGTATTTGTGCTAAGCTCTAATTTACTATGAAACAAAGAGCTAGATTTAATGTAATTGTGTTTCTGCATATAATAAAATCTACACATACATTTTGTCCTAAAAATAAGTTATTAAGGCTGGACGCAGTGGCTCACGCCTGTAATCCCAGCACTTTGGGAGGCCGAGACAGATGGATCACCTGAGGTCAGGAGTTCGAGACCAGCCTGGCCAACATGGTGAAACCCTGTCTCTACTAAAAATACAAAAAAAGTTTGCCGGGCCTGGTGGTGGGTGCCTGTAATCCCAGCTACTTGAGAGGCTGAGGCAGGAGAATCACTTGAACCTGGGAGGCAGAGGTTGCAGTGAGCCAAGATCACGCCATTGTACTCCAGCCTAGGCAACAAGAGCAAAACTCTGGCTCAAAACAAACAAATAAATAAATAAATATAAAAATAAGTTATTAAGCGAGCTCCTGGGCTTCCATGTGACTCTGGCTTGCTATTACAAATGCTCCAGACCACCAAACTGGATTCCTTTCCTAAAATTGCAAATGAGATTTCCCCACCTTACCTTGGTATCCTCAGATATTACCTTTGCCGATATTTTCTTCATTGTTTCCCAGAAATCAATGATGCAACTAATATGATCTGCAATTTTTTCACCAATAGAGGGAACCATCCACCTGCATTTCTTTGCTGTGTCCTACCAGAGCCCCCAGGGCCTCATGGCTTCTGTGGGTTGCTTTCCATCTCCTCCTCTGGCTCCTGAACGGGTCCTGTCCTCTGTGCTCCAGCTGAAGCAGTGCCGTTTGTCTTTTCCCCTGCTCTCGCCAATCCTGTCTCCAGCAGATCCCTTTCAGGATTTTTTTGTTGTTACCAGCCAGTGCCAGGAGTGAAGAATATAGATTTTGGTATCTGTGCCTGCACTCTAATTCCACTTCACAGCAAGCCATGGAGTTTGCCTTAACTTCACTTCTATATAAAGCTGCTTTAATTTTCTTAAAACTCACGACTTGCATTTAAATTGATTCCATCAGTCAACAAATATTCCCTATATACAGCATTTACAAGCTTCCTGCAAATGCAATCCAAATGAAGAGTTCAGGTTAAAAGGGGCTTTCAATACACCATCTCGGGAGACTCGGTGGTAGAATCTCATGGGATACAGGCATTCATATGCAGTCTGTAGTAATAGTTTCCTACTGTGGAGATTTTTCAACATCTTTAGATTGAAAAAAACCATCTTTATATATAAATGTCATAATTTTTTTGCATGACTTTCAAGGAAAAAGTAATGGATGATATTTCTGGAGTACTTAGCTCCAAGGCTTAATGGGGATGAAGGTACTGGAGGAGATATTTTCTTTGATACAGTAAATGAATTAGGAAAGTGTTGCTTATAGGGACATTTAAAAACATGGACATGCAGAAACTTGCAAAGCGGGTAAATACATGTGAGTTAGAGACTGAGAGATAGAGAGAAGAAATGAAAGCAGGAGATAGAGCAAGTGTATTTTCATCTTAGTATTTAGCAAGTATAATCAGGCAGTGCAGGTGACCACACTGAACATAAGGCTGTCATCTGGGTGCTTCAGGAACTTCGTGCTGAGCGAGAGGGAGGAGAACAGCTGTCAGGAACAGCTGGAACAAAAAGGTTCTTGAATCATGTGACTACCATGCAATGAGATTGGCACGTGTCACCGTTGTACATGATCCTTATTAGATAGACTGTCACCCACAGGTCCTGTGTCTTTTCCATCTTTCACAACTCCTCCTTGCTGAGGGATTGCCCTCCTTCTCCCCCACACTGGACCATTTAACTGAATTCCCCAGGATGCAGAGGTCCTTAGTTGAGAATTAAGGAGTGCAGCCATACTCAGAGACATGCCTTCCAGGGCAGATGTCAGCACAGTAAAGACTGTCTTCTTTGCTATTAGGCAAGGCATGGACTGTAGTAATAGCTGCTGCATGTTGTTAAAACATCTTTGATACAGTAGATTCTCAGATTTTCTGAGCAAACTGCCTTGGGCAGAATAGGTACTCCATAAATGTTTATGGTTAATGGTTTCTAGGACTTTCATTATCAATGTCATCTTTACAGCTCACCATTCTGGCTGGAGAAATGGAAATTCAGTGAAAACAAGCAAGCAGTCCTGTCTTTCCTAGTATGAATATACCTAAAGAAATGAGCTAATCATAAATTTCTTACCAGACTGCAATTTCCCAATTGTTTTTGCTGAATTCTGTTGAGCATACATATGTGATGACTGCTCAAACGATTCCCTGTGACACCCCCTCAAATGAGAAGGCATCTGTTTGGCCTCAGTTGGGAAAGCATGCTAAAAATGTCTCCACTTTGGCATTAAATCAGCTTATTGCAGCAGTGTACACTCCAAAGTAGATGTTTCTTGCTTTTTCTCTTTTAGAGAAGTGATTTCATTTATAATCTATTTCTGGATAATCCAGGGACTTTACACATTGCATTTGACCTAAATGCTAAGGTAAGGACAAGTTTCTGCTAGTAAGAAATGATAACAGTTTTTTTTTTTCTTAGACAGAGTCTCACTCTGTCGCCCAGGCTGAAGTGCAATGGCACAATCTCGGCTCACTGCAACCTCCGCCTCCCGGGCTCAAGCGATTCTCCTGCCTTAGCCTCCCAAGTAGCTGGGATTACAGGCACGTGCCACTGAACCCAGCTAATTTTTGTATTTTTAGTAGAGATGGAGTTTCACCATGTTGCCCAGGCTGGTCTTGAACTCCTGACCTCAGGTGATCCACCCGCCTCGGCCTCCTAAAGTGCTGGGATTACAGGTGTGAGTCACTGTGCCCGGCCAGTAACTGTTTTAATTATAATATAAGGTGATCATAAAGAAGAGTTTCTTAATGTTTGGAAAGACTCCTGAGATAAAAATCATAATGACACATGGATATATTAGTTTAGTAGAAAAATCACTTGTCATCCTAAGCCAAAAATTGCCATTTAACAAAATTTAAGCCAAAAGGAGGACTTTCATAGGTGATTTTAAACAATAAGATGAAAGTTTACTTCAAAACAATAATAATTTAAGCTTCTCATCCCTCCCTAAAGTAATGAAATCACTTATTTAGTTAGGATAGCTACAACTTCTATGATATGGGTGCATTAACAAGTTATGTTTTTTTTTAATTATTTTATTTTATTGAGATGGAGTCTCTCTCTGTTGCCCAGGCTGGAGTGTAGTGGCATGATCTTGGCTCACTGCAGCCTCCGCCTCCTGGGTTCAAGAGATTCTCATGCCTTAGCCTCCTGAGTAGCTGGGATTACAGGTGTGTGGCACCACGCCCAGCTAAATTTTGTATTTTTAGTAGAGACAGGATTTCACCATGTTGGCTAGGTTGGTCTCGAACTCCTGGCCTCAAGTGATCTACCTGCCTCGGCCTCCCAAAGTGCTGGGATTACAGGCATGAGCCACCACACCCAGCCACAAGTCACGTTTTAATGCTTTAGTGACACACTAGAATTCACTCCTTAATTGATAGCAGTGATGCTGGAGTTTAGTGATAGATGAGAGTGTATGCTGATGTGACAAGAAGAATGTGCATGAACCCGGTGACATTATAGGTATACATGGTGACTAAAGTATTAGCAGTGTCGGAATAATAGATATCTTCATAGTAGAAGGTCTTTCTCCAAGACAGCCCTGGTAGTCCTCCAATCTTGTTTGCCATCATGAGAATATTTATTACTTTTATACACTGACATAAAACTGAACTCACATTTCATAATTTGGTAGGTGATTTCATGCCTTTTTGTGTTTCTGCTGGATTTAGGGCAGTTACAATTCCCTCCACTGGGCAGCTGTGTTCTCTCAACACCAGGTGAGTGGTCATACTGATGAGGGTTGAGATGTGGGGACCATGGACAGCAGAAAGTAAGTGCTCAGGGCTAGAAAGCAGTCATCGGTGGGGGAGAGAGAGTGCCTCCCAGACAAGGGGAAGCAGCACTGGAGCCTGTGGAAGAAGCTGGGAGAGGGAGGTCAGTGTGCTGGAGGAGCTGCACTACGGCATGAGCAGCTATTGCGGCCAGTGGTGCCTCGGACCATTCCTGATTTCCCTGCCACCTTGGGGGTGTCACCATTATGGCAAGACACCTCAGGACATGCCTCTGTTTACTGAAGTGTGTGCAACAAGGCTGTGTTACTTAGGAGATTTATTAAAGATGCAGCGGCTTTCACCTGATTAGGTGAGAGCTGTCAGCCTCAGAGGGTATCCTCAGAGCTTAGGAAGTATTGACCTTCCAAAACTCTATCAGGGAAGAGATAGAGCAGAGTCAGAGAACTGATGGAACCAGCGAAGCAAGTATCACCAGGGCCTTTTGCCCAGGTCTTGACTCTATGTGTCCACTCAGTAGGTGGGCTTCCTTCCTCCTTATTTCATGCGCTTTCTGCACATGACGGGACACGTGTCCAGTGAATTCTTGACTTTTACATGTCATGGTTTCACTAATAAAAGACTGCCCTTTTCTTTCTCCATAATCAATTCAAAAGTCTTTTTTTTTAATTTTAATGCCAGAGAGGGGTTAATTTGGATTTCTGGGTCAGATGGTCAAAAATTCCAAGGAAATCCCATTGAAACAGCTTAGCTCAGGAAGTCAAGCCTGTATAAATCAACTGTGGCCAGAGATTTGGGGTCAGTGAGAGAATGGAGCTGCCATTCTAGCCATGGGGCTAGCAGGCCAGCTACTCGAAGGAAGGGGAAGCACTGGGAAGAGGCATCATAGATTTTTGGCTACAGGAATAGTATCAGTCCATATGGTCATGATGTAGAAAGTTAATTTTTGTTATTACTATTATTGTCATATGAATGATGCCAATTTTATTTTCATTAAATTCTCAGCCCCATCTTTTGTTTCTCTTGTTCTTACCAAAACTCAAAGTGCATAATAGGAGCTAAAAGGATATTTGCTAAATTGAATGAGATTTACTTTCATGTTAATTATGACATATACATATTGTTTACAATTTTCAGTTAAGAATTACAGAAATTAGTATTCTAAATTTTCTTTCAACATCTGTTACAAAAAGTCTCTTTTGTAAGGAGGCATATTCACTACCCTTTGTATTTGCTTTATGTATACCCGTGAAGTGTAGAGATTAAGGAGGACATGAGCCTACTTTCTTTTTGACATTTACAGTAAGGTGACCTACAGCTTGCAAAGTGGCTGTTTTTTGTGTTCTTCCCTGCTGGGCTGGATGGTGGCCCACACAGGGCACCAGGGTCACATGTCAGGGATTAATGCCAAGTACTGTGAAGTAGGCTTTAAAGAGAAAGGAAAAACAAGGCAGAGTCATGAAGAGAAGTCATGGATCCCCCTCCCCACCTGCTTTATCTGGAGAGAAATGTTCTCAAGTCTGCTGGACACAAAACAGGGGTTGAATTTCAGTGGAGTCCCCTTTCTTATGGTGCAAGAGTTAACGCATCAGTAGGGAACACAGCATCAGTTTGAAAACCAGACAGTCTCGATTTGGGTGCCAACTGAAGATAGGAGTTTTCTGAGGAAACAAGCTGCTCAGAACCTGGTGACTTTGGGGACCTGGGGGAATGAGGCCACCAGAACTATGGGAAGATGAGATTGGGAAAGGCTCTTCCACGGGGAGAAGAGGATGTTTATGCTACTTGCTTAAGCCAGCTCATTGTCAGGTCAACCAGAGTGGGACATCACAGTCATGCTGGGGGCTAGGGAAAATAAGGGCGTAGGTGAAAAAAAGACTACTTTTAAACCGAGGGACCAAGATGCACTGGATATTTTCCATTTACCACTCCAGGTCCACTTTCTGTCCTTCTTCATCCTTCTCTGTGCTCTGAGAGAATGACTTTTCTCGTCAATGGGTTTCCTTCCATCCTAGCTCCTAGTAAATGGGAGGCCCTGGCAGAGATGGGATGGAGATAAGACAGGAAGGCCAGGGTATTTATTTCCATAGCTTCACCCTTTCGGGGTATCTGTGGTTGGCTTCATCCTCCCACCAAAGGCTCTTGTTGGTTGTCCCTCTTCTATTGTGACTGTGACTGCTCCCTCTGGTTTCCGCACATTCTCTCTGACCTGGCTCCTTTGCCTGTAGTGATAACTGCTGCTGAAGGGGCTGACCCTGAAGGCAGCTGCTGGGCTATGGGTCACTGATGTGGGATCTTGGTGGCACGTCGCCATGTCTTCAGCACCCTTATGGCTTCTACATTTGTATTCTACTTCCCCCATGGTCTTAAAAGTCTTTTCTAAATTAAAATGTCTTTGGTTCTAACTTTAACTTTTTGTTTATATTTAGTAATCTAAGCTTCTACTGTAAACCTAAAAAAATGATATTTATTGAAGGCCAACTATGAGTCTAATAGTATGGTAAACTTTTCCATATATTGTGCCTTTTACTTTTTTCCACAATAATTATGTAAGATGTATTAGGAACTTCATGAGGAGGCTCAGAAAGATTGAGCTTAAGACGCGTGTCTTTTTGACTTGGATACCTGCACACAAAAACACTACACCATGCCTCTTCAACCTTTCACGAAACAGGCAAAAATAACTTACTTTAATTAAAAACAAGGATATAGCTAACTCTGTATTTGTCAGTACTGAGCATTGGAGGAAGAATGCTGTGGGAAGTCAACACCAAACAACCACGTTAGAACCAGTAAATTTAAGCTACTCTTTAAAAGGTGCGATTTTTTTTTCCCAAAACTTATTTTGGGTTTTATCCCTAGAGAGACTTTATTGCTTCTGACTGTCTTCCTTCTGTCCTTTCACATATTCAATTATCTTAAAATCAATCCACCATGGCGTCTGAACTTCTCTTTGTTTCTTCATCATAAACACTCATCTATTTGCCTTTAATTCCATCCCCCATCTCTTCCTTGGCTCTACTCTGCTCTTGCAACCCTAGTGTTTCAGATCTTACATAACAGTCAGTCCCTCCTCTAGCTTTTGAGTGAAAGAAGTCACCTCGTAGGGGTAGATGTGGTTTCCTTGGCACTGGGCTTGGTTAAAGGATGCTGTCTTTGTACAAATTAGGATACAGTCCTGAGTTTGGATGGCACATAGTTCGGCTGAAAAAGCATGGGCTGAGTGCCCGTACCACTTCCCACCTTAGTTGGGTGTCCTTGCTCAGGGCCAGGCAGCCCTAGCTTGGGTCAGCTACCTAATTTTCAGGGTTTCTTTGCTGCTCTACCTCCTGTGGTATCTATTTGCTTATTTCTCTGAACTTAGAACCTAGTGATCTTGTGAGCACGCCAGGTAGCAAAATGCCTCTTGTACCGAAGATTCCACTAGTCTTTTTCCAGTTGTCTGGCATTGCTCCTAAACATTTCTTCATTATGTGCCTGATGTGTTTATTACAATTTTATTTGTAAGAGTAAAACATTGGAAACAAACTGGCTATCTGGCTATTAGAGAATGAGTAAATGATTCACTTGATGTCATGATAAAATAACAATTTTGAAGTTTTGGGACAATTGTTAATGATAAATGCTAAATTAAAAAAATTCTTTAAAATCTATGTATACTATGATTGCTCCTATGTAAAAATGTGTGTATAAGATTATTTGAAAGACATACTTAAATTGTTATTAGTTATTGTATTATGCAGTTATGAGTGGGTTTTTCTTCATTCTCTAACCTTTTTTTGGAGAACATTACAAAAATCTAATGTCTTGGATTTTTCCAAAAATGCTCATTTTGGAATATAAAAATAAAGTATTTCCTTTAAATTGATTTTCTTATTTTTAAAAAGGCTCTATTAAGTTGCATATCTATTAGTTGCCAATATAATGACTAATGAATAGTTGTTTATAAGCTATATGAAGTATAGAATCTCATAAAACATTGTTGTCTTACAGTGTTGCAACTCCAGCTTGAGGGTGTAGAATTTAGTATACTCAATTCAGACTGTAAAAGTATAAGTTGGATTTGGATAGATATTGCAGAATCTTAACTTAATCACAAAAAGCTGTGTAAGAAGTTACGTCTGCTAAGTTATTTTTCTGTAAGAAGCTGCTCAGGGAATGGCTCACATTGAATCATCCTGGAAGAAGCTCTCAGCCCTTGTACTTGATATCATAAGGCCAACTGCTGTTGCAAGCCCAAGAAAGGTAATTCTACCTTCTTAGTTAAGGGATTAAAGTGCATCCTTGAAAAGGTTTTCAAGTAAGAATAGAAATGATAAATAAATTTATAATTTTGTGGAAGTTGGATACACATAGGTATTACAGTAAGTTCTCTAGCTAGTCTATTCTTTGCCTGTTTTTTCTTTCTCTGCTTTAAAATATTTAAAGTAGTTAAAAGAGTGAGTTTCAAAATATATCCTTAGACTCCTTAGGTTGTCCAAGACCCTTTCAGGGGATCCTTGCGGTCAAGACTATTTTCATAATATAAGTTGCTATGTGCTTCCCCCTTCACATGTTATTTGCCTGTTAGGAGCCTGCAACTTTTAAGAAAACAACCGACAGTTTTTTGCCAATCATAAAGTTTCAGTTTTCAAGATAAAATTAGATACTTGAGTCTGTCACTGTGAGTTCAACACTTTCCCAGCACTTACTGAGACTGGGGGTGATACTGACACACTTTTTTTTTTTTTGATATTTTGAAGTAAAATGTGTCCACATTTGGAAGAAGTAATTAACTCAGTGAACCAATATATTCCAAATGACCAATGCATGATGTTATAAAATCATACATAGGTAAAAAATCTATTTTAATCGCAAGAAAGACCATTGGATTTTAATGTCACAGAGTACAAAAGGTTCATTAATATGATTTCAGATTCCACATTGCGACTAACTTTTACTAAACTATCACTTACGGAATTCTGGTGTAGTATCAAAGAAGAATAGCCGTAATTATTTGAAAAGATAATTAAAAATACTCCTACCTTTTCCAAATACTTGTCTCTGTTAATCTGAATGTTCTTTATATACTTTAACCAAAACAACATGTTACAATATATTGAATACAGAAACAGATATAAGAACCTAGCAAAGCTATCCTTCAAAAATGAGGGAGAAATAAAGTATTTCCCAGACAAGCAAAACCTGAGGGAATTAATTATCGCTAGATCAGCCTTACAAGAAATGCTCGAGGGAATACTACATTTGAAGTCAAAGATTATATCACCTTCATGAAAACATACAGAAGTATAAAGCTCACTGATAGAGCAGATAAACAAGGGATAGAGAGAAAGAAAACCCTTATAATTCCAGAAAACCACAAAACCACAATGATAAACACAAAAGAAAGAAGAAAGGAAAGAGGGATATATAAAACAATCAGAAAACAATAAGATGACAGGAGTAATTTATCATCTATCAACACTAATCTTGAATATAAATGAATTAATCTTCCACTTAAAAGGTATAGACTGGGTGAATGGATAAAAAAAATGACCCAATTATATCGTACTACAAGAAACTCACTTCGCCTATAAAGAAACATGTAGACTGAAAATAAAAGGATAGAAAAAGATATTTCAAAAAACCAGAAACCAAAAGCAAGCAGGAGTAGCTATATTTATTTGACATAATGTAGACTTTAAGTCAAAACTGTATAAAGAGATAAAGAAGTTCATTATGTAATGATAAAGGGATCAATTCAGCAAGAAGATATAACAACTGTAAATATATATGCACCCAACACCAGAGCACCCAGATATATAAAGCAAATACTAGAACTAAAGGGAGAGACAGACTATGATTCAATTATAGTTGGGGACTTCAACATCCCACTCTCAGCATTGGGCAGATCATCCAGACAGAAAATCAATAAAGAAACGTTGGTTTTAAACTGTACTTTAGACCAAATGGACCAACAGCTGCAGAATACACATTCTTTTCATTAGCACATGGAACATTCTCCAGGACAGACCACATGTTAGGCCACAAAACAAGTCTCAACAAATTTACAAGGAGTTAAATCATATGAAGTATTTTTTTCTGAACACAATGGGATAAAACTAGAAATCAATAACAAGAACTTTTGAAACTTTACAAATACATGGAAATTAAACAACATGCTCCCGAGTGACCAATGGGTCAATTAAGAAATTAAGAAGAAAATTTAAAAAATTATTTAAATAAATGATAGTAGAAATACAACACAGCAAAACTTATGGGATATAGCAAAAGCAGTATTAAGGGGAAAGTTTATAGCAATAAATGCCTATATCATACAAACAGAAAGATTTCAAAGAACCTACTAATGCATCTCAAATAACTAAAACAGCAAGAACAATTCATACCCAAAATTAGTAGAAGGAAAGAAATAATAAGTATCAGAGCAAAAAGAAATAAAATTGAAACTAAAAAAAATTACAAATGATTAACAAAATGAGAAGCTTGCCTTTTGAAAAGATAAACAAAATCAAGAAACCATTAGCTAGACTAACCAAGAAAAAGAGAGAGAAGACCCAAATAAATACAATCTGAAACAAAAAAAGGAGACACTACAGTGGTTACCATGGAAAGAATCTGAAGGTCTAGCTAGAGCAATCAGGAAAGAGAAATAAATAAAAGGCACTCAAATTGGAAAAGAGGAATTCAAACTATCTCTGTTTGCTGATGACATGATCTTATATCTAGAAAACCCTGAAGTCTCCTCCAAAAGACTTCTAGATTTGATAAATGAATTCAGTAAAGTCTCAGGTTACAAAATCAATGTACACAAATCAGTAATACTGCTATACACCAATAACAACCAAACTGAGAATCAAATCAAGAACTCAATCCCATTTACAATAGTCACAACAAGAATAAAATACCTAGGAATACACTTACCCAAGGAGGTGAAAGATCTCTACAAGGAGAACTCCAAAATACTGATCAAAGAAATCATAGATGACACAAACAAATGGAAACACAGACCAAGCTTATAATATATTGGAAGAATCAATATTGTGAAAATGACCATATCATCCACAGCAATCTATAATCAATGTACTTCCTATCAAACTACCAATATAATTTTTCACAGAATTAGAAAAAACAATTCTAAAATTCATATGGAACCAAAAAAGAGTCTGATTAGCCAAAGCAAATATAAGCAAAAAGAACAAATCTGAAGGCATCACATTATCTGACTTCAAATTATACTATAAGGCTATCATAATCAAAACAGTATGCTACTGGTATAAAAGTAGACACATAGGCCAATGGAAAAGAATAGAGAACCCAGAAATGAAGCCAAATGCATACAACCAACTGATCTTTGACAAAGCAGACCAAAACATATGCTGGGGAAAGGACATCATATTCAATAAACGGTGCTGAGAAAATTGGATAGCCACATGTAGAATGATGAAACTGGATCCTTATCTCTCATCATATACAAAAATTAACTCAAGCTAGATTAGAGACTTTAACACCCGAAGCCATAAAAATTCTAGAAGAAAACCTAGGAAAAACTCTTCTGGATATTGGCCTAGGCAAAGGATTTATGACTAAGGTCAAAAGCAAATGTGACAAAATAAATAAATCCATAAATGGAAACTAATTAGACTAAAATACTTCTGCACAGCAAAAGAAACTATTAACAGATTAAACAGACAACTTACAAAATAGGAGAAAACATTTGCAAACTATGCATCTGACAAAGGACTAATATCCAGAATCTACAAGGAACTCAAATAAATCAACAATAGAAAAATAAATAATTCCACTAAAAAGTGGGCAAGTGACATGAGCAGACATTTCTCAAAAGCAGATATACAAATAACCAACAAATATATGAGAAAATGCTCAACATCTCTAATAATCAGGGATATGAAAAATTAAAACCTCAATAATATACCATCTTACCCCAGCCAGGGGACCATTTTTTTTTTTTTTTTTTACTTTAAGTTCTAGGGTACATGTGCACAGCATGCAGGTTTGTTACATAGGTATACATGTGCCATGTTGGTTTGCTGCACCCATTGACTCATCATTTACATTAGGTATTTCTAATGCTATCCCTCCCCCAGCACCCCACTCCCCAACAGGCCCTGGTGTGTGATGTTCCCCTTCCTGTGTCAACAGAGTGAAGATGCAACCTACAGAATGGGAGAAAATATTTGCAAACTATTTATCTGACAAGGGATTAATACCTAAGAGGTTGATAAAGATTATCCTCAATGTCTACGGCCTCTATTGGGCTTTCTTCCTCTCTAGAATTTCCCTGCACTTACCAGGGGCCTTGTGACAACCCCTCCTTGACAACCCCACCCCCAAGTATGCTACTTATTGGGTTCTTCCTGGAGACACTTCTCATATCTCTTGGCCTTTATCAAAATGTGCCTGTCCTGTGCCCACTTTTCTTAGTTATCTATGTTCCTAACACCTGTTAATGGGTTTTAGAAATATATTTTAATATCTAAATTTCTATTGTGCATAGAAAGGATTGTTATACTTACTTGTGTTGTAAATAACATGTAACTTGTTAAAAGTTTAATTTTAAACTTTTAAAAAATATAGCCTTTACTATTTAAATTATTTAAACTCTTAGAACTGATAAATTCAGTAAAGCTGCAAGATACAAAATCAACATACAAAAATTAGTAGTGTTTCTATACACCAACAATAAACTAGCAAGAAATCAAGAAAGCAATCTCATTTGCAAAAAATCTTATTAAATTTATAAAATCAAACTAGTAAATGCTATACAAAAATACGAACAAAGTTATCACTGATTCTTTAATGAATATTGAATTAATTTGTAAATACAAATTGATTTACCTTAGATAATCAACACAACTTATATACTTCAGACATTCCCTAGGATATTTTAAGTTAAACAGGAAAAAATACAGTTCTCTCAAACTCTTCAAAAGACAGAATGACAAATCTAACAAGGAAGATTTTCTGAGGTTCTTAGGAAACCTCTATGTCTTTAATAAATCAGACATGAAAAATCAATAAATCAAATTCTCTTAACTTGTTAGTTCTCAGACCTTCTGGTCTCAGGATTATTTTAACTCTTAAAAAGCATAGAGAATCTCAAAGAGTATTTGTGTTTGTGTGTTTTTTTCTGTTGACATTTACTGTATTAAAATTAAAACACAAATTTAAAATTTTTATTTATATGCTTAACATGAAATGAAATTTTAATTTAAAAAAACTATATTTTCAAACACAAAATGTGTGAGAAGAGTAGCATTGTTTTATACTCTTGTAAATATTTTTAAGACTAGAGTTCTGCAGCTACAGGCCAAGGACACCAAGGAATGCCGGCAACCACTAGGAGCTGGAAGAGGTAAGGAAAGGTTTTTATCTAGAGCCTTTGGAATGAATGTGGCCCTGCAGACACCTTGGTTTTAGACTCCTGGCCGCCAGAACTATGAGAGAATAATTGTGTTATTTTAAGCCACCAAGTTTCTGATAATTTGTTACTGCAGCTTCAGGAAGGCCTCTAACATATGGTGTTTTATTGGGATAAACTCTTATCCGTAATAGTATGCCTCTTTAAAAACAGGATCCTATTTTCAGAATTATATATATCTGTCGCCATCAAAGCTATATTTAGGAGGTATAATCTCATGACTCAAGTGATTTTCTTGATATGGATAACAAATCTCTCATAATGGTCTAATATTTAATCAAGCTTGAATGCACATTGTAAATTTTATATCTTCTATCTCTGCAAATATTTCAAGGTGGTAATGACATTTTTTCCAAATGAACTGTCAGGTTTTTGATCAGGTTTCATCTCACTTATTTGTAAAGTCTACTCATATTTCCTGCCGACATCAATCCCCTCCTTCCTAATGGCCTGTCGTTTTTCAGTGTCTGAACTATGCATTTTGGCACATCAATCAAACTTGCTTCTGCTTTGTATAACATAGTACAGGTTAGTCATGACTGGGTAATAATAGCTACCATTTATAAAGCACATAGTATTTATGTATGCTTAATATATGTCATTTGTAAATCCTTTAGCTATAGCAATATAGCTATCTGTATTTATTTATATATCCCTATTTATATATATATCTATATAAAAATATATATGATATAATATATCTCTCTATATAGGATATAGCTCCAGATATATAAATATATATTTCTGTATATTATAGATATATCTATAATCTGGACTTTACATATATAAATATATACCTATATATTTATATTATGTATTATATAAAGATATATCTATATATTTATATTATGTATTATATATAAATATATATCTATATATTTGTATTATATATTATATAAATATATATCTATAGTTATATATTATATTAAATATATAACTATAGATATATATTCTATAAATATATAACTATAGATATATATTCTATAATATAACTATAGATTTATATTATATATAATATAAATCTATAGATATATATTTATAGAATATATATCTATAGTTATATATTCTATAAATATATAACTATAGATATATATTCTATAATATAACTATAGATTATATATTATATATAATATATACCTATATTTATATTAATATTATATATTATATAAATATGTATCTATATATTTATATTATATATGATATATACATATATATCTATATTACATATATAAAATATATCTCTATAGATATATAAAAATATATTTACATTACATATATTATATATATTTATATTACATATATAAAATATATATCTATAGATAATATATGTATATTACATACATTATATATGTATAATACATATATAATATAAAATATATATCTATAAATACATAAATATATTTATATTACATATATACATGGTATCTATAGATATATAAATATATATTATATATTATAAATATAGATCTACATTTTATACTGTATCTGTATAAAATATATCTGTATTTTATAAATAAGGAAGCTGACATTCAGATAAGTTAACTGACAGCAAATATAGGGCAGAATCATAATTGAAATTTACTGTCTCTTTGACGTCAAAGTCGCAAGCCTTTCTACCAGGCTATTCTGCTTCCTCAGAAATTTCTGCAAGTCAGCAATTTGAAATCTGAACAGAGAAACCAAACCTCCCATATGTTTATTTAACCTACCTGTACAACAACATATGCAGCCATAGATAAATGTCCACATATGAATTCCAACTTAACTTATGTTGAAAATATTCTCCCCAGTTGGGGCAGCAGAGTTTGGGAACTTAAGCTCCCGATCTCTGGAAACCAAGTGAGTTCTTCTTGGCAGGATTTCTTGGTAGGATCTCTGATGAGGTAGGGGCTTAAGGTCTTGAAAGAGATCCCAAGGGTTTGGGGAGCAAACTGCTTTGGAGGGGCACTTCACCATCTTTGGCTGGATTAGACCCTGGGCTCCAGAGTCTCTTCCTTCTGCCTGCTACTTCACGGAGAGTTTTGAGGAGCAGTGATTTTGTTTGCAGGCTTTCATTTCCACTGCAATTAATAGTTGATTCCGACGGGGGGTTCTTTCCTCTGGCCTACTGCTGAGTAGAATAAAATCTACTCTTTTAAAATCTACAGCTTTTCCCAAATAATTGATATAGGCATGGAACTCTTTAAGCATGTTTAGTGATTTTTAACCATAAGCAGTTATGGGGAAATACAGGGCAGAAATAGGAAAAAAGTAAAAACTTCTAAGAAGTCTCCCTAAAGCAGCTGCCGTTGATGTTTATTGGATGCTCACTCTCTTATCTTTCCCTTGCTACAAATTCATCTCTACTCTTAGGAGCTCCAATCTTCTCCTCTTTTTCTTCTAGAATTTGGGGCTCAAGTCTCACTTTCTTCTAAAAAAAGCTCCAGCCCACGTCTTCTCTTCTCAATTGCCGTCTCCTAGCTCTTGAACCTCATCCTTTTTATTTTGGAGTTTTTTGATTAGCCTCTTGGGGGCAGCAATCTCTCAGTTCTGAGTGACATTTTCCTGGACAGATGATGTTAAACTTCAAGTGAATCAGCGGCAGCTAATTTGTTTTGTCTTGTCTAGTGGAGTTTGTTGTGATGTCACTGTTTTAATTCTATGCTTCAATCCACTAACTGAAATAGTAAACCTGTGAATCAAAGTCAGATGTCTTCGTAAATTAACAAAGAACGAATTTGCATGTTCAATGAAAGGAGCAGTTGATAAATTGGCTCACAGCTTAATTTAGCTCATTTTCATTTTTCTGAAAATCTATAGAGTAAAATTCAGTTTTTTCATGAAATCACCCAAATAATTGGATTGTTAACTGTCTTATGTGTTTATTTCTATACCAGACTGTAACCTCCATGAGGCCAAAGGGAATAAGTTATTTTTTCATTTGTTTTTTAACTAGCCCAATGCTCATGAATGCATAGGTAATTAGTAATGTGAAAGCTACTGGCTTGAATTTAGTTCTTGTTTGTTTGTTTGTTTGTTAGTTTTAGAAACAGGGTCTTGTTACGTTGCCCAGGCTGGTCTCGTACTCCTGGCCCCAAGCAGTCTTCCCGCCTCAACTTCCCAAAATGCTGGGATTACAGGCGTGAGCCACTGTGCCCTGCCTCAATTCTTTTAATGAATATTTAAGTGTCTCTTTCAGGGCAAGCATAATGCCAGATAATTGGGACGCGAAGATAAATAAGATATAATCCCTTTATTCTCAAAGACCTCACATGTCTTATTTATTTTTGTGCCCTAAATCTTTATGCATTGATTTGAATCAGTAATAAGGACACGTGATTCCAAATTAGAATGATAGCTTCTACTTATGTCTCCATCCAGCCCGCACTCCCAGTCCAATCAATCCCCATTTGGTATCATCTTCACTAATTCCCCGTGTATCATTTTAGGGTTTCTTTTTGCAGACAGAGTGTACGCTCACGTGTGCGTGCGCACACACACACACACATTTTCCTTTCTTGCTTGCTTTCTTTCTTTTTCCTTCCTTCCTTCCTTCTTTTTCTTTCTCTCTCTCTCTCTTTCTTTCTTCTTTCTCTTTCTTTCTTTCTTTTCTTTCTTTCTCTCTTTCTTTCTTTCTCAAAAGTTAACAGGTAAACCATCCCTGACCTTTTTTTTTTCACTTAATGTATTACAAAGATCTTTTAATATCTGTACACAGAAAGTATTCCTATTCTGTTTTTAATGGCTGCGTAATATTCCATTGTGTGAATGATTGTTTAACCCAAGATTTCTCACCCTCAGTTCTAGTGAGAATTAAGGCTAGATAATTTTTGTCGTGGAGGTTGTCCTGTGCAATATAGGATGCTTAGCAGGATCCCTGGCCTTTACCCACTAGATGCCGTAAGTTTCCCTCTCTCCAGTTGTGACAACCAAAAATAAATCACTCCTGGTTGAAAATCCCTGGTTTAAACAATCCTCTAATGAGGAACATTTTTGTTGCTATCAAATTTTTATCATCACAAGCTATGCAGTAATGAGTAATCTTGTAACATGTTATTTTGCACATGTGCAAGGATATTTGTAGAATAAATTACTAGCTATGGGATTTCTTGGTTAAAGTGAAAGTACATTTTTAATTTTGGAAACATTGCAAAATTTCCCCCATAGAGATTGTGTCATGTTGTATTCCCATCAACAACGTATGAGATGCAATCACCTTTCTATGTGATAACTGAAAACCTAAAGAAACATGTATGAATGATGTATGCCAAAAGGTCATTGCACCCCTTCTGGTAAAGAAATCTGTGTTTGCACTAAGGAAGGTTGAATGACATGCAAATTCCATATTTTTGTACAGGTATCCTTCTGCCTAGACTTACACTATCAACCTATTTAGTGAGAGGCCAATAACAATTTTGAGGCTTTGCCTTCCAGGGATGAATGGGGGGCTTTGTGACTGGCTTTGACCAAGAAGCTATAATTTCTAGGCTCATAGTCTTTAAACAGAATAAAAAGAAACCTGACTTCCTTCCATTTAGGTACCAAGTGGATGTGCAATAGATTCCCTGCAGAAGCTGAACTCTAAGCTCAGTAGGAAGGATGTTTCTCCCTACCTTCAACAAAAGTGAGCAGGCAGTACCTCCAGGATGTTCAAACAATTGATGTTTTCCGCCTGTAAACAGAAGGCCTGGAGCAAAGCTCAATATTTAATAAGGAATAAAAGGGTCTAAGGAAACTATGACTAGTTTCTTTCTTTTGGTGTTCTGACATTTCCATCTTATTGAGATCCAAGGCCTAAAATATAGCAATATGTAGTCAAAGGAGGAGGAGTACATCTAATTGGGCAGATCCCAAAACACTATGTGAAATACAGCATAGAGATACAAGAATGAACACAGTTCTAGGGGAACACAAACAATGGATCAAAAGAGCCTGGGGAAGTGATGAGGGAGAAGGGGAGAAAGGCCCTCTAGGCAGAAGGAATGGTATCTTCAGCCACAAGAATCAAGACTGGTGCACTCAGACACTGAAAAAGGCTCACAGAGAGAGGTGGGCAATGATCGGCAGCAGTCTTAACAGTCTTTTTTTTTTTTTTTTTTTTGAGACAGAGACAGGGTCTCGTGGTCTCCCTCTGTTGCCCAGGCTGGAGTGCAGTGGCACAATCTTGGCTGACTGCCTCCCGTGCTCAGGCGATTCTCATGCCTCAGCCTCCCAAGTAGCTGGGACTATAGATACGTGCCACCATGCCTGGCTAATTTTTGTAATTTTAGTAGAGACAGGGTTTCACCATGTTACCTGCTGGTCTCAAACTCCTGAGCTCAAGTAATCTGTCCACCTCGGCCTCCCAAAGTGCTGGGATTACAGGCGTGAGCCACCATGCCCAGCCCGGAACAATCTTCTATGACAAAGAAGAGGGTCAGGATTTGATGATGTAGGAAACATGGAGCTAATAAGAGTTTGTTAGCATGACAGTGGGGCAGAATAGAGTTCGGTCTGTGTGCAAGACAAAGACAGTGGCTCACTGTCTTTGGAAGAAACTCACCTGAGTGGGAAGAAACTTGTGGCCTGGACTTAGTCGTTGCAATGGTCCAGCAGAGAGAAGACGGGCAGTGGGCTTAAGCCCAGATGAGAGACCAGGGCAGAATCCTCATGGGAGAGGTTTCTCCTCACTCAGCAGGCTCCTTCCATACTACTTCTCCAATCTGAGGCTAGAACATAAGTTGGATCATATCACTTCTCACCTCAGACCCCTCTGGTGGCTCCCATCTCATTATGAGAAAAGACCTAACTGATTAAAATTACAACAGGGCCCTATATGATCTGCTAGACCGAGACCCTAGAGGGAAACAGAAGCTTTCCAGGAAAGAGGGCATGTGCACAGGCTTGACTTCTTCCACTCCCACCGGCTTCTCTCCCTTTCCATCTCAGTTACAGAGGTCTGGGAAGCACCAGGATAGCTGGTTTCTGGACCAGTCAGGACAGAAGTTCAGGACAGAGCTTGTTGGGAGGAACAGGGGATTGGGAATTCAATGTGTGTAAATAGTTTCCATCCTAGTGTTTAATGTAAGTGGTAGTGATGAATTAGCAAATGGGGAAAAAAAGCAAATTAATTCTGATTCTCTAATAGTTGAGCTCCTTGGCATGCTGTTGTAACTAATAAAATATATTTTATTCAGACTTTGATTGCCACGAAGTCACAAATATGTGTATATTTATTTGCAGTAAGCTTCTTACCCAGTTTTCTTTTGTGTTTATCTTCTTTCATTCTCTATGTTTGTGACCTTTTATCTTGGATTGTCTTATTGTGGTGGGATGAATAATGGCCTGCAATGATGTCCACATAATCACCTGGGACCTGTGAATGTTACAGGGAAAAGGGACTTTGCAGATGTACTTGAGTTAAGGATCTTGAGATGGAGGATTGTCCTGGATTTTCTTGGTGGGCCCAGTGTAATCACAAGGTTGTTATGAAACAAAGGAAGGAGACATGAGAGTCAGAAAGAAGGCGATGCAATCATGGAAGCAGATTGGAATAAGGTGCTTTGATGGCAGAAGGGGCCATGAGCCCAGAAATGCAGGCAGCCTCTAGAGGCTGGAAACACAAGAAAATGAATTGTCTTCTCAGAGCCTCTAGGAGGAATCAGCCCTGTGACGCTGTGACATTGGCCCAGTGGAACTGACTTCTTCCTTCTGGTCTGTGTTATTTTAAACCAATAAGTTAGTGGTGATCTATTATAGTAGCAATAGAGAACTAGCAACCTATTGACAGCTTTTTTTTTTTTTTTTTAATACAATGATCTACCTAAGAGGTATAGTCTAGTGATCAAAAACATGGTCTTGGGAGACAGGCTCCTGGCTCTACCACTCACTATCTGTGTAGACTTAGCCAGGCTATTAAACCCGTCAAGTGCCATTTTCTTTTTTTTTTTTTTTTTTTGAGACGGAGTCTGGCTCTGTCGCCCAGGCTGGAGTGTAGTGGCACCATCTCGGCTCACTGCAAGCTCCGCCTCCCAGGTTCACGCTATTCTCCTGTCTCAGCCTCCCGAGTAGCTGGGACTACAGGCGCCCGCCACCAAGCCCGGCTAATTTTTTTTGGATTATTAGTAGAGACGGGGTTTCACTGTGTTAGCCAGGATGGTCTCGATCTCCTGACCTCGTGATCTGCCTGCCTCGGCCTCCCAAAGTGCTGGGATTACAGGCGTGAGCCACCATGCCCGGCTGTGCCATCTTCTTCATCTATAAAATGGCATATTGATTTATACCCTACAGAGATTTGTGCAGATTGTACTTTGACACTTGTGAAAATGCTATACCCAATATCTAGTGTGGAGTAGGCCTTCAAAAAACTCAAAATACAAGCACTGGAGGAGTAGCTAAGTATATTAAGTTGCCTTCATCCAGTCTGCTGTGCATTGAAAATAGGGTTCAATTTATTAAAATTCCATTTTGATTCATGTTCTCAGGGACCCAAATAACCTATGTTTTCAAACTATTTTATAGTTTCTTCTTTCCTTCTTTCATTAACTATGAAAACCAAACATTTTTAATTTTTGGATCAATAGAGAAGTTACAACTTATTTTGGGGAAGTTGTTGCCTCCCTAACATGTCATTTTTAATGGCTTAAGATAGTACTCTCACTTGCAATGTCCCTTACCTAAAAAACAGAAACATTTAATGGAGCACAGTAGTTTAAACACAGCTTAAATGACACCTTAATGATTTCTTTATGTCTTAAGGATCCTTTCAGCTTCAAGTAACAGAAATCCCAATTCAGATAATACAGAAATATGTAATCTCACCGTCACAGGACTTCTGAGACAAGGTAGCTTTCAGGGTTTGGTTCAGTGGCTTAACAAAGATATTGTTGAGCCCTTTCTTTCTATCTGCTCTGACCTCTTCGATGCTGGCTTCATCCCCAGGCTGGTGGCATGATGTTGCTGCAGGCCGTCCCTCATGTCCCCCAGAGGTCAGAATCCTGAGCCAATGGCTGGCAAGGAAAATGAGATTATACTAAAGACAAGGGCGGAGTCAGCTTTCCCTGTGACCACTGTAGCTGGGGAAGAAAGGTACACACTTTGCGGATGTATTCCGGAGGAAGAGTGGGAGAATGAATGCTGGCTCAGCAACCATGATCTTTGGAGAGTTCTTCCGTTTTATCATTTTTCTAATGGGATCCCTCTGTGGAAACTGCTTCAAGGTTTTCTCAGGAAATATTTCTACTTGAACACTTATAAATGGTTAAGCACAACTTCTGAAATCAAATTTTTAATTTCCTAGTGTTTTTAAATTTAAAGAGACACACGTTCTTTTCTAAAATTCAAGCAAATTCTTTTGGTTGAGATATACTATAGAAAGTTCATGTGAGAGGATGATTTAAGAATAACTAATAGCTTATTGAGGGAATATTTTATCACTGTAGTTATACAGCACTGATGGTCATTGCATAAAATAACTCCACTATTCAATAAAAAAGTAAAATTTTCTTTGTGCAACTGGGAAGTGGCATGGCAGTGATACACACACACACTCTATATATGTGTATGCACATATGTGTATGTATATACTATATATAGAGAATATATATATGTATGTGTGTATGTATATACATCACTATGGTTTCATTACAATGACAATAAGTCTCTGTTCTCATGTTGATAAAATATCATTTACTCTCTTCTAAAACTCTCATATGATTGACAAGTTTTAGCTTTTTACTTTGTGGATTTTTCCTCCTATTTCTTCTGGTTCTATTTGACTCCATCCCAAGGGTTGCTCTCTTTGGACCATATTCTAGGTCTGTTATGGTCCTTTTTGCTTTATTTATTGTAAAAAGAGACTAAGGAAATATAGTTATCTATATTTCACTCAGAAAAATAATGTTACAATGTCAAGAAATATTGAAGGGAATTGAAGAATGTAAAATAAAACCATATTTTGGGATCTTGTTTCACTTAACTTTGTTAGCAGCCTCAAATTATTCTCTATTTTTCCATGGAGGGATTCTTTAATCACAATAATTGAGATTTTCCATTTCCAGGGCAATTTAAAGTGTTTGTGAAGGTTTCACATTGACTCATTATTATTAACCTCAGGGGGCACAGAAATGTAAAGAAACAATGTGTAAGTGGAGAAGGCTCTTTAAAACTGCAGAGACAAACGTATGAGAATATCAGCTATTTCAAAAATAAGGTGTTTAAAATAAACAGCCTTGGGAGATTCATAAAGACAGTAGCTTGACACACAACAAAGCTGACTCTGGCAGGCTTTAAATATTGCTGGGACAAAATCAACATGTTTGAACACACCTCAGGTTCCAGGTTGTCTTTAAATCACTTTTTGTGTACTGTCCCCTCTCAAAATAGGAATTAGCCATGCCAGTATGTATACATGACACCCCTTCATAATCACTACTGTGAAAACATCAAGGCTAATTACACATTTTTTATATCATGCCATTGATCTGAGTTCTTGCCCCACCTCTCTATGGAAACCTAACTCCCCTCAACAATCCCATCTTAAGAGTACTTTAGGGACCCCCAACTCTGCTCTTAAAGATACCTGGGCATCTTTATGTGTAGTCAAAATCAACATCTACAATGGCTGGTAATTTCCTTGTCTGTTTCTCTCACTTGAGCATGGAATATTTGAAGGCAAAGGCTGTCTTACTCACTTTTGTGTCTGTCATCATTGCATCATTTGTGACACATGAGGCTCAGTAAACATATTGAGGAAAGAAAATAAAGAAAGGCATGAAATACTTTTTCCAACACAGTTTTCCTTTTAAACACTTCTAGGGTTGTCTTTGAAATATCTGCATATTAAATAGTGCCAAGATTTCCATGTCACTTTAGCAGGTGCTATAAAGGTGTGGCTGGATCTTTCTTTTTGTTGAATTCCTGGTATGGAAAGAACACAGATGCGATGCCTCTCTGGCTCTCTACAACCCCAGTGGGAATTGCATAGATGTTTAAGATAGAAAAGAATTTCCCTGAAATATCCAAATGATGGAGTCTGAGCACATTCAAGCTGTTGTGGAGAGGTGTAGGTTAAACATTATTTGTTTAATTTCGGTTGAATAGAGAGCACAAATGGCTAATTCAAGATAAAGTACACTTTGGGTAATGCCCAAATTTTCTACTTTAATTCATTTTGTTATCAAATAATCACCAAGTCTGATTTCTTTTCTATTAGGCAGATACAAGGGAAACCTTTGCTGTTTTTCAGTTACCCAGGTAATTGTTTTCAGGTTCCTTTTTTTTTTTTTTTTTTTTGGTTGACAAGTTTCAGGGAATTACATTCACTTTCTATAATGAAATGGTAACAAACCAATTGGTGAAATTGGTGAGCAGGTAAGGGGAGAACCCTACAACAGACATTTCAAGAGGAAAAGAAGGAGCAGAATGATTGATGTGGAAACAGTGGCTGTGAGACTGATCTTCATGCTTTTTTTTTTTTTTTTTTTTTTACAATAAATAGGGTTTAGAAATCTCTTTGGCACTTTGGAAAGTAGTCTGAGGCTTAGGTCTTCTCAATAATGACCAGAGAAGTACTTGAGGAAAGTTTCAGGGGAGCTGGGGTTCATACCATTTCCTTTAATGTAGATCATTGAAGACTGCCATAAAAATGTAGTTATTATTTTGATAATACAGTACTGCAGTGCATAGAGGTGAATCAGATATCTCTGACTGGTCAGCTAGCAGACAGAGGGGTTGATGCAGCCACTTAGCATTGCAGGACATCTGGGGGCAAACACCCTGAAGGAGAAGAGAAATTACAATAGAGGTGTAAAAATTAAATTTTGCTTTAATTTTTTTAATCTTGGAATTAACCTGACCATAACCAGGAATGGCAAAGATAGCTCTTCTATGAAATGAATAAGTGGTAAAATATTTGCTTGATTTTTTCATTTCACATTTATGCCCTAGTTAAATATACAGTGAATTCATTTAAAAGAAATAATTCTGCAAATTTTTCTTAGTTTAGCCTTTAGTCGTTTTGTTATTTTTTCATATAAAACATACAATTAATTATAAGACATTTGTCCTGTGCTATTACTTTTCAATCATTTAAACATATGCAGACTGTAATTACATAATATTGATTGTTAAAATGTGGATGCTTAGTTTTTAAAATGTTAAATTAGATCCAAAAAGGATGATATGCAATAGAAATCTATTTGTTTTATCTCAATTAGCACCATCAAAGTAAAATAATTTCTAGTCACCTTCTACATTGTGTGTTTTTTTCTTAAGATGGAAGAAGGAAAGCAACTGTTTCTTTATCAATTATTCTCATAATAATTTCAAAATGTTTCAAAATCTATCTATAGGTGTTGACCTACTGAATATCATTTTAAAAATAATGTATACAGGAATAAAAATATGTTAATAAGGAAATGATATTGCCTGTTTGCCTATTTGTGACTTTTTTTGGTATTTCATTTCATTTTATTTTTAAATTTTTCCATAGGTTATTGGGGTACAGGTGGTATTTGGTTACATGAGTAAGTTCTTCAGTGCTGACTTGTGAGATTTTGGTGCACCTATTGCTTGAGCAGTATACACAGTATACACTGCACCCTATTTGTAGTCTTTTATCCCTTGCTCCCCTCCTATACTTCCCCCTAAATCCCCAAACTCCATTGCATCATTCTTACGGCTTTGAGTCCTCATAGCTTAGCTCTCACTTATCAGTGAGAACATACAATGTTTGGTTTTCCATTCCTGAGTTACTTCACTTAGATTAATAGTCTCCAATTTTATTTTTAATTTTATTTTTAAATTTTTCCATAGGTTATTGGGGTACAGGTCACTGCAAATGCTGTTAATTAATTCCTTTTTATGGCTAAGTAGTATTCCATCGTATATACATACTACAGTTTCTTTATTCACTCGTTGATTGATGGGCATTTGGGTTGGTTCCATGATTTTGCAATTGCAAATTGTGCTGCTATAAACATGCGTGTGCAAGTATCTTTTTCGTATAATGACTTCTTTTCCTTTGGGTAGATACTCAGTAGTGAGACTGCTGGATAAAATGGTAGTTGTACTTTTAGTTCTTTAAGGAGTCTCCACCCTGTTTTCCACAGTGGCTGTACTAGTTTACATTCCCCCCAGCAGTGGAGAAGTGTTCCCTGATCACCACATCCACAGCAAAATCTACTGTTTTTTGATTTTTTGATTATGGCCATTCTTGCAGGAGTAAGACGGTATTGCACTGTAGTTTTGATTTGCATTTCCTTGATCATTAGAGATGTTGAGCATTTTTCCATATGTTTGTTGGCCATTTGTATATCTCCTTTTGAGAATTGTCTATTCATGTCCTTAGCCCACTATTTGACGGGATTGTTTGTTTTTTTCTTACTGATTTGAGTTCGCTGTAGATTCTGGATATTAGTCCTTTATCAGATGTATAGATTGTGAAGATTTTCTCCCACTCTGTGGGTTGTCTGTTTACTCTGTTGACTGTTCCTTTTGCCGTGCAAAAGCTCTTTAGTTTAATTAAGTCCCAACTATTTATCTTTGTTTTTATTGCATTTGCTTTTGGTTCTTGGTCATGAAATCCTTGCCTAAGCCAATGTCTAGAAGGATTTTTCTGATGTTATCTTCTAGAATTTCTATAGTTTCAGGTCTTAGATTTAAGTGCTTAATCCATCTTGAGTGGATTTTTGTATAAGGTGAGAGATGAGGATCCAGTTTCATTCTCCTACATGTGGCTAGCCAATTATCCCAGCACCATTTGTTGAAAAGGGTATCCTTTCTCCACTTTATGATTTTGTTTTCTTTGTCAAAGATCAGTTGACTGTAAGTATTTGAGTTTATTTCTGGGTTCTCTATTCTGTTCCATTGGTCTATGTGCCTATTTTTATACCAGTACCATGCTGTTTTGGTGACTATGGCCTTATAGTATAATTGAAATCAGGTAGTGTAATGCCTCCAGATTTGTTCCTTTTACTTAGTCTTGCTTTGGCTATATGGGCTCTTTTTTGGTTCCATATGAATTTTAGAGTTGTTTTTTCTAATTCTGTGAAGAATGATGGTAGTATTTTGATGGGGATTCTATTAAATCCATAGATTGTTTTTGGCAGTAGAATCCATGAGCATGGGATGTGTTTCCATTTGTTTGTGTCGTCTATGATTTCTTTCAGCAGTGTTTTGTAGTTTTCCTTGCAGAAGTATTTAGCTTCCTGGTTTAGGTATATTCCTAAGTATTTTATTTTATGTTTTATTTTTGCAGCTGTCGTAAAAGGGTTTGAGTTCTTGATTTGATTCTCCATTTGGTCGCTGTTGGTATATAGAAGAGCTACTGATTTGTGTACATTAATCTTGTATCTGGAAACTTTGCTGAATTCTTTTATCAGTTCTAGGAACTTTCTGGAGGAGTCTTTATGATTTTCGAGTTAAACAATCATATTGTCAGCAAACAGTGACAGTTTGACTTCCTCTTTACCGATTTGGATGCCCTTTATTTCTTTCTCTTGTCTGATTGCTCTGGTTAGGACTTCCAGTAGTATGTTGAAGAGGAGTGGTGAGAATGGGCATCCTTGTCTTGTTCCAGTTCTCAGAGGGAATGCTTTCAACTTTTCCCCATTCAGTATTACGTTGGCTGTGGGTTTGTCACAGATGGCTTTTATTACATTAAGCTATATCCCTTGTATGCCGATTTTGCTGACAGTTTTAATCATAAACCAATGCTGGATTTTGTCAAATGCTTTTTTTGCATCTATTTAGATGATCTTGTGATGTTTGTTTTTAATTATGTTTATGTGGTGTATTGTCTTGTGTATGTTAAACCATCCCTGCATCTCTGGAATGAAACCCACTTGATCATGGTGGATTATCTTTTGATATGTTGTTGGATTTGGTTAGCTAGTATTTTGTTAAGGATTTTAGCATCTATTTTCATCAAGGATATTGGTCTGTAGTTTTCTTTTTTGGTTATGCCCTTTCCTGGTTTTGGTATTAGGGTGATGCTGGCTTTATGGAATGAATTAGGAAGGGTTCCCTCTTTCTCTATCTTGAGGAATGGTGTCAAAATGATTGGTTCCAATTCTTTGAATGTCTGGTAGAAATCTGCTGTGATTCTCTCTGGTCCTGGACTTTTTTTGTTGGTAATTTTTAAATTACCATTTCAATCTCACTGCTTGTTATTGGTCTGTTTAGGGTATCTAATTCTTCCTGATTTAAGCTAGGAGAGTTGTATATTTTCAGGAGTTTATCCATCTCTTCTAGGTTTTTTAGTTTATGTGCTTAAAGGTGTTCATAGTAGCCTTGAATGATCTTTCATATTTCGGTGGTGTCAGTTGTAATACCTCCCAATTTTTTTCTTAGTAAGGTTATTTGGATTTTCTCTCTTCTTTTATTGGTTAATCTTGCTAATGGTGTATCAATTTTATCTTTCCAATGAACCAACTTTTGTTTCATTTATCTTTTGTATTTTTTTTTTGTTTCAATTTCATTTCGTTCTGCTCTGATCTTGATTATTTCCTTTCTTCTGTGGGGTTTGGGTTTGATTTGTTCTTGTTTTTCTAGTTTCTTGAGGTGTGACCTTAGAATGTTAGTTTGTGCTCTTTCAGTCTTTTTGATGTAGGCGTTTAGGGCTATGAACTTTCCTCTTAGCACCGTCTTTGATGTATCCCAGAGGTTTTGATAGGTTGTGGCATTATTGTCATCCAGTTTAAAGAATTTTTAAATTTCCATCTTGATTTTGTTTATGACCCCAAGCTCATTCAGGAGCAGGTTATTTAATTTCCATATATTTGCATTTTGAAGGTTCCTTTTGGAGTTGACTTCTAGTTTTATTCCACTGTGGTATGAGAGATGGCTTGATATAATTTAACTTTTCTTAAATTTATTGAGGCTTGTTTTATGGCCTATCATATGGTCTATCTTGTAGAAAGTTCCATGTGCTGTTGAATAGAATGTGTATTCTGCAGTTGTTGGATGAAATGTTCTGTATAAATCTGTTAAGTTCGATTGTCCCAAGGAACAGTTTAAATCCATTGTTTGTTTTTGTTGGCTTTCTGTCTTGATGTCAGTGGAGTATTGAAGTCCCCCACTATTATTGTGTTGCTGTCTATCTCATTTCTTAGGTCTATTAGTAATTGCTTTATAAATTTGGGAGCTCCAGTGTTAGGTTCATATATCTTTAGGATTGTGATATTTTCCTTTTGGATAAGGCCTTTACCATTATATAATGTACCTGTCTCTTTTAACTGTTGTTGCTTTAAAGTTTGTATGTATGATTCAAAAATAGCTACCCCTGCTCACTTTTGGTGTCCATTGCATGAAATGCTCTTTTCCACCCATTTACTTTAAGTTTATGTGAGTCCTTATGTGTTAGGTAAGTCTCCTAAAGGCAGCAGATAGTTGGTTGGTGAGTTCTTATCAATTCTGCAGTTCCGTATCTTTTAAGTGGAGCATTTAGGCCATTTACATTCATTGTTAGTATTGAGGTGCAAGGTACCACTGCATTCATCATGCTATTTGTTGCCTGGCTACCTTGTTTTCTTTTTTTTGTTTTGTTTTTGCTTTTTAACTTGTATTTTTTTTTATAGGTCCTGTGTGCTTTAGGCTTTAAAGAGGTTTTGTTTTGATGTGTTTCCAAGATTTGTTTCAAGATTTAGAGCTCCTTTTAGTAGTTCTTGTAGTGGTGGCTTGGTTGTGGTGAATTCTCTCAGCATTTGTTTGTCTGAAAAAGACTGTACCCTTCTTTAATATATGATGCTTAGTTTTGCTGGATACAAAATTCTTGGCTGATAATTGTTTTGTTTGAGGAGGCTGAAGATAGGGCCCCAATCCCTTCTAGTTTGTGGTTTCTGCTGAGAAATCTGCTGTCAATCTGACAGGTTTTCCTTTATAGGTTACCTGATGCTTTTGCTTTTGTCCCATAGCTCTTAAGATTCTTTCCTTCATATTAACTTTAAATAATCTGATGACAATGTGCCTAGTCAACAATCTTTTTGTGAGGAATTTCCCAGGTGTTCTTTGTGCTGCTTGTATTTGGATGTCTAGGTCTCTAGCAAGGCCAGGGCAGTTTTCGTTAATTATTACCCCAAATATGTTTTCCAAAGTTTTAGATTTCTCTTCTTCCTCAGGAATACCGATTATTCCTAGGTTTGGTCATTGAATGTAATCCCAGGCTACTTAGAGGCTTTGTTCATATTTTCTTATTCTTTTTCCTTTGTCTTTGTTGGATTGGGTTAATTCAAAGATCTTGTCCTTGAGCTCTGAATTTCTTTCTTCTACTTGTTTAATTCGATTGCTGAAACTTTCCAGAGCACTTTGCATTTCTATAAGTGTGTCTAATGTTTCCTGAAATTTTGATTTTTTTTTCCTTTATGCTATCTATTCCTTGAATATTTCTCCCTTCACTTCTTGTGTCATTTTTTGGATTTCCTTGCATTGGGCTTTGCCTTTTTCTGGTGCCTCCATGATTAGCTTAACAACTAACCTCTTGAATTATTTTTCAGATAAATCAGAAATTTCTTCTTGGTTTGGATCCATTGCTGGTGAACTAAAGTGATTATTTTGGGGGGTGTTAATGAGCCTTGTTTTGTCATATTACCAGAGTTGGTTTTCTGGTTCCTTCTCATTTGGGTAGGCTCTGTCACAGCGTCTAGGGCTGAAGGCTGTTTTGTTTTGTTTTGTTTTGTTTTGTTTTGTTTTTTTGACAGAGTTTTGCTCTTGTTGCTCAGGCTTGAGTGCAATGGCACGATCTCAGCTCACCGTAACCTCTGCCTCCCGGGTCCTTCAGAGGGTCTGTGGTTCTTCCTGGGATTTCTGGTTTGTTCTTGGAGTTGTTCTGGAGCTAAAATTCACGATGCAAGACTCCACATGCTGCTCTGTTCACCAGAGACAGAGTTGCAGTCTAGTCCTGCCTCCTGTCCGCTATGATGATCTCCTGTTTGTCTATTTGAATAAATCTAGTCAGTTGTTCAGTTTACACAAAATTGAACCAGAAAATTACCTAGATTCAAATTTTAAAGGAAATTTTAATCAAAATAAGACCATGCCTTAATACTAATTCTGTTAACTGTGATAGTCTCTACTTTGATGTCCTTTTTTTTTTTTTTTGACAGGATCTTGCTCTGTCACCCAGGCTGGAGTGCAGTGACACTATCATGGCTCACTGCAGGCTTGAACCCCCAGGCTCAAGCAGTCCTCCCACCTTAGCCACCTCAGTAGCTGGGACTACAAGCATTTGCCACCACAGCAAGGTAATTTTTTTTTTTTTTTGAGACAGAGTCTCGCTCTGTCACCCAGGCTGGAGTGCAGTGGTGCGATCTCGGCTCACTGCAAGCTCAGCCTCCCGGGTTCACGCCATTCTCCTGCCTCAGCCTCCCGAGTAGCTGGGACTACAGGCGCCCGCCACCACGCCTGGCTAATTTTTTTTTTGTATTTTTAGTAGAGATGGGGTTTCACTGTGTTAGCCAGGATGGTCACGATCTCCTGACCTCGTGATCTGCCCGCCTCGGCCTCCCAAAGTGCTGGGATTACAGGTGTGAGCTACCGCGCCCGGCCACAGCAGGGTAATTTTTAAATTTTTTGTAGAGACAAGGTCTCACTATGTTGCCCAGGCTGGTGTTGAACTCCTGAACTCCAGTGATCCTCCCACCTCAGCCTCCCAAAGTGTTGGCATTCCAGGCATGAGCCACCATGCCTGGCCAATATTCTCTACTTTGAATCTTACTCCTGGCCTTTGTATAGTTTTTATTAAAAATAGGACACATGAAAAGAAAAATTTTGTTATTTTGTTTCCAGATATACCCTCTGTATAATTATTTAGTTTCTAAAAATTTAGAAAAGTTTAGTATACACAATGTATCTTTCACGTACATCTAATGTAACTTAAAACAACATTTGCTAACTTCTGGAATAGGTCTTGTTTTCTTTAGTTTATAAACAAAATTGATCTTTTTTGTTCACCAAGGTTTTTTTGGTCTATTTAATAACTATGATGAAAAATTGACAGCTTTATCTAGGCAGCGTTTCTCATGCTTTAATGGGTATGTGAAATAGCTGGAACTCTTGTTAAAATGCAGGTTCTGCTTTAGTTGGTTTGGGTTAAGGCCTGAGACTCTGGATTTCTAAGTTCCCCGGTGGTTCCAGGACCACACTTTAAGCATCAAGGACATGGGGAAATGCCTTCATTTGCAAATCTTCAGGTGTTTCAGCACTGCTTGAAAACCTGCTGGCTGGTCAGAGTTGATGCCAGTCTGTGAGAACTGGCCATAACATGCAGATTATAGGAATATTTTACCTTGCCTAGACTTCCTACTACTTTAAAAGTATTGGCTATGGACACTTTCCTTATCGTTATAAACTTCAAAATATTTTAATAAAAGTCAACTCATTCTTTTAAAGAAAAATAGCCTTCCTTTAAAAAAATCATACTTTTACCTGAATTGCCAAAGCAATCTTGAGCAAAAAGAGCAAAGCTGAAGGTATCAAACTACATAGCTTCAAAATCTACTACAAAGTCTACTACAAAATTTACTATTAAGACAGCATGATACTGGCATAAAAACAGACACATAGACCAATGAAACAGAATAGAGGACCTAGAAATAAATACAGGTACTTGCAGTTAATTGATTTTCAACCAAGGCACCAAGAACTCACAATGGAAAATAGACAGTTTTATTAGTAAATAGTGTTAGGACAGTTGAATATCCACAAGCAGAAGAATGAAATTAGACCCTATGTCACACTGTAAAAATTAACTCATAATAGATCAACAACGTAAATGTAGACCTGAAACAAAACTACTAGAAGATAACATAGGAGAGAAGCTCAATGACATGGGTCTGGATAATAATTTTTTGGATATGACCCCAAAAGCACAGGCAGCAACACCAAAAATAGAGAAATAAGATTACATTAAACTAAGAAGTTTCTGCACAGCCAAGGAAATAATCAAGAGGGAACAGACAACCTATGAAATGGGAGAAAATATTTGCAAACCATGCATCTCATAAGGGGTTAACATCCAAACTTAACAAGGAACTCAAACAACTCAATAGTAAGAAAACAAATAACCCGATTTAAAAATGGGCAAATGACCTTTATAGACATTTCTCAAAAGAAGACATACAAATGGCCAACAGGAATATGAAAAAATGCTGAACATCACTAATCACCAAAGAAATGCAAACTAAAACCACAGTGAGATACCGCCTCACACCTATTAGAATGGCTATTGTCAAAAATAAGAAAGATTGCAAATGTTGGTGAGGATGTGGAGAAAAGGGAACCCTTGCACACTGTTGGTGGGAATGTAAATTAGTACAGCCATTGTGGAAATCAGTATGGAAGTTACTAAAAAAATTAAAAATAGAACTACCATATGATCCAGCAATCCCAGGACTAGGTATATAGCCAAAGGAAATGAAATCAGTATGTTGGAGAGATGTCTTCACTCCCATATCTATTGCAGTACTATTCATGATAATCATGGTATAAAACCAACCTAAGTGTTCATCATTGAATGAATAAAGAAAATATGGTATATATACGCAATGGAATAGTATTCAGCTATGAAAAAGGACATCCTGTCATTTGGGACAGTATGGGTGAACCTAGAGGATGTTACGTTAGGTGAAATAAATAAGCCAGGCACAGAAAGACACATATTGCATGATCTCACTCATATAAAAATTTCATAAAGAGATGTGGGAAGTCAGAAGTATGAGAGATTTCCCACTGAGCAGCGTAAGAGTACTTTTTGTTTAAATAATATTCAAGGGTCAAGTATTAATAATGGAAACCCCATTTGAGCTTCAACTTCAGCTTGGTGGATGTGTGGGAAGAAGATGTATTCAGAGCTGCTGTGTTGTGGGATTATTCATTTTTGTGTAATGAAATATTTAAAAAAGCAAACATACCTTTTATGAATGAATGGTTTGGCCCGTTGTTTTTCAAACTGTGATCCTCAAACCAACAGCATCTGCATAACTCGGGAACTTGTTAGAGTCCCAAATTCTCAGGTCCCTTTCAGACCTATTGAATCAGAAATTCTAGGGGCAGGCCCTAGCAATCTGAAGTTTAACGCTCTCCAGGTGATTCTGATGTACACTAAAGCTTGAGAATCACTTGTTTAGTTAACATAAATCTCAAAGGGATGCTTTTACCCCACACTCCCTTCTGCGGACATTTGGCAATGCTTGGAGATATTTTTGATTGTCACAACTTAGGGGTGGTTGTGTAGGGGGGTGCTACTACCATCCAGTGGTTGGAAGCCAGGACTGCTACTTAATGACAAATGCAGCCCCCCACAATTAGCAACCCCCCAAATGTCGGTAGTGCTGAGGTTGAAAAATCCTGAAATAAATCCTTTAGGAGGACTTTCCCAAAAGTAGCTAAATTTAGTCAACAGAAAGATCATGGATTAGCAAAGGCCTAGAATTCAAATTCTGCCTCTGCTAATTAATAGTTTGTGGTTTCATGTAAAACCCTTAATCTCTCAGTTTCAGTTATCTCCTTTACAAAATGGGAATAATTTCTGCCTATTGCATGGATTACTATGAGGATCAAATGAGATAATGTGTATGAACACACATTGTAAACTGTAATGCTAATTAAATCGAACTGAAGGATTTTTCCAGTGGGAGGAAGATATAGACCAGAAGTGGGCGTAGAATGCTAAAAAAGGTTTGAGCATCTGATTCAGCTGTCTGAAAATAACCAGATTCTTTAATGTAAATCTGATTTGTGTTGGAGACTTTTTCCCTTAGTGTTTCTTACTTCCTTTCCTGTAACTACTTCATCTCAGCTTTTTTTTTTTTACTTTCAGTCACTGCATGATACAGAAATAACTTGCTCCTGGCTTCTCTTTATACTAGGGGTTCTCTAAGTTTAGCCTGCATCAGAACCACCAAAAGATTCTTGTTAAAGCTTGTCAAAACGAAGATTACTGGGTTCCATCCTCGAGTCTCTTACTCAGTGGGTCTGGGAGGAACCCAAGAAATTACACTTTCTGACAAGTTACCAGGTGATACTGATGCTGTTGGTCTGGTGAACACATTTTTAAGAACTACTCTCTGCCTTGTTACTAACTGGAGGACAGAAGATAATGGTTAGATTGCTAATTTTTAATTGTCACTAGCAAGGTTTGGCTATGTACATCTCAATGGTTCATTGCCCAGTGCCTTTTGACATAAGGAATAGCTTTTATTTTCCTGGCAAGTGAAACCATTCCCCTTATTTATTCTTTGTCTGAAGTCCCATTTATTTCTCTTTCCTATTCTCAACGATGTTAACAATTTTAGCAATTTAGTATTGATAATGGCTTTGGCTTGTCTTCTGTTAATTGAGGCCACTGTGCTTTAACAATCATATATAACAGCAGAGGAGGCACATTTGGCTTAAACAAAGACAGGATGTGCTGGCGTGCTTCAGATAAAGAATAGCTTAGTTATTCAGTGTTTGTCCTCAATCCAGGAATTGCTGCACTGTCAAAAAAAGCAAAATCATGAAAATGAAGGGCAGGTCTGATCTGAAATCTTTGTATTTGAAATGTACGTGTACACAGTGTGGCTTATGTACTATTTGCCTCCAAGTAAATTGGGGTATTTGTTTAAAATGCAGCTTCCTGGGCCCCACCCCAAAAGTGAAGATGGTCAAATATCAGATGCTGTAGAGGGTTTCTGAGAAAGGGCCTTGCACCTGCTGTGCCTCAGTTGAGCCCAGGGTGGGGAGCACAAAGCCCTCCAGATGGTTTGGGGCAGTGATGGCACATGGCGCTGGGTGGAGCATGCTTCTACCAGCGGAGAGAGTCCTAGGTGTCAATGGCGCCGTGCCAACACAAGAGGAGCCAAGGTGGTAACTGCTGGCCCAGTCAGAAGGGGCCTTAGATAGTCCTGGGAGTCTCTGACGTTTCTCCTGTGGCACAGGCAAGCCTCCAACAGTTCCTCAAATTCCCAGGCAATAGCTAAGAGACACCTGGTAGGCCTGAAGTGACTTTGCCATTAAATGAAGAAACTGTCAAGGGCTGGCCAGAAGTTCGTGCCAGGGGATGTAGGTTCTCAGGGTGCCTGAGTTTTGCCTTTGGGCCCAGATGAGCTTCCTCTGGGTGGAGGCGAGGGCGGTATAAGAGCTAGAAAACATATGAGCCACCTGGGGGCAAAGACAAGTGACCTGCAGTGGTGCCAGCTAAGAACGTCCATCTAGGCTCACACCTACATTTCTGGGCACACTGCGGACACATGGCACTCACAGCCACGTCAGGATCTGCAAGTTCTTGTGCTCACATATTTGAGGAAGAAAATAGATTCGTCAGCAACTTTTTCAAGGGAGGGAGTACACATAAACTAGAAGCAAATTTACAAAGATTTATTCTGATGCAGTAGGCGTCTTCTGGATCAAGGTTATAAACCCCAAAAGGAGTCATCAAAGATATCAACAGCCTGAATATATTAAAGATAAATTGTGTATAAATTGAAAGTATCTTATTGGGCTGAACATAGCCTCACAGGTTTAATGTTCCAGGTGTGCCCTGTTAGGTGTTAAGAACCACCTGAGCCTCACACATCATGAAGAGGGATCTAAGAGAGAGGGTGTGTGTGTGTTAACTTCTGTAACATCACAGTTGTCAAGGAGGCTGCAACAGGAACAAAGCACATTCCAGGTATGGAAACTGAGCTATGAAACTGTGTTGCTGTATTGAAAGTGGAAGATTATATCAGCAGTTCTGTGAAATGAATAGGTCTGTTACACGGGACAGAAATGTGGCAAGGTAATGTCAAGTATTCAGAGTGTTAAATGTGTAAAGTATTCAGTGTGGCTTGTCCCCCATTGTCTTGTTTCCATGACTTCTCTCTGTGTAGGCTTTGTGTCATGAGGTATGGAAATGAGGGAAAGGAGAAAATCTGAATACACTGATGTGGCCGACAGAATAATGCCCCCAAAAGATGTCCGTGTTCTAACTCCTGGAATGTGTGGACACGTTCCCTTACATGGCACAAGGGACTTTGCAGATTTGAATAAGGATCTTGAGATGCAGAGGTGATGCTGGACTATCTGGGTGGGCACAGTATAATCACAAGGCTCCTTCTGAGGGGAAGGGAGGCAAGAGACTGAGAGAAGGGGATGTGGCAGTAGAAGTTGGAGTGACGTGGTTGCTGATTCTGAGGAAGGATGAAGGGGCCACGGGCCAAGGAATGTGGCAGCTTCCAGAAGCTGGGAAAGGGAGATGAATAGATTCTCCCTTAGAACCTTCAGAAGAAGCACAACCCTGCAGATGCCTTAGGCTTAACCCAGGGTAGCTCCTTTTGGGCTTCTGACCTTGAGGAGTGTAAGTTAATAAACGTGTGTTGATTCAAGCCTCTAAATTTGTGGTAATTTGTTACAGCAGCAATAGAAAGCTAACGCAACTGAATTTCAACCTTAACTTCGAATTCACCAGTAGTATTCTCTGAACTTAAACAGACGGGTTTAAAGTGGAAATTCAGTTCATCAATAGAAAACTGTCTTGAGAACTCACTTTAGAGGCACTAATTTATAATAATAACTGCTGGCTTGAAGATTTAAAATAGAAGATATCAAGCAGGGCAGCAATCTTTCCTTATTTATTTGAAGGTGTAGTCTATTAAGTAACCACATTCATTTTTCAGCGTGCTTCATCAACTGTATTCCCAGTAAATTGAATATTTAATAATATATATTCCTTCATCCACCTGCAGAGGATGAAGGCATGCCACCACAGATATTGGTACATTATTCTGCAATTTGAAGACTTAAAAAATTATTTTACTTGATATAGTGCAATAGCTAAGTCTTCAATTTCACTGACCATTTAAAATGATCTAGAATGGTGCATTAATGGGTGTTTAATATTTTCAAAATCATAGCATCATCTATTAACTGTTCTGTGATGAGAGCAGACATAGACAAGATAAGAGTCTGTATTTCATGTAACTTTCAAGAACCAGGGGTTTTTTTTGTTTTTTTTTTTGTTTGTTTGTTTTTGTTTTTTTTTTTTTTTTTACCTCATAGTGCCCTTTCCCATGTACTTCTCCAACTTCTTTGATGAATTAATATAAATTTAATATTGAAAAATGACTCTTGAAGACCAGCTACCTCATTTTACCAAGTTCATAATGCAGGGCCGTGGATTAAGTATCTTCAAGTGTCCCCAACTAGAAGGTAGATATGCCAAGGGCAGGGAAGCTGTGATCAACAGGAAAAAGCAGACAGCATTTCTCTTGGCATCCAGGTTACATTCCTGTTTCCCTACAACATTCAAAGTAGCTTGTCTTTCAATGTCTTTTGCAGCAATTTAGATGGAACTGGAGGCCATTATTCTAAGTGAAGTAACTCAGGATTGGCAAACCAAACACTGTATGTTCTCACTTATAAGTAGGAGTCAAGCTATGGGTATGCCAAGCCATACAGAGTGGTATAATGAACATTGGATACTCAGAAGAGGTACGGATGGCAGAAGGGTGAGGGATAAAAAGCTACATATTGTGTATAATGTACGCTGCTTTATTGGGGGAAATTCAGCCAGATATCGGGCGAAATTCACCCCCGATATTTCACATAGGTTCTTTTCTATTTTCGCTAAGTGTCAGCCGATCTGAGAAATAAAGGGAAAGAGTACAAAAGAGAAATTTTAAAGCTGGGTGTCCAGGGGAGACATCACATGTTGGCAGGTTCTGTGATGCCCCACAAGCCACAAAACCAGCAAGTTTTTATTAGTGATTTTCAAAAGGGGAGGGAGTGAGCGAATAGGGTGTGGGTCACAGAGATCACATGCTTCACAAAGTAATAGAATATCACAAGGTAAATGGAGGCAGGGCGAGATCACAGTACCACAGGACCAGGGCGAAATTAAAATTGCTAATGAAGTTTTGGGCACACATTGTCATTGATAACATCTTATCAGGAGACAGGGTTTGAGAGCAGACAACTGGTCTGACCAAAATTTATTAGGCAGGAATTTCCTCATCCTAATAAGCCTGGGAGCACTACGGGAGACTGGGGCTTATTTCATCCCTACAGCTTTGACCGTAAAATACAGCCACCCCCAGAAGCGGCCATTTTTGAGGCCTCCCCTCAGGGACACATTCTCTTTCTCAGGGATGTTCCTTGGTGAGAAAAAGAATTCAGCAATATTTCTCCCATTTGCTGTTGAAAGAAGAGAAATATGGCTCTGCTCCACCCGGCTCACCGGCGGTCAGAGTTTAAGGTTATCTCTCTTGTTCCCTGAACATTGCTATTATCCTGTTCTTTTTTCAAGGTTCCCAGATTTCATATTGTTCAAACACACATGCTCTACAAACAATTTGTGAAGTTAATGCAATCATCACAGGGTCCTGAGGTGACATACATCCTCCTCAGCTTATGAAGATGATGGGATTAAGAGATTAAAGTAAAGACAGGCATAGGAAATCACAAGGGTATTGATTGGGGAAGTGATAAGTGTCCATGAAATCTTCACAATTTGTGTTCAGAGATTGCAGTAAAGACAGGCGTAAGAAATTATAAAAGTATTAATTTGGGGAACTAATAAATGTCCATGAAATCTTCACAATCCACGTTCTTCTGCCATGACTTCAGCCGGTCCCTCCGTTGGTGGTCCCTGACTTCCTGCAACATTGCCTGCATGATGGGTGCACTAAAATCTCAGACTGCACCCCTATAAAATTCATCCATGTAACCAAAAACCATTTGTACTCCTAAAGCGATTGAAAATTTAAAAAGTAGCTTGTCTTTTCCCCTAGACTTTCTCATCCTTGCTCCTGTCTATAACCTGATAAAACTGTGTTCATTGGTGTGCCAGCTGCTCCCTGCGGATCAAGTTCTCCAAGGTGGCATGGCCAGAATGGTATTTGCATTTTAGGGTAGAGCTCTCAAGCATAGAGTAGCTCTGCTGCTCTCCTCTCCAGCTTTGTGCCCTATTTCAGGCACTCGTCATCCCTCATCAGTTAGGATGGCTTTGCTTTGCTTGCTTTGACTCTGCCCTAACAATATACGTTCCACATTTCCGGCAGGGTTTTCTCAATAATTACAATGGCAGGATCCTTACATGTCAGACATACTTCAAAGCTCGTTATATGTATTAATTCCATTCTCATAGCAACCCTGTGGAGGAGATTTTATTGTCTCCATTTTATGCATGTTCCTCCTTCGAAATTCAGGGAAGTTAAGCAACTTGCTCAGGATCACAAAGTGGTAATTTTAGGATTTGAACTCAACAGTCTGGTTGCAAAGACTGTGCTAAATTTGAGTCTTCTGCCCCTTAAGTCACATCGCTACCCTGCTAAAAAATCTGTGATGGTTTATATAGCATCCATTTCACACTAACCTTGAGAGTTGGAGAGCAGACTGACCTCACTGCATGCCTGCTTTGTTGTATTTGCTGAGCAACTAAACTGCTCTGTGCTTCTGGCTTGTGTCTGTAAAATGGGAGTAAGAAAATCCATTTCAGAGTCATCACCAGGAACTAACCTGACAGCACAGGCAAAAAATTTAGTATTGCGCTTAAAGTGCAGAAGAATTCAACAAATGGTAGCCATTTTAATGCTATAAAATTGTGATTATTTCACATTTGAAATAACCCACTCTCTGCCCCAGGCAATATATTTCTTGCAGGAAGTACTCTTCTGCCAATATTCCTTGTTAGAACTTAGTGTGAATTACTGGCAGTCTTTTCAATTTGGGATAGAGCCTGTTTAACTCATTTCCCAATTAGTATTTATTTGCCTGATTGCTGGGTAGACTTAGTCACCAGTAATCAAAATTCCCAGTGTATTAGATATTTCTAGGTCCAGGTATTATTTATCTAAATTTTGGAAGGATTAATTGATGTTAAGATTTGAAACTAAGAGATATACTGAAAGGAAAAAACAACCGTAAATGTCAATAATAAAGAGCCCAACAGAATAGGTAATTTAGGTATCTAATAATGCATTGAAATATATTTTGGGTAGGTAGATTCACTTTTTTTTTTTGAGATGGAGTCTCGCTCTGTCACCCAGGCCGGAATGCAGTGGCACAATCTCAGCTCCCTACAACCTCTGCCTCCCAGGTTCAAGTGATTCTCCTGCCTCAGCCTCCTGAGTAGCTGGGATTACAGGCGCGAACCACTGCACCTGGCTAATTTTTGCATTTTTAGTAGAGGCAGGGTTTCACCATGTTGGCCAGGCTGGTCTTGAACTCCTGGCCTCAGGTGATCCACCTGCCTTGGCCTCCCAAAGATTCACTTTTAAGTAATTTAGTTATCTCATGCCACGTACCTTCTCAACTTCTTCTCTCTTGCTTTTCTCCACACATCCTAGGTGTAAGCCATGTTTAGTTACTAACGATTTTCTAAACATGATGAGAAGTTTTACGTCTGTGTCCATGATGTTATTTCTACCTGAAATGAAAAATCCTGAGAAATCCTCTTCATCTGAAATGTATGTCTGCCTTTCCCCTGCCCCTGCACCCTCTTTAAAAAATTCCATCTCCAGCTAGCACTTATCATAGCATGGGAAGCATTACATTGGCTGAGTTCAATTAAATTAAATCTAACAATAATTTCTCAGTACCTGCTAGGCCATGCTAGTGCTGAGGGGACAAAGACAGACATGCAGCATCTTTTTCAAGGATGTTTGAAATACATGTTAAATGAAGCAATTCCACATATTGTGGTAGATGCGTACATACTTTTATTGTGGAGATGAAGAGAAGGGAGTAAGTGACTCAACTTGCAGAGGCAGAGGCCACTTCACAGGAGAAGTGGCACTTGAGTCTTGAAGAATGGGCAGGAGTTTTCAAGGCTCACAAAGACAAGAGCAGTCAAGTTTGAAGGAACCCCTGTCCAGGAGCACAGAGGCATAAAGTAGCTTCAGTAAAAGAGGTGTATCTAAGGGAATAGCAAGAGGCGACTCCATAGAAAGAAGCAGGGTAGAGGCAATTTCAACATCTCAGAGAGAATTGCCCTGAACGAGGGCAATGCCAGCCAGCATGGGGCTGAGATTTGGAAGTAGAATTGACAGGCTTTGAGGCTGCTTAGCGGTTGGCGGTGAGTGAAATGGCAGAGCCAGGAATAATTTTTAGGCTTCTCATTTGGATGAATGAATGATTGCCATTAATTAGGTTTGACAACAGAGAAATCAATCAGATTTTAGGAGACGAGAATTGAATTTGGTTTCTGCCAGTTTAAGTCTGATTTAACTATGAGATACTCAGGTAGGGGTGTCTGGTAGCCAGTTTGTTGGAAGACTCTAATACCCTGGGACCTGGACTGAGGATAGTTTTGGAATCATCTGCAGATTATAAATTAATAAATGCAAATTACTTAAAACTAAGGCCTGGCACATGGCAAATGCTATTATGCATGTAGGTGATAGCAAAATCCACAGTAGTGCATGTAATTCCCCACAGCCAACAAGAAACTTGCTGAGCAGACTCCAGTGGACCTGCGATATATGGGGACAAGTTTGAGGACCTCAGGCCAGCCTGAGATGGAGAAGAGATGGTCAGAGGGAAAGGAGAGCACAGAGCACACAAGAGTCAGGTAAGCTAGACAAAGAAAATGTTTTAAGAAGGGAGTGCTGTGTGCCCCCGAGCTGTCTAGTGTCTGTTTATCCCACAGTGGAAAGGCATTATTTCCCTTTCTTCGTTTTCCTCTCCGTCCTAACCTACAGCTTTCATCTGAAATCCATGGCAGCTTTGTGTTCCCTACAGAAACAACTCTGGGAATCGGGGTTGGATAATAGAATTCCACTTTATAAGCTGCTAGAAGTTCTACTGGGCATAAAGAGTTTGACTGCCCATTATTTTGCATTGTTAATCCTCTGTTTTGTTGTGTGGGATTTCATTCTACATTTCTTTGGGTTGAATCTTTCTATTGTAATTTATGAACACTAGAAGCCTCTAAAACTCAGGCATAAGGGAAATGATCTGATGTTAGAATTTCAATGTTTAGTCACTATTAGCTCTCAATCAGATCTTTGGGGCATCATCTATCTCTAAGGAAGTGGTGATGGTTACATCTCTCACTTTGCAAATTAGGTATTTCCTTGAAGGTAGGAACTCTGAACTGCGTCTGTCTTGCTCATCATATATATCCCCAGTGACTCTACCTGAGCAGGTGATAAATAGTTTTTGAATAAATCAATATATTTTTGTGTTAAAATAATTTTCTTTTCTTCTTACTAGTATTTTTCACAAAGGCAAGATATGGAGGTCTAAAATGGATTTTTTCCCAGTTGGTGTAGTCTATTGTAACTTCTATTCCTATTTATTTATTTTAACAGCTTATTGGGGGTCTAAGTGATATACAAAGAACTGCATCGGTTTGATGTGTGCAATTTGATTAGGTTGGACATATGCAAGCCCCTGTGATACTATTACCACAACTCAAGGGAAAAGATACATTCAACGCTTCCCAGAATTTCTATGTGTTCTTCTGTTTTTGTTTGTTTTTTAGTGATAAGAACACTTAGTATGAGAGCTATCCTCTTATTAAATTTTGAAGGGCACAATGTGTATTGTTAATTTCGGCGCTGTGTTCTATGGTGGATCTCTAAAACGTATTCATCTAGCATAACTGAAACTTTATACTTATTGAACAACAACTAGGGCTGTTTTTATATAAGGTAGGCAACGTAATCAGTAACAAAGCACTTTAACTTACAAGGTGTTTGATAGGCCTCTACAATCAATGAAAGCTCTTGGAGCATTGCTATCTGGTTTCTAATTTTGTTCTTTTTGGATTATGAAACACATATGTTATCCCGCACTGTCAGTGAAGTTTGCTACAGTAGCCACCTGTGGTTGGAATGTGGAGACAAAAGGCTGTATCCACACTTTGGGCAGAGATGTGGGAAGGTATAAGAGTAGTGCCCAGAATGACAGGTAAAAAATGTCACCAAGGACTTGCGAGAACTTAGCCTCAGAAACATGCAAGGAGGTGCCTGAATTTCCATTGTCACACAGAATGAGGCGTAAGCTTAAAGGGCATTAAAGAAAGAGCAGGTGGTCCTGGAAGACTGGAAAACTTGGTAGTACCTGGTAGATAAACAGGAAGAAATTCAAGGGCATGGCATGTAGCAGGAGAGCAAGTGCTCACTAAAAGGAAGCAACTTAATAAGGACATGCTATCACGATGATTCTCCAAAACTACAGCTTGTGTTTGGGTGGCACCTTGCCATGTACCTTGTGATGTTTCTTACTGTAGTCCACGTGGGAAAAGCAGGATTAACAGAATTATCTTTTGAGATAGTGACTCAGAAGTTGTAACTAAAGCCATGGTCACCAAACTGTTTCTTTGCAGAGAGAACTCAGAGGATGACTTCCATCTCAATACCCTTAGTGTGTTTTAGTGATACATTAATTGAGGAAAATGTGGAATTTTAAAGTTATTTACAAGTGCAATTTAAAGAAGGCTTAAAAACCCTCCTTGAGGAAAGGCTCGTGTTGATTTCATTCTTGTAGCCTCACTCTGCTTTGTAGATTATGACATGATGTGTATTTGTTGAGTGAATATTGGTTATATATATTTTTTATTTTATTTTATTATTATTATACTTCAAGTTTTAGGGTACACGTGCACAATGTGCAGGTTTGTTACATATGTATACATGTGCCATGCTGCTATGCTGCACCCATTAACTCGTCATTTAGCATTAGGTATATCTCCTAAAGCTATCCCTCCCCACTCCTCCCACCCCACAACAGTCCCCAGAGTGTAATGTTCCCCTTCCTGTGTCCATGTGTTCTCATTGTTCAATTCCCACCTATGAGTGAGAACATGCGGTGTTTGGTTTTTTGTTCTTGCGATAGTCTACTGAGAAGGATGATTTCCAATTTCATCCATGTCCCTACAAAGGACATGAACTCATCATTTTTTATGGCTGCATAGTATTCCATGGTGTATATGTGCCACATTTTCTTAACCCAGTCTATCATTGTTGGACATTTGGGTTGGTTCCAAGTCTTTGCTATTGTAAAGAGTGCCACAATAAACATACGTGTGCATGTGTCTTTATAGCAGCATGATTTATAGTCCTTTGGGTATATACCCAGTAATGGGATGGCTGGGTCAAATGGTATTTCTAGTTCTAGATCCCTGAGGAATCGCCACACTGACTTCCACAATGGTTGAATTAGTTTACAGTCCCACCAACAGTGTAAAAGTGTTCCTATTTCTCCACATCCTCTCCAGCACCTGTTGTTTCCTGACTTTTTAATGATTGCCATTCTAACTGGTGTGAGATGGTATCTCATTGTGGTTTTGATTTGCATTTCTCTGATGGCCAGTGATGGTGAGCATTTTTTCATGTGTTTTTTGGCTGCATAAATATCTTCTTTTGAGAAGTGTCTGTTCATGTCCTTCGCCCACTTTTCGATGGGGTTGTTTTTTTTTTCTTGTAAATTTGTTTGAGTTCATTGTAGATTCTGGATATTAGCCCTTTGTCAGATGAGTAGGTTGTGAAAATTTTCTCCCATTTTGTAGGTTGCCTTTTCACTCTGATGGTAGTTTCTTTTGCTGTGCAGAAGCTCTTTAGTTTAATTAGATCTCATTTGTCAATTTTGGCTTTTGTTGCCATTGCTTTTGGTGGTTTAGACATGAAGTCCTTGCCCATGCCTATGTCCTGAATGGTAATGCCTAGGTTTTCTTCTAGGGTTTTTATGGTTTTAGGTCTAACATTTAAGTCTTTAATCCATCTTGAATTAATTTTTGTATAAAGTGTAAGGAAGGGATCCAGTTTCAGCTTTCTACATATGGCTAGCCAGTTTTCCCAGCACCATTTATTAAATAGGGAATCCTTTCCCCATTGCTTGCTTTTCTCAGGTTTGTCAAAGATCAGATAGTTGTAGATATGCAGCGTTATTTCTGAGGGCTCTGTTCTGTTCCATTGATCTATATCTCTGTTTTGGTACCAGTACCATGCTGCTTTGGTTACTGTAGCCTTGTAGTATAGTTTGAAGTCAGGTAGCGTGATGCCTCCAGCTTTGTTCTTTTGGCTTAGGATTGACTTGGTGATGCGGGCTCTTTTTTGGTTCCATATGAACTTTAAAGTAGTTTTTTCCAATTCTGTGAAGAAAGTCATTGGTAGCTTGATGGGGATGGCATTGAATCTATAAATGACCTTGGGCAGTATGGCCATTTTCATGATATTGATTCTTCCTACCCATGAGCATGGAATGTTCTTCCATTTGTTTGTATCCTCTTTTATTTCCTTGAGCAGTGGTTTGTAGTTCTCCTTGAAGAGGTCCTTCATGTCCCTTGTAAGTTGGATTCCTAGGTATTTTATTCTCTTTGAAGCAATTGTGAATGGAGTTCACTCATGATTTGGCTCTCTGTTTGTCTGTTGTTGGTGTATAAGAATGCTTGTGATTTTTGTACATTGATTTTGTATCCTGAGACTTTGCTGAAGTTGCTTATCAGCTTAAGGAGATTTTGGGCTGAGACAATGGGGTTTTCTAGATATACAATCATGTCGTCTGCAAACAGGGACAATTTGACTTCCTCTTTTCCTAATTGAATACCCTTTATTTCCTTCTCCTGCCTAATTGCCCTGGCCAGAACTTCCAACACTATGTTGAATAGGAGTGGTGAGAGAGGGCATCCCTGTCTTGTGCCAGTTTTCAAAGGGAATGCTTCCAGTTTTTGCCCATGCAGTATGATATTGGCTGTGGGTTTGTCATAGATAGCTCTTATTATTTGGAAATACGTCCCATCAATACCTAATTTATTGAGAATTTTTAGCATGAAGGGTTGTTGAATTTTGTCAAAGGCCTTTTCTGCATCTATTGAGATAATCATGTGGTTTTTGTCTTTGGTTCTGTTTATATGCTGGATTACATTTATTGATTTGCATATATTGAATCAGCCTTGCATCCCAGGGATGAAGCCCACTTGATCATGGTGGATAAGCTTTTTGATGTGCTGCTGGATTCGGTTTGCCAGTATTTGATAGAGGATTTTTGCATCAATGTTCATCAAGGATATTGGTCTAAAATTCTCTTTTTTGGTTGTGTCTCTGCCCAGCTTTGGTATCAGTATGATGCTGGCTTCATAAAATGAGTTAGGGTGGATTCCCTCTTTTTCTATTGATTGGAATAGTTTCAGAAGGAATGGTACAAGTTCCTCCTTGTACCTCTGGTAGAATTCAGCTGTGAATCCATGTGGTCCTGGACTCTTTTTGGTTGGTAAGCTATTGACTATCATCACAATTTCAGAGCCTGTTATTGGTCCATTCAGAGATTCAACTTCTTCCTGGTTTAGTCTTGGGAGGGTGTATGTGTCGTGGAATTTATCCATTTCTTCTAGATTTTCTAGTTTATTTGCATAGAGGTGTTTGTAGTATTCTCTGATGGTAGTTTGTATTTCTGTGGGATCGGTGGTGATATCCCCTTTATCATTTTTTATTGCATCTATTTGATTCTTCTCTCTTTTCTTCTTTATTAGTCTTGCTAGCGGTCTATCAATTTTGTTGATCCTTTCAAAAAACCAGCTCCTGGATTCACTAATTTTTTGAAGGGTTTTTTGTGTCTCTATTACCTTCAGTTCTGCTCTGATTTTAGTTATTTCTTGCCTTCTGCCGGCTTTTGAATGTGTTTGCTCTTGCTTTTCTAGTTCTTTTAATTGTGATGTTAGGGTGTCAATTTTGGATCTTTCCTGCTTTCTCTTGTGGGCATTTAGTGCTATAAATTTCCCTCTACACACTGCTTTGAATGTGTCCCAGAGATTCTGGTATGTTGTGTCTTTGTTCTTGTTGGTTTCAAAGAACATCTTTATTTCTGCCTTCATTTCATGATGTACCCAGTATTCATTCAGGAGCAGGTTGTTCAGTTTCCATGTAGTTGAGCGGTTTTGAGTGAGTTTCTTAATCCTGAGTTCTAGTTTGATTGCACTGTGGTCTGAGAGACAGTTTGTTATAATTTCTGATCTTTTACATTTGCTGAGGAGAGCTTTACTTCCAAGTATGTGGTCAATTTTGGAATAGGTGTGGTGTGGTGCTGAAAAAAATGTATATTCTGTTGATTTGGGGTGGAGAGTTCTGTAGATGTCTATTAGGTCTGCTTGGTGCAGAGCTGAGTTCAATTCCTGGGTATCCTTGTTAACTTTCTGTCTCGTTGATCTGTCTAATGTTGACAGTGGGGTGTTCAAGTCTCCCATTATTATTGTGTGGGAGTCTAAGTCTCTTTGTAGGTCACTCAGGACTTGATTTATGAATCTGGGTGCTCCTGTATTGGGTGCATGTATATTTAGGATAGTTAGCTCTTCTTGTTGAATTGATCCCTTTACCATTATGTAATGGTCTTCTTTGTCTCTTTTGATCTTTGTTGGTTTAAAGTCTGTTTTATCAGAGACTAGGATTGCAACCCCTGCCTTTTTTTGTTTTCCATTTGCTTGGTAGATCTTCCTCCATCCTTTTATTTTGAGCCTATGTGTGTCTCTGCACGTGAGATGGGTTTCCTGAATACAGCACATTGATGGGTCTTGACTTGTTATCCAATTTGCCAGTCTGTGTCTTTTAATTGGAGCATTTAGTCCATTTACATTTAAAGTTAATATTGTTATGTGTGAATTTGATCCTGTCATTATGATGTTAGCTGGTTATTTTGCTCATTAGTTGATGCAGTTTCTTCCTAGCCTCAATGGTCTTTACAATTTGGCATGATTTTGCAGTGGCTGGTACTGGTTGTTCCTTTCCATGTTTAGTGCTTCCTTCAGGAGCTCTTTTAGGGCAGGCCTGGTGGTGACAAAATCTCTCAGCATTTGCTTGTCTGTAAAGTATTTTATTTCTCCTTCACTTATGAAGCTTAGTTTGGCTGGATATGAAATTCTGGGTTGAAAATTCTTTTCTTTAAGAATGTTGAATATTGGCCCCCACTCTCTTCTGGCTTGTAGAGTTCCTGCCGAGAGATCCGCTGTTAGTCTGATGGGCTTCCCTTTGTGGGTAACCTGACCTTTCTCTCTGGCTGCCCTTAACATTTTTTCCTTCATTTCAACTTTGGTGGATCTGACAATTATGTGTCTTGGAGTTGCTCTTCTCGATGAGTATCTTTGTGGTGTTCTCTGTATTTCCTGAATCTGAATGTTGGCCTGCCTTGCTAGACTGGGGAAGTTCTCCTGGATACTATCCTGCAGAGTGTTTTCCAACTTGGTTCCATTCTCCCCGTCACTTTCAGGTACACCAATCAGACGTAGATTTGGTCTTTTCACATAGTCCCATATTTCTTGGAGGCTTTCTTCATTTCTTTTTATTCTTTTTTGTCTAAACTTCCCTTCTTGCTTCATTTCATTCATTTCGTCTTCCATCACTGATACCCTTTCTTCCAGTTGATCGCATCGGCTCCTGAGGCTTCTGCATTCTTCAAGTAGTTCTCGAGCCTTGGCTTTCAGCTCCATCAGCTCCTTTAAGCACTTCTCTGTATTGGTTATTTTAGTTATACATTCGTCTAAATTTTTTTCAAAGTTTTCAACTTCTTTGCCTTTGGTTTGAATTTCCTCCTGTAGCTCAGAGTAGTTTGATTGTCTGAAGCCTTCTTCTCTCAACTTGTCAAAGTCATTCTCCGTCCAGCTTTGTTCCGTTGCTGGTGAGGAGCTGCATTCCTTTGGAGGAGGAGAGGTGCTCTGCTTTTTAGAGCTTCCAGTTTTTCTGCTCTGTTTTTTCCCCATCTTTGTGGTTTTATCTACTTTTGGTCTTTGATGATGGTGATGTACAGATGGGTTTTTGGTGTGGATGTCCTTTCTGTTTGTTAGTTTTCCTTCTAACAGACAGGACCCTCAGCTGCAGGTCTGTTGGAGTTTGCTAGAGGTCCACCCCAGACCCTGTTTGCCTGGGTACCAGCAGCGGTGGCTGCAGAACAGCGGATTTTCGTGAACCACGAATGCTGCTGTCTGATCGTTCCTCTGGAAGTTTTGTCTCAGAGGAGTACCTGGCCGTGTGAGGTGTCAGTCTGCCCCTACTAGGGGGTGCCTCCCAGTTAGGCTGCTCAGGGGTCAGGGGTCAGGGACCCACTTGAGGAGGGAGGCAGTCTGCCCATTCTCAGATCTCCAGCTGCGTGCTGGGAGAACCACTGCTCTCTTCAAAGCTGTCAGATAGGGACATTTAAGTCTGCAGTGGTTACTGCTGTCTTTTTGTTTGTCTGTGCCCTGCCCCCAGAGATGGAGCCTACAGAGGCAGGCAGGCCTCCTTGAGCTGTGGTGGGCTCCACCCAGTTCGAGATTCCCAGCTGCTTTGTTTACCCAAGCAAGCCTGGGCAATGGCGGGCGCCCCTCCCCCAGCCTCACTGCCGCCCTGCAGTTTGATGTCAGACTGCTGTGCTAGCAATCAGCAAGACTCCGTGGGCATAGGACCCTCTGAGCCAGGTGTGGGATATAATCTCCTGGTGCGCTGTTTTTTTAAGCCTGTCGGAAAAGCATGGTATTGGGGTGGGAGTGACCCGATTTTCCAGGTGCTGTCTGTCACTCCTTTCTTTGACTAGGAAAGGGAACTCCCTGACCCCTCACACTTCCCGAGTGAGGCAATGTCTTGCCCTGCTTCAGCTCGTGCATGGTGTGCTGCACCCACTGTCCTGCGCCCACTGTCTGGCACTCCCTAGTGAGATGAACCCGGTACCTCAGATGGAAATGCAGAAATCACCCATCTTCTGTGTCGCTCACACTGGGAGCTGTAGACCGGAGCTGTTCCTATTCGGCCATCTTGGCTCCAGCTCCTGGTTATATATTAAGGTACATTTTTCATACCTGCATCTCTTAAAATTACTGACATTTTTTTCTTACTGATAAAAGGTTTTAATTCATTCTCTAATATCAAAACCCTATAAATACAGTTTGTTTTTCACTGATCTTGGCTATATAATACCATCATAGAAATGTTTTCAGGTATAAAAACAATTTATTTTCCAGAACAAGCAAAATCATTTTTTATTTAGTTTTTTAAAGAATCTAATCCAGCTGGAGAGGTCTCTGATTTTTCCCAAATCTCTCTTTAAAAATCTATATTTTCAAAAATATTCATGCGAAGTTTATGAGGATAAAATTGACCCCTTGTTAGTTTGACTCTTTTACTTGTCATGTGATGAGGTTGTAGTAGAAGACTCTGTCCATCCAATGACATGGGAAGCTTTGGACATATAAATGTAAAATAACTAGATTCTTGTTCCTATTACAAACATTACCTCACTATTTCCAAATATTTCGTTTGATATCAATATTTAAAATCTATCAGTTGCTTGAGTATTCTTTTTTTTTTGAGGTGGAGTCTCACTCTGAAAATTACTGACTTTTTAACATTGAAAGCTGTTCTGGAGATCCTTGGCTCTCTCTTATTTCTGATATGGGGAGGACATAGGTGCACAATGATTGAGGTACTTGTTCAAGGTCCTACCTCAAATTAATGACAGAGATAGAACCAGATCCCAAACATTACTACCTTCCATAACATTTTGCTGTCATTTCAGACAGTTAGGACACAGGACAATACCATTGGCAGTCTTTTAAAATCAGTGTTTCATTACACACTTATGTTTTAAGTAAGGTGTTTTTCCATTATTAAAGGCCTTAGTAATTATCTTGCAAATCTGTGACCCCTTCTCTTTGTTTTTTAGCCACATCGAACTACTCACTTCCAGTCCCTGAACAAAACAAACATTCTCCCACCTCTGTACCTTTGCTTATGTGGTCCTGCTCCCCAGAAATGTTCTTCCTTTCTCCTACTCAGTCTTCAAATCCCAGCTTAGTAAAGACTTCCTGACCTAACCCAACTGATTACTTACTTTTTCCTCTGAGCTCCCGAGCATTCCAAATGTAACTCTAGACTTGGTTATAGCACTTGTCACGACATTGTCTGACAGACACCATCCCCTCTGATAGCCTACTATTGCTAATAATAAGTTGAGGTCTGGAAGGATACAGATGTGCAAACAATTCAGGACCCTGAGTCATTTATTTTGAATCCTTTTTTTTTTTTTTTTTTTGAGACGGAGTCTCACTCTTTTGCCAGGCTGGAGTGCAGTGGTGCAATCTCGGCTCACTGCACCCTCTGCCTCCTGGGTTCAAGACATTCTCCTGCCTCAGCCTCCCAAGTAGATGGGACTACAGGTCTACGCCACCAGGCCAATATAAAAATTTTTATATTTTTAGTAGAGACAGGGTTTCACCATGTTGGCCAGGATGGTCTCGATCTCTTCACCTCGTGATCTGCTCACCTCGGCCTTTGAATCCTTCTTATATAGAACCAGGAGCACTAAATTTACCCAAAAAAACCAGATTCTCCTTTTTTGTCTTTTTTTTTTTTTTTTTTGAGACAGAGTCTTGCTCCGTCGCCCAGGCTAGAGTGCAGGGATTACAGGCATGAGACACTGTGCCTGGTCAGATTCTCCTTTTATGTTGATATGTGGCATATTCAGGCCATGGAAACCTTCTAGACCTCGGGACACAGTATTTTACACTGGATTCTTGACTCTGCCTCTCTCTTTAAATCCAGCTAGAACAGTGTTCAGTACCTAGGATGTACTGTGGAAGAAATTGCTGTTCTTATTGTTCAAAAGCCAGAACTTCCAACATTTTGAATCAAATGCAGATCTTTTCCCATAGTTTCACTTTCTCTCTGGGAGACTATCACTTTGATACCGACTTCTGCTTTCTGCTCTAGGCTAGCCTTGAGGAGGCAGAAGCTGGGGACCAATTCCTAGAGGAGGACATGCTGGATCTGGGTCTTGAAAAGTTACTAGGAGACATCTAGATGAAGTGGGTGGAAGGGAGAAAAAGATCCTGGTATTCCAGGCAGAACAAAGTTGTGGAGGCACCAAAAAGCATAGTGGGGTCTGGAAGCCTCAAAAAGTTCAGTACAGAAGGAATGTAAGAATCAAAGAGAAGCTGCTTGCAGAGAAGAGGGAGGGCTACGTGGTTGGCACTGGACGGAGGTCTAGGATTTGATCTGGCAGATTACTGGCAGTCAAGAATGGACTTTAGGCAGAGAGAATTTCATTGATCAAATTTCCATCTAAGACTTCTGTCAGTATTTAGCAATCATTGTAAAGAGTAGGCTTTAGGCTTTAATAGAAGATGTATAACTACAGAAATAAGAAGACTCTTTCTTGCTAGAATGTATGTAATTCATTCTTACTAGAATGTAAGCTACGTAGCTTCAGAAATAGGGAGAATACCTTGCTAGAATGTAGTGTATAGTCTCTTTCTCTCTTGTTTTATTCTTTATATATATATATATATAAATAAATTTTTTTTTTTTTTTTACATAGAGTCTCATTCTGTCACCCAGGCTGGAGTGCAGTGGCATAATCTTGGCTCACTGCAACCCCTGCCTCCTGGGTTCAAGCGATTCTCCTGCCTCAGCCTCCCAAGTAGCTGGGACTACAGGTGTGTGCCACCATGCCCGGTTAATTTTTGTATTTGTAGCAGAGACTGGGTTTCACCATGTTGGCCAGGCTAGTCTCAAACTCCTGGCCTCAGGTGATCCACCTGCCTTGGCCTCCCACAGTGCTGAGATTACAGGTGTAAGCCACCGCGTCCGGCCTCTCTGTTGTAATATTAATGTGGACAGAAAACTCTTAAGTAAACTTTACTGCTATTTATTAACTATTTATGGAACGCAATTGTTTTAAAAAAATCAATTTGTAGGGCTGAGACAATTCTCTTGTCAACCATTGCCTCGCCTATCCAGTCAAATATTTATTGAACTCCTATAATTTACAAAGAGCTGCAACTGATGAGGGGAATACAACAACAAATGTAAGAACTGATTGAGGTTTTGCTGTGTACCTGCGTGCACTATGCTAAATGCTTTACACGCATTTTCATTTACTCTTTGTGAAATTAATTGTACACTTTATTCTGTACAACTTCCTAGAGAAATGTTAAATAGCCCATTATCTACAAGTTACTTTTAAACTCATTTAAATGCAAGTCACCTATTTGACTTATATTTCAACAATAGTATCAATACATTACTGAGGATCTTGTATATATAAAACATAAGAGTATAATTTCTGACCATAAAGGTGTTATGTAGTCTGGTTGAGTAAATTACATAATTACAAACACACGTGTTATAGGGCATCTTAACAGTGCTATATGTACAGTTGTTGGAGAAATTCAAAGGAAGAAGATATGCACACTAGAAGAGGTAATTCAATTGGTTCTCACTAATTTTGACAGGTTCCCCAACATCACATTTAAATAATAAAGCTGCAGCCTAGTTAAAGCTTTTCTTCAGTAATATGAGTAAAACATAAACAAACCTTACTTTTATTTATAATCTGGGCCTTAGAAATATACTTTTCATCCACTGGCCTACCAGGTTTATTCTGGCATTCAAACAGAAGCCAAAGACGAAACAGGTGGTAAGTGTTTGCTTGTAACTTACAGGGGAATGTGGCGGGGACAAGAAAATAATTTAATTTTCTTGCAAAAACAGAGCAGCAACTCTTCGCAGTAAGAGCATTGGCTTCAGCAGGCCATTATATGCAGTATGCATTATGTGCAAGACTGAAATTGTAGAACCTTATAATTTGTAAGTATGTGTGTGTGCACATGTGCCTGTGTGTTTCCAATCGGCCTCCTTGCTGAATGACTCACATTATAGTTGTCAGGGGGGAAAGATGGAAAGATGAATCAGATTAACCAGCTCCTTTAAGAAGCAGTATTTCCACCTACAAATATGCCAGTTATGGTGATTCTCTTTCCTCAAAGCTTTTCCTTCTTGGAAGGAATTCTTAATACCCTGCAGCAGCACAGGCCATTAAAGTCCAGGTGGAGTTTTGAAGAGTTCTTTTGAACCTGGGACTACCCATGTTTTGTGGAGGATAAGTCAATGTTTTCAGCAGAGTGAAAGAATGGAACAAAATAATGATTCCATGTCCCTGTGATTGGACAGGTTCAAATGTTAGTCAAGCAAAGTGTTGACAACTAGTTGCACCCTGAAATTATTCTTGCTAAATAAGCAAACTGAATTTTTCTTTTACGTTTTTGTATTTTCTTGCTTCCTAGTTATTTTATATATTATGCTAAATGAAAGTAAGTTTCCTCAAATTCTAACATATTCTAAATTTTCTCATTACTAAAATGTTATCCTTTCATTTCATATTTTTGTTACATTATTACATTATGCATCACAGATCAGTGATCTGTGATACATATCTAACTCTGCTAGTTAGATAATAAAGTTTAACTGCTTTTAAATTTCTGTAAGTTTAATTTTATAATCAATGATAATGTAAGAATGTGATTTCTTCTATAAACTGGGCTGATATCCAAGTTGTTGCAGAAGATATATGTATAACATATATATCTTCATACATATATAAATATACATGTAAATATATGTATTTAAAGGTCTGAGTAGCTCCAAGACACTCCCGGATACAAGGTTGTTAACCTAAAGTCCATGAATCACCTGAAATTTTATGCACACTTGTGTGAATATGCATTTTTATGAAAATTGAATTCAAAGCTTTCATTACTTTCCTCAAAGGATTTGTGATTCAAAAAAGATTATGAATTACCATATTGAATAGTATTTAAATGCCTTGATAATGCTACCAGGAATTATATTAATTAGGAAAATATGTTTTTTCTATTAATGAAACTGAAGTATTTTCCCTCAAAGTCTGTGTTGTAATAAAAACTTATACAAAGAAAAATATGATTTGACATTTTCATCCCTTTTCTTCTTGCAGTTACGATACCTCTATGTATTCATGATGTGCGCTGATATTTTTGTAGATCAGAGCTTCAAGTTTGGTGGCTCGGTTGTTAATTTAAAATAGTCTGGATTTATACCCACACATTTCATATCTTTGAATCTACCATGTCCTGATAGATTCCTCATTATTTAACTGTCTTAATGGAAGATGTCTAAAAAATTTATCAGAATGTATATGCAATTTATCTGGTTCTGTTCTTAATATCACCAAAAACAGAAGACTGACCATTTTCACTTCAAAATAAACTTTGCCAATACATAAACTATGTAGTGATTTTTTCTGAAAAGGATTTTCCCGAGGTAGTTTCTTAGCAGAAAAGACATTTGTAGAATAGACCTGACCAATTCTGACATTTAAAGATGGTTACAAGCCAGTAAAAATTTTCTACTTCAAAATATTGAAAGGCTCAGACATTTAGTTGTTCAAAATTTGAGTTGCTAGTGTATTGCTGGGCAATCTGAGGCACTGAATACCCAGATTAGTGAAACTCAAAGGTATCTTGCTCCAAATTACTCATTTTATAGATAAAGAAACCGAGACTGTCCTAGGATGGTCCTTAGTTAGCCAACAGAATCAGAGATCACCTATTTTGGCTTTCTTTAACCCACTCCCATGCACCAGTAGATTTGGAGATTCACCACCTGGCACTGATGTCATAAGAAAAAAGACCCAAATATTCTGTGTGGCGAGTAACAGTGGAAGTGGTACAACCTAAGCCATCCCATGGTTTTCAAGCCTTTGTCATAAACAAGGACGCTCATTTTCCAGACATGCTTCTGCTTTTAAGGGTCTTGGGCCATTATATGGCCATTCCAGGTCTCCACCCCTCCCCGACCCCTCCCCAAATGGAACTTAAGTAAAACCAGAGTACTTCAGAGGCTTCAAACACTGCTGTTTGTGAGTTGAGATTATTGGTTTTCAGAGTTTCTAAATTTAAGGTCAATGAAAGAACACCAAAACATATGCACGTGTAATTAGAAATGTTCGGAAGCTTATTTTGGAAAACATTTAGGCATATTAAAGATTTAGGTGGTTAACTCACCTCTTTTCAAAATGAAACTTTGAGGCAACTGTGTCATAAAATATAATGTTCCCACCATGAGAATGAAGGCAACATGTCAGGTGGGAAACAGTGGCAGTGTTGGAGTTGTTCAGAAGTGGGTTAGAATCCACTTCAGGGCTGTTTTATCCTTGATCAAATTACTGAATCTACCTGAACCTGTTTTTTCATCTGTTAAACAAAAAGTGGGGATGAGTAAGGTTTAAATTAAATGCTGCTTGACTATTCAATGGTATATACATTCTTCTACATGATAAATGGAAGATGTATAGCCCATGATAGGCACTCAGCAGACAGTGACCATGTCTCATTCTATATACTCAAAAGATCAGACTTAGGATAAGAGAAAAAATTATTTTAACATTTATTTGTATGTCATAAATTAAAATCAAAATTAGAAAGGCAAATCAGACTGTTAGACTGGTACTTTCATAATACTTAAGATTATTTAAAGTAACACATGGACTGAACATCATTAGCAATACATCTTTCTAGTTTCTTTTAGAAGCTAGAACAGATTCTCTGTCTTGCTTAGAATTGAAAAGTAATAATAGCAGCAAAACACCCCCACCTTTATTGGGTAACTAATATAAATGTCATTCTACAACTTTCAAAATTTAGTTAGACGTAAATAAAATGAGTCTTTGTAACTATAGTTCAGCCAGTAAATAAAACGATTTGCAGCAAATATCATTGTAAGTACTTTTGTTAAACCTAGACACACAGTGAAAAGAAAATTGCATAAATATATGCCTAGAAAACAAGGCTAATAGCTCCTGGTGCTCTTTACACCTAGTAAAATGCTATTAGGATTTATTAAATTGTACTATGTTTGCTTTATAATAGGAAAACTCATAGCGAGTTAAAATAATATGACTAATGATGTAAACAATTGACATTATTCTGCTCGATTTCTGTATAATCATGTCCAACATATTTTCAGATTTTTTTTTTTTTTTTGGTGGGGGGAAGTCAGTAGGGATTGTTGAGACTGATTAAAAATACAAGCTTTGTTTTATCATCATTCATCCTTGCTCCTCTTCCTTCTTCTTCTTTTTCTTCTCCCTCTCTTCTTTCCCTCTTTTTCTTTCTACTTCTCCTACCCCTCTCTCTTTCTTCTTCCTCCTCTCCCTCATTAGTATTCTAACAATTCAATGTTTATTCAAGAAAGATTATTTTATGCTATTAGACATGTACCTGGGTTCCATCTTTTTAAAATCCAGCAATGACTCTAACACAGTGTCTAGTAGGTATTGAATAAATAATGTAAAGGCTGGAAGGCTCCTGACCCAGGAAGAGGTGATATTTCCACTTGAGTCTGAAGGCAGGGAAAAGCTGAAGTCCCACCTCAAGGCAATCAGGCAAGAGGAATTCCCTATTATCTGGGGGAGGATCAGCCCTTTGTGCTATTCAGGCCTTCATCTGATTGGATGAGGCCCCCACCCACATTAGAGAGGGTGGTCAGTCTCCTTTACTCAGTCTCTCCATTTTAACGTTACACTCATCTAAAAACACCCTCATAGAAACACCCAGGATAACGTTTAACCAAAATCTGGGCACCTCGTGGCCCAGTCAAGTTGACACATAAAATTATCCATCACAACGACATTTACAGTTTTCAAGAATACGGGTCAGAGATTTTGTAGAATGTCTTTCAGTTTGAATTTATCTGATGTTTTTTCCTCATGATTAGCCTGAGATTATGGGTTTTGCAGAGGAAAAATCACAGCAGTAAAGTGCCAGTCTCATTGCATCATGTCAAGGGGATGTGCTATCAACATGATTTATGGAGGTGGTGTTAACCTTGATCACCTGGCAGAGGGAGGGTTTATCAGGTTTCTCTATTGCCAAGTCACTCTTTCCCCCTGTTTGTCCTGCAGTCTTTGAGAGGAAGTCACTACGTGGAGCCCACACTTAAGGAAGGAAGAAGAATTATGCTCCACCCTCTTGAAAGTAGAGTAGCTGATACATTATTTTGAATTCTATCCTCCTCCATTTATTTATTTATTCAATCACTTATTTATATCAGTATGTACTCATAGCTGTGTATTTCATACTTTGGGTTATAATCTAATGTAATTTCATTGATTTTGTTCCTCAAATTTTCCTGTTTGGCCACTGGGGACTGTTTTGGATGGCAATTGATTATGTTTTTAACCAATCTGATCTGGGAAAAATATTTTATTAATTTTGATTTTTCAGGTTGCAGATGAGATTGGATAGTTTTCATAGCTTTATTGTTCTTCAGTGTTGTTTCTTCTGTAAAATAATTTTCCATCCTTTGCCCAATAATAAATTTCCATCCTTTGCCCAAAAATGAATTTATATTGGTAACTCATAACTTATATATTTTATATGTGTGTATATATACGTACATGGCTTATATAATCTTATTCTTTATCTTTTATTAAATATGTTACAAATATATTATCCTATTTCTTGTCTTTCATCATATAGAAATTGCAAGTTTTATACAGTCAAATTTGCCAATACTTTCTTTTATGGTTACTGTTTTTTTTTCTTTGTTGTATTTAAGATTATGAAAATGTTCTCATGTTTTCTTTTATATTCTGCTTTACGTCAGTATCTATATTAATCTGAAGTTTCTTTTTTTATAGATAGGGATTAAATTTTATTTCTGCTTTTTCCATGGATCTACCCAGTTGCTTCAGTACTATTCCTCAAACAGACCATTCCTTTCCCAATTATTAGGAATGCCATTTTTTTTTCCTCTTAGGCTCAACTTTTCTATATGTATGGATCTGTTGCTGCAATGGCTACTCTCTTCTGTGATCTATTCTCTTTAAAATAAAGTGGTGTGTATCACTGCAAATTTCAACCTTGTGAAGCTGAATTAAAACTCCTGTGACTTGACTTTGGACTGTAGAATTCTTGGCCTAGTTGTTGAATATAAGATATGGCACATGGAATCTTTTACAGTAAAAATATTTCTGTATGGTACATTTTAAGATGACATGCAGCCTACATTTGTGAATAGCATTTTCCTGAAAAACACAATTATTCTTGGCTTTATTTAGTGTCCGATTATGTTTAGTCAGGGTTCAAGTGGGAGAACAAAACCCATGCCAGGAAGAGGAAATTTAGCACAGGAAACTAACTAAGGGGTTAGAAGGGCTGAGAGAGTGAACAGAGGAAAGAAAGGCAACCAAAAGAATAACAATTACAGAATGAAAGGAAAAGGGAAGAGGTGGTATTGCTGGAAGAGCCTGAGCCACCTGGATGGTACTGGGCTCACCTGACGGTAGTTAGACCTGTGGTCTAAAGGACTGGGAGAAGGAAGTTGGACTGAAGAAGGAGATGCAGCTCCCACTGGAGATTCCTGAAGTAGGGAGAAAGCTGAAGAAATGCTCTGGCTTCTTCACTCTTCTCGCCCTTCAGTCTACCATCCCTGAGTATCAGAGAGCCTGTGGAATACAGACCTGCAATGCCAAGCAAGCAGGAGAAGTTTGGGAATGGATCCAGGTCTAAACAGTCACTAATCACCAGCGATGGCTACATGGTTGTATTACTCTGCCTGGGCTGCCATAACAAAACACTGGGTAGCTTACATAACAGAAATTTATTCCTCATGATCAGAGACTGGGAAGTCCAAGATCAAGGTCCTGGCGAGCTAGGTTTCATTCTGAGGCCTCTTCTCTTGGCTTGCAGATGGCCACCTTCTTGCCATGCCCTCACATGGTACAGAGAGAGAGAACTCTGGTCTTTCTTCCTCTTCTTATAAGGACACTAATTTTATCAAATTAGAGTTCTACACTTAAGACCTAATTTACCCTTTTTTAAAATAATAGGGCCAAAAATTAAATCCCGTAATAATGACCACTTAGATTAGTATAAGGTTTTATGCTTTCAAACTCTTTTGAATATATCTTTTTATTTGATCTTCATGGTTAACCTTGGCATTATATAAGGGCAATGTACCAGTTAGGGTTGTGTTAGGTAACCTAAAGAATAGCGATAACAAGAATGAAATGAAAAAGGGAGGAGGCATTACCACTGGAAGAGATTGAGCCACCTGGATGGTCAAGTTAGATCTATGGTCTAATGGCCAGGCAGAAGGAAGCTGGGCTGAAGAAGGAAGTTATTTTAACTTCCTCCTAAGGACACTATCTCCAACTACAGTCGCACTGGGGGTTAGGGCTTCAACACAAGAAATTTTGGGGGAAGTGGGGCACAGTTCAGTCCATAGCAATGGTAATAGGAATATCACTGAGTGGAGACTCAGCATACTTAGATATCAGCCCTGCCTTTTCCATTCACAACTTTTGTAGTTTCTCATCTGAAAAATGGGCATCTAACATCACCTGCAGAAGAGTCTGCTAGTTCTCCCTCAAAATCCATTAATCTTTTCTTCCATTGTAGTAGAAACTTCAATTTTTTTAAGGACACATGGTCTCTCAGACTAAAACAAAATACATTTGCCAGTCACCTTTGCAGTTAACTGAGACTTTGAGACTACATGCCAGTCAATAGGATGTGAGCAGAAATGTCATAATGCTCATGACATTTACATGATCCCTTATAATACTTAGGATGTACCCTTTGTCCTTCCTCCTTTTTATCTCTTCTTCTGTTTTGCAGCCTCCAATTATAAATGTAATGGATAGAGCTTTAGTCCTCATCTTGGCCAGGAAGATGAGGGCTCTACCCTGTTGATGTGGAAAGATTGGTCTTGAAGGAGCCTGGAACCTGGAATATTTCTCAGAGGAGGGTTATGATAACAATCCTGGACTTTATCATGAGAGAGAAATAAACTTCTGTCTTATTCAAGCTACAATTATTTTGATCCTTGTAAGTGATGATGAACATAACCCTAACTGGTACATTGCTCTTATATAACTCAAAGGTAAACTGTGAAGGTCAAATGAAAAGACATATTCAAAAGACTTTGAAGGTGTAAAATCTTATACTAATCTAAGTGGTAATTATTACAGGCTTTAAGTTTTGGCCCTATTATTTTAGAATTTCCAAATAGATTCATTTTGTTCTCTATAAAGTCATTTTTTCATATATGTATTATCCAGAGGACTTACTAACATATGTGTCTCCCAAGTATGTGTTATCCAAGCAGCAGTTGAATATTTTTATCTCTTTCATTCATATTCAGAAGGCAAAACTCTTTAGAATTTTGATGTATTTCCAAATGACCTTACCCTAGAATTGTTTGGTAACTGTGCATGGAGAGTTATGGAAGAATAGAGGGAGGATATAACCACTGGATGTCAGAGCTGTGGTATTAATTAATTATTCATAGTTCCATATTTATTAAGTATATACGTGCCAAGCACTGTGCTAGGAACTCAGGATAGTAAAGTAAATGAAATAGCTAAGGTTTTCATGGAGCTCAGATGCAGGGTATAAGACAGACACTATCCAAGTAATCAAACTAAAGGAGGAAGTACCACAAGTTTGGGGGCTAAATCAGCATAAAGCAGGGAGCCCTAATCACATTTCATGGGTCAATGAAATTCTTCTGTAGGAAGTGATATTTGAGTTGAGACATTAAGCAAGAGTAAGAGTGAGGCAGTTGAAGAATAATATTTTAGGAACAATATTTCAGGCAAATATTCTAGGTAAGAAAATAGTTGAGGTAGCAGCATCAAGGGGAAGGAAGTTAGGGCTCCTTTGAGGAACTGAAAAATCTTGAGCATGACTGGAGGTAGTGTGAGTAGAATACTAAGTCTAGGTCCAGGGAAATGCGCAGAGGCGAGACCCTGGAGGTTTATCATCTGTGTGACTACATTACAGAGTTTGAATTGTGTCCTAGAGACTGTATGGAGCCACTGAAGGGCTTTAAACCAGGAAGTGATCTGAGCAGATTCTCATTTATGAGAAGTCATTTAGTTAAAAATGGAAAGAATGGATTAGGGAGTGAGAAGGAGGGGCAGAAGATGGGAAGCAGAGAGAAAAGTTAGGAGGTCATTGTAATCAGTCTTTTACTGAGAAAGATTCATTTTTCATTCATTCAGTTGAGCAAGAGGTGATAGTCTGGAGGAAGTGAGGAGGCAGAGGTAAAAGATAAATGTAGGGATTTGACTTGACAGAATTGGATTGTGTTCATCTGTTCTCATGCTGCTAATAAACGTATACTCAAGACTGGGTAATTTGTAAAGGAAAGAGGTTTAATGGACTCACACTTCCACATGACTGGGGAGACCTCACAATCATGGCAGAAGGCAAAGGAGAAGCAAATTCAGGTCTTACATGGTGGCAGGCAAGAGACTGTGTGTAGGGGAACACCCCTTTATAAAACCATCAAATCTCATGAAACATATTCACTATCATGAGAACAGCCTGGGAAAGACCCTCTCCCATGATTCAATTACCTCCCACTGAGTCCCTTCCATGACACGTGGGAATTATGGAAGCTACAACTCAACATGAGATTTGGGTGGGGATACAGCCAAACTATATCATTCCATCCCTGGCCCCTCCTAAGTCTCATGTTCTCACATTTCAAAACCAATAATGCCTTCCCAACAGTCCCCCAAAGTCTTAACTCATTTCAGCATTAACTCAAAAGTCCACAGTCCCAAGTCTCATCTGAGACAAGGCAAGTCCCTGCCTATGAGCCTGTAAAATCAAAAGCAAGTTAGTTACTTCCTAGATACAATGGGGGTACATGCATTGGATAAATATACTCATTCCAAATGTTGGCCAAAATGAAGAGGCTACAGGCCCCATGCAAATCTGAAATCCAGTGGGGCCGTCAAATCTTAAAATGATCTCCTTTGACTCCATGTTTCACATCCAGATCATGCTGATGCAAGAGGTGAGCTCCCACTACCTACGGTAGCTCTGCCTGTGTGGCTTTGCAGGGTACAGCATCCCTCCTGGCTGCTTTCATGGGTTGGCTTTGAGTGTCTGTAGCTTTTCCAGCACATGATGCAAGTTGTCAGTGGATCTACCATTCTGGAGCCTGGAGGATGGTGGTTCTCTTCTCACAGCTTCACTAGGCAGTACCCAGTGGGGACTCTGTGTGGGGGCTTCAACCCCACATTTGCCTTCTGCACTGCCTTAGCAGAGGTTCTCCATGAAGGTCCCACCCCTGCAGCAAATTTCCACCTGGACATCCAGGCATTCCCATACATCCTCTGAAATCTAGGCAGAGGTTCCCAAACCTCAATTCTTGACCTCTGTGCACCTACAGGCTCAACACCATGTGAAAGCTGCCAAGGCTTTGGGCTTGCATCCTCTGAAGCCCTGGGCCAAGCTGTACCTTGGCCCCTTTTAGCCACAGCTGTAGGGGCTGGGAAACAGGACACCAAGTCCCTAGACTGCATACAGCAAGAGGGCCTTGGGCCTGGCCCATGAAACTATTGTTTCTTCCTAGGCCTCAGGGCTTGTGATGGTAGGGGCTGCCATGAAGTTCTCTGACATGCCCTGGGGACATTTTCCCCATTGTCTTGGTGATTAACATTTGGCTTCTTGTTACTTATGCAAATTTCTGCAGCCAGCCTGAATTTCTCCTCAAAAAAAAAAAAAAAAAAAAAAAAAGGGTCTTTCTTTTCTATTGCATTATCAGGCTGCAAATTTTCCAAACTTTTATGCTTTGCTTTCCTTGTAAACATAAGTTCCAATTCCAAACCATATCTTTGTGAATACATAAAACTGAATGCTTTTAACAGCACCTAAGTAACATCTTGAATGCTTTGTTGCTTAGAAATTTCTTCTGCCAGATACTCTAAATCATCCCTCTCAAGTTCAAAGTTCCACAGATCTCTAGGGCAGGGGCAGAATGCTGCCAGTCTCTTTGTTAAATGTAGTAAGAGTCATCTTTATTCCAGTTTCCAACAAGTTCCCCATCTCCATCTGAGACCACCTTGGCCTGGACCTTATTATCCATATCACTATCAGCATTTTGATCAAAGCCATTTAGAAAGTCTCTAGGAAGTTCCAAACTTTACCACATCTTCCTGTCTTCTGAGCCCTCCAAGTCTCTAGGAAGTTCCAAACTTTACCACATTTTCCTGTCTTCTTCTGAGCCCTCCAAATGGTTCCAACCCTGTCTAAGTTCCAAAATTGCTTCCACATTTTTGGGTATCTTTACAGCAGCACCCCACTCTACCAGTACCAAGTTACTGTATTAGTCTGCTTTTGTGCTGCTAATAAAGATACCAAAGACTGGGCAATTTATAAAAGAAAGAGGTTTAATGGACTGAGAGTTCCACATGGCTGGGGAGACCTCACAATCATGGCAGAAGGCAAAGGAGAAGCAAAGACACATCTTACATGGTGGCAGGCAAGAGAGCAGCATATGTAGGGGAACTCTTCTTTATAAAACCATCAGATCTTGTGAGAGTTACTCACTACCATGAGAATAGCCTGGGAAAGACCCTCCCCCATGATTCAATTACCTGCCGCCGAGTCCCTCCCATGACACATGGGAATTATGGGAGCTACAATTCAAGATGAGATTTGGGTGGGGACACAGCCAAACCATATCATGGATGAATGATGGGATGTCAGCATGCGGATGTGGGGAGAAGCAAGATTGCCCCAGGTTTGTGACTGTGGTAGCCACTGGAGGAGAAGCAGGTTAGAAGGCTGGAGAGTGGCTGGAGGTAATGCTGGTAATAACAACCAGAGCTGCTGAGGGTTTCATATGTGTCAGATACTGTCTAGATACATAACATGTGCAAGCCCATTTAATAGGAACCAGAACCCTATGAAGGAGATGCCATTATTATTCACATTTTATAGTAGGGGAAACTGAGGCACAGAGTGATTAAAGGCTGTGTTCTAGGTTACATAGCTAAGAGGTGTTTATTAGTCCATTCTCATGCTGCTATGAAGAAATACCTAAGACTCGGTAATTTATAAAGAAAAGAGGTTTAATTGACTCACAGTTCTGCATGGCTGGAGATGCATGAGGAAACTTAAAATCATGGCAGAAGGCACCTCTTCACAGGGTGGCAGGCGAATGAGTGTCAATAGTGGAAATACCAGATGCTTATAAAACCATCAGATCTCATGAGAACTTACTATCATGCGAACAGCATGGGGAAACTGCCCCCATGTTTCTGTTACCTCAACCTGGTCCCACCCTTGACACATGGGGATTATTACAATTCAAGATGATATTTGGCCAAACCATATCAAATAGCAGAACAAGAATCTAATCCAGGCAATTGTTCTAGAAGCCATACTCAATCTTTTCTCTGCCAATGAATTAGTTTTGGAGTCTGAGTTTGGACCTGGGATTAAACTCTGGGCTGCCTGTGTGTGAATGATGAAATCACAGAGAGCAGCTTCAGTCATAATCAGAACATTTTAGTTTTTATTCCACCCTTTGGCAGAAAAATAACTGGATGATCCAGGGGAAAAGCATGGAACAAAAATATCAAAGAATCTTTGTTCTAATAGTATCTTACATTTGTTCATAACACTTTGTACTTTTCAAACTGTTTCCATGAATACTATCTCATTTATTTTGCAGAATGATTAGCAAGGCAATTATTATTATCCCCATTTTACATGGATGAGGAAATTTCAGCTTGGAGGGATTAAGTAAACTCCAAGCCCAAATATCTTATAAAATGGAGCACCCAAATTTAGATTCAAGTCTTTTGATTTCTTTCTATTCAGGATTATTAGGGAGAAAATTGTGAAGAATGCAATACTTTCTAATCTCAGTTAAAATAGTTAATTTTAGATAGTTTTCTTCTCACTACAATCATCTTCAAGTGGCTGCTGTGCCATGTCTACTTTATTAACTGGAATTATAGTCAGCCAAAATAATTGAAAATTTCAATATATAGAAAGGAAGCTTATGTATTTTAGACATGATTGAATCCAACTTATTAATCATGAAAGCCATCTGGACATTGGCATTCATTATTTTTCTTCTTTGGGTAGATATTTCTAAATTGACTTTAAACAATTGTCTCTCAGTCTGTTTTGTTCTTGAGTCAACATTTAAGAAACACTGTTTGAGAGTGGGCTTTGGCTTTGAATTGTAAAGAGGGAGTAGGGGGGAAGCAAAAAGCTTGACTCATTTTCCCAAATTATGCATGTTGAGGAGAGCAGCACAATCAGCGTACTGCTCATAACATTTGCAGTGAATGCTGAAGGAAAGGACCCATGGTAGTGTGTACTGTCCACCAAGATCACTGTCATTTTTCAACTGGCTAGAGGTTGGTCCTTTTGTTCTTGATTTCTGCCAAGCTCCTAGTTTTGTAGCCTGTACACCGTCACTGTCACTAAACATATATAGAACAATATTAAGGGTTCGCAATTTGGCATATGTTTTATTGAGAGCCCTAGGAAGTAGGACAGGATTAGGGTATATCGCAAAATTGAAGATAAGGCTGTGAAGTTAATATCATGTTTCTCTGTCAACAAGAAGCTTAACTAAGGCCTTAGAACCATTGACTCAAAGGTTTACGTGCAAGTGGATCTCTGAGAACTGATAAAAAATGTTTTTAATTAATTGATTAAATATTTATCCACCATTTTAGTGGAATACGAGACAGACGTAATGCTTATCCGTATAGAGTTTACAACTTAATGGGAAAGACACAAAATTAAACAAGGAAGCATCTGCTTGGCTGCCAAACCACTGGTTATCCAACCCTCTCATTATCGTATCTAGTGACTGGACTATCCTCACTCCATAACGTGGTGGTATAAGGCCTAAAACTGAGGCCTAGCATTATAGGTGCCTTGACATTTGGGGAAAACTGGGAGGGCCTCAAGTGGCCAAACTGCAAGTTCTGCTACTTCCTCTGCTCCCATGGATGAGGCCCCCTAGTCAAACAACCCTTCTTGATCATGGGGACTATGCACAGTACCTATTAGTCCCTGAGTTGTGGACTTCAGTTTCCTGCCAGCCTGCAAATGTATTCAGACAAGCAGTTACATACACCCTCTGCTAGAAGTTAGGGGCCACCTCCCTTTGCCCACAGCCCCCGATTGTTCACTCAGTTCCAGAGTGCAATCCCTGCATGGCCCTGCATGGTGTGGTGTCCTTTTCTCCCAGACTGTGAGTACATGTAGCTAATACACTGCTCTAAATCTCATCTGTCCAGTGCTGGATGTTGTGTGTTTGGTCATAATCCTAGGGTAGGAATCCCTTCCTCAACAATGGGCTGAACAAGAGGTGATCAAAACAAAGGTACTTTAGATATAGGGTTAAAATTCAGTTTTTAAAAATAATATTCACTTATTGCAGGGAATTGAGAAGTGAATGGGAGTTCAGAAATAATTGATATAAATGTAGACTACTCTTGGAAGTGGTTGAACTCCAAACAAACATACAAAGGGGAACACTTAATACTGCTGTCCCCCTTCCCTCCAAACCTTATTATTGTGAACTCAGAAATGGTTAAACAACATTGATACTTATTTGTCAATTAGTTGTATTTATCTGAGATATAAATCAATAGAATTTAGAGACTTTTTAAAGGGACAGAGATTGAAATTTTATATTTTTCAGTTCAAATGGTTGGCTTACTTGGAAGGTTCAATTTTTCATCTGTCAGTTTTCAATCCTAAGTTTGATTTAACAAGTCTTGCAGAAAATTATTCATCTTTGTGTCAGAAATCTGCTGGGAATGGTGGACACACACTTACAATGCATGTCAGGATAAAAATGAGGTGGCTTATGCCTGTAGCAATATTACCACTTGCTTTCCCGAAGCAACACTTCCCTGTCTGAGGACAGACTCATCACTTATCTCATCTTAATTAACTTATATTTTCATTTCAGTTAAAAGCAAACACATCTCAGTCTAGCAACCCTGAAGATGGATGCTCTTCAAGTCAGATGCGTGCTGTGTTTGTCTGGCTACATGCCATGGCATCCATGATGATGCTGGTTTATAATTGTCGAGGACAATTTTTACTTAACTGGACAAACAGTGATTGGAATAAAAATGCATAACGGTTTAAAAAAGTAATCAAAACAGCCATATTGTGCCACACAGTAATTAGAGTTGGAAATGGCAAATCAAAATTGTACCCCCATTGTCAGCCTCGTATAGTCAGTGGTGACGAAGGGTCTTATTGAGAGGCAGTGGGACGACACCTTGATCTCCAGGCTGCTTCACTCTTTGATTGTGAAATTCTACTTTGAGTTTTTTCTATCCTATCCTGGCATCTTTAACTTTAGGGGTATTAGAATGGTATTTTATTAAGGGAATAGATGGGGAGCAGGGAGATAAGAAAGGAGGATCTTAAGGGAAAAACAAGATGAAGTTGGGAGGAGGGAGGCTCTAAAGTCAATTTGTACTCACTTTAACAGTCTATCTGGAGACCTGCAGATAAGAGAATGGAAAGAAAGGGCAGACGAAAAGACACGGTGAAATTTGATAGGATAGAATACTTATAGCCACCACTTACTGAAAGTCTGTTCAGGGACAGGCAGTGTATTAGATATTTACATAGACAGTACTAACTCAATAGGGTTCTAAAGCTTGGCAGCACCTTGGCATCACCTGGGAAGTTAAGAAAACAAAACAAAACTGACACTCAGCTTCCCTCCTAGAGATTCTGATTTAATTGGCCTAGGGTTAGGCTTCAGCCTCAGGATTTTGAAAAGCTTCCCAGGTGATGCTAATGTTCAGGAAAGTGCAAGAACCACTCAAGTTAATTCTCCAAACAACCTCAGAAAATATGTATTATAATCCAAATTTTAATAGTGTCATAAATAAATAAGATTCAGAAGGCAAATTATTAAAAACCAGGCAGCCAAAAAGTGTCAAGGCCAGGACTGGAAACTTCCTCTGCCCGACTCTGGCCTGTGCTTTTCCTGAGCTAATCTACTGCTCTGATTATATTGGAGGGCAGGGCAGGGAGAGGAAGGAGACCCTGATTTGGGTAAATGAGAGCTGACAATATAGCTTTGCTACTCATTATTCACTTTTTATATTAGGAGCAGATTGTACATGTAGAAACTGGGACTTCAGCAGCTTAAAAAATGGTACCATCATTTAACAGCCCTACGTT